>NC_000015.10:48276874-48901874 GCF_000001405.40 Homo sapiens | reverse complement strand
TAATAATGGCTAGCATTTACTGAGGTACTGTTCAAAGCACTATTATTATTCTTACTTTTTATATTTAAGGAATTGAGACATAGAGAGCTTTAAAAACTTGTTCAGGGTGACAGAGATTGTAAGAGACAGCTAGATTTTGAACTCTGGCTAACTGCAGAGTCTACCTGACTAGCTTTTCCTCACTTTCTATTATCATTAGAAAGTAGAGTTATAGATAAAGCCATCAAATTTTAACAGTTACTATAATTTTGCACTTTTGTTTATTTCTGTATTGCTTGCCCAAACACTTTGCACTGTTTCATGTACATAGTATCACTTAATGAAGGTTAGATGATAATTAAAAGGAAAAAATAATTTGTTTCCATCTGCCTCTACTGAGTGCTGTTAGAATAAAAGAATGGAAAAACAATAATTTACAGCGTAAAGGGAGTCCCATAATTCTTATACTGACATAGGGAAAGACCCCTTTCTTATAATACCCAACTTCCTGTACCAAGAAACCGAACAAGACAAAGTTCAAAATATGTATAAACAATCCTTGCAAAAGATTACACTCTAATAAGCTTTGCACCATGCACAAGCTAATAACTGACCACGACCCCAAAGCCTCTTACATTTGTTTCCGGTTTGCTTTAGAGCAAGAGTCAGAGAACAACAGCCTGCAGGCCAAATCCCACCTGCTACCTGATTTCGATTTTGCCACCTTGTCAGCCAAGAATGGTTTTGACAATTTTTAAATGGTTGGAAAAAACACCCCAAAAGAATATTTTGTGACACATGAAAATCATATGGAATTCAAATTTCAGTGTCCATAAGTGTTACTGGCACACAAGCACATCCATTTGTTTATGGATTGCCTATGGCTGTTTTTCTAGCTACAACAGCAGAATTGAGTAGCTGTAACAGAAACTATATAACCTGCAAAGGCTAAAATATTTCCTACCTGGCCCTTTTCAGAAAAAGTTTGCCAACTGCTGCTAGAGTGATTCTCAACCTTAGCCTTGTTGGAAGCATTTGGAAGAGATCTTAAAACTTCTGACCCCCAAGCCCTGTCCGGCACCAATTAATTCAGAATCTCTGGAGCTGAGACCCAGTCTTCAGAACTTCGTAAAATTCTTGGTGGTGTAGTCCAATGTGCAGCCAAGGCTGAGAACCACTGCCTAGAGTGTTGAATGCATTTTAGGGGCAAATAGATTAGATCTTGCTGCCTCCAGGATGACCTTGCTGCCTCCAGATAAGAGAGAGAATGCAGGCCACTCTCTCACTGCTTGTGTGTGCAAAGGGTGATGTAAGCAAAGATGTTCAGGACCTCCATGTGCCCTCTGGTAAAAGCCCTTCTTCTTCTTCTTTTTTTCTTTTTTTTTTTTTGAGTTGGAATCTCACTCTGTAGCCCAGGCAGGAGTGCAGTAGCACGATCTCAGCTTACTGCAACCTCCACCTCCCAGGTTCAAGAGATTCTCCTGCCTCAGCCTCCCAAGTAGCTAGGACTACAGGTGCCCACCACCACTTCCGGCTACTTTTGTATTTTTAGTAGAGATGGGGTTTCACTATGTTGGCCAGGCTGGTCTTGAACTCCTGACCTCAGGTCATCCTCCCACCTAGCCCTTCCAAAGTGCTGGGATTACAGGTGTGAGCCACTGCGCCCAGCCATAAAGCCCTTCTTCTTTAGGAGATGAGAATGGGGGAGGCAGAGAGGAGAAGAGAGGATTATACCAAATATCTATCCCAGAATATAGAGTGACTACATTGAAAACAAAATTCCCCAGAACGGAATATCATCAAACGTATAGACAGTGTAACCTTCCCTAGCCTAGCCTCTAGGAAGAGGTGACCTCATTCCTTAACACGCACTAACACAACCATCTGGTCTAAGCTATAGAGCACAGAACCTGTTACTCAATGCAACGAGTCCAAGTAGGTTTAATCAGCTGTGTGGTTCATGAACTCTGTGTCAGAATCACTTGGAAGGTTTGTTAAGCTGTAGATTCCTAGGCCTCACCTCAGAATCAAAACCTCTAGGAACAGTCCTAGAAATCTGTATTTTAACCAGCACCCAGTTGATTCTTAAGAACTTTACAGTTTGATCACCACTTACCTAAATGGTGTACTCTCTGTGGATGTGCAAGCTGAAGTTGTCCTACTATTATTTGTCAAGGTGGATTAACTTGGTAGGCCAGTTGTTCGTTCCTTCCAGAGGTGCACACACATTTAAAAAAATGGAATTCCCAAAAAAATTTACAACATATTTGCCAAATAGCCTTTAAAAGAACCAGAGTTATTTAAAAAAAAAAACAGTGGTAGAAGTAATATATTCATTACACCAATTGCTGTCTTGCTCAGTAATATAGACACCTGTATGACAAACTGTTTTACTGTTTGTTTATTTATTTATTCATTTATTTATTTATTGAGACGGAGGGTTGCTCTGTCACCCAGGTTGTAGTGCAATGGCACAATCTTGGCTCACTGCAACCTCCACCTCCCGGTTCAAGCAATTCTCCTGCCTCAGCCTCCCTAATAGCTGGGATTACAGATGTGCACCACCATGCCCAGCTAATTTTTGTATTTTTACTAGAGATGGGGTTTCACGATGTTGGCCAGGCTGGTCTCAAACTCTTGACCTCAAGTGATCCGCCTACCTTGGCCTCCCAAAGTACAAAGATTACAGGTGTGAGCCACCACACCTGGCCAAACTGTTTTAAATATCTTTAAAATTCCAAGTATTCTCTGAAGAATTTTTGGAAGTAGATATACATTGCTTAGAGTGAGCTTGAGTGAATAAAGTGGGTGACTAAGTAAGACCTGTTTTCGGTTTTTTTTTTTTTTTTTTCTAAATGAGCTTTGGCTTTTAAGTGACCACATTATGCATCAGTGCACTCTTTAACTCCAAAAGACACACCTTCATAATATTTTGAATATTTTGTCAAAAACAAAGTTGTTTTAAAGAAGCCCAGTTTACCCTAAAGGAGAACAATCTTTTGAATTTATAAATTCCCATGTATTTTATATGAAACCAACTCTATTTCTTATTGTCATTTCTTTAACCACTTATAAAGCCTATAAGCCATCAGTTTGTGGGTGTAGGTGTTTGAATTTTGAGATACATGATTGTATTACAGGAAATCTCTGTGGGGACAGGAAAAAACCAGCACTTAATGTCCGTTAACTAGTGAGAGTTATAGGGGAGATGTGATACTCCAGACAAGAGGGTCCTTCACTTCATTCCAGTGTGATTAATGGGTTCACATTTGCATCAGAGCCAAAGGGCAGAATCACGAAGTAGACAGACAAACCCATTTCCTATGGTTGCTGAGCTGGGTTGGCTAGCAAATGTACTTTAGAAACAGACTTTAAGTACAATTCAGGTGAACAGAGTGGGACACTAAGTCAGTGTGGGGATAAATGCTGTGGGCAGTACTCAAAGGTTTTATTTGACCATCCTGGGACCCGAGGTGCCTGTTTCTAAAGTGAAAGGATGTATTTTATGAGGCTGAGTTCACCCTCCTAGAGTACACGGGTGATGCCCCTTGATAATAGCACAAAGCAAGTCTGAGGCTTTCCATTTTCAACTGGTCTGTGGGCACTGACTGCGTTCATTGTGTGCTTATCGCCACAGAGGCAGGTTCCTGTTCTAAAGTGTCCTGTCTGAGGGCTTTCACAAATTCTTGGATGTCTTTAATTTCACTAAGCTGGACAAAATTGAACACATAGATCACTGAGCCTTGCTGTCCTGGAGGCAAAGATTTAAAAAAAGATGGTACTGGTTTCCCTAGAACAATGAGAACAGCATGATACCACATGGATGTGCAGTCTGAATTACTCAGTCTCTTCATTCATAATAAGAAGGCAATCCAAGACATTTAGGGTGCAACATGTCCCTTAGACTTTGTTAACTGATTTCTTTAAGGACTTACGTTGGAGATGCAAAGTGAAAGAAAGACCTTTGGGAAACGCAGGTGAATTTGTTTTGGCTGAGTATCGTTGACTTTTTATTTTGGAAAGGCTCTTGCTGTGATTAAAATTTTATTCTCATTCCTATTTGCAGGGACAAAACTGGAACTACTCCTTCACTGCATATGTGACTATAGATGTGTGTGTGTGTGTGTGTGTGTGTGTGTCAGAAGGTGGGGGATGTGGGGATCATTGCCTTTAATCATTCCAGCTGGGCCCCTTTGCCTGGTTTCATGTTGCACATTTTCTGGCTTTCCTATTTACTGAAGAACTGCATCTTGACATTCACCAGAAAAAATCTGCCGCGCAGCCTCTCCTCCCATTAAATGCTCCCCTTTGTCTTGGATTGTGATATTGCCTTCCAAACTTAAAAAAAAAAAAAGTGTGTGCGTGTGTGTGTGTGTGTGTGTGTGTGGCGACATTGCTTCCAGAGGAGCTTAACTGTTTAAGGGTTAAAAACACAGAAGAATTATAACTTAAGTGTTGTAGTGGCCAGGAGTTGATGAAGAAAGGTGGCTTTGTTTGGATGATTAGTTTGGACTCTGTTAAGACAGACAAAATATCTTTTTTTGGTCTTATGGCGTAGGCAGGGTTTTATATGCTTAAAAGCAAATCTTCCACGGCATTCTCATTCTCTTACATCAGCCCACTTCTCCCCTTCTCTCTCATGTGGCGAAACAATAAACAAAGTGGCCACTGTTGGTGCTCTGGGGCGTTTCTCTTTCTTTCTAATACAGGCTCCCAGGATGGAAATCTTTAGCCACTGAAACCCCAAAATTTCTGCTCCTCTAAGAGCAGACACTTGCTGAATGTTTGCTAGCTGGAGAAAGTCTCACCGCCACTCAGCTCCAAAAAGGTTCTGCAGGAGCGCAGCTGCTTGGGCTGCAAGAATGGCGGGGACCCCCTGAGCCCCAGGAGAAATCGCTCTCAACTCTGTTTTCTTTTTCTTTCTCCTCGGCATTTGTAAAGTTGGCCCAAGGGTGTGGCTGAGACTCCAGAAAAGCACTGAAAGTACTATTTGTTCTTGAAAATGTTACAGTTAATGTCTTGGTCCCAGTAGCAGGGGAAGAAAAGATCTTTGTGAACAAAAGCAACAAAATGTAGGCATCTATCTGCCTGTCCTTGCTGGGATTTCAGGAGATTTGTTAACGCTGCTATCAGCAAGGCCAGCAGAATTTGAGAGGTTAATTTAAAGCAGTATTTCTTAACCTGGGATCTGTAATTTCTAAGAGGTCCACAGAATGTTTTGGGGAGCTTTGGGGTGAGGAGTGGACCTTCTTAAATGGAATAGAAAAGTTTGTACAGGCTGGGCGCGGTGGCTCATGTCTGTAATCCCAGCACTTTGAAAGGCCAGGCGGGCAGATCACCTGAGGTCAGGAGTTTGAGACCAGCCTGGCCAATGTGGCGAAATCCCATCTCTACTAAAAATACAAAAATTAGCCGGGCATGGTGGCAGGCACCTGTAATTCCAGCTACTTGGGAGGCTGAGGCAGGAGAATCGCTTGAACCCTAGAGGCGGAGGTTGCAGTGAGCTGAGATCATGCCATTGAACTCCAGCCTGGCCGACAGAGTGAGACTCCGTCTCAAAAAAAAAAAAAGAAAGAAAAGAAAGAGAGAGAGAGGGAGAGGGAGGGAGAGAGAGAGAGAGAGAGGGAGAGGGAGGGAGAGAGAGAGAAAGAGAGAGGGAGGGAGGGAGGGAGAGAGAGAGAAAGAAAGGAAGAAAGAAAGAAAGAAAAAGAAAGAAGGAAAGTTTGTACAAATAGGTCTTTTACTGGAGAGAGGCATGGCTCATCTTAGAGTCTCCAATTCAAAAAATTAATAACTACTATTTTTTTTGAGACAGGATCTTGCTCTGTCGCCCAGACTGGAGTGCAGTAATGTGATCCTAACTCACTGCAGCCTTGAACTCCTAGGCTCAAGCAATCCTCCTGCATCGGGCTCCTGGGTAGCTGTGGCCACAGGTGTGCACTGCTGTGCCTGGCAATTTAAAAATATATATATTTTTGTGGACACAAGGACTCACCATGTTGTCCAGTTGGTCTCGAAGTCCTGGACTTGAGGGATACTCCTGCCTCGGCCTCCCTAAGTGGTGGGATTACAGGCATGAGCCACTGTGCCTGGCTAATTATTACTTTTTAAAGCAAGTTCATAAGCACAAGTTTTCCCCTTTTTTTCTTTTGAGCAGAGTTTTGTATATCAAGAGATTTTGGGCGCTCTGTAAAGCCTCACATGCCTCAAATATACAGTTCTGAGTGAGCGTGTGAGTGCACACTCATATGTGTTTGCCCAGGTGGGCACAGCCTGGCTCCAGATGCTCGTTTCTTCCAGGAGGTGGCAGCCAGCCATAGACAGCAGAGGGCTGGGGAAGGGCAGGGGCATCCGAGTAAGCCTTTTCTAGAGTCAGCCCCTACCACTTTGTCCTTTTGCCTGGGTAGTTTACCAGCCACGCGGGTATTAACGATTGGCCAAAGAGCTGCGCCTCACTATGTTAGGGGAGTGAACAAGGGAAGGACAGTCAATATACTACTTTCCCTAGTCTCTGGAGCCTAGGACTCCCTCCTTTTTATCCATCTGGCAATATGGTTCCTCCCCGGTGCTTGTGGGTTTTGAAGTCAGAACTGGATTTGCATTCTGTCTCTCTCACTGTCAATTGCGTTATTTGTACAGTTATTTAAATTATTTGAACTTTATTATCCTCATTGGTAAAATGAGGGTAAAGTCCATACCTTGGAATGGTACTGTTATGACTCAATGAAATGATGTACATAAGGTGCTCACTTCTGGGCCTGACCATAAAGAGTGCTCAGTAAATAGGGGCTGGCCAGGAGCTGTGGCTCACACCTCTAATCCCAGCACTTTGGGAGGCTGAGGTGGGAGACTCACTTGAGCCCAGGAGTTCAAGACCAACCCAGGCAACATAGGGAGACCCTGTCTCTACAAAAAATAAAAAAGGAAAAGAAAAAATTAGCTAATTGTGGCGGTTTTTGCCAGTTGTAGTGGTCCCAGCCACAGGGGAGGTTGAGGTGGGAGGACTGCTTGAACCCAAGGAGGTTGAGGCTGCATTGAGCTATGATCCCACCACTGCACTCCAACCTGGCAACAGAGTGAGACCCCCATCTCTACAAAAGCAAAAAAATTAAATAAATAAATATAAATAGAGGCTGTTCTTTCACTGAAACTCGGGCTCCCTGCTACTGCAAGGTGCACCATTCTAAAAGGCTTTACTAAACGTGCTCAAGATTTTTTATCTTTATGAAACTTTTGGGAATAGAAACAGGTAACTCTACTTAAAAAACTGAAAAAGGAAATCTGGATTTAGTGGCTACAAAGATGGAGGGGTTAAAAGCTAAGCTGGAATGGGAGCAGAGAGAGAAATAAAGAACATCTGTTAGTATCCATAACAGGAACATTGTCCCGTCTCTCTATGGGTGTCACCTCTCCATTGGGACATCTTTGATGTGCCTTCACATCTCAACACCTTTGCCTCACACTAGCAAAACTCCTGCTGAAGGAACTTACTCTGCATTATTTTCAATATTTTAAAGGATTACTTATCCGATCAAGTGCACAATGAAAGTAAAACATAACATTGTTTACCTTGTTTATATCTAAACATCGGTAGAATCAGAAACAAAATAGCAAACCACAAAAAAAGCACCTAAAACCAAGCCATAGTTTACAAGCTCTTTCTATATTACTATTGACACAGGATTAATTTTGTATAGCTGCTACCAATGTGTACATACTGTTGCAAGTTCTACTTTTTCACACTAATTTATATAGACTTCTTCATATTTCTATAGTCCGAGTGGCAATATTTATTTTGATATGTTTTATCTCTATATCACAAGACTTCGGGTTGGTTTCTTACTTGAAGTGTTTCTTTTACTTATATACTCAATGCTATCCCAATACAGGCTTCTCCCCACCTTGTCGAAGTTTGTAATAAGTTATTTAAACAAATTGTTTTTAGAGGCAGGGCCTCGCTCTGTCACCCAGGTGGGAGTGCAGTGGCACTGCAGCCTTGAACTCCTGGGCTCAAGCAATCCTTCCAAGTAGCTGGGACTACAAGTATGTGCCACCACGCCCCACCTGTGCTCTGATAAATTTTGACATTTGTCAACTTTTACCAAATTACTCTCAGATTGTATTAATACTAACCAAGGCCCCTGGCAATGGATAAATATGCCTAAAGCAGAATATTTCCCATCTTTTCCAACACTGGGTTTTGTATCTTTTTTCCTAATTTAATATGAGTGAAGTATCTTGTTGTTTTAATTTTCAATTTTAAAATTATAATGAATGTGAATATTTTCCCGTCTTAAAAAGCCAAATGATTTCTCCCTCCTTTTGTGTGAATTATCGGATCCAGGGGTCAACAAACTATGGCCCATGGGCCAAATCTGGCCAGCCTTCAGTTTCTATAAATAAAGTTTTATTGGAACACAGCCATGCTCACTTGTCTACATATTGGCTAAGGCTGCTTTTTGTGCTACAATGGCAGAGTTGAGTACTTGCAAAAGAGCAAAGTCTGAAATATTTACCGTCTGGCACTTCACAGAAACAGTTTTTAGACTCTTATTTCTTAGTTAATATTCACTCTTCTACTACCATATGTTATGCTCCAGCAATATCAAAGTACCTGTAATTCCCCTCATATCATGATACTTTGTGTTTTGGTGTCTTCACCTATGTTCTTCTGTCTGTCTAGAATTTCCAATCCCCTCCCTGCCAGGAAGGTTCATCCTTTCAAAACCTCCTTGAGAGGTATTCATGCTGTAAAGTATTCCCTTCAGCTTCAATTCACTGCATTACTTTTTGTTAGAAGATATTGATAATTGGTGTGAGAATCAAGAAAACAAACGTGTGGGAAAACAGTTTGTGAAATTACAAGATGCTATATAAAAGTAACAACTTCTAGTAAAAAGTTACTATATTTGGCATATAATTATTGTTATATTTTTATTATTGTTGTTATTATATTTGGCAGCATCAATATCCACCTTTGTTTTTACTTTAAGTTCATATCATTTATAGTCAACTTTTTTTTTTTTTTTTTTGAGACGGAGTTTTGCTCTTTTTGCCCAGGCTGGAGTGCAATGGCGTGATCTCAGCTCACTGCAACCTCTGCCTCTCGGCTTCAAGAGATTCTCCTGCCTCAGCCTCCCAAGTAGCTGGGATTACTGGTGCCTGCCACCATGCCTGGCTAATTTTTTGTATTTTTAGACCAAAACATCCAAATCACTCTCATGGATTAAAGGATCTGCCCTATCTTATAATACCTCTTTATTAAATACTGTCAATAGAGTGGGGTGCCTGGACTAGCTATTTCGGCAGTATCAGTGCCAATTTGGATTAATAATATGAGTCTTATCAATTATTGAGTAGTCATTAAGATGACTCAAAATGTCAATCAACCAACCAAGCCAGAGGGCCCAACTATCTGTGTTATCCTTCTATTTGACTCCAGAGAACAAAGGATAGAATCCTAGAGAAACAATAAATATGAAATTCTGAGAATATATGCTAACCAAAGATCCATTCTATCCTTTGGTTGCAGATAATTATGCAAAAATCAGACAAGATAATACCTTGAAGAAGAGTTTCATTTATATAGAAAAAATGATCTGAGCTAAAACATACATTATAAGTGCAAAATAATGCCTAGAATCTTTGGGAATTCTGCTTATCTTTCAAAAGTATTTTCTAGAAGAACATCGCTCTGCACTACAAAATATCATAGCTGTAGTTTTAAAAATGGGTCTGCATGGCCGGGCGCGGTGGCTCACGCCTGTAGTCCCAACACTTTAGGAGGCCGAGGCGGGCGGATAACGAGGTCAGGAGATCGAGACCATCCTGGCTAACACGGTGAAACCCCATCTCTACTAAAAATACAAAAAAATTAACCGGGCGTGTTGGTGGGCGCCTGTTGTCCCAGCTACTCGGGAGGCTGAGGCAGGAGAATGGCATGAACCCGGGAAGCGGAGCTTGCAGTGAGCTGAGATCGCGCCACTGCACTCCAGCCTGGGCGACAGAGCGAGACTCCGTCTCAAAACAAAAACAAAACAAAACAAAACAAAACAAAAATGGGTCTGCATTCCTCTCTCTGACCTCTCCCCACTTCCTTTGGGAATCGAAACTATAGAAAATATTATTGTGAAATATAATATATATAAAAACTATAATACAATGTTGCATGTGTATGTGTATTGGTGTGTGTGTGAGAGAATATAGTTTATTAATTTAAACAATGATCTCTGGGGAATCCAGAAGAGATTTCCATTTGCCTTGTGAGAAGTTTAATATATGTGTTCAAAGCCACAAGGCTAAGGTTCAAATTACACAGAGTGAAAGCTTGGGCAGTTATGAATGCTCAGAGTCCCAGAGACAAAAGCTTTTAGTTATAACTGCATTTCTGGAAAGGAGGGCGCCAGTTTCTTCACCACTTCCATTAAGGAGCAACTACTTATTTTAGCGGTGCCTTTCTCTCAGGAAGTGCAATATATAGGAAGGGCAGAAAAGTAAGCAAAGGAGGAAATTTGATATTGATTTCTTTTCTTCTGTGAAATTACATGAAAGCTCAATGGCTCGCAGCAGCAACCTAGTCAATAAAACTCCATTTGAGACCACCTTGAAGTTCAACGTTCTCCCGATCCTTTTAAATTTTCTCGTGTCAGGTTCTTTTTGCATTTAATTGTCTTTAGTTCTGAGATACTATGAAGCTTTTTATTCATAACATTACAGAGATGATTTTGCTAAAGATAAAACTGCGAAGTATTTCCAGATGACAATGCCCTGCCCCTCCTTTTTGGTTAAAAATCAACAACACAATAAACAAAATCTGAAAACCCAAGGAAAAACAGAGATGAAAAAAGCGAATAGTAGAGCTCCTTGTTGTAAAGCAATTGCTCAGTATTAGGGTGCTGCTAGGTTTTCCTGCAGAAGGAGTAAGTACAGCATTTCCTCCTGTGGGGCTGGGAGAATACCATTTGTGTTAGACTCACTATTATGTATGTGTACTTTTTGGTCGTGATAATTTCTAACATTTCTTAAACACTTACTGTGTGGAGGTAGTATGCTAAGTCTTTATTTATATGGTTTCTGTTCTTTAGGGAAGCAATAAGTCGCCTGTGTGAAGCTGTCCCCGGGGCAAATGGAGCCATTAAAAAGCGAAAGGTAAATGATGATGTGGTTTTCTTGTTTATGTTTCCCTAATTATGGCAAAGATAGTATGAAAATCGCTGTTCGTTCATCCCACCATATGACCAAGGTCCAGCCTGGCCTTTATTAGGTGGCGTGATATCAGAGCTGCACTCAAAACTGCTCTTGTCCCTCAAATCTTTCCGAGTTGCCTGACACTGTCCGACGTGGTGATACCTCCAGCTGCAGAGGGGAGAAAGCCCTGGGCTTTATGTCAGAAATGTAGGGTGCCAGAGTTGGCTGTTACTGACCAGTGAGCATGGGATCTCATCTTGCTGAGACTCTGTTCTTATTTCCTGTGGAGTTAGGGAGTTGCACTAAATGGCCAGTTTAGTGCCTTCCAATTTCCACATTTTATAATGTATGTATTCTGCATTATAACATTTTAGACTTTTTAGGCTTCCTGGCCTATTTTCTAGTATAAATATGGATAGTGGTAAAGGTGAGGTAATAGCACATGGGTACAGTAGCTTTCCCTGTGGAAAGAAAGCAAAAGTTTTGATGTTAGACAGACTCGGATTAAAGTCCTGCCTCAGCCACCTACAAATGGTGTACTCTTGGACAAGTTACTTAACCTCTTGGATCCTTGGTTTACTCATCTGTAAAATGGGAGAAAATAGCACTTACTTTATAGAGTTATGTAAGAAATAAACGAAGTGATGTCTACATACTATCTACCACAGCGTCTGGCATCTATTACACTTTCTGTGTTAATGGTAGCTAGTATTATTGCTATTAAGCTATGAGCCCTAGAATATTTTGTTGGTTTGAAAAGTCCAAAGGGCCAATGCAAAAGCTCTTGAGATAACTATATAAATCATATAGAATTGCAGACTGTTTAAGGGAAGGGTTTTTTGTTTTTGTTTTGTTTTTTGTTTTTGAGACGGAGTCTCGCTCTGTTGCCCAGGTTGGAGTGCAATGGTGCGATCTCGGCTCACTGCAAGCTCCGCCTCCCGGATTCAAGCCATTCTCCTGCCTCAGCCCCCCGAGTAGCTGGGACCACAGGAGCCCGCCACCACACCCGGCTAATTTTTTGTATTTTTAGTAGAGACGGGGTTTCACTGTGTTAGCCAGGATGGTCTTGATCTCCTGACCTCATGATCCGCCTGCCTCGGCCTACCAAAGTGCTGGGGCCACAGGCGTGAGCCACCGCACCCGGCGGAGAAGGGTTTTTTAAGAGATCTTCTGGTCTAACCTTTTCATTTTGCCAGCTACTAAACTGAGTCTGAGACAAGAGATGATATTTGCCTGAGTCACTAGGATGATTAAGGTCAGAGCCAGCTGTAGAAGCCAAGTCTTCAGATTCCCAGCTTAGGGCTCTATTTCTATACCATTCTGCCCCATTTTTGGTTATCATTCTTCATTATATTACATAGGGCTGAACCCAGTGTCACCTAGAGAATCCACACGGTATGAAACATTCTGACAAATGGCTCTTAAATTCCATCAAGGACTCCCTTTGACTAGTTTCTTTCACAGAACCCATGGTTCCAAAGTAATCTCTAACCTCTTCCTGCTTCTCATAATTTCTGATTAGGATGCTTCAACTGGATGATTCCAGCTACCAGGCAAGATATTCTCATTTAAGGAGCAGGGATTCCCCATCCCAAAATAAAACAGAGCAAACCTGGCTATCATCTATCCGGAAAGTACACTTGCAGAGAAAAACAGAAAAGCAGCTAGTTTCCTTCAACAGCTGGCATGTATTGAGTACTTAGTATGAGCCAGGGACTCTTTCCAGCACTTTAGGCTTTTTTCTTTTCTTTTCTCTCCACTTTATTGTGGTAAAATATCCATAACATAAAATTTACCATCTTAACTTTTTTTTTTTTTTTTTTTTTGACAGTTTCACTCTGTCACCCAGGCTGGAGTGCAGTGGCTCACTGCAACCTCTGCCTCCTGGGGGTTCAAACGATTCTCAATGCCTCAGCCTCCCGAGTATCTGGGATTGCAATCATGTGCCACCATGCCTGGCTGATTTTTGTATTTTTAGTAGAAATGAGGTTTTACCATTTTGGCCAGGCTGGTCTCTAACTCCCTGGCCTCAAGTGATCTGCCCATCTCAGCCTCCCAAAGTGCTGGGATCATAGGTGTGAGCTACCACTCCCAGCCTCATCTTAACCCTTTTTAAGTGTACAGTTCAGTGGTATTAAGTACATTCATATTTTTGTGCAGCCATCGCCATCATCCATCTTTAGAACTCTTTTGATCTTGCAAAACTGAAACTCTACACATTAAACAAGAACTCCCCAGTCCCCTATCGCCCCGGCCCCTGGCAACCAAAATTCTACTTTCTGTCTCTATGATTTTGAGTACTCTAGGTACTTCATATGAGTGGAATCATACAGTATTGGTCCTTTTATGACTGGCTTAATTCACTTAGCATAATGTCCTCAAGGTTCATCCATGTCATAGCAGATGTCAGAATTTACTTCCTTTTTATGGCTGAATAATTTTGCATTGTATGTATATACCCATTTTGCTTATCTATTCATCTGTAGATGGACACCGGGTTGCTTCCACAGCTTAGCTATTATGAATAATGCTGCTATGAACATGAGTTACAAAATCTTTTAGAGACCTTCCTTTCAATTATTTTGGGTATATACCCAGAAGTAGAATGGCTGGATCATGTGGTTATTCTATTTTTTAATTTTTTTAGGAACTGCCATACTGTTTTCTACAGCAGCTGTATCATTTTACATTCCCACCAATAATGCACAAGGGTTCTAATTTCTCCATATTCTCACCAAGCCTATTCACATTTTCAGTTTCTTTATGATTTCATCTTGATAGGTATTCTAGGAATTTGTCCATTTCATCTAGATTCTCCAATTTGTTGGCATACAATTGTTCACAGTAGTCTCTTACAATCCTTTTTATTTCTATAGAATTGGTAGTAATGTCTTCACTTTCATTTCTGATTTTAGTAATTTGAGTCTTTTCTCTTTTTTGCCTTAGTTCATCTAGCTAAAGGTTTGTCAGTTTTGTCGATCTTTTGGGAGAACCAACTTTTGGTTTAATTAATTTTATCTATTTTTCTATTTTCTATTTATTTTATCTGTGTTCTAATCTTTATGATTTCCTTCCTTCTGCTAGCTTTGGCTTTTGTTTTTTTCTAGTTCCTTAAGTTACAATGTTAGGTTTTTGACTTAAGACCTTTCTGCTTTTTAAATAAAAGTGTTTATATCTATGATTTTTCCTCCTAGCACTCACTGTTTTCACTGCATCCCATAAGTTTTGGTATGCGGTGGTTTTTATACTTTGTTAATCATCACAAAAAACCTAGCCACTAGTGTTATTATTTATCCCCATTTTACAGATGAGGAAACTGGGGCCCTGAGAGGTTAAGTAACTTGCTTAGTGGCCCAGTCAGTGTATGGAGGAGCTAGGTCAAGCCCAGGCAGGCTCCAGCATTTACACACTTAATCACAATGTTATCTGCTTCCTTGCCAAGCATCTGCCCTGGGGGGAGGGAGCCAAAAACGATTTAGGACCAGTTGAATATAGTCAGATCTTTGTTTGATTTCTTTAGATCTGTTAGATACTGCATCATTAGCAGTTTGGAGTGCTAATGGAAAAATGATTTATTCATTTATGTGATCTCCCATGAGTTTTGAAGTCTAAAAGTTAATGAATAACCAAAAGAACTGGGGGTTCCTGAGAGACTATGCGACATAGAGTAGAAGAGCTAGGCTGCTATGTCAGTACAAATAAATTGACCCAGATATAGTCAATTAATGTTTCCCTATCTTAATACTTTTCTCGTTTGTAAAATGTGGATAAGCACCTCTGCCAGGCCTGCCTCCACTCTTTAGTAAAATTTGGTCAGTATCCCATCCTCAGCCTTCTCTTTCTGTTCCCTTCTCCTCTCATTCCCATAATGACCTCTCCCAAGGCCAGGGTCTGCAGTTTCTCTTTCTCGAAGGAGAAATCCTACAGCAAAATTGCCAAAATTCATTTTAAAAGTAGTAATTATAACCACTACAGTTTGTTAGCACTTCGCTGTATACTATGCATTTCCATATACTTTATTATTAATACTAAATTTGATTCTCCTAAGATTCCCATGGCTAGAGGTGGAAGAATGGAAGTGATAGTAGTATTAATCCTGTTTGGTAAACAAAAACATTGAGGGGGTTCCGGAGTTGTCTAAGGTCCCTTGACAAGTTAGGATCAAACCTGGGACTTGAATTCCAGTTGCCTCACTGCCCATCCTGTGTGCTTTCCGCTCCTTTTTCTTCCATCGGTCTTTTAACTGTTAGGACATTTCTAATGATGGCATGAAAGACTTTGTCTCCTATATAATAAATACATTTTGGACATTTCTCACGAGATTAAGGTTATGGTGAGAACAAAATTAAGATGATTTACGTAAAAGTTCTTTACAGATAACAAAATGCTTTTCGACTGTGAGACAGTGTTATAATTTAATTTGTATTTCATAATAATATATATATATATATTTTGAGACAGTCTTGCTCTGTCGCCCAGGCTGGAGTACAGTGGCCCAATCTTGGCTCACTGTGACCTCCGCCTCCCAGGTTCAAGCGATTCTCCTACCTCAGCCTCCTCAGTAGCTGGGATTACAGGCATGCGCCACCACGCCTGGCTAATTTTTGTGTTTTTAGTAGAGACGGGGTTTCACCATGTTGGTCACGCTGGTCTCGAACTCCTGACTTCATGATCTGCTCACCTCGGCCTCCCAGAGTGCTGGGATTACAGGCGTGAGCCACCGCACCCAGCCTCACAATAATATTTTTTAAACTAGCATGGAAAAGAAACTCTAGAGAAGCAAATGAGCAGCTTGCTGTTAAATAAAATCACTGTGGGAACACAAAATCCCTGAACTGTGTGGCTCGCTTTGCCCAGAGCTGTGTAAGAAGCAAAGAAAGTAGACCAAGAGTCAGCTTTATGATGTGGTGATAGCTGTGAGGTTGAGGGCTCCTTCCTCACACTGTTTGCACTACATTTTAGAATGTGCTTGGAATTAAAAATAAAACTGTACATTAAATTTCAACAGTGTGTGTTTAACAGTTTGGTATGGCTCCAGAATGAATCAAATGAGAGTAATATAAAAGCAAAACTAGGAAAGAAACAAATTGTGTTTTCATTGATTGCCTTAAAGTATTGATTCATATGCTGAGGAATTACTGATTTCCATCATCTGGTCCACTTTCCAGTAGAGGATTTCAGGACTTAATCCAAGCATCCATCAAAGCATTCAAATCTCTCAAATGATTTCTTAGAATTTTTAATGTTAGGAAGGGCAAAAATAAGTAATAATAATAATAACAGCTCTCATGTAACCAGCCAAATACTATGCTAAATGTTCTCTAGTTATTATTTAATCTTCACAACAGCCCTTATGAGGTGGCTACTGTTTTTCCCCCCACATTTTATATAAAAGGAATTTGAGGCTTAGAAAGTTTATTTGTCTAAGGTCATCAGTTGGTAAGTGGCATTTCTGCCTGAGGAAATCTGCCAGCCCAGCCTCTCGCCCCCCTGTTGGTACCTTTTTCCTGACATATGACCCCAGTGCTTTTCTTTATAATTCCTGGGTACCCCCTGCTCTCATGATTCTTCACCACACCCCCACACTTCTTCTCCTTGAGAAATGACTGGTTCAGAATTTTGACTTTTATCAAAACATATCCCTTTCCTCAGGATCTGCCTCTAAATCTCTATTAGTAATTTCTGGTAAATCATCTTTATTAATGAGTTAATGTGGAATGGGCTAACCCCTTCCTAGTAATATTTGTTCAGTTTAACAATTGGGACCTTCTGAAAACAATGGTTTAACCTAAAAGGGTGCCCAGTGGTAGAATTTCAGGCATCATGATTATCTGAAGGTAACAATTAGACTAGTAGAGAGGACTTTTTAACTCTGGGAAGGGAAAGATGAGGGAGGAACAGGGATGGCCTCAGAGAAGGAAGCAGTTACGTAATTGGAGAGTTCATCAATGCCTTCTGTGGCATTAGATTCAGTGGATTGTCAAATTTTTCTTTTTTTAGATTTGTAGTATTGAAAAGGACTCAAGAGTTCAGCTGGTCTAAACTCTCACAGGAATTTGTTTACATTAAAGCAGGAGCCCACTCCCAGCACCTGGGGAGGAGAGAAACTATGAGAAAGTTCTGAGGGCCTAAATTTCACTACTTAATAAAGAATTCGCTGCATCCTAATTTAAAAAAAAGTTTATTTAATAAAAACCATTCCCTTTCATTTGATTTACATAAAGTAAAATAGAGAGGAAGAGTTTGGACTTTGACTCATTTTTAACATTTAAAAAACATTAACATTTATTCTGTAACAAAATTCCTAACAGTGTTTTGTTTTTCTTCTTTAATTTTTAAAGCCTCCAGTTAAGTTCCTATCAACAGTCCTTGGCAAAAGTAATCTTCAGTTTTCAGGAATGAATATAAAACTGACCATCTCAACATGCAGTCTCACATTGATGAATCTTGACAACCAACAGGTAAGATCACAAATGTCATTTATAGATAAACATATCTATTTTTTCAGAGAAGCGTGGGGATAATGAAAAGAATAAAGTTTTAGACAGAGTATGCCTACAACCTAATACAGCACAAGGGAAAAATCTGCTGAAGATTTATGCATAACAATCATTAGAACAACAGCATTACTAACCCATCACTGGAGCATGTAACCACCTACATAGGTGTCCCTACCTAACTGGCTTTGAATGAAGAACTAAGTTGCAAAGAACATAGAAAATATCATTTAGCAACTCATATCCTTGAATTGGTCATTGATGTCTCCACCAACCCTCCCCAAATGGATAGCAATTCCGTTATCACAACTAACAGACTGTGTGTTGGGCCAGGGTACAGATGAGGGACAAAGGGGAAAGGTGATGTTGGGGTTAATGTTCTAGCGAACTGAAATTTAAGCAGAAAATATTTTCTTCCAATTCTTGTGGTTGAGAAGCTTTCTAAAATGTTATTGTATAAAAGGTAATGTTTTCTTCCTTAATAATTTATGGTACTGTGGTGTGCCTGAGTTTTCATTGTGAACCTCATTTCTCAAAGAACAGCATTGCTGAAGCAAATGTAGAAGATACGTAGGCATTGGGCTAAATGTGTACCTAAACCAGGACATTTTGTTTGGCTTGCTTTTAATTTTTTAAACTAAATTCCTTCTATCAGGTTATGTATGTGTGTTAGGATCTGATTTTCCTCTTTGTCTAATATGTTGTGATCCAAGTTTCTTTACACTTAAGGTTTTACTGTATGGAGTGCTGTTGATCAAGGTTTAATATGTACTTGGCAATAATAACATGCTAAAAGTCTGAGGTTACATATGGGTTGAAATGCTGGCTTTGCCACTTACTAGCAAATGACTCTACTACTCTGGGCTTCAGTTTTCCTCATCAGTGAAATGAGGATTATGGTACTTATTTATAAGGTTTCTGAGAGGATGGATTTTAAGTGTCTCATAGGGCTGTTTAGAGGATTAAATGAGATAATAGATGTAAATTATATAGCATGTGCCAGTCACATGATACCTATTATTATTTACTCAAATATTCTCAGAGACCTTTTCATATACTCAGTACTTAATAGGAAGTGCATATTATAAGATTATAAAATTATCAGTAACATATAAGTACAGGTTTTGAGGTCTATTTTATTTTCTAAATTAAAAAAACAGAATAAAATACACTGTTTAAGCAGTAGTATACAACACCTTAGAGGAAAAGTGTTAATATGAAACAGTTACAAATAAGTTCTTGTCTAGTTGGGTCCTGACTGATCTTCCAAGAGTGGTGATACCATTGGTATCATGAGAGCATAACATTTTGGGCTGCACTTGGAAGACACATGTGGGTGGTGAAACATTCATTCAGTCATTCTGACATTTTGACTTCAATACATATGTAGATGCAAAATTTATTTTCAGTTTTCATTCACATGGATGGTACCACGCAAGCTCAATGCTTTTAGTTATGAGATCTCACTAAGTAAAGGAGCCCTCGGGTTATCTCAGAGTTTTGTAAGGGAGGAAGAGTAGGCAAAGCTGAAGCCATCATAATGACAGCCTTTTGGGTAGAATCTATGATCATTTTTTAAGATGGCCCTTTCTGTGGGGTGTCTGAAATGAATAAGGAATTTATGAATGGGATTGTGGTATATGTGGTGGGGCAGAGTTTATTCTCAGCCTCTCTTTCCCCTTCAGTACCCTTCTTTAGGGCAAAGTATTACTACCCATCCATAATCTTTCAGGCAAAACAGAGGTGAGGATAACGGGTGGTTTTCATTACCAGTAACTATAGTAATATGATGTGCCTTTGAAAGTAATCCATAGCTTTTCTGCACTGGTGGCATGGAATGGGTTGTATTCAGCCCACTGCTAGAGTGGGGACCAAAGTTAAGATCTCATTTATCTCAGACCTGAGGGCTGATTTTTAATAACTATTTTGAGCTTTCCTGCAGGCCTAGGGGAAATGGCTGGGGGATATGGGGGAGAGATGTGCCACTGTAGAGGCCTCAACTCAAGAAGCTTTATTTCCCATGAGAAAGGCAACTAAAATGTTTAAGAAATGAAGGCAGCAAAGATGAGAGACCTTGTGGATACAGCACAAGAAAAGGATTAATTAAATCCTTAATGCTACCACTGGAAGTTCTAAAATAAATACAAAGAAATACTAATGCCTTCCCCATCCCCACTTAATTTCTAAGATATGCTTTGGACTGAAAACAAAGGTTCAAATTTATGGATATATTCATAGATGATAGCATTTATGGAACGGATAGTTCACATTTATCTTTGGCCACTGAGAACATCAAGAATATAACAATTCATTCCCAGAAAATATTTTACAAACCTCCAGAGGCAGAAAATATTAAACATGCGATGCTTGCAATTTTTAAATATTACCATATTTCAGGATGGGAATACATTTTTGCAAGGGTAAGTTATAGGTATTTCCTTGTTTTAAAATTCAAGCAACAGACTTTATTGACATACTTTAATATAGTATTTTAGGGCCTCAAGCAAAGTCAGAGTCTCAGTTGCTCACACTCCCACTAATTCTTTACTGATTTCTACAACTCTAACAGGTACTGAATTCAGAAGGGTAATAGAGTTAAGGTAAAACAGGCAAAAATTGAGACATCCTTTAGTCTCTACAAGGAGAGGCAACTTGAGATATTTAGAGGCCAAGTAGGTAATGCAAGCTGTGCAAGCACAAGAAAAAACAATGGTGCAGGCCCAATGATAAATGTCAAGTGCTACCTGGCCTCTGTGTTGGGGAGACAACACTGAGGGACTTGGCAAACAGAATCTTCCTTATCTAAAGGTGAATCAGATGGTTTTTTTTTTTTTTTGCTTTGTTTTTTTGTTTGTTTGTTGGCTACATAGGTCTATAGGTCAAAGGCTCCCAGATCTTTTACTTTAAAAAAATAATAATAAAAAGGTAAGAATCTAGATTTTTAGCTGCTGTCTCTGTACTGAGATGTTGGTCTCTTAAAATTATAAGCATGAACCAAACAAAATAGATCTGTGGCCTGAAGACAGTCAACATGGGATATCTGATCTAAGCGAACATTTATAATATGTATGGATAAATTTGGAAAACTCTCCCTAATCACACCGTGTACTCAAAATCTTCTTTAAATCCCCTACCTTGCAAAATCAGAATTTCCCCAGAACTCCTTTCTCTAGCTTCCTTAAATGAAGACACACACACACACACACACACACACACACACACACACTCTCACACACATCATCATTTAGTCCTCACAATTTGTAAGGTACATCCAATTGTTCCTATTTTCAGTTTAGGACATGAGCCAGAGAGATTAATTTCCCAGTTACTGAGCTAATAAATAGTAGAACCCAAATTTTAACCAAGTAGTCTGGTTTGTCTGTGGCAACTGCATGTAAAAGAAACACAAATAATTTTACACCCCTAAAAGGGGTGTTAAAATGTTTTCTATCCTCAATAAATACAAGTAAGTATTTACAATTTTCATTGTCTCTCAGCTTACTGCCTATTTTTAAGACTGAAAAACAACCAAGTCAATTGCAGAGCCCAGGTTTTTCTCCCCAAGATGGGCCTTCAGATGGAATAGTGTTTCCCACCCCCACCTCTTTGCCCTACTCAGTCCCAGAGAAAAACAGAATCACAACCTTCTAGTTTGTGGACCTCAGATTTTTTTTTCCAAGAGTTTATCTTTCCTAGTAAAGATAAACTTTCCTGGTAAAGATAAAGATCTGGAGGTAAATACAACCAGCCAGTTTATTGTGCACTAGCATACCCCCACCCACACTAATTTACATCATCCATGCAATTAATTACCTATCCACACTCATCTGACCGTAGCTGCACGCTAATTGAGAAAGCAGTGGAAGAGGCAGTAGGATTAAGTCTAAGCACCAACATTTTACTTCCACCATCTCTCCCTCCTAACCCAGCTAGTGTCTGAGCAATTCTGATCAGCCTTGTCACAGTCCTATCTTTTACAGATCTCTCTCCCCAAAAGACAGGATGACCATAAAATAAATAAGGCTCTGAATTGTCCTGTTGCATTGGATATTCGTTCTTTACTGCTATAATGGAGCAGAAGCATTTGGAACATTTTTACTGATCATGATAAAACCTGCTGATACACTTATTTTGCTGAACCTAGCCTTCTGATGTAATCATTACTCTCCTAGAACTTCAGCATCTTAGTAAGGTAACCACGGCAACATACTCATTGATAGGGCAGGTTTTCCCAGACCAGCAAATTCTTATAGGCAAAAACTTAATTTACAAAGTTTAATTTCCAGAAATTAATTTGTGAATTAGATAGCTGAAGCTGGATCATTTTCCCTTAATACTGGTTAACACATACAATAGAAAGTAGTATACAGAGAAAGTATGTATGCAATACTATTAGCCAAACAAAATACACAGAACAAGAAATTTTATTATCTCCAATGCTGGTGCATGACAAATAACAAGCTTAATTAGAGGAGGAGACAGAGGGAAACTTCAGATACCAAGGTAATTTCTGGGCAGGTTTAAAACCTTTAAAAGTTGATAGAATAACTGTTCATAAAGTCTTTTTAGATATAGCGCTTTTTACTTGACAACTTTTATTAACAGTTCTTACAATATGAAGTTCAACTAAAGTCCTTCATCTGTCAAGTTAAAACAGCAAGCAAAACAAAATTTCTCTAGTATATAACAGCATAAGCAATGGTTTGTTTTCTTTGTACATTCACACACATTTAGTGTCTAGATTTGAAACTTTTTAATTAAGGATGTCTTAATTTTTGACTTTTAAAAATGGTTATGACAATGGATTTTCTTGATTTATAGATCACAGTGGCTTTATAAATGATCAAGATACATGTACAAACAAAATTTCAGATGCTCTTGGAAACACATCTTAAGATACAAAGCACACGTGATACATATTTGAGTTTACTCATCCATTTATCTTACACTGAAAATGTAGCCTTTGATAACTGTGGCTTGACTAGATCACAAAATAGAATTTTCCAAGTTTTCTTAAGCTTTCAGTCCAAATAACTCAAAAGATATGTGTCCTAGTTGGATACATTTTTTTCTCATTATATAATTAGTATCAGTGGGCTTTTGTATTGGCAGTTTGTCTTGGTCATGACTTATTCTTGCAAAACCATCTTTACAGCAAACAAATATGAAAGATATTTTCCCCAATGCAAGGAAAATAATCTGGATCAATAACAAAGTCAAAGCCATAGGTGTTTTAGGACGTTCTTGATAATTGATTTCAACGGTCTTAAAATCTTTTTTCTTTTTCTTTAATGATTCTCTTCCTTTTTCACAACTGTGCAGTCACTGTCCTATTGTGTTCTATTCTGAAAAACAAATTTTTTTGAAGGTCAAGTTTTTCAATGGCACAAAACTATTTGGAATGAACCCAAAAGATAGCGGAAAGTTGGGTCCCTCCTCAAGTAGTTTCCTCCTCTTTTAACAGCATCTAACTACTCTCTATCAATAATCTCATCACAGCCGAGTTCTTCGGTCAGACGATTGACAACCATCAGTGAAAAAAGCTCTTCGATAAAAGCTAACTGATCAAACGGGGTCTTCTCATAATGCATCTGAAACCCGCCATCCAGGGCTGGTTCTCTTGTTCTCAGAAACATCTTGTCGGCTTCTTCAAGAGCGGCTGATACTCTGTAGCCGGCACCACTGAGCTGCTCCTCTTCGGGATAGTCGTAGTCGTCCTCCCAGTCATCAAATTCCTCGCCCTCGTCCTCGCTCTCGAAGTCTGCGCCCGCCACCTGGCCTGGCTGCTCCCCAGCGTTGGGCCCGTTAGCAAGGCTCCGTTTCCCCTCTGGCGCCGCCATTGGCTGGGCCTCCTCCTCCTCCATTGGGCCTTCCTCCTCGAGCTGTTGGGCCCCGCTGCGGGAGGGACGCAGGGATAGCTCCCGGCTCCCGCTGCCTACCTCCATCTGCGGAAGGTCACCCTCGCCAGGCATCACATCCATCTGCAGGTCACTGCTCTCTTCATACAGCTCGGACAACTCAGCCATTTCCGACATTGTGCAAACCGCTCAACCTCTAGGAAAAAGCTTCCAGCAAGACAGATGCTGCGCGGCCGTGCGTTCGTGCGCGTGCGCAAAGGCTGCGCGCTTGCGTAACCCCGCGCGCAGGCGTGGTCCTCAGGTACCGCCTCCTACTTGGCGCGCCACTGTGGTTGGAGTAGCTCAGTGTTTTCTCCGGGGTGTTGGCGTCGCCTTTTGAGCTACGTTTCCATCGATTCGAACTTCGTATCTAGGGACCCTGCATGCAAGAGCGTAACAGTTTCTGTGTTACTTAACCCTACTGCTGCTTGTAATGCTGCAAACCGGAAAATAACCTTACATGGCCTTCGTAACATTTAATGCTCCTTCCCCCCCTTCCTCTTCCCCTGGGCAATTTACCGATGTACTGATGACTTGTAAATCCACGTCTCCAAACCAGACAACATCCATAACCACAGATCAGCATATTAAGAACTAATCCATTTTGTCCTTTTAGTGTTTTCATTTAAAAAGTTAAATTCACAAACAACAGATATATTGTACTTTTTTTTTTTTTAGTTATAGTGAAGAAATACTTGGTCCCATTTCTTTTCGCCTGGGAGGTATCTTTCCACTATTAGCAATGCGGTGTGTATTCTTTGAATTCTTTTTATTTGCATTTACATGTATCTTTATGTATTGACAGCAAAATACTATTTTGTGTGTTTTTTAAAAACATGTTTTACCTGTTTTTACCTTCAACTTAAAAGCCTCAGGTTTTAAGTTGTATATACTTATATGAATTATATGACTGTGTATACTTACAGGATTCAAGCACATTTCATTTATTCTGCACTTTATTTCTATTATTATTACATTATAGTTATGTAGAATTATACAACTCACCATAATGTAGAATCAATGGGAGCCCTGAGCTTGTTTTCCTGCAACTAGATGGTCCCATCTGGGGGTGATGAGACACAGTGACACCCGAGGTGTGTTCCTTATGTCCGGTCTATTCTGTAATCTCATTTTGGTTGCTGTTACTGTGGAAAATCCTGCCTCACAAAGATAGGATGTTGAAAATGGAAGGAGGCTTTTCAGTACTTTTGTGGCAATCTCAGGATGTTCCGCCTTGACTTTAATCGAGAACGTATGGAGATTTGAAGTTGTCTCAAACATACTTTTAAGGCCACCGTCATTTGCAATATCAAGCAGTTGATCCTCTTCTAGCGTGGACAAAGTGGATTCACCTGGCTTATTCACAAATGGGTCACAGATCCATTCCGTCTTTTGTGGATGAGAAGTGTGATGGTTAATACTGAGTGTCAACTTGATTGGATTGAAGGATACAAGTATTGATCATTGGTGTGTCTGTGAGGGTGTTGCCAAAGGAGATTAACATTTGAGTCAGTGGGCTGCGAAAGGCAGACCCACCCTTAATCTGGTTGGGCACAATCTAATCAGCTGCCAGCTTGGCTAGAATATAAGCAGGCAGAAAAATGTGAAAAGAGAGACTGGCCTAGCCTCCCAGCCTAAATCTTTCTCCTGTGTTGGATGCTTCCTGCCCTCGAACATTGGATTCCCAAGTTCTTCAGTTTCAGAACTCGGACTGGCTCTCCTCTCTCCTTAGCCTGCAGACAGCCTATTGTAGGACCTTGTGATCATGTGAGTTAATACTTAGTGAACTCCCCTTTACATATATATACATATATATGTGTATATGTATGTGTGTATGTGTATATACGTGTGTGTGTGTGTGTATATATATATGTATATATTCCATTAGTTCTGTGCTTCTAGAGAACCATGACTAATACAGGAAGTAATGCTCAAAATATTTTGAAAGCTGAGATAGGTGATCATGCACCAGCTGGGAGAAAGAAGACCCTGGCTCAGTCTCTTTCAAAATCTCTGCTAATGTTTGAAATGTCAGAAATCCCAGTGTTCATTTGTCACCCGCATGATTCCAGTTTGGCTTTGAATGCAGCCACCTTATCTGCCAAGTTGAACACAGTTGTTGTTCGTCCCTGAAGTGACAGAGTTCACTGAGCAGGTTGAATATGTCACACAAGTAAGCAAGTTTTTTTGTGACCCATTCTGTGTCACTGAAATGTGCCGCCAATGGTGACTGTTTTTCTACAAAGAAATCTCTGAAGCAGCTCTCTTAACTCAAAAACTCTGGCCAGTGATCTACCTTTAGAAAGCCATCTCACTTCTGTGTGTAAGAGAAGACGTGTGTGCTCTGCATCCATCTCCTCACAGAGCTGCACAAACAGATGTGAGTTAAGGGCATGTATAATATGGTTGATAATTTTAATCACATACTGCAAAATGTTGTTAAGTTCAGGTGACATTTTCTGACTAGCCATCATTTCTCTATGGATGACATGGTGCATAGACTCACATTCAGAAGCGACCTCTTTGACCTGAGTAGTGAAACCAAAATGCCATCCAGTCATGGCAGCTGCTCCACCCATGCATATACCGATGCAAAATGACTGATTCCACTTTCCTGATATGTAATCATTCAAAGACTTGAATAGTTCTGCATCTGTGGTGCTGGTTGGCAACAAAAGTGCATATAGCATATCCTCATTCACATCCTCCTGCAAAATATATCACACACAAAAAAGCATTGTTCCTTTCTAACAATTGTGCCTCATTATCCTCTGATATTTCATCAGTTCATCTAGTTGTGGTGCTAGCCAAAAGAGGAACACATGCCACCTTTTGAACTGCAGCCTCTCCTGAAAGTTCATGACAAATGTCCTTAGAAGCAGGCAGGATCAACTCTTCATCAATAGTAAAGGACTTCTTAGCTTTAGCAATGTGGTTAGCCACTAAGAATGATGCTCTCAGTGCAAACACATCTGATGAAGTGGTGGCCTTCAATAATTTCTTCTATTCTTTGTGTTCACATTGTTTTCTTTTGAAAAACTCCAAAGGCTTAGTATTAATGCAGGGTGTGTGGTCTCCATGTGACAAAGCAGTTTAGAAGGCTTCATGGCTTTGTTAGATAGCCACTTGCTACATGTTATGCAAAGCAAGCTTGGATAATGTGAATCACCTGTTGTAATGAACTGGTATTTTAAGTAGGACTCTTGATATTTTCTTTTAAATGCAGCTTTATTTTTGTTGGCAGTCTTAAAGTCTTCTGCAGTCTCATCACTGGATCTTTCCCCCTTTTCAAAGAACCTCTCCAGTGAAGTTTGTTTTTTACTCATTTTGGCTAGGGTTAGCTTATGGGCTTACCAAAACTGTGACCGAGAAAGTGCATGGTGCAGGAAAGAGACATGGATGGGAGTGGTAAATAAAATAATGGGCGGGTCAGGAACAAACTAAAATAGTCGGATTCAGACTTAAAGCCTGCCATCAGCTGCAGCTGTACAACTGAAGTACATCAACTCACTTGCCACTATGTAGCCTGCCACCAGATGCAACTTAAGTGTCACTTGCTACTTACCGATAGGGTTTTGATATGAGTCTGCAAGCAATTGATTTATTATGGTCTCTGTGCAGTCAAACCTCTCTGCTATTGTTAATCTGTATTTGCAGCCACTCCCCAGCACTAGCGTCACCACCTCAGCTCTACCTCAGGTCATCAAGCATTAGATTCTCATAAGGAGCATGCAACCTAGATCCCTCGTATGTGTAGTTCACAATAGGGTTCATTCTCCTATGAGAATCTAATGTCGCCACTGATCTGACAGGAGGCAGAACTCAGACAGTAATGTGAGCAACGGGGAGCAGCAGTACATACACATGAAGCTTCTCTTGCTCATCCACTGCTCACCTCCTCTGCAGCCCGGTTCCTAACAGGCCACGGACTGGTACTTGGTCTCTGGCCAGGGGAGTCGGGAGCCCCTGCTCTAGTTCTTCTCACCATGGACACATGATTTCTGGCTGACTGCTGCTTGGTGTCAGATTTATCATAGACTAAAAGTTCTTAAATACATGAGTCTATTTTTAGACTTTGAATTCTTGTGACATTTTTACAGTTTTATATCTTGCTGTTTGATCAGGAATATTTTGTCTTTGTTCTTTAAAAAACTGCGCTAACTCTTCTTGTGCATTTATTCTTTCATATGAATTTAGGAGCATCTTGAATGTGATATTATAATATTTCTTATTATCTTATAAGGGAATTCTTATGCATTTGTTCTTTTAAAATTTGCTTTAGCTGTTCTTGCACATTTATTCTTCCATATGAATTTTAGAAGCATTTTTATTGGAATTGCATGGAATTTATAAATTAATCTGGGGTAGGATTGACACCTTTGTAATACCATCTTCTCATCCATGAGAGTGATATATATCTTTCTACTTGTTCAGATCTTATTTATACTCTTCAGTGAAGTTTTCCAAAAAGCATTACATGATTCTTATTAGTTTTGTACTAAAGTACTCTTACAAAGTGTACCTTTCTCCCCAAAATACAGTGTCTAATTGGCTATTTTTCTGTTTTTTTTTTTGAGACGGAGTCTCGCTCTGTAGCCCAGGCTGGAGTGCAGTGGCATGATCTCAGCTCACTGCAAGCTCCGCCTCCCGGGTTCACACCATTCTCCTGCCTCAGACTCCTGAGTAGCGGGGACTACAGGTGCCCACCACGCCCAGCTAATTTTTTGTATTTTTAGTAGAGATGGGGTTTCACTGTGTTAGCTAGGATGGTCTCAATCTCCTGACCTCATGATCCGCCCGCCACGGCCTCCCAAAGGGTTGGGATTACAGGCGTGAGCCACTGCGCCCGGCCGACTATTGTTGATATATGGGAATGACATTGATCTTTGTATATTGACTTTGTTTTTACTGAAATATAAATGTAGACAAGTACACAGATAATAAGTCCGTAATAATTATCACAAAATGAACAGTTGTATAACCAATATTCAGATCAAGAAACTCCAGCAATCCCAGAAAATCTTTTGCCCCTTCTTCCTGTGCTCCAGAAATAACCACTGTTCTGATTTCAAATACCATAATTTTGCCTAGTTTTGAACTTCATATAAATTAAGCCATGCAGTATATTCTTTGTGTTAGACTTCTTTTGCTCAGCAAACATGTTGCTGCTATATAGTATGCCACCATTGAATATTACAATAGTCATCATTGGAATTGTTTCCAATTTAGGGCTGTTATGAACAGGGCAGTTATTGTCTTCTTTGAGAATATTTTTTGTTGCACATATTTACACAATTGTGTTGGATATACGTCTAGGAATAAAATTGCTGGTCATCTTATATAATCAGCTTTGGTAGATTCTGTCACACAATTTTGAAAGCAGGATTAGTCAATAGGTGCATAGTTGGTGTTTTAATGAACCTTCAAAATAGCATGACAGATATGTCTCTGCAAATGGTCATTACACTGTGGTTTGCAAACAAGCAATCCTAGACTCTCAAATAGAAGACAATCTTCTTAGCTAATTAATGTGGTTACTTGGCGATTCTTACTCATATTAGAAGTCCTAATGTTAGTGCCTTACTCAGGATACATTTAGTAGTGAATGACTGAAATCAAATTCAAACTAACTTTTGCAAAAAGAAACAAAAATATAAAGGGAGAGGGTGAAATATATTGGTTAAAGTGATGGAACAAATGTTACCACCAGACTTTTTTCCTATTTTTAGTTCTCAGTTCCGATTTTCATCAGAAGAAAAGCTTCATATTCCAGCAGACTTTTCTCACATGGCAGCATAATATGGCCCCTAGAAGCTTTGGGCTTACATAGTTTTTAATGGCAGAGAGAGATGCTTTCTCTCCTATTATTCATTTCAGTTCTTCCCAAAATACATTGATTGGCTCTGCTGTATCCAGAGAGATGGTATTTTCTGATTGGCTAGCCCTAGATAATGTTCCACCTGGGTGGGCAAGGGCAGTGAGATGGGCATCACAAAATCATCAGAATCTCGTGGTTTAAATGAGATTATTATAGAGTGTAGGTTGGGTGGTTTTCAAAGGGATGCTGATCAGGCAAAAACAAAACAAACAAATGTATGTCTATTACTGTTAGACTGTATATAACTAGAAATAACAATTAATTTATATTAGTATACATGTTTATGTTTTTCAGATTATTGCAAATCATCATATGCAGTCTATTTCATTTGCCTCTGGAGGGGATCCTGTAAGTATGGATTCACAGAAGTTCTTTTTATGAGTTAAAATAACTTCTTGACATTTGGGGCTGGATGATAATAAAATAAAATAACTTTTACATAAACCATATTAGCCACTACATGTCTTTTCCTAACATACTATTACAGTCTGTGAATAGCTACATGTAGCAGATAATAAAATATTTTCTTTAGGCAAACATTTCCTATTATTAAATTTTAAAATACTTGGATTAGTAGATGAGCTAGTAGTGCTCCATTGTGTTATTAGCCATGGAGTTATCATCTAATAAGCTTCTTGTTGATAATATCTAGGTCATGAAAAGCAAGTATGTCATACATGTGTTGCTCAATCCTTCCTTAGAATTCTTCTCAACACAGAGTTTCTGGAACACTTTACTAATCAACTGGACTTGATATATCAACCAAGTCAACTAAGTCTAATCTGGAATGAGCAACCAGGTTTGCAGGAACTCATGGAGGAAATGCTGAGCTGGGGAGAGAGAACTTGTAGTTCTTCTCTACCAAGATGGGGTCATGTGATACTCACTTCCCAGAAATTGTACAGGATTTCTCCAAGCCTACTCTGCAGAATGGAGTGTCATTCCTTGACTCCCTACTGCACCATTTCTGGACCACAGCAAAAGGAGAGGGGCTTTGAAGCTAGGGAGCCTGCAACTGAGCAAGAAGCAAATCTGTTTAAACTGAGGGAGTAGAAGAATACTTTTGCCACTCTGTGACATTATTGGTCTTTTTATTGTACTCTTTCCTCTTCTAATCTTCCATATGTTTTGATGAAAGGTTAGAAGAGGATGGAGTATGACTTTCATAATGGTTAAACATCAGCCATGTCAAGAAAGCAGGGGGAACATACACAGACCTTGTTCTTACTCAGAATGTATTACCTTCTTTTCTGCAAAGCATTTTTTAAAGAAAAGATTATATCCTTCAGGAACGAACCAATACAATTCAGTTTAACCATTGATTGTTTTCTATCCACCACATTTAGTTTTCACCTGTAATTGAGGAATAAAATGTAGAGTCATAAATGATAGGACAATAACCTAGAAACCCAAGAAAGATATAGAGGATGCTAAAAACTAAATCTGGCAGCTGATACCATGGTAGTTTTCATTTGTTTTAAACTTTTTGCTAAATATTCAATGGGGGAGAAATAATTGTATATCCTAAAAGGAAGTAAAGTTCTGAAGTTACTCTGTAATCATTGCTTCATTTACTGGCATCTAAAGCATTTAAGCAGGTTCTTCCTCTTGGGTGTTGGTGTAACTTACCTGTGTATAAAATATATAGCTAAATTAGCCAATTCTTAAAAACACTTCAATAATTACTTGTCTTCACATTGGCTACCAATGACCTAAAGTATTTAAGCATGTCAAACCAAGACATGCTTTTTTTTTTTTTGAGACGGCGTCTCACTCTTGTCACTCAGGCTGGAGTGCAGTGGCACGATCTTGGCTCACGAAGCATATGGAAGAAAAGCAGCCTTTACAGGATTTCAAACCCTTGTTTTCTAATTAATGGATATCCAGTTTCCCCTTTAAGCTTTACTACTTCCTCATCTTTTAGCCTGGGGTATAGTTATTTTCAAATAACTATTATATATTAGTTCCATGATGCTGCCATTTTTAAAAGTAAACCAAATGTTAAGAGTTCCACCTTTTCCCCAAGAAATTCCACAGATGCCTAATTGTGAATTCCCATTAGCAAACAAGGGACATACAAGGTGTCTGGTGCTTAGCAGCTGCTATTTGAGCCCAAGAGCCTATCTGGACTCTTTTCCATCCAGCCTTGTAATCTGGCCTCAATAGCAACACCAAGGATGGTGGCTGGCAGGGAGGGTCAACTGAATCCAGGCTGAAAAATACCAGCACTTTCTCTTCTCCCTAGCTCAGTCATCCATGAAGGAACTCAAATACTTTTCTTAAGAGATTTAAAGTAGTGTTTATACATGTAGTGTGAAAAATAATTATTGGCATTTGCCCTAAATTTCTTAAGGGTTGTCATCATGTTAGAATTGGTGCGCAAACATTTACTCAAGGCATGCCCTGAATGATTTCTGTTATTGTTCTCCAGAATCTTAATTTTTTTCATACTCTCTTCATGTGCCTTTAGTTCTTTAAATTGACCAAACCACTGTTCCTATAAAAAACAAACATTAAATAATTTGTGGCCACTATGGGAAAGTTTGTACCTGCTGCATTGAGAGCACCTCTGTGCTCTCTAAAGCTGGTGAGAAAGCCTGTTGATTCTAATTTAAAGTAGAAATCTGGCGGCGGTGCCATGGCTTGGTTGGTTAAAGCACCTGTCTAGTAAAATAGAAGTCTGGAGCCACCCTAAGCATTGGCATTAGAAATCATCTCTATGAAGTTTTACCATCAGGTCAGGGAGGCAGTATTATGTACTGCCAGGCTTTGGAGTCAAGTAGACGTGACTTATTTAAACTCCCTAAACTCCAGAGTCCTCATATGTAAATGGAGGATAATCCCTATTGCCTGACAGTGTTGTGGGAATTAAGTGAAATGATACATGGTTAGTGTTAGCGCAGGTCCTGGCACACAGTCACAAGAAGTAACTACTACCACAATTGCTAACACATACCCATATTTGTTTTAGGATATTAACTGAGATCGTTTACAGCTTCACAGTGAACTGTGTACAAGGGTAGGAAGCTGACTTAAAAGTCCCTGAGGTCCAACATAGTAATCTTTCTACAAGATTTCCTCCAAAATTTCAAAAATAATGAATAGCCTTCTCATCTCTTGGCCTTTGCTCACCCTCATTTTTACTCTCTTTGCAAAAACAGTTGTTTTCCATCCGTCAGCCCTGAAAACAGTTGTTGGTAATGCCTCTATAACTATATATACTTTCTCCACTTAAAAAGTGCATTGTGAGTATGTCAAAAATTAAATACATTTAAACATATTTTCCCCTGCTATTTGTGCTTTACTTTTAGCATTCTGTAAATTCTCCCAAATGTTTACAGCTATAGAATTTTAGAACTATACCAATGTTGGAGGCTGTTTTGAAAATGAGAAAACTGAGGTCTGTAGAGGTCTCACAGCCTCTTTCCCATAATTGGACCTACCAGACAGCATGGCTGGCATCAGACCACCTCTTCACTTGAATAAGAGTGGCAAAGTCCCCAGCAATTGTGGCTTTCCTTCTAAATTCATATAAAACAAAGCCCAAGGATATGGCCTTATTTATTTAGAGGATATTTAAAACCTTTTTTCTTTTTGCGTAAGAGAAATTTACTCAGGTATGTGTTATTATTTTCTTTAATTGCCCAAGACGAGTTATGCTGACCCTGAGATCCACTTCCTGTGTGATTCATTGTGGGTTATTAAGTGATTATCCTTGAGGGTATTACAAACATGGGCTTTTATTTCCTGCCAGTTGATTGCATCTTCCCTCTAGAGAGTCATACTTCTAATCTGCAAATGGAATTGTGTGTATTTTTTCCCAAGAACTTAGATAACAAAAAGCATCTTTAATTATTAAAACCTTATCATTCATCAGCTTACTGTTTTCAATAAAAGCTGGAATTACCAAGTAGCGTTTTGTTGGTTTGTTTTTACGAAGTCAGCAGTGCATCTCTTTTTGAACTTCTTAAGTTTTTCAGGGGTTCTCTTTTTTTTAAAATGATTTTTCTTTTCTGTATATTGATCAAATAAATTCCTTGTATTTTCACTTTATTATCCCTTAAGTTAACTTACACTGCATACAAGCAAGCTAACAACCACAAAATCCAACATGTCTCTTTAGTCAACTTACTTTCTGATGTATGTGGTATATGTTTGGACAACAGGAGATCATGATACCCTATCTTAGTTTATGTCACTTTTGTGATTGCATAATCCCTGATATTTCAACTTTCAACCTAGGACAGCATCATAGTCTCTAGCCAGTTTTAAAGAATATGTCCTAACATGTTCCCTATCTGCTTTCTCTTTTATTCTTAATGACAGTCTGCCTCTAAATTTTTAATTTTCCAATTCTTTCCCCAAGGGACAGAGAACATGGACTCCATAATTGTTAAACTATATGGTGTATATTTGTTTATGTTCCCTTTTACAATGCTTTTCTTGTCTCTTTAAATAAAAAACATTTGTATTTGAGTCCTTGCCTCAGTATCATGTCCAAAATATATGTTTCTTTCAACAGTACAGTTCATCCATTTTAAATACAGTCATTTTCCCTTTTTTATAGGATACTACAGACTATGTTGCCTACGTAGCTAAAGATCCAGTTAATCAACGAGGTATGGAAAGCAACTTACAGATTTTTTAAAGAGCTGGTATATACCAACTCTAAAAAGTAACCAACAGTTATTTTCAATGTACAGAGTGATGACTATCACTAGGGTGCTATACTGGATTCTAGAAATATTATGCAAATTTGAGTTGGAAATAAATTGCCCTGTTAGCAGAGCAAAGTAGAAAAACTATGTAGATGAAATTTAAATCATTTTAAAGATCCACAAACCAAAGGCTTAGCTATCAAAAGAGAAGCTATTATGGTTATGATAGAGGGGGCTGGCTGTCACATCCCCACTGGACAAATGAATTACATGTAAGATCAAAGCCAGTGAGGAGTGAGGTTATTGGCCTGCATTGGCTTTGGTGTGTGTGTGTGTCTGTGTGTGTGTCTGTGTGTCTGTGTACTTGCTGTTCAAGAGCCTGTATTATCTCTTTGAATGCTTGACTTCATCATATGGATTTCAGCTTAAATGCCTCTTCTTCAGAGACCTTCTTTGATAGCACCTCCTGTCTCCAGTAGCATTTCCTACCTTGTTGCATCACAACACTTATTTCTCTTTTCATTAACACTCCACATTTCTATTATAGGTTAGTGCAAAAGTAATCACAGTTTGCCATTGCTTTTAATGGCAAAAACTGCTATTACCTTTGCACCAACCTAATATTTTATTTACTCACATATTGCACTTGTTTGTATGTTTAATGTGTCCTTTCTACTAGGCTAAAATCTTCATGAGGGCAGGAACCTGTTTCTCTTACTCGCTGTTGTTCCCTAGCACTCACCATGATGCCTAGCATATAGGCGATACTCAAAAACTATTTTATTGAATGACTGAGTGAATGGAAGAGTGATTTGATGGGAATTCTTGTTTCAGGATTTAGCAAGGTCACATGGTTAGTATTGCTTCTCATCCCTAACGCTGGGACATTCAGACTCCTCTTAGGGAGAAGTGTTAGGTTCCTCCTTAACTAGAACGTATTGGTTGGGCCACATCCTCTGCTGTCCCAGGTATGGAGTTTGCCCCCAAACATTTATTAAGTGGACATGGAATAGGACTTGAAAATTTAGAGAGCTATAAGACACCGAGGTGGAAATGTACATGGGATGCTGGGGAGTAAATAAATAGAACACCCTGGACCTCACAATGTAAAAGCGTAAAAGGCATCTATAGGACAGACACGAGAGAGCTAATGAGTAGGGACTTAATCCCATGGGCAGATGGGTGGAGAGTACTGTTTACAAAGTAGAGTTTAGACAGATTGGTTTGGCAGCAGGATGTAGTAGATGGATTCAGGGAGAAACTTAAGGCAGGGATATCCATTTGGAAGCTATTGTGATTGTCAGAAATGAAATGATGAAGCCCAGCTGCTGGCACAGAGCCTGGCACGTAGTAGATCCTCAGCAAATGTTTGCCAAAAGAATGTGGCAGCAAAAAGATGAAAAGGAAGGAACAGAGGATAAACAGTATGAAATACTCCATTAAAACTGACCCACTCTAAACTAAATAAGAAGAATGAATCATGGTCAAAGAGTGTGCAGGAGAGACAGGAACCAGTGAATGGGGCAGTGGGAATGTAGGAACAGGGCACAACAAAGGATACCAGAAAAGGGCAACTTCTTCTCATCCCTGCCTGAACGTCCCTAAATAATAACTGCTTGCTATTTCTGGGAAGGCCTCTGAACAACAACACTTTTTGTCTTAACATGGAAATGACAGGGTGAAAGGAAGAAAAAAATACATCAGGAAATCTAGATGTTTAGTAACTTTGCCGTCAGTCACAGAATATCTCTGGGCATGTCATTGCTCTTAAGTAAATGATGGTGAAGAGTTCAAAGATTAATGTTGTTGCTAAGGGTAATGGCCAAGAAGGATCCACATGCCTGCAAAGCTCTCCCTTTGCTTAAGTGAAACAGGAGAGGCAGAGAAAATTATGATGCAGCACATTCACTTTGAAAGCCCCTGTTCTGGTGCCTGAGTCATTTGTCAGAGCTGAGCTGCTTGAAGAGGACCCCTGGGGATCCTGGCTTGGGGATTTTGAGAAGGCATTCATGTGAACTGTTGAGCGAGGTCCTGGATGGGAGGTGAGGGACAGAAACAGTCCAAATCAAGGTTTCAGTTTTTTCTTTCTTTAGCCATCAGCCTGTGTATAGGAAATAAGATTGATGCTGGAGTCAGAAAGACTGGGTTGGAATCATAATTATTTCATCATCTCACTGTACGATGTCAGGCAGATTGTTTCACAACCTCAAACCTTGATTTCCTTATCTTTTAAGTGGGAATAATAACATCTGCATAACACATGGAAAGCATAGTTTTCTTTCCTCCCTTATTACATCTTTCTTTCCTATAGGAAAATGGGTGTGTCCAAGAAGATAACTTAGTAACATAGGGTAGTTTTCTTGGCTTTAAAAGTTAATATGTCTCTATCACCTCTTCCTCCTTTTCTGATCTCCTCGTTCTTTCTCATATAGCTTGGCTATAAAAATCCTGTGAGAAGACACTGTGTTCTCAACATACCTCCTCCTTGCACACAGTCCTCTAGTGCTAAATCTTTTCCCCCGACCTGAGCCCTTGGACTGACAGTGCCCGCAAAGAGGTGATGACACAGCTTTTGAATACACAAATAATTATTAATGATTATGGAAGGAAAATCCCACCATGGTATTATCATTTAGCAAGAGGGAGAAACATAATCCATAAGATGTGCATAGAGAAAGAGGGATGCCTAGAGAACAGTGCCTAAAACGCAGTAGATGCTTGGGATTTGTGGAGTAAGTAAAAAAAGACACAGGTGAAAGAGCAGTGTAATGAGAGCTTACAGCCAAGTGTTTGCAGGTTGTGCGAATGTGCGTGTAAAGGCGGGGTTGCAGAGAAAGGAAAAAGTGGAAGTAGGGGTCCCACAGCTGAAAAGATAGACCAGAGACAGATTGTGGGGGGACTTTGAATACTGGCCAGGAGGTCACTGGAGCCATCAAATATTTTGAGCTTTAAAAATATTATTATGTTTTGCTATTCTGAAATTACTAAATGATCATTTTTCTGGCAGTTGTGTCTTTAAAAGTGGTATTGGAGGCCGGGCGCGGTGGCTCACGCCTGTAATCCCAGCACTGTGGGAGGCCGAGGCGGGCAGATCATGAGGTCAGGAGATGGAGACCATCCTGGCTAACACGGTGAAACCCCGTCTCTACTAAAAATACAAAAAATTAGCTGGGTGTGGTGGTGGGCACCTGTAGTCCCAGCTACTCGGGAGGCTGAGGCAGGAGAATGGTGTGAACCCGGGAGGCGGAGCTTGCAGTGAGCCAAGATCACGCCACTGCACTCCAGCCTGGGCGACAGAGCAAGACTCTGTCTCAAAAAAAAAAAAAAAAAAAAAAAAAAAAAGAAAGTGGTATTGGTATTGGAAAGCAGAAAAGCCACCTGGAATGATAGAATTCAATTTAGAGGACATCTCATTAGTCGTGGGCAGCAGTGTAATGTTCTAAATGGCACTGGAGGAGGAAGGAAGAGTTTGGGTCAAATTTGTGAACTAATAGTACTTGATGACTATTTAGATATTTAGATTGATGGAGAAATAGGAATCAGATGTTCCTGAGGATTTAATGAGATATCATATGCAATGCAAACATTTCAATACCTGGCTTATAGCACCTAGGCAGTAAATGGTAGCTATTATTACTATTCTGTGTGATGTGGAGTGATGTTGCCACTAAAGAAACAGAAATTCTCATAAATAGAATAAACAAACAATCTAATAAAAAAAATAGGCAAAGAAAAATGGCTACCATTTATTGCATGCTTACTATGTGCCAGGCATTTTCAGTACTCCATCTGCATTATCTCATTTCATCCTCACAGCAGCCCTAGGGAGTATGTAAACATATCATTCCTTTTTTTAAATAGAAGAAAACACTGGAGGTGAGAAAAATAAGGCGGTTTTCGTAAGATTACCCAGCCATTAAGTGGATGGACAGATTCTACGTCCTGAGCACACAAAAGAACATGGCAAGGCACCAAGAAACATTTGAAAAATAAAAAAGTTTAGCCTCACTAGCAATCAGACACACAAATTATAATTAGACATCATATTTCATCTCCAAATTTCAAACATTGAAAAAAGATAAAATGTGGTTTCGAGTAGTAGTTATTCTTGAACACTGCTGATAAAGAGTTTAGATTCAAACATTTTAAAGAGCAATTTGATCATTTGCATCAAACATCTTAAAAATGTAAATGCCTTTGAACCAGTAGTTTTATTTCTGAGGAAATAATTAGGATACGTACAAAGATTAAGCAATATAGATCATTTTTGTATATTATTTATATCATAAGACAAAATTTAGTATTCATAAGTAGCAAATTAAATAAACTCATAGAATGTACTATGATGCAGCAATTAAAGCTAATAGTAGAAAAATAAGTAATTATATGGGAAAAATATTCACAATGCTGTTAATGCAAAAAACATTATGAAGATTGTGTATAGTATAATCCCAGGTGACTTTTCTGGGTAGATACGCATTATAAGAAGATAGGAAAGACATATGGCAAAATGTTCCTAGTGGTTATTGAGATAACCACTGGATAGTGAAATTTTCTGTAATTTTTATTTCTTCTTGGTGCCTTTTTGTTTTCTAAAACTCTTACAGTGAATATTTATTACATTTATAAAAAGAAAAAATATCCAAAACCTTTGAATAAATGTTTTAAAATAATGAAATCAGAAAGCTGATGTTATAAAATTAACTAGCAAGTTTGTTTCATCCAGGAGAAAATGGCAGACAAGAGAAGCCCAGAGAGTAGGTCTGGGGCTGGGGGTGGGGCTGGCAGGGAGGGGAGGGAGGCAGGCCAGGCCTGCAGGTGCAGAAAAAAACTGCAACTTCTTAGCAGAACCTAGAAAGAAGAGGGCTAAGGATGTCAGGGAGTGGGGGAAGCCACAGGAGACAGTGACTTGCCTAAGGAGTAGTCAGGGGACAGGAGGAAGTCAAGAAATGAGTATTACCTAACAGAGGGGAAGAGCAAGGTTCTTCTGAAGGAGACATCTCAGATGGTCACACACTGAAAAGGAGTTAAGGGGCATGAGGGTGGGAAGATGCTATTTCGCCCAGCAATTAACAGGCCACTGGTCACTCTGGAAAGCTCAATTTTTGTACACCTAGAAAGGCAGGAGCCAGATTGCAGGGATGAGGAGGACAGTATGGTTGACAGGAAGTGGAGATGAGCAGAGGAGACTGGGCTTCATGCTGACAATCCCGAAGCTTCCCACTCTTCCTTTTGCTTGATTCGCTTTTAGCATTAGTGCATTTAAATCAGGGCAGTTCCCACTTTTTCCATCTTGGCTAGGACCCTTTAGTGAACTCTTCATTTTATCAAAGGCCTTTTTTATAGAAAAGGTTAAGTTCCAGTAAGAATGTTTTGAGTTTAGTTAGTGATTAATACACCCTGCTTCTGTAATTGCTGTAAATGAGGAAATCCACATTGTCTTACTCCAAATGTGTGGCAGTCCAGGAATGTTTTAATATTTTCCCTGAATCTAGTCTGTGAATAGGACTGGACTGCTTGGACTACCTGGATATAGGAAGGCCATGCTTCTGGGTCTCTGAAGAAAGTTAAAAAAAAAAAAACCCCAAAACCAGTAAAACCAACTTAAATTAATCCACTTATTTTTATTTATGTTTATAGTTATAAAGTATGCCTACGACTGTCCTGGTGGTATTAATTAGCTATGAACTGAATACTGGCTTGCCTCTTTGAGGTTGTTTCTTCCTAAAGTATGGAGGACTCCCTGCTTTGATCCCATAGCACCATCTGGTGGTTGACCTGAAAAGCTGAACTTTTGAATTTCTGGTTTTCTAAGTATAAAAGGAAAAGACAGAAACAAAACAAAAAAACTGTTTATTAAGAACAAATATAAAAGTAGTAAAGAAGTGTCTGTTATCCTTTAGTAATAGTTGTAATCCTCTTGTTTATGACTACCTAATTCAATAACCAAATAAAAAAGACAGATGAATATGTATCTCAGGTTCTTTTGAATCTTAGTTTAGTACTTGATACCCAGGGCTGGAAGTGTGAGCCCATCCTGCTACAGGTGGGATGAAAAAAATCCAGACTTTCATCTGATTCCAGACATGGGAAGCAAAGCTCAGGCCTTGGTAACAAAGTTACCATATCCCTGAAAAGGCACCCTCTTTTTTGTGACTTGGCTCTTTTTATATATAGTTACTTGTCTTTCTTCTTTCCCTTTAGCTGAAAATTGGGCAATTCTTGGCCAAGCTTTTGGAATTGGTTTTAATCCTGGGAAATGGGCATATTTATATGTGATTCAAGGCCCACCTCTATCCTGTCCCATGACCAACCTAAAAAAGACCATTTCCATAGAGCAACATAGCATGTCTATGAGAGGCAACAATGGAACTGTGAAAGTACATGTGCTCCCTGAAGGTGGTGAGACTGGGCAGAACATCTGCATGAGGTCAGTCTGTTTGTCTGCTGTTGCATCTTGCCTGGAGACAGACAGACACCACTGTTTGTTCTTTTATTTTTGTCCAGTCTTCTCAAGCTGGGTGTGTTGGGGCATGCCTGTAGTCCCAGCTACTTGGGAGGCTGAAGCAGGAGGATCACTTGAGCCCAGGAGTTCAAGTCCAGTCTGAGCAACGTAGTGAGACACCTGTCTCTATAATAAATAAAGTAATATGGTAGTAATAGGCTAATCCAAAGAAAAGCAGAAAATTATGTTGATAGCATCAGCCTATGAACAGGACCCAAACCTCAAAGCATCAGAATCAGAAAAGTTGAGATAAATAAGACATTCTAGAGGTACGCCAGAAGCGTTAGAGGCTGGTTGATGTGTCTGATTGATTCATTCATTTCTGTGTACCCACATGCCGCCCTGTTCCTCAGAGACTTTGAGCTTCCATGACAGAGGAAGAATAGGGTTTCTGTAAAACAAAAAGACTTCAAAGATGACTCAGGACATTGTCTTGGCAGACAAGGACCTTGCCATAAAGTGACTTGTTCAAGGTCACATAAGTAGTGGCATAATTGGAACTTGAACTCAGATCTGAATCTTTTCACGGAGTTCTTTTAAACATCCTATTCTCTCATCGCCCTCACTGGAAGTACAATTTAGCTTTTCTTATTTATTTATTTAGGCTTAAGTATCCTGCTTCTCTCATTATCTTCCTCATCTTCATCTCTCAACATCTCCTCAATCCTAAGAAAAAATAAAATTGCAAAAATTGTTGTTTCCATTTTGATATGACTTTCTATTTTGACTTCATTTTTATTTTTATTTATTATTATTATTTTTATTTTTGAGATGGAGTTTCACTCGTCGCCCAGACTGGAGTGCAATGACGCCATCTTGGCCCACTGCAACCTCTGCCTCCCAGGTTCAAGTGATTTTCCTGTCTCAGCCTCCCAAGTAACTGGGATTACAGGCACCTGCCACCATGCCCAGCCAATTTTTTTGTATTTTTAATAGATACGGGGTTTCACCATGTTGGCCATGAACTCCTGACCTCAAGTGATCCACCTGCCTCAGCCTCCCAAAGTACTGGGATTACAGGCGTGAGCCACTGCACCTGGCCTTGACTTCATTTTTAATTGGACTGGGAATTTACGAGATTAAAAACAAAAGGATTACCTTTTCTTTAAAAAAAAAGTATTTATTTGGTTAGGTTGCTAGCATATTAGTGTTAGGAGATATTTTATCATTTAAGCCATACTTGATATTATGTAAGCTCTCTCTCTCTTTCTTCCTTTCTTTCTTTTTTAGAGACAGGGTCTTGCTATGTTGCCTAGGCTGGGGTGCAGTGGCTATTCACAGGTGTGATCACAGTACACTAGAGCCTGCAACCCCTGGGCTCAAGTGAACCTCTCTCCTCCCTCCTTTAAGCCTCCCAAGTATCTGGGACTAGTGAATTACCTTTTCTTATAATGTAACACAGCTTCTCATGGCTCAACTGGAGGATACATCTCCAAGGGTACTTTTTAGGTCTCCGGATATGAGGCCTGACTAGCAAGGAGGAGACTATTTCCACAAATCACCTAAGAAATAATTTATATCACCTAGTAGCTATAAGAACATGTCCCATTGCAGGGACTCACTGCAATTCTCACTTCAAAAAACTCAAAGACAATTTCATACAGTAGCACTATTCATATGATTCAGAGAAATCACTATTTATTCATTCAACAAATATGTTTAGAGCATTTTCTATCTGTTGGTCACTAAGTAAAGCTACTGTGGAGAAAAATATAGGAACAATATAAAATGGCAGTGTAAAGATAGACCAAATATTTTCCTTTGGTAGGAAAGACATAAATTTATAGATATTCTTAACTGGGTTTCAAAACCGGAATTAGCTCCTAAGTCTATTTCAGGATCCAATTTGTACTTTAAAGGGGCAACTTTATAAGAATGAAGATTTGATACCTTAGCATTGTTTGATTTAGTAATACCACCACACCACCATCACACACACACACACACACACACACACACACACACACCCCTTTCAAATGTGTTCAGACAAAATTTTTAAGTAAAAGTCAAATTAGTTTTGGAATGAGAATATCTGAGATTCCTTGAGGTGATTATTAACATAAGGCTGAGAAACACTGTTATAGGTTCTGTTATAACTTACTGTTATCAGCTCTACAAATTCTGTTAGATGTGAATGAATTGCCTTTTACTTCAAATAAATATGAATTTTTTCCAAGACAATGCAAAGCATAAAATCATGCTTCCAAGTTAGCATAGTTAAACCAGTCCATAAAGACGGTTGTCTCTCCTCTCCTCAGATATCCCTTTTAGTAATGTGTTCCAGGTTTGTTTTCAAAATGCTGAGACCCAAGATACTTTCCCTGGTATTTAATCTGATTCTCCATGCACTCCTTTAAGCCCATTGCCTCTCCCCTGCTTTCCTTTTCTCAGAAAATAGCTGACAATTTTTACAACACTCTTGTGTATATTAAACTGTTATTGGACTTTTCCTCATCTCTCAATTCTTCTGGTTATCCCAATGTTCCTTTGTAAAAATTTGTCATGAGATTTATTGCCTCTGTCTTTAAGCCATCCTTAGGACTCTTTCTAGGTCACCATTAGGAAACTTCCATCAATTATATCTTCATATTGCAAGGCCATATTCTAACCAAGGCAGGAATGATGTTACATATGGTAGGGAGATTAATTTACAGTCCCTAACCACAAGCTCCTCCTTTCAGTGGCAGCAGCAGATTTGCTTACTCATTTGTGATAGTCAGATGCCTGCCCGCACCCTAACTTGTTTATTTTTGTGTGAAAACTAGCGCCTTCCTGGTAACTGTGCCTCAGAAAAAGTATCTAATATAAACTCTCATATCTTCTGGTAATGACACCTTCACCCAGTGCTGATTTTGATGCTTATTGAAGACACTTTTTTAGTGGGATTTCAAAGATGGGGATTGCTGTGCTTTTCAGTGCTTTATAATAGCAATGACAGGGAAAAGGGGTGGCAGCGGGGCGGGGGGCGTATTCCAAAGCCCCTATCTTTACCAACAGCTCATTCCCCACTTTTGGAAGGGATTTGGAAAGTCATATTTTTTCAATCTTCCATAACATACCGTGCAAAGATGACAAATATGAAACCTCAAACTTCGCCTTCTGTGTAGATTAGTGCCCTAAGCATAATCTATATTGAATTCAAGAGCTAGCAGTTAAACATTAGTCACATTATTAGTCAAATCAGTGTGCTTTTGTAAAAATGTGGCCCCCAAATCCCTGCCTTGAGCACCCAGTTTGTAAGTGTTGGATATATTTTGATGTAAAATTTGAATCTTTCTTCTCTTTGATTCATGTGAAATGTGAAGTATTCTTTATATCATTTCATGGCTGCAGAGAGCTTGTAATCCTGCTCCCTTTTATTCAATTATCAGTTCATGGTTTTGAAGTACTCTGATTTTATGTAATCTTCTCTTTCTAAAAATTTATTATAATATTATTTTTTGTATGTCCTCTTGCAGCCTGTCACATATTGGAATGCCACAATGGAATGGCCCAAGACGTCATAAGTACCATAGGGCAGGCTTTTGAACTCCGGTTTAAACAGTACTTGAAAAATCCTTCTTTGAATACTTCTTGTGAAAGGTCAGCCAAGAGTTTTATAATAATTTGACAATATATATATATGTGTGCATTTATCTGTATGTATTTATTTGTGTGTGTATATATAACATTAATGTGGCATTTTAAAATGAACTAATAAAATTAGTAATTTTTTTCTTGCAAATAGACACAGTCTCAGTACAAAATAATATTTTCCTTCCATTCATATTTATCCAGTTATATCCTCTTGCTTTGTAACAAGATTAAAAGAGATCCCTTCTCACTAAAAGTAAGAATAGATTATCTCTGTTATTCTAGCACTATAAAGAGCTTTGAATTAATTAATTGAAATCAAAATAATAAACATCAATAAACTTCTCAGATTTGTTTCAACCCCAGATCCTTTACATATCAGTTAAAAAAAAAAACACAGCAAGAACAAAGAGCAAAATAAGAATCAAATGTCTCTTGTAGGAATTCCTGTCAGTTGGTTTGCAATGTAAATAGATAGGCTTCAGCTAAACTGTGGTTAGAGTGGAACACGGTGGGACCCAAGGATTTGGTTGTTCTAAGGCACAGAAAGTCTGCAATGAAAGCTGAACCCTTTCAGGCCTGTCAGACCTCACCAAGTGTGGAATGCAGTGATGCCTCTGGCTCACACAATTCATGCCGGAGAAACAAAACTCTTGGGTACTTTAAAATGCATTTTCCTCTGGTATGTCACTTTGTGTATCAACAAATACTAGGTTTGGAGATCTCCTTTTATGAGGTAGTCTAGGGTAGCAAAGGAGAGGGTGTTACCAGGAGGCCTTGATGCTGAATTTTTCCCAGGATAGCACTTCTGTCTTAGTGCTATCATTTTATTGACATGTAATGAACCTAACAAAACTGTGTGAGTTGTCAGTTGAATCAGTTCAATCCAAATAGACTTGATTTATTCTTGTTTTTTTTTTTTTTTTTAGTAAGAAACTTTCCCTGATTCCAATTTGGAAGAAAAGTCTGTTTGTTTGTCTTGCCCTGTTTCAATTTTAAAAACAATTCCATGTTTATATAAATCTACCCACTTGCCACATATGGTTCTAATATTTCTGTGTTAATCCCATGTACTCCTCCAGATCTGTGCAGACAAGATAGCTGGCCATAGCTCTCTTATTTTTTTTTTCATTTTGGTTTAATAAACTGGGACAGGCCCTATACCCGAAGAACAATATTTAAATTTTATCTGGGCAAAACTTTCCAAAATGGAACAATCAAAGTGTGCTGGAGATACTCAAGAATACTTTGTATTTTTATGATCTTATGACAAAAATATCTTACATTTAGGAAGTTCATATATTGTTATTATCATTATTTTTATCACTGGAGGAGACACAAAAGCATCACCCTTGGCACTTTCTATTGGCTTACCCCGTTTTGTCTACAGAAAGCTAAACAACTCAACCATCTGACTGCTCCCATCCAAATGTTTAACATCACTTAAGCACAGCTATAAACTGAAAACATGAATGCAAAGTTTTTCAGGATGATTTGCTTGGTTCTGATCCCCTTGCATCCCTTACAGTATTTGAATTTTCGCCCAGCCTCTTGAGGATTCTTTTTTCCTTCACAGTGAGGAGGTGCATATTGATAGCCATGCCGAGGAGAGAGAAGATCATGAATATTACAATGAAATTCCAGGGAAGCAGCCACCAGTAGGTGGTGTTTCAGATATGCGGATCAAAGTTCAAGCCACGGAACAAATGGCTTACTGCCCCATACAGTGTGAAAAGTTGTGCTATTTGGTATGTAATGTTTTATTGTTGTTGGAACCAGCAATGCAATTCTGCCCTTATCACTAGAGCATTTACTTTGAGGATTTCCAAATGCTAGTTTAGAGAAAGTCCTGTCTTCCTCAAATACAGAGCCAGAGAATGAATAACTGTCAGAGGCTACACTAGATCATTTTTACTCCTAATCCCCCAATTGTAGCCTCAGCAGATGATCTCATATCTCACTTCACTGGGAAGACTGAGGCGATCCAACATGTTATCCTCAGCTTCACCCCTCCACAGCTCTAAGTCTGCCCATGTTCTCCTTGCTTCTCTTCCTTAGCAACTATCTCCAAAGCTAATCTTTTCCCTGTGCTTCTCATCCAAACCTCTCCTGCCAACTCTGTGTCCTAGTTCTGTCCAGTAACTTCTGTCTCAATCTTCACTCTTTCTCTATTGGTTCCTTCTGCCTGCAAAAAACTTGGACTCCCTCAACCCAACCTAATAATGTTCCACCTCCTTGTCATCTTCCTTTCACCCACAAACTTCTAGAAAGCATTGTCCCTGTCTTTGTGTTAACATGTGCACTATACTGGAAGATCTGAACTCTGCTTGACAATCTGATGGAAGTTACTTTTACAATGGTCACCAGTGGTTTAATTGCTAAATCTATTTCCTTCTTCAGTATTCTGTATCTCTTTATAATGTTTGACCCCTCTTCTTTTTTGTTGTTGTTATTTTTATAATTTCAACTTTTATTTTATTTTATTTTTGTTTTAGTTTTTTTCTTTCCACCTTTTATTTTAGGCTCAAGGGGTACATGTGTAGGTTTGTTAACAAGGGTAAATTGTTTATCATGGGGGTTTGGCATACAGATAATTTTGTCACCCAGGTAATCAGCATAGCACCTGGTAGCTAGTTTTTAAATCCTCACCCTCCTCCCACCCTTCACTCTCACATAGGCCCCAGTGTGTCTATTGTTCACTTCTTTGTGTACATGTGTACTAAATTCAATTTTTATTTTAGATTGAGGGAGTATGTGTGCAGGTTTGTTACATCAACATATCGCATGATGCTGAGGTTTGAGATACAAATGATCCCATCAGCCAGGTAGTGAGCATAGTAACAGATAGCTTTCAGCCTTTGCCCCCCTCTTTCCCTCCTCCTTTTAGTGGTCGCCAGTGTCAATTGTTGCCATCTTTACGTCTATGAGTACCCAATATTTAGCTCCTACTTATAAGTGAGAACATGTGGTATTTGGTTTTCTGTTCCTGTGTCAATTCACTTAGGATAATGGCCTCCAGCAGCATCCATGTTGTTGCAAAGGACATGATTTTATTCTTTTTTGTGGCTGCATAGTATTCCATGGTGTATATGTACCACATTCTCTTTATCCAATCCACCATTGATGGGCATCTAGATTGATTCCATGTCTTTGCTATTGTGAATAGTGCTGCGATGAACATAGAAATGCATGTGTCTTTTTGATAGAACAATTCATTTTCCTTTGGGTGTATACCCAGTAGTTGGGATTGCTGGGTCAAATGTTTGAGTGCTGTTTTAAGTTCTTTGAGAACTCTCCAAACTGCTTTTCACAGTGACTGGACTAGTTTACATTCCTACCAACAGTGTATGAGCATTCCCCTTTCTCTGCAGCCTTGCCAGCATCTGTATTTTTGCCTTTTTAATGATAGTCATTCTGATATGATATGTGATATGTGATTGTGGTTTTGATTTGCACTTCTCTGATGATTAGTGATGTTGAGCATCTTTTCATATGTTTGTTGGCTGCTTGTATGTGTTCTTTTGAGAAATGTCTGTTCATGAAATTTGCCCACTTTTTAATGGGGTTGTTTTTTGCTTGTTGAATTAAGTTTCTTATAGATTCTACATATTAGACCTTTTTGGATGCGTAGTGATTGTGAATATTTTCTCCCATTCTGTAGATTGTCTGTTTACTCTGTTGATAGTTTCTTTTGCTGTGCTTAGAAGCTCTTTATTTAGGTCCCATTTGTCCATTTTTATTTTTCTTGCAATTGCTTTTGAGGATGTAGTCACAAATTCTTTCCGAAGGCTGATGTCCAGAATAGATTTCCTAGGTTTTCTTCTAGGATTCTTACAATTTGAGGTCTTAACGTTTATATATTTAATCTATCTTGTATATGGTGAAAAGTAAGGGCCCAGTTTCATTCTTTTGCATATGCCTAGCCAGCTATCCCAGCACCATTTATTGAATAGGGAGTATTTTCCCTATTGCTTATTTTTGTTGACTTTGTCAAAGATCAAATGGCTGCAGGTGTGCAGCTTTATTTCTGGGTTCTCTATTCTGTTCCATTAGTCTATGTTTGTGATTTTGTGCCAGTACCATGCTGTTTTGGTTACTGTAGCCTTATAGTGTAGCTTGAAGTCAGATAATGTGATGCCTCTGGCTTTGTTCTTTTTACTTAGGATTGCTTTGGCTATTTGGGCTCATGTTTTGGTTCCATATGAACCAACTGTTTTTGGGTATTTTTTTCTAATTCTGGGGAAAATGATGTTGGTGTTTTATTGGAATAGCACTGGATCTGTAGATTGCTTTGGCTAGTATGGCCATTTTTATGATATTGATTCTTCCAATCCATAAGCATGGAATGCTTTTTCATTTGTGTCATCTGTGATTTCTTTCAGCAGTGTTTTCTTGTTCTCCTTGTAGAGACTTTTAACCTCCTTAGTTAGATGTATTCCTAGGTATTTTATTTTATTATATTTTGGTGGCTATTGTAAGTGAAATTGTGTTCTTGATTTGGCTCTCAATTTGAATGTTACTGGTTTATAGAAATGCTAGATTTTTGTACATTGCTTTTGTGTCCCGAAACTTTATTGAAGTTTATCAGTTCCAGGAGCCTTTTGGCAGAGTCTAGTGTTTTCTAGGTATAGAATTATTACAGCCAGTGAAGAAAAATGCTTATTCCTTTCCTATTTGTATGTTTTTTAATCTCTTTCTCTTGCCTGATTGCTCTAAGACTTCCACCTCTAAATTTTTTTATTTTTTATTTTTATTTTATTTATTTATTTATTTATTTATTTATTTTTATATATTTTTTTGAGACAGAGTCTCACTCTGTCACCCAAGCTGAAGTGCAGTGGCGTGATCTCGGCTCACTGCAACCTCCGCCTCCCAGGTTCAAGCGATTCTCCTGCCTCAGGCTTCCAAGTAGCTGGGATTACAGGTGCATGCCACCATGCCCAGCTAATGTTTGTATTTTTAGTAGAGACAGGGTTTCCCCATGTTGGCGAGGCTGGTCTCAAACTCCTGACCTCAGGTGATCTGCCCACCTTGGCCTCCAAAATTGCTGAGATTACAAGCGTGAGCCGTCACGCCTGGCCCTACCTCTTATTTTTTGAGACCTCTTCTGTAAGCTTCCAAAACATTTCCACCTTTTCATTCTCTTTCTGCATCTCTAGTTGCTGCTTTCCTTTCATTTTCTCACATTTTCCAACATTTTATTATGAGTATTTTTAAACATATAGACTATTTGAAAGAATTATACAATGAACACTCACATACCATCTCAATTCTACAATTAACATTTTATTATATTTGCTTTATTACATATGTAGCTGATTATCATACATTGATCCATCTTATTTTTGATATGTTTCAAAGTAAGTCTTACCTTTTCTTTTTATGTTATCATTTATTTCATCTCCTCCAATAAAAACACAAGCCCTGCCCTACCACCACATTAGCACTCTCCTAGGCTCTACCCTTGGCCTTTATCTTGCTTCTGGCAGGCCACTTGTGTACACACTTCCTCTACCTTCTCTGTCTTTGGCTCTTATGTATCTCTCTAGCTGTAATGCCACATTGCACTACATTGCTTATCTATATCAAGGTTGAACTCAGCATTTTCTCCCTGACTCCAAACTTGATTCCTCTACTGATTTACTCAGGTTTATTGATGGCACTGACAGTCTTTCATTAATCTACAATCTTCTGTTTTTCTCACACTTTGGGCCCCATATCAGTTCAGTCTTCAAGACCTAGGATTCTACCATGAAAATATGTTTTGAGTCTATCCAAACTTTCCCGTTTCTACTGCCTCTTTCGAAGTCCTGGTCCTCACTTGCCTAGATGATTCTGAAAGACCATTTCCTGACTCCAATCTCATTCCCTCAAACCCTCCTGCACAGTGCTGCCAAACTAATCTTTCTAAAGACACTGTTCATCTCAAAGGCATCAAGTGGATCCCTCCCCCACAGTATATTGCTGACGAGAGTTGTATGTACAGGGATGATCGAAGTTCTTTGGATAAGATTTTCAAGGGTGAGACGTGAGCCTGGCATAAACCTGAGTAGAGTAGAAATCCAATCTACCAATTCAAAATTAGACAGAGGTTGGCTACATGGCCAATGTTTATAGCAGTGTCCTGAAAATCACTTTCTGGCTGAGACTTGGATTGAGTTCTGGCATGTGACTTCTCAAGCAGAAGCAGTAACCCTCAGGACACAGGACACTGGTAGCCTTTAGAACCCCCCAGCCGAATCAGAACCAACTCTGCAGCTCCAAGGCGATGAACTATGAAGAGTGTTCTCTGTTCACCCCAAATATCCATTTTCTTTTCTTACCTGTCAAACATTTCCTGTGTCAGAAAGTGAAGTCTGCTATATTCTTCTGGGATTATTATAAATTTTTTCTTTTAAGTTTATGAATGTGTACTATGTTTGTAAATGTTTCATAATTTGTTGTTCATGCAGCCTGGAAACTCCAAGTGCAGCAGTGTATATGAGAACTGTTTAGAACAAAGCAGGGCAATAGGTAGGTACAATGCCCTTCTCCATCTGCCACCCTCCTTATTCCTTGTAAGTCCTATGGACATATGTGGCCCTTGCTCTTAAATACTTCATTGAAAAGTCAGGTATCTACCACTAAACACATAATCCTTTGACTGTAGGCTTCTCAGATAGGCCCAGAATGTTGCATATGTGTCACTAGGAAGGCTCATGGTTCTCCCTTGCTCTTGTGTGATCTGCCATGATGATGGTTTTGCTTTATGGAGTCTTTTACTGCCTTGAAATCATGAAAGCTCTCTCTCTGGAAAGGTGCTTTCTCTGCTCGAAACCCAAGGGAGTTCCACTTCAAAGAAGATCAGGAGTAAGCTAATGTGAAAATTGATGCCTGTCAGATCCATTAGGATTAAGATAAAATCTTTATTCTGGCTTGGCAAAGGGAACGAAAGGATGTCTGAAATGTGAGAATCTCATTTAGGAGCTTGTCCACCCCATACTTGCCAGAGTAGTAAATGTTTTATTACTGCATGTGATCATTGATGTTGGACAAAACTTTTCCACAACCTTGACTATCAGATTGGAAATATATTTTAATTAAAACATGTTATATTGTGAGTTAGTCATTTTAATTCCCATTAGTTGTTGAGCATATTTATTTCTTCAGGAAGGAAAGTTTTGCAGTTTTAGAGGGGGAGATGACTGAACTGTATAAATAATGCAGTGGAGAATACAGATGGATAACCATATTTAAGGACTCAAATTAGCAGGAACTTGCCATCTACAAGGTAGTCACTTCCAAGGATACTTTTTTATTTCTTATGGAATTACACCAATGTAATATATTAATTTTATTATTTTTTATATAGTGAAGGATACATGAAGATTTATTCTTTCTGGTATAGGTATGATTACCACCTTCCTCTATCTTGTAAACGGAGTAGTGAACCTAAGGCAACATTTTATTTTAGTTTAGTTTAGTTTATTTATTTATTTATATTTATTTATTTTTATTTCAGACAAAGGCTCACTCTGTTGCTCAGGCTGGAGTGCAATGGCGCAACCTCGGCTCACTGCAACCTCAGCCTTCCGGGTTCAAGCGATTCTCCTGCCTCAGCCTCCTGAGTAGCTGAGATTACAGGCACCCGCCACCATGCCCAGCTAATGTTTGTAGTTTTAGTAGAAACGGGGTTTCGCCATGTTGGTCAGGCTGACTTCAAACTCCTGACCTCAAGTGATCCACCTGCCTTGGCCTCCCAAAGTGCTGGGATCACAGGCGTGAGCCACCATGCTGGGCCTAAGGCAGTATTTTAAGTTCTGTAAAAATATGCCTTCTTATGATAGAAATTAAAATTCCATGCCATTCTTTAAAGTTATTTAAAATTCCAAACCAATCTTTAATAATATTACTAAACAAATTAAATTAATGGCAAGTATGAATCTCTTAAAAGTTATGCTCTCTGACAGCCATATTTCCTTCCTCTCTCCTTTCCGTCATCCTGGAGGTTCTTAACCTAAGGATTTAATAGTCAGGAACGTACCACGCATGCCTTGTGGTATTGCAACCATGTTCTCCCCTGTACTGAAGCTCACTTGGAAATACCTCCATGTCCTATTTTATCTCATTCATGTATTCTTCATTTATTCAACACTTTATTTAATGACTACTTACTGAAGACTTCCCATGGGTCAGGCACTGTGCTGGGTGCTAGAGCTAGAGGCACAACTGGCACTCTTGTAGTTTGCAGTTTAGCCAGGAAGACACACCTTAAACAAATGCCTACAAATATGAAGAGTGTTTCAAAGCCCAAGATGTTATAGGAACAAATAATGGGGAAACCTAACTTAATTGGGGAGGCTGTAGAGGCTCTCCCTAAGGAAGTGACAATCAAACCAAGGCCTGAAGGATGAGTGGGAATTATCCAGGCACAGAGAGGGAGGTAGGAAGGAAGTAGGAAAGGGACATAGGGAGAGAGGGAGAGAGAGCAGGGGAAAGAAGAGAGAGAAAATAAATGGGCACCAGAACTAAGCATGCCAGGACCAGTTCCCAGATCACTGGGACAGAGAGAGCTCAGAAGTAAAGAGAGAAAGATGAGTGTCGAACCTACAACAGCATCCTAAGGATCTTCAAAATGTTCAGTCCTGCCCAAATACCTCCCTTCCCAGTTTGTTTCTCTCCTCTCCATTAAATAGTCAGCATAGCCACATCCCTCCTGTCCTTAATAACCCAGCTTCTGAAGGGAACTCACTGAGTGAAAGTCTAGAAATGGACATTTCTAGAATTATGTTGAATGGGCTAAATCACAATACTACCACTAGAAAAAGGGGACATGGTTTCCCTTCTTCTTTTTCCCCCAAGAGTTCTCAACTTGATTAATTAAAAAAAAATTCTTAAAACACCCATCTCCAAAAACATAAATTTATGAAGGAATTAATGGATATGAAAGTATTTTAACGTTAATTCAAGATTTTTCTTTTTGTAAGTGTAGTCTTGCAGATTATCTTAGTTTTATTTCTTCTTTAAACCAACAAACAACATAATCCCTTATTCTTATTTACATATATATTTCCCTAAGCCACTATAAGAAGATTCAAATACATTAACAGACTTTAATAAAAGTTTGTTTGGAGCCTGGGATATATTTTTATAGAATTAATCCTAGCCATGATGGTTAACTCTTAGACAAGTATACTATATTCTACTATTCTGGTTTGCCTATATTGAAGCTTAAATGTATATTTTGTAATGACAGATAAAACAATAGAAAGTTCTATTGGATACTCCCTTTGTTAATGGTGGCTGTAAGGTAATGATTGTAACTGGGAACTTCGGAATCTTGAGGAGGTGAGATGGTGTTTGCAGTTAAGAAAAGTCCTCCACCTAGATACTTTGCTCCCCCGTAAATCACTGAATTACAACATTGTTTCCATAAAAAAGCCATTTCTGAGTTCCGGTGAGGAACCAGAATGCTCAGAGGCTATCTCTCCAAACCTTAGCTACTAAAACCATGGTGGGATGGAAGGAATCAACCCATGTCCCAGTGGCCATGACAAGTAAGGTCCCTCCTACTGTGGCAGGAGAGAGTTTCCTACTAGTGTCCTTTCATCCCTAGGCACCTATAAATCAGGTAATCCTATCTTGAGACCTGTCTTTGATTACTTGGGCATATGTTTTTATGTTTTTTTTGTTTGTTTTTTTTGTTTTTTTTTTTTTTTTAGACGGAGTTTTGCTCTTGTTGCTCGGGCTGGAGTGCAATGGCGCCATCTCGGCTCACTGCAATCTCTGCCTCCCGGGTTCAAGCGATTCTCCTGCCTCAGCCTCCTGAGTAGCTGGGATTACAGGCATGCGCCACCATGCCTGGCTAATTTTGTATTTTTAGTAGAGACGGGGTTTCTCCATGTTGGTCAGGTTGGTCTCGAACTCCCAACCTTAGGTGATCTGCCCGCCTTGGCCTCCCAAAGTGCTGGGATTACAGGCGTGACCCACCACGCCTGGCCTACTTGGGCATATGTTTTTAAAGTAATCCGAAATTCTTGACCAATGAGCAATTTAATAGCAGTTGCCAGAATAGCAAATATGTAGTTTTTGTGGCTTTTCCCAGAGATTCATATATAGGCATTTGAGAGATACCTATAGAAATATTTTCAGTAGCCTCCGAAGACATCCATTTATTCAAATATTGACTTCAAACTTGAATTCCAGTGTATTATAAATACTGCAGTAGCCTCTGGTTGTTGAAAGAGTTAATTGTATTTATCACTAGACATAGAAAAGATCCTTATCCTTCATACTTATGGAAAAATTCCCTCATGGAAAACAATAATTAGCAAAATAGAATAATGTTTCCCTGACCTTCCAGTTAAATTGAAATGTTGATATTTTTAATCAAAAAGACATTAAGTTCCCACAAACCCTAAGGGCTTACACTTTAAAATGTTGTTACTTACAGTGTATATACTGTGTATATATTTATTTTCCTCTACAAATCTTCTCTTAGGAAAGCTGGAAAGGGTCTTGGAGTAATACAAAGAACTTTTGGAAGGCGTACTAGCTGGCATCTGTGTCTAAGCCCTCGTCAACCAAACACTTCAGCCTAGAATGATTTTAAATTTGAGTCTGGGGTGGGCTTTTCTTTTTTTTTAATTTAAGGCAACATTACCAACTTAAATATAATGGCCCATATGAAAAAAAAAAAGGGGATGGCAGTTTCCTTTCTTTCTTTTTTTTTTCAGTACTCTATTGTGCGCTTAAAGGTGGCAGTTTTCAAGAGAGGCTAGATATAAACACCGATGTTTTTGGTGTCATCCTACGGGATGGTAAAATTGATGTGGTTAGCTCAGGCTAACGCTTTGTGAGGGGCAGATGCGTTAGCACCCTGTGCTGTGGGTTGATCCAGAGTCTTCAAAACGTGGTGGGGTTAAATATGCCAACAAAGGAAGATTGGATAGACATGCAGATATTTGTCCAATCAGCTGATAAACATTTTTCTTTTGAGCACCTGCTTCATCCCAAGCACTGAAGATGCAGAAGATACACAAATTGGATGCGTTCTAGTCTTTCCTCAAGGACACGAGGAATTTGCAGTCTCAAGGGGGAAGACAGAAGTAAACAGATTCTTGCAGTATATCATGAAGTGGCACCATTCCCAACCTTAGGGAGGGAAGGATTCAGGGGAAGGCTTCCTGAAAAAGATGGTTTCAGAGCAGAATCTTGAAGGACAAATAAGAATTAAGTAAAGTAAAGGAGGGGGAGCATATTGCTGTAAGAGATAAGCATCTTGTATGGAGGCCCAGCATCAATGACTAAATAATAACTGAGCATCAGTGGGAACTATTTATCGAATACCTGCTATAAGGCAGGCACTATGCTCAAGTGTCTCACCAACATTATTTCACTTAGTCCTCACAACAGTATTTTAAGCTAGGCACCCACATTTTACAGATATGAAAACTGAGTCTTAGAGAGGTTAATTAACTCATCCCAGACCGCTCAGATAGTAAGAGATACCCCAGGGATTTGAACTCAGGTCCATATGAATTTAAAAGCTGACTTCTAGCCAGGCCCGGTAGCTCACACCTGTAATCCCAGTGACTCCGGAGGCTGAGGCAGGAGGATCACTTTAACCTAGGAGTTCGAGGCTGCAGTAAGCTGTGTTTGCATCAATGCTCTTAAGCCTGGGTGACAGGGTGAGATGTCAACTTAAAAAAAAAAAAACTGACTTAAGCCACTTTCAAGCACTTTTGATTATATTTCACTTTCAGTAAATTTTTATGAGCAGGCACTCCTACATAAATGGTTATTTAATAATGTATAAGTTGTATACACATGTGCTAATATATTAATATGCATGTATCATAAAACACAAATATAGGAAAATTTAAAGTTAGAGTAGATGATAAATAAACATTTTTTACAAAGACTTGCTAATTACAACAGCTGGATGCTATCATTAGATAATATCTCAAGGTCTAGTATGCATTTAGAGCATTTATTGAAAAAGAAAATAGATGTAAATCTACACTTAATTCCTGATAATTTGAACATTTGAGGGGCCAAAGCTCTGATCTGATTAGATCATTCTCGTTTATAAGCTCCTAATGCAGCTAAGGAGGAGCTTGTACTAAAAGAATTATCCTTAATCCTTCATTTCTTTGCAGTAATTTTTTAGCCACTTTCCATTTGTAAAAGCAAGTTTAGTTTAAACTAGATAATATAACTTATAAATCCACTTAACTAAGCAAATGGAAACTATCTTATAGGTGGTAAAATGTACAAAACAGATGAGGCACCCTGTCAACTCCTCCCTCTGTAGAAACCTCACTCGTGTTTTAGGATACCCCACATACAGAGTATGACACATGACAAGATGACATGTAACAGCTGACAGACAAGGAGTAAAGGAGAAGCAGGTGGTAAGACTGCAGACTTCTGACTGGGCTTCTCCTGCTTGATGTATTCTTACTTTCCATACTATGAGTTACAAGTGTCATAGCATTATTCACCCTGATGTGAAATTCAGTATGTGGTTGGTCCTTGGACCACACTGAAAAGGTTTAATGACTAAAGCAATAGAAGGACTAATGTTGTCTTACATTGGACTGTCACTAGTTCAGGTGCAGCCTTATGATGACCATGAGCACATATGGCTAGCTATATGGCTAGCACATATTCTGTTTAACTAAATAATAGAATAGAACATAAATAACAGAATGAATTACTGTCATGATATGGACTTTGGAGGTTGTATTCATATGTTCTCATGCTGCTAATAAAGACATACCCAAGACTGGGTAATTTGTAAAGGAAAGAGGTTTAATGGACTCACATTTCCACATGGCTGGGGAGGCCTCACAATCATGGCAGAAGGCAAAGGAGAAGCAAAGGCACATCTTACATGGCAGCATGCAAAAGAGCTTGTGCAGCGGAACTCCCATTTATAAAACCATCAGATCTGAAACTCATTCACTACAAGGAGAACAGTATAGGGAAAACTGCCCCCATGATTCAGTTATCTCCACCTGGCCCTGCCCTTGACACATGAGGATTATTACAATTCAAGGTGAGATTTGGGTGGGGACACAGCCAAACCATATCAGAGGTCAAGTGCAAACTGCTAGGAAAGCAGAGATCTATTCTGGTCTGGAAGGTCAGGGAAGGCCTTCCTAAAGAAAGAGATGTTTAAGTTAATATCTGAAGGATGACAGTGATGGAGAAAAGGAGTGAAGAGCATGTTAATTAGAGGAGACAGCCTTTCGATGTGAGATCATACTGCAGGAAGGCCAGTGTGACCCCAGACAGAGGCTGGGGAGGAGAGAGGAAGAAGGGTAGCTGGGTAGACAGAGCAAGGCCTACAGCTTGTTAAAGAGCATGGGAAGCAATTGAAGAGGTGTGAAACCTCTGAGAAATATGACCGGATTTGCAGTTTTTAAAAGATTATTTGGGCTACAATGTGTAGAATAGAATGGAAGGGGAGAGGACAGATTAATAGAGGAGGAGGAGATAACCTGAGGCTTGAGTTCTTTTCATTGAATAACAGAATTAAACATCAGCAATTGGTGCAAGGCTGAGGTTGGCAAGAGCAAACTTTGAGCATAGAGAGAAGCCAGACTTCCTACTCTTAAGAATTTTATTGTATTCATTCATTCATTTTTTATTTATAAATTAATTTAGTTCACAGGGAATAAGGATTTAAAATTAATCAGTTTTGAAAAGTTTAATTATAGATAATCAAGTTCAATATGACATGTGTGTTTTCCTGATTCCTGGGCAACCCCTCTGAGCAGTGTTGAGTGCAGGTTTGTGCTGTTTGCTGAGACTATCAGCCCTCTTTCTTCCACGGCTGGTCAGTCCTCTTTGGATCTTCCTGCTTGTCTTCTGTCTGCTGTTGACGCAATTGGTCAGCTGAGGGCTGGGCCCGAGAAGGGAAAGAAGCCCAGTGAAAGGGTGGCTTTCCCTCAGAGACTGGTGCTTATTTTGATTTTCCAAGTCAAACCTAAAAGTTAAGTGTTCAATCATTGTATAGGGTGGGGCATGGCCTTTAGGTTTCTATCAATTCTAGACTCAAACATGATTTTATTTACTATTTACAAAGAAAAAACATAATGTATTGATCACTACTAATCACTACAGGTAATGTCCATCCAAGAGGGGTGCAGTCCCAGCGAGATACCTCATTATTGAAGCACACGTGCCGAGTGGATCTCTTTGATGACCCCTGCTACATTAATACACAGGCTCTTCAAAGTACACCTGGCTCTGCTGGAAATCAAAGGTCAGCCCAACCACTGGGGAGCCCATGGCACTGCGGAAGTAAGTAGCTACTCACTGTCTGTATTCATTTCTTAGGGCTGTTTTAACAAATTACCACAAACAGAAATTTATTCTTTCACAGTTCTGGAGGCCAGAAGTCCAAAATCAAAGTGTCAGCAGGGTTGGTTCCTTCTAGGACCTCTGGAAGAGAATCCATTTTATGCTTCTCTTCTAGCTTCTGGTGGCTGCTGGCAATTCTTGATGTCCCTTGGCTTGTAGACACATCACTCTAATCTCTGCAACTGTCTTCATATTGACTGCCCCTGTGTCTCTATTTCTTGATCTCCCTCTCCTTCCTCTTACAGGACAACAGTCACTGGATTTAGGAGGAGATGAAATGATTGTATGAGATGAGACTAATCTCATCTCAAGATCCTTAATTTAATTACATCTGTAAAGACCCTTTTGCCAAATTAGGTCATGTTCACAGGTCAGGGATTAGGGCTTGAATTTATCTTCTTCTTTTCTTTTTTTTTCTGAAGCAGGGTCTCATTCTGTCACCCAGGCTGGGGTACAGTGGCATGATCACGGGTCACTGCAACCTCTGCCTCCTGGGCTCAAGCGATCCTCTCATCTCAGCCTCCTGAGCAGCTGGGACTACAGGCACGCAACAACATGCCCAGCTAATTTTTGTATTTTTTGTAAACACAGGGTGTCATCTTGTTTGCCCAGGCTGGTCTCAAAACTCCTGGGCCCATGCCATCTGCCTGCCTCGGCCTCTCAAAGCATTGGGATTACAGGCACCACCATGCCCGGCCTTGAATTTATCTTTTTGAGGGCTACTATTTAACTAATTGTACTATCTCATATTTCAAGAAGGCTATTTTCTTGGTCTGATTTTCAGGGATTGAGTTTTCTTTCTTTACCTCCATCCTTCACCATAGTTAATATCGATTAGAGCTTTGTGGAGTTGTTTTAGGTTTCAAGGTTTAGAAATGTTGATTTTGAATAATCCTTTCAAATACTTTAAATTTACTTCGAACTTTTGATTTCTACTACGTACTTTTGCTGAAAGTAGGGCTGTCAAGGCCAGGAGATAATTTTGAATTTGTTTATTTGCATGAGTCACAGTGGCTACTGTTTCTGTTAGGGATAGCATTAATTTTATTCATTTCAAAACCCCTTAATAAGTCATCTATAAAGCACTAAAATAAGTTGGCTCCTTTCTTCACCCATGTACTGTGGGTAAAATACAATAAGACAAACATCTTTCCTGCCAAATTACTATCATAAACAGGAACATAAATAAAAATAAAACAAGCCAAAAGCCTATAATCAACTGAAAAATAAACAAAAAATGCTTTTCATAAAATATTGAAGTTGTTTTGTTCAGAGATTGGCATGGTGTCAAATTTGGTTTGCTCCAATGATGGAGAGCCAGTCACTAAGAAAATCCTTTTAATAGTCCAGGAGATTTCTCCAGAACTGCCAAAGACAGCTTTCCAGTTAGTGTGGCTACAATGCAAGACAAAATTTAAAAGATTTTGTTGAGCCTGGATCTCAGCAGACCGTCTTAACTGTCTAGATTAAGAACCAGGGGTCCTTATTGTCAGCCAGGTGACAAGTGATCCCTCTTTATGCTGACTTTCTAAGATCACTCCTGACACCCTATTCAACCAAGCTGGATTCTCTGGAAGCAGATGCTAAGATGAAGCTTGGCAGGCAGGGTCTGTAAGAGGATCAATATCAGGAAGCAATGGAGAGGAAGTAGGATTGGCTGGAGTGGGAGATGGGACTACAACACAGGCCTGACAAAGCCTCAGCCAACACCAAAAAGCCCATGTGGTCTGTCGGAGTTGTCCTACATTGGGCCCAAATGGCTGAGCGTATATAGCCCCATTTATCTCAGTCTTGGGATGTGGGCCACACCAGGAAAGTCAAACCCTGGGCAGCTGAGGCAGAGCCAGAAGGGCTGGTCAGCTGCAGGCTGACTGCTGACACCTGGGGCAATGGTGCTTCCTTGAAGGGAGATCTGGGCAGTGCATCTCTGTGGCTACCACAGAGGACATCTTATGTGACGGGTGATGAGATGTGAAACAAATTCAGATTTTTGCTGTTAAGCTTACTCAACTGTGCAATGGGAAATGTCCTGTGTGGATAGGTAATGTTTGTTACAACTTTTTGGAAAAAAACCCTTTCTGGACCTTAGATTTTATAAGAGTATATTCTTGATACCTTTCATTTCACGGACTTTTCAGAGCCACACATATTATCAGAGAACTTATTTAGTGGGTGGCCCAAATTAGGTGATCTGGAATATTCTTTGATTCACAACTCCAGTTCCTTTATAATTTAGTCTTCAAAGTTAAAATTATTCATAATCCAAGCAAAGGAACTTTGCCTTTTGTCATAGGCAATTCAATAATATGAAATGGCAAAATTAATACATAACAAAATTTCTATCATTCATTGAAAGTAAATAAAGTCTGCCTTGTCCAAAATTGTAATGTCAAAATGTATTTTCTCTGACTCTAGCCTTTTTTCCTCACCTTTCTCCCTTTCCCTGCTTTGGTGGCAACATATTTAATAATTTAGGCCTTTGGTACGATCTCCCTCTTTATTTCCTATTAGGATTTAATGTACCATAGCGCTCTTGGGCTCCTTGCTGCCCTGTTGAGGTTAAATTCAACATTGCTCCCTCCAAAATAAATCCAACTCCAAAACCTTAAATTATGTTGATTTAAGAACATTTGATAAAGAGATGGGGTGAGGCTTCGTGGCTTAGCTGGTTAAAGCACCTGTCTAGTAATAAAGAGATGGAGTGGGGATAGCTTTATACATACTTTTTAATAAAATGTCTTAACTGCACCTTTAACCTTCCCCCATAATGGATCCTTCTATTTTCTTCCTTCCTGCCTCAAAAATCCTCTTTAGCTTCTTTAGGCATACTTAGCCTCCCTTAGCCAGAAAAAAAAAGCTTTTGATAATTCAGTATAACCAAACCAAACAAAAACAAATCCAGAGTTACTAACCTAATGTCTCTCAGGTATGCTCTTAGGGCTCCTCAGTTCATCTTGTCACACTACCAACAGAAAAAAGTTCTGACACAATCTTTATTCTCACCAAACATGGCAGAAAGATTCCCTGAGTTCTGGTACTAATTTTTGTTTTGATTTATTGTTAGTTTCTGTCTCAGTTGCCATAACAAATACTGCCCCCGCCACCCCGCCAAATGCTGTAGTGTAAAAAGGGCTGACATTTATTTCTTTTACCTAAAAGCTCAAAGATTAGTGCCACGGGATTGGTAGGGTAGCTTTGTCATTCTCAACATCTGGTTTCCATCTCTGGTCCAAAGTGGCTGCTTGGGCCCTCATCATCACATTTGCATTCAGCTAGTGGGAAAGGAGAAAAGCAAGAGGAGCACATATATATTTCTTTAAAGGATGTGACCCAGAAGTGGCAGACATCATTTCTTTTCACCTGCGATTGGCAGACCATAGACATGTGACCACACCTAGCTGCAAGGAAGGCTAGAAAAATTACTCTAGCTGGGTGCCCAGCTAAATTTAGGAGTTCTGTAATGTAATGAAAGGGAGGATAGATATTGGTAGATGACTGTCTCTGCCACAAATATTCGTGAACTTTTCTTTTCACATAGAACATATTTGCCTTCTCCCCAAGGAAGACATTGCAAGTACTTATACCATTACAGCATCTAAGATTAGATGAAGATCCTTATTATCTGCCAAGTTGTCTGCCACCCTCCATACCCCAAATTAGCGGGGGAAAAGTAATAAGGTAATTGCAGTAGAAACTCACATTCACAAAAGGGAGGAATGCAACAGTGTGGGACAGCAGTCACTGGTCCACAACGATGACCAAATCTGGCCAGGCTAGAGTTGTGAAGACTACATGAGCTGGAAGTGGAGAAAGCAATTTGCTTGGATCCTGGTTCAGCTTTAGGAAAGGACTTTTGGTGTCCACTGTCATCTGTGGATCCAGATGATGCCATCTGGGTTGTTCCTACCATTGTTCTTCATGTGCATACTTAAAGTAGATGTTGGAGAAAGTGCCTTTCTTGGGGGCTTCGCCACTTTTACAGGCTATTTCCCACTGTGGTCATGAGAGATTAGAGTTCGCTTCAGGGGCCAAAAGCCATGGACTAGAAGGGATTGTGATTTCTTTGGCGATGTAGTTTCCTTGAAAACTTGGCAGGATTCCATTTTATTAGCTTAGAGGCAGTTCCGTGTGGAGTTTTCCACAATATTCCTTTATTGTCTTTTTAGTGCCTAAAACATCCATAGTGGTATCCCTTCTCTCTTTCCTGTTATTGGTAATTTTCTCCTTTTTACTTGATCAGTCCTCTTTTAGGTTTATTAATTTTATTTATCTTTCCAATGTGCCCAAGTTTTGGTTTAATTTTCTCTGTTGTTTTTTGTTTTCAATTTCACTGATTTCCATTTTATTTTTATTATGTTTTCCTTCTACTTGCTTTGGATTAAATTTTCTCTTTTTTATCCAACATCTATTATATTTTTTAAATATTGGCTTCATAGTTTTATTTTCATAATAAAATATTTATTCCCCTTGACCTTTATAGATTATGTGAGGTTGGGGATCTAACTTAATTTTATCCATGTTTGTCAATTTTCCAAACACTATTGATTGAGTAGTCTCCTCTTTTCCCTGATGCTACTTTCTATTATATCAAGCTCTTAGTATATATGTGAATTTGTTTCTGGGATCTTTATTATGTTTTTTCTATTGGAGCACTTGCCTTTTCTCAACCAGCATCTTAATTACTATATACTAATTGCTATGCCTTTGTAACATGTCTGACAGACATTTAATTCTTCCTTTACATTGCAAATAATTTTTCTCTGGGTACTATCTGAACCTCTCTCTCATTTATGCTTAACATTTCATGTTAACATCTTTTTCTACCAAATGTTCAGGTACTTTGTGTAAATGAACATATTTTTCCTTTCAATGCAAATACATTTTTATTTTAGAGTTTTCATACACCCAGTAATCCATACTAATAAACAGTATACAGTCAATTATCATTATTCACAGATTCCATATTTGAGAATTAGCTTACTTGCTAAAATTTAGTTGTAACTCCAAAATCAATACTCATGGTCCTTTTGCGTCATTTGTGGCCATGCACGGAGCAACAAAAATTTTCAATCACCCAATGTGCACATTCTCAGCTGATGTCAAATAAGACAACGCTCCGCTTTCTTGTTTCAGCTCTCAGTTATAATAATCCCCTTGTATACCTCCTTATTTTACTCTTCTCTTTTAGAAATGTGTCTGTATAAACATACAATCTTCACTATTTTAAATTGCTCTATAGTATTCTATTGTATGAGTGCATCATGATTTATGTAGTCAGTCCCTTATTGATGGACATATCAATTTTTCCAGTGCTTTGCTAAAATAATAATTAATACTATAAAAATTGTATACAGGTGCTTTTAAAAAATGGGATTCATCAGTGTGCCATCTTTATAGTTCATATTGGTTTCTTTAAATGTCTCATCCTTTCTTTCTCATTGAGATTACTTTCAATTATTTAATCCAGATTTTGCGTGTTAGATTTTTTTCTCTTCCTTAAACTGTATTTTCCCTTTTAGAGGTTTTTGCCCATTAGATCCATTTGGGTGTGGATAGCCATATCTATACTGTGCTTTCTTGAAGGTCTGATTGTGAACAATATGTCTTTAAGTGCCAATAGGAACTCCAAGATGATATGATTACTATCTTCTATAAGTCCTATCACTTTTTTATGGTTTCAATTAAATCTAGATTGGCCTTCCTTATTACTTCCTTAACCTCCACTACTTCTTCTCAGAAAATATGATTATATCAATTCAGCAATTTATTAAATATTACACATAAATTATATATAAATAACCATATTTAGATTATAATTATTATTGTCAAAGTCAACTTATGCATTAGAAAAGGAGCAAGATAATAGATAATGTACCACAGTGTTAAGAGCGGTTTTATTTAGTGATGAGACCATAGGTGATTAATTTTATTTGTTTTTCTCTTTCCTAGATTTTAAAAAGCTAGTATGTGTAACTTTTAAAATTAAGCAAAATAAACAAATTGTTATCTATTCTGGCAGAATCAGATTTTCAGCAAATGTTTGGATGATTGAAATCTCCCAGCGGAGTATCTTGTCCTTCTGCTAATTTGGGAAACTGTTAGGGAAACATTGTCCATTTCCTCTGGTTGGCCCACGATCCGTTGCCTCTTTTCAAGATGATATAATGTCTCTTTTTCTATTGTTTTGTCTTTGTCCAAAAGCTCTTCACCATAATCTCAGAATAGACCAAAAGCCATCACGCATTAAGACGTGTATACCCACACACTGCGTGCATGCATTCCTCCCACACTCACACACTTTTTCACACACACAAACACACACATGGCTACTCATTAGAAGTTATCCATTGTGCCTGAAAGCAGGCAGCACTAAGGCCAGTTACAAGTATTATTCATCAAATCTGCATACATTTTGTCAGGCTATTTCTGGCAACAATAGAAAGATTTGATTGTAGAAGAGAGTGTTTCCAGCCATTAGATTTAGATTAATGATATTTTTTAAAAGATCTGTTTGTGAATACTCATTATAACTGTGTGCAGAAAGAAGCCCTCAAGTAGGGACAAAACTATAACGTATTAACAGTAGAATTGAATTACGACTACAGCACACTGGTTGCCTACACCAGTGACTTCATGGGATGATCGTGTGTAAATTGTAGTCATACAAACTCATAGTCAAGATAATTTCTCATTTGCAAGACCCTTACCTAAGGACACATAAACACTTCTTTGTGTTTATAAAGATAAAGACTGGTTTCTATTTCAAAGACGCTTTGTGTTTAAAAAAAAACAAAAAAAAAGAAACAAAGTCTAGTTTCTATGGTTATTTTCCTGGTAAATTTGCCTTATTAAACATACAAGTTTCAGACATAAGAACCTGGTTTCAGACATAAGAATTTTACATTATTAGTTCTGGAGATGCTGAAGGCTACCCCAAGTAAGATTAGCCTTGCTACCTGCTAGGGACCTCTGTGGGTACTACTAAAGCAGAGTGGCTAGATTCTACTAAAAGAAAGATTTTCACATCCAAGGCAAGGACCTTAGAGTTTAGTAATTAAGAATCTAGGCTTTGGAGTCAGATGACCTTGTTTCGAATTTCAGATCTACAACTATTAGCAGTGTAAATTTAAGTCCCTTAACCTTCCTTTTTGTTTGTTTGAGGCAGGGTCTCACTGTCGCCCAGGCTGGAGTGCAGTGGCGCGATCTTGGCTCATTGCAACCTCTGCCTCCCCGGTTTAAGCGATTCTCTTGTCTCAGCCCCCCAAGTAGCTGGGACTGCAGGCACGTGCCACTATGCCTGGCTTTTTTTTTTTTTTTTTTTTTTTGGATTTTTTGTAGAGACAGGATTTCATCATGTTTCCCAGGCTGGTCTCGAACTCCTGAGCTCAGGTAATCCACCTGCCTCGGCCTCCCAAAGTGCTGGGATAACAGGCATGAGCCATCCTGTCTGGCCACCCTTTCTAAAGATTCATTTCCTTGCTGTCTAATTTTGAGAGTTAAACAACATAATGTATATAAAGCATTTAGCAGTTTCTATCACACTTGATAAATGAGAACTACGCAGTAACTATTATCACTATTATGAGTGTGGATAGTACTGTAAACTGCTAACTGGAGGTCCCTTCCCATCCCCAGTGCTCTCAACTCTGGACAACACTTATTCAGCAGCGCCTTGGGGAGCTGCCTTGGGCTGTTCCTCCCTGATGATTTGTCTTCTTTTACCTCATCAACTGTTTTTGTCCAGGCAGGTGAATGACACAAACAACAAAGTAGTCCTTTAGTGGGAATGCTGTGAGGTTTAGCAAAGTTTTGAAGTTTTGGGTCAGAAGAATGACTAGACACACACTAATAATTTGGTTTTAAAAAGGTGGGACAAGAGCTAAATGCTAAAAAGTGGGGATGGCCTGAAGTTATTATAGCTATTTTCAAAGTGTTTGGAAACATTGTAGAAATTATTTGTAATCCAGGTACAGCATAAGCCTTTTTCTCTTTAACATGCAACCCCTAGGACATAAAGAGCCTCTCTCTGCAGTTATAAAAGCTGTTCTCATGGGTCTGTTCCATTTCCCATCTGAAAGAAAAACTCCTGCACCTGGGCAAGGCTTCCCTGGTAACAGAAGCCAAAGGCAATGTTTGGATCTACCATTAAATTAAAGCCTGTTGGGAGTTCTGAAAACAAAAACCTCATTTGTTCCCCAAGCAGTATTATTTAAACAATGGCTGGCACACAGTAGGACCTCAGGTTATATTTACTGAGTGAATAAATGAATGAATGGATGGATGAAGAGGTAACTCGATGATGTCTCTCTTTGTGTTCTGACTTCAGAGGCACCAGAAACTGTTCAGCCGGGTGCCACAGCCCAGCCTGCCAGCTCACATTCTTTGCCACACATTAAGCAGCAGCTGTGGAGCGAAGAATGCTATCATGGCAAGCTGAGCAGGAAGGCGGCAGAGAGCCTCTTGGTAAAGGATGGGGACTTTTTGGTTCGAGAGAGTGCAACATCCCCTGGCCAATATGTGCTGAGTGGACTACAGGGAGGCCAAGCAAAACATCTTCTCCTGGTGGATCCTGAAGGCAAGGTATCATTGACTTCTCATTAGAGGTTTCACAGGATGTTGTTCTATTAAGCATACCCTGAATGATTTCCAAAACCTGGTATTGAATAGTGCTCAAGGCTAAGTATTTGCTTTTTCTGGAACCTTCCAGCTGGAGCAGGACATGCTAACTAGAGGGTAGTGGAGGGGTTAGAGTAGGAGGCCACCCTGGAGTATCAAGCAGAGGACAGCCTCTTTCTGCCCTTTTCAATTCAATTCAATGAATTAAATGAATACCTGCTATATAGAAATAAAGGAATTTGCAGCTGTTTGTTGTTCAATATCACATACATAGTCCTTGCTCTCAGAGTGCTGATAATTTAATAAAACAAGTGCTTAAATAATTATAATATAAAGCTGAATGAGATAAGAATGGTTCAACCAAAGCATTATGGTGTTTCTCAGAACAGAGAGGTCATTCTGGTTGAGGCAAACTAAGAAGGTTTCTTATAGGGTCCATCATGTAAAGCAAACCTTGAAAGAAGGCAAGATTTCAAAAGGGGGACATTTGGAGTATAGAGAAGGAACCATAGGTGCAGACAGAGTAATAGAATGGTATTAAGCCAATAGAAGATGAATGACAGTAGCAAAGAATGCCTGTAGACAGAAAATTATCTTGGGAAAGGTAAGTTAGAGCCATCAATATGGGGTAGAAATGCCTAATTTGCCAGGCAGTGGGGAGGCATTGGCAGTTTTGAGACAAATGATGCAATCAAAGCCCATGTGAGTGGTGACATCAGCAAGATGGCAGAATAGGAAGTCCCAGCCCTTGTTCCCCCAAAAGAAACACAGAATTAACAACTCTATATTGACCAAAATACCTTTATGAGAACCACAGAATTCACTTCAAAAGTTTCAGTACCTCAGGTGAGCATAGAGCTGAAAACAGTCATGTCAAAACTGGTAAGAAGAACAATTTCACTTTATCTGCATCATCTCCTTACCCAAATCAGCATAGCTCAGTGGCAGGAAGGAATTCCATGTCTCATGACCTCTCCCTTGGGGGAATGGGGGAAAGAGGAGAGTAGAGCTTGCATGCCATGTTCTGGCTTTTCAGTGGGTTGCCTGAGGGACTGGTTTCTGTCTCACTTCACATGGAGTGCTCATGGTACTGCCATATTTTGGATGCCAGGAGCCACTGAGAACAAAGAAGAGCACAGGATAGCTTGCTGCAGCTGGCACTCCTCAGTACAAATAGGAGAAAGTACACAACTTGAAGGTTCTCCTTCAGAAGGGAGGGAGGGGAGTGAAGTGTGTCCAGAATTCCAGCTTTTTGGAGGGATACCTGATAAACCAGTTATCTGTCCTGCCACTTGGGGCACTGAAAGGAAGCTGGCATACCTTGGATGCCTGTGACCATGGACAACAAGGGATAGTGGGGTGGCTTGCTGCTATAGAACCAGAGAACTTGCAGTGCCACAGACATCAGAAGGAGCAAGAGATTACAAGTTCCTGAAAAACTGGCAAACCTCTGTAATTGAAAAATTGAACACACAGGCCCAGAAAAGTCACGTCCCCCCACAGAAGGTTTTGGAGACCCCCAGAATCTCTATTTGGGCTGGTTGGTGTGATTCTTCCCTTGTATGAAGCCAGTTTGTAAGGAAAGGGAGAGGTGGCTGTTTTTCAAATGCATAGATCCCAACACAAAGTTATGAAACTCAAAAAGAATCAGGGAAACATGGCCCAAACAAACAAACAAAATAAATATCTAGAAACAGATCCTAAAGAAACAGAGGCATATGAATTAACTGACAAAGAATTCAAAATAAGTATAATAAAGATGCTCTATGAGCTCAATAATACCATCCATGAACAAAGTCAGAATATCAACAGAGAGAAAGAAAATATTAAAAAGAGGCAGACAGAAATTTTGGACCTGAAGAATACAATAACTGAACTGAAAAGATCACTAGAGGGGTTCAGCAGCAGACTTGATTAAGCAGAAGAAAAAAACCAGCAAACTCAAAGAGAGGTCATTTGAAATTCTTCAGAAAAAGGAACAACAACAAAAATATTACTTTTAAAAAGTGAAGAAAGCCTAAGGGATTTGTGATACACCATCAAGCAGACCAGTTTATGCATTATTGGAGTTCAAAAACAAGAGAGTGAAGGAGAAGAAGAAGAGGGAAAGGGGGCAGAAAGCTTATTTAAAGAAATAATGTCTGAATCTTCCCAAGTAAGTGATGAGAATGAACATCAGATTCAAGAAGACCAATGGACTCCAACTATGAGGAACCCTAAGACATTCACATCATGATACATTATAATCAAAATGTCAAAAACAGAGAATTTTGAAAGCAGCAAGAGAAGAGACTCATTATGTGCCAGAGAGCCTCCATAAGACTATCAGCACATTTATCATAACCACCGTAAGACTATCAGTGGGTTCAATATATTCAAAATGCTAAAAGAAAAAAGACTGCCAACCAAGACTACTCCATCTGGCAAAACCATCCTTTCTTTTTTTCTTCTTCTTCTTTTGAGACCACGTTTCACTCTTGTCGCCCAGGCTGGAGTACAATGGCACCATCTCGGTTCACTGCAACCTCTGCCTCCTGGGTTCAAGTGATTCTCCTGCCTCAGCCTCCCAAGTAGCTAGGATTACAGGTGCCCGCCACCACACCTGGCTAATTTTTTGTATTTTAAGTAGAGACAGGGTTTTGCCATGTTGGCCAGGCTGGTCTTGAACTCCAGACCTCAGTTTATCCACCTGCCTTGGCCTCCCAAAGTGCTGGGATTATAGGCGTGAGCCACCGTTCCTGGCCAAAACCATCCTTTAAAAATGAAAGAGAAATATAGACTTTCTGAGATAAACAAAAGATGAGGAGTTTGTTAGCACTAGATCTGCCTTTCAAGAAATGCTAAAGTCCTTCAAGTTGAAACAAAAGGATACCAAACAGTAACATGAAAGCATATGAAAGTACAAAGCTTGCTGGTAAAGGTAAATATATAGAAAAACACAGAATACTGTAATATTATAATGGCAGTGTGTAAATAACTTTTAATTCTGGTTATAGAAGTTAAAAGACAAAAATGTGAAAAATAAGTCATATATCACTTAACAATGGGGAAATGTTATGAGAAATACATTGCTAGATGATTTTTTCATTGTGCAAACATTTTTGAATATATGTACACAAACCTAGATAGTATAGCCTACTACACACCTAGGCTATATGGTATAACCTATTGCTTGTAGGTTGCAAACCTATACAGCACGTTAGTGTACTGAATACTGTAGACAATTGTAACACAATGGTAAATATTTGTGTATGTAAACATAGAAAAGGTGCAGTGAAATAGGATATAAAAGATTTGAAATGGTACACCTATGTAGAACATTTACTGTGAATGAAGCTTGCAGGACTGGAAATTGCTCCAGATGAGCCAGCGAGTGAGTGGTGAGCGAATGTAAAGACCTAGGACATTACTGCACACTACTGCACACTTTATAAACACTATGCACTTAGACCACACTAAGTTTATTTTTTTTAATTTTCTTTCTTCAATAATAAATTAACTTGAGTTTACTGTAATTTTTTTACTTTGTAAACATTTAAATTATTTTAATCTTTTGACTTTTTTGTAATAACACTTAGCTTAAAATATAGGTTATAGAGCTGTACAAAAATATCTTCTTTCTTTATATCCTTATTCTATATGGTTTTTCCTATTTTAAAATTTTTTATTTCTATTTTTTACTTTTAAACTTTTTTGTTATTGTTAAAAATAGAGACAGAAACACAGACATTAGGCTAGCACTAGACAGGGGCAGGATCATCAATATCACTGTCTTCTATCTCCACATATTGTTCCACAGTCTTTAAGGAGCAATAACTTGCATGGAGTTGTCATCTCCTATGATAACAATGCCTTATTCTAGAATATCTCCTAAAGGACCTGCTTGAGTCTCTTGAGAAAGTGTCACTATTTTCAGAAATATGACCTTGGCGGTTTGCTTGCTTTGTTTCTTTTTTCATCATAGATTTGCTCGTACGCAGATAATGCAACATGAGCATTCTTTTCTATTAATGAAAACCTTTTGGTGTTGGGGATCCATGTTTTTAGTCTTTTCAAGAAGCTTGTTAAGGTCTGAAAAAGCTTCTGCTAAACTCTTTATTGTTAATTTTTTGGGGGGTTCTTCTTCTTTTTCTTTGCCTGCACTTTCCTTTCCTTTTGCCTCCTCTTCAGCTATGCCTTCCTGTTTCAGTTCCAACAACTCATTAGTCAATTCTTCAGGACAATTGCATTAGGCAATAGGAATTTTTCAGCTTCATTATAAGCTTATGGGATCACCATTGTATATGCAGTCTGTTGTTAACCAAAATGTTATTATGCAACAATAACTATGTAACTATAAAATATGTTAATGAATACACAAAATTTAAAAATGTAATTGGTGACATCAATAACATAAAATTGTGTGTGGAGAAATAACAGTGTAGAGTATTTGTATGTGATTGAAGTTAAGGTGTTATCAGTTTAAAAGAGATTGTTATAGCTATGTTTTATGCGAGCCCCATGGTAATCACAAAGAAAATACTTCTAGAAGATACACAAAACAAAATGATAAAGGAATTAAAGCCTATTCACTATGAAAAATTAATGAAACACAAAGGAAGACAGCAAGAAAGGAGAAACAGGACCAAAAAAAGCTTTAAGACAGAAAACAATAGAATGGTAATAGTTCTTCTCTAGTATTAACTACTTTAAATGTAAATATATTAAATTCTGTAATCAAAAAGCATAGAGTGGCTGAATTGATTAAAAAAAAACAAGCTCCAACTACATGCTATCTATAAGAAACTCACTTTATTTTATTTATTTATTTTTTTGAGACGGAGTCTCGCTCTATTGCCCAGGCTGGAGTGCAGTGGCACAATCTCAGCTCACTACAACCTCCGCCTCCTGGGTTCAAGTGATTCTTCTGCCTCAGCCTCCCAAGTAGCTGGGACCACAGGGGTGCGCCACCATGCCCAGCTAATTTATATATTTTTAGTGGAGACGAGGTTTCACCATGTCCGCCAGTCTGGTCTCAAACTCCTGACCTCAGGTAATCCACCTGCTTGGCCTCCCAAAGTGTTGGGATTATAGGCGTGAGCCACCACGCCTGGCAAGGACTCACTTTAGATTTAAGGACACACGTAGGTTGAAAGTGAAAGTTTAGAAAAAGATATTCCATGAAAATGATAACCAAAAAATGGCAGGAGTGGCCATACTTATATCGGACAAAATAAACTTTAAGTCAAAATATCAAAAGAGACAAAGAAGGACATGATATAATGATAAAAGGATCAATTCTTCAGGAAGATATAATAATTATAAATATATATGCACATCAGGGTACCCAAATATATGAAGCAAACATTGACAGAACTAAAGGGGGAAATAGACAGCAAAACAATAATAGTAGGGGATTTTAATGCTCCACTTTCAATAATGGATAGAACACCAGACAGATCAATGAGGAAAAAAAGAACTTGAACAACACTATGGACCAAGTGGATCTAACATACATATACAGAACATTCCATCCAACAGCAACAGAATACATATTCTTCTCAAGTGCACACAAAACATTCTCCAGAATAGATTATGTTAGATAACAAGACAAGTCTTGACAAATTTAAGAGGCTGACATCATAACAAGTATCAGTGGAATGAAACTAGAGGCAGAAGGAAAACTGGTATTTCCACAGGCAACAAAAGGGACACTAGAGAAGTGGCATTACATTAAACTAAAAAGCTTCTGCACAGCAAAGAAAACAATCAGCTTAGTGAAAAGGCAACCTACAGAATGAGAGAAACTATTTACAAACAATGTATCTGATAAGGAGTTAATATCCAAAATATATAAGGAACGCCTACAACTCTATAGCAAAAAAATAAAAGCAACCAATGAAAACATAGGCAAAGGACTTGAATGAATAGAGATTTCTCCAAAAAGACCAAAAAATGACCAACGGGTATATGAAAACATGCTCAATCAACATCATTAATCATCAGGAAAATGCAAATCAAAACCACAGTGAGATAATACCTCACACTTGTTAAGATGGCCATTATTTTTTTAAAAAGAGGAAGAAAATAACAGGTGTTCGCAAGGATATGAAGAATTGGTGCCCTCGTGCACTATTGGTGGGTGTGTAAAATTGTACAGCCTCTATGGAACACAGTTTGGAGGTTTCTCGAAAAATTAAAAATAAAACTACCATATGATCTAGCAACCTCACTTCTGGGTAATTATCCAAAAGAACTGAAAGCAGGATCTTGAAAAGATGTTTGCACTCCCATGTTTATTGCAGCATTATTCACAATAGTCAAGAGGTGAAAACTAAGATCCACTAAACAATAAATGGATAAAGGAAATATGATAATATCCATATAGTGGAACACCATAGAACAACCATAGAAAAGAGGGAAATCCTGTCCTATGCTACAGTGTTCTCAAGGAAATGGGTAGTTGCTGTTTGATGGGTATAAAGTTTCAGTCATGCAAGATGAAAAAGTTCCAGAGATCTGCTGTATAACGTTGTACTTAACAGTTAACAATACTGTACTGTACACTTAAAAATCTGTTAAGTGTATAGTACAGTATTAACTGTTACATAACAGATGTATATATATATATATATATACACACACACACACACACACACATACATACATATGTAACAGATCTCATGTTATATGTTTCTTACCACAGTGAAAAATCTTGTGTGGGTGAAGTTACAAACACAAGTGTCTGCAGGACTAGGCCAGTACTGTAAGTGAATAAAGCTGGGCAGGGGATAGAGCGAGCATAAGGTACAGTGGGCTGTGTTAAAAAAGGCACATACCCTGTGTAAGGGGGCAGTCACCACTCAGCTCCAACCAAACGCTGTCATGCAGAGCAGAGGCCCAGTGGGACCAGATTTTATTTTTTTCAAATAAGTCATAAAACCAGAGTTTTATAGGAACTCTCCTTATTTTTAATTCAAAATAGTTGAAACTCTCTGTGCGTAACCTCCCCTCCCTATCCTAGCCCCTAGCAAACTAAAGCATACGGGGCATTCAGCCAGAGTGGCCTGCTTACAATCTCTGTACTTGAAAGATTAATTTCACACTTGTATACAGGATTGATTAAAGAGAAGGGGAAAGACCAGGGACAGAGAGAGTAATTAGAGGCTTCTAGGTAAAAAGTAGTGACAGCCTGAGGCAGAAGAAATACAAAGAAGAAGGCAGAGTGACTTGGCATTAAGAACATAGAATGGAAGGATTGGTCAGCTGATTTGGTGTGGGATGGGAATGAGATGGAGGAGTTGAAAACCTTTTTGAGGTTTGGAGCCATTTGAGAGCAAATTGGTGCCATTGTGTCCTCTTCTGTAAATCCTTGAATGTGTATTTCCTAAGAACAGAGATATTCTCTTCCATAGCCATAGTACAGAGATCAAAATCAGGAAACTTAACATTTGTACAATACTATCTAAGTCATAGTCCATATTCAAATTATATTAATTATTCCAGTAATTATGCATGATTTTAATACGGCAAAAACCAACATCTAGACAGAACTCCAAGAATCCCTTGTAGGAGAGCTGGCAGAAATACATAACGAGGTGCTGCCTTGTTGCATGCCTTCCCCTTTCCTGGATGGTTCCTAGCCACCCTCCAAACAGGAGCACTTGTATAACCAGGCCACCAAGCTGGTAGAGCCACAATGGATAGTAATGTACAGCTTCTGTCTATGCATAGGGTACTAGGAAGGGAATTCCATAGAAGGCATGCCATAAGAAAATTGAATTTCTTTGGCATGCCGACAGTAAGTTCCATGCAACAAATATCTGTGAATCAGCTACTATGAAGTCTGTGGGAAGGACACATGAATGCCTATTAGAAAGGTCTGAGGAGGCTTCTTGGAGAAGACAGGAATGCTGAGCCTCCAAAGAGAGATAGGAGGTAGGACTTCTCCAGAAAGGCCTGCTTCTGACAGAGACAAGGTGATATGGAAGCACTCTGGTTAACAGAAGATAATTACAATCCTGGGATTCATGCTTGTATACAAACCAGTTAAATAGTTATAGAGATAGTGACATAGAATATACCAAACAATAATACTGCAAAGAGGCTGATTGCAAATTTGGATTGGGTGACAAGTGCCTACCATTTTCCTAACTTATGGGAATGGTTGCTTTAAAATGGTAATGAGGAATGAGAAAATTGTTGACTAGGGACTACAGAGTTTAAAAGCACCTTTTCTCCTAGCCCTTTGGGAAGCCAAGGTGGGCATTGGCGCTCAGGAGTTTGAGACTAGCCTGGGCAACACGGTGAAACGCCATCTCTACTAAAATAAAAAAAATTAGCCAGGCATGGTGGCACGTGCCTGTAGTCCCAGTTACTCGGGCTGAAGCACTAGAATTGCGTGAACCCAGGAGGTGGAGGTTGCAGTGAGTCGAGATCGTGCCACTACACTCTAACCTGGGCCACAGAGTGACACTCTGTCTCAAAAAAAAAAAAAAAAGTACCTTTTCTTTTTTCAGCAAAGTATCTACTTTAGGGATATATCTGGCATTTTCCCCCTTATTATTTATATCTTTCAGGAGAACTACTATAATTTAACCTAAATATATTTGTACTTCTTTTTCAAGGTGAGGACCAAGGATCATGTATTTGATAATGTCGGCCACCTTATCAGATACCATATGGATAACAGTTTGCCAATCATCTCCTCTGGAAGCGAAGTAAGCCTTAAACAACCAGTGAGAAAAGATAATAATCCAGCACTTTTGCATTCCAACAAATGACAGTATTGAAGCACCATCACACTGATATTTCAAGAAACCCCATTTTGTATTAGGACACAAAGATAATTTAAACTTTGTTTGTAGATAAAATAGAGCACAAACTGTGAAGTGCATCTTTCCAAGACCATCATGGACCAGGTCCTCTATAAAATGAAGAACTAACAAAAATTAGTCTTCAGAAATGAAAATCAGAAAAGAGGAAGAGGGTTGGTCATTTTAAAAGAAATTATATGTATGCACGGATGTCACTTTTTAAGGCCATATTGCATTGATAACAAGCTAAAAGCACAACTAAAATTTCACATGCTAACGACAACTTGAATGAACTGCTGGGGCAGTGGTATGTGCCTTTCAACTTGATAATTTGGGGGACATTTTCATATTGGGAGATTAATTCTAAGTATCTTCATGTTCTATGACTATAGAACCATTTGCCAAAAAAAAAAGCTTTTCTTGCTACAAAAAATAAGCAATTTTCTTGAGCCTTATTGACTTTATTACATTTTCTGTTTAGCAGCATTTTTCACTGCAATGTTAAAATAAATATGACATTGAATTCGAACTGTGTGTATGTCAGTGGAATCAAATCAAAAGCCACTAACATGGCTGTCTGTTTCATTGGACTGTCCCATTTGCTGGTTAAAAGGATTGGGGCCCAAATCCTCTGGCCTAGCATTTCTCAGTGTTTGCTATTCAGACTGTCTAAATACAGCATGTGACAAGCTGAAGAAGCCAAATCTATCAGTCATTTCTGATTTCATTATATTCTCCCCCTCTTCCTGCTAAAAAGACAAAAAACAAAAAACAAAAAAAACAAAAAAAACCTCATGAGTGCATGGATTTAAAAGAGGGCAAACAAAACCAGTATTCTTCATATTTACTATTCAAATTGGTTTCATTCTTAGTAAAAGTACAGAATCTATTTGAAATTATAGTAAAATTTCTTCTTGATTGGCTGACACTGAATCATAGTTTCTCACCTACATATATCCTTAGCACCTCGTATAGATATGATCAGACAAAATGCAGAAGGAAAAAAAAACATATTGAATGAAGCACTTGGAAAGATTTTCCACATGTAGACCAACTGGTAAACTAACAGAGTGATTAAGCATGGTGTACAGAAAAGCATTACGCTGAGTCTTACCAGTGTGACCTTCAGCAAGTTGCTGAATCTGTTTGGGTTCCAGTTTCCTTGGCAATAAAATGAGCTAAATGGGCTAGGTGAATTTGGAGGACTACTTCAGTCCTAACTTATAGTATGAGTCTCTAAAAAGCAAGTTTTTCATTTGTTAGAGGTCGTTATTGATAACCAGTCTGTATAGTTAAGGTAAAAAATTAAGCTTTTCTTCTATAGTCTGTGTCCATACTCACAGAATGAATGGCACACCTGAGATCAACATTCACATAGTTTAGACTCCAAACCATTCAGTCTAAAATACTGAAACTTTGGAATATAGGGAATGATGATAAAAGTGGATTTGGTTTGAGTAGCAGAAAACTACTTATGTCCTTTTCTTGCCTTTCCAAGAAAAATGTTTTTTGTTTTTTTTTTTAATCTTGAGTTATCTGGATATTGCCTTGACTCCATTTCATTTTGGCTATGTAGATACAACTTAGTCTTTGTGATTGTGATATATTTGCTAAGTTTTAAATAAAACTTCTTTTGGATAGAAATCATTAGAAACCAAGCATACTGCACTCTAATATTTTACTGTAAAGGCTTATGATTTTTATTTCTACTGCCATTAATTTTTTAGATGGATTTGTTTCCTCTTACACAACTAGAATTAATGTATTTTTCACCAGTTTTCCATATACCTTAGGTCTTGATCGTTTGTCCTTAAAAAGGGGATCAGCATGAGTATAGACAGTAGAAATGTATGGGTAGTCTAACCACTTTTATCAGAGACAGAGCAGGGCTGTGGTCTCACTCTAGCTGAGCAGAGTATTAACTTGGTAGCAAGAGTTCCTGATACAAATAGATGCAATGACTGTAAATGGTGTCAGCAGTACACATGGATAATCAGTATTTGACTGTAATAGTATAGTAGTTAAATACAGCACTTAAAAATACCACAGACACAGTTAAAGCAAAAGGAAACAATAAAAGGAATGTCTGCATGCTATTTTAATCTCACATTCTTTATCTGTCTTAAAGTGGAAATCCATTTGCCTATAAATACCTGTAAACGACTTTAAAAAATAAATGATTATTGCTTTGTGACAATTGACAGAATATGTCTGATGTTTGGGATTTGGAAACTGTCATTTGTAAAATGTATCAGGGAAACACATTGGCTCAATCAAACTGGATAATTCAAGGTGAGTTTATTAAAGGGACTATTTACAAAGGTGTGGGCAGAGTTTAGGGAAATCAGGAGGGAGAATGCAGTGCCTTGGGGCCAATTAAGGGAGAAAGGGAAAGAACAGCTAACAGAATCTGGAGAGGGAGCTGTGTGCAAGGGCTGCCTTTTAGGAGCTGTGGCCTGTAGTGGAGGAATGCAATCAGCCCTGCTGACTCAACTAAGAGGCAGTGAGGGGCATTCATAACCCAACGTTTTTCTGCTCCCCCTATCTGTCTCCTGCTGGGATTCTCCAGTGGCCCAAGTAACTTGAAGACAGAGAGCAAGGGAGCTCCTTGATGCAGTTCTGGAGGTCAGCCTCCTGGGAACAGAGGAGGATGGAAAAGACTAGAGGGGGAGATCTGGAAGGGCAAATAAATGGAGTACATCTAGCACAGAGGACTTTGAAGAGAGTCAAGCTTCTAAAAGCATTAGAGAGGCTTTGGGTTAGCCAGTAAGGCAAAGCTAATTTGCAGAGAAATAAGTCCAGATTCTCAGGTAACCATAAATGAATTACAGCAAAAATGTCAACTTGTTACTATTATTAAAACTCAAGCTATATTTTGAAGCATTGGTTATTTTGCTCAAGAACAACTTCAAATGCATTTCAATCTTACAGAGATACTTTTAATCCCACCTTCATGTTTCTTGCAATTCCTTCTACTAATTTTGCCATTTTATTACTTGTAATTATATATGGAAAAGTAATGAACCTGACCCTGTTACCTTTTATGATTGGAATTATAGACCGACAAAAATTATAATATGAAATCACTATGTCAAACACATGTGAAATATACCATCTGCATCTGTGGAAAATATTTAAGTATCGACATATTAGTGTTAAAAATGAATTGTCTGTAGTTTGCCATAGTCTTACTAATGGGACAAACGGTTTTAGTCTGTGAATGAAAGAGAATTTATCACTACAGACTCTGAAAACATCAAAAGAATAATAGGGGAATGCAACACACAGTTCTACACATATAAATTTGACAACAACTTGGATGAAATAGACCAGTTCCTCAAAAAGTACAAACTACCACAATTTAGCCAATATGAAATTGATCATTTGAATAACCTTATAACTATTATGAAAACTGAATTCACAATTACCTCCCCCAAAGAAATTCCAGGCTCAGATGTTTCATTGGAGAATTCTATCATTTGAAGAAATAACATTAATGCTATACAATTGCTTCCAGAAAATGGAAGAGAAGGGAATACTTCTCAATTCATATTTTGAAGGTAAAATTACTCTGACATCAAAACCAGACAAAAACAGCAAAAAAAAAGAAAACTACTGATGAAATCTCTGTGAATATGATCAAAAATCATTAACAAAATATTAGCAAGGATTATTCCCCAATATATAAAAAGAATTATGCACCATAATATGACTAAGTAAGGTTAATTCCAGGAATACAAGGCTGGTTCAATGTTTGAAAATCAATCACTGTAATCCACTATATTAAGAAGCTAAAGAAGAAAAATCACATGATATCAATTGATGCAGAAAATGCATTTGATACAATTCAACATCAATTTATGATAAAAATTCTTAGTAAACTAAAAATAAATAAACACCAACTACAGAGGCCACACTTGGTGGCTCACACCCGTAATCCCAACAGTTTGGGAGGCCAAGGCAGGCAGTCGCTTGAGCTCAGGAGTTTGAGACCATCCTGGGCAGCATGGCAAAACCCCATCTCTGCAGAAAATTTTTAAAATATTAGCTGGGTGTGGTGATGTGCACCTGTAGTCCCAGCTACTCTGAAGGCAGACATGGGAAGATCACTTGAGCCTGGGAGGCTAAGGCTGCAGTGAGCCATAGCTGTGCCCTGGCACTCCAGCCTGGACAATAAAGTGAGACCATGTCTTAAAAAAAAAATCTACAAAGAACCTACAGCTAACTAACATTATACTTAAAGTCATGGCCTGAGTCATTTCCCCCTAAAATGAGGAGCAAGACAATGACATCTATTACCACTATTCTTGTCAATATACTACTGGAAGTTCTAGAGAGTGCAATAAGACAGGAAAAGGAAATAAAAGGTATTTTATTTAAAGATCAGAAAAGAAGAAATAAAACTGTCCCTATTTGCAGATAACATGATTGTTTATGTGCAAAAAATTCCAAGGATCTACAAAAACCCTCAAAATCCCCAAATCCAGAAAATGACCAAAAAAATCCCTCCTAGAACTAAGTTTAGCAAAGCTTAGAGGATACAAGATAAACATACAAAATTAAATTGCATTTCTATATATTAACAATGAACATATAGACACAAAATTTAAAATGCAATACTATTTACAGCTGCTAAAAAGGACATGCATGTAAACCTAACAAAATACGTACAAGATGCACACTGCAAATGACAGAATGCTGATGAAGGAAATCAAAGATCTAATAAATGGAGAGGCATACTGTGTTCATGCATTACAAACCTCAACATAAGAAAGATGTCAACTCTCCCCAAATTGGTACACAGACTTCATGCAATTCCTGTCAAACTTTCAGCAAGATTTTTGTAGATATAGACAAGATTATTCTAAAATGTATGTGGAAAGGCAGAGGAACTAGAATAGCTAAAACAATTTTTAAAAAGAACAAGGTGGGAGGAGTCATCTTACCTGATTTTAAGACTTATTATATCATTTTAAAGACTGTATTGATGTTGGTGGAGGAATAGATACATAGGCCAATGGAACAAGATGGAGAACCCAGAAACAGACCACTCAAATATGTCCAACTGATTTTTGACAAAGATGCAAAGCAACTCAATAGATAAAGGCTGGTCATTTCAACAAATGGCGCTTGTGATGGTTAATACTGAGTGTCAACTTGATTGGATTGAAGGATGAAAACTATCGTTCTTGGGTGTGTCTGTGAGAGTGTTGCCAAAGGAGATTAATATTTTAATCAGTGGACAGGGAGAGGCAGACCCACCCTCAATCTGGGTGGGCACCATTTAATCAACTGCCAGGCAGCTAGAATAAAGCAGACAGAAGAAGGTGGAAGAACTTGACTTGTTGAGTTTTCTGGCCTTCATCTTTTCTCCCATGCTGGATGCTTCCTGCCCTCGAACACCAGACTCCATGTTCTTCAGCTTTTGGACTTTTGGACTTACACCAGTAGTTTGCCAGGGGCTCGTGGGCCTTCGGCCACAGACTGAAGGCTGCACTGTCAGCTTCCCTACCTTTGAGATTTTGGGACGTGGACTGGCTTCCTTGCTCCTCAGCTTGCAGACAGCCTATCATGGTACTTCACCTTGTGATTGTGTGAGTCAATTCTCCTTAATAAACTCCCCTTCATGTATACACATATCCTATTAGTTCTGTCTCTTTAGAGAACCCTGACTAACACAGTGCTGGAATACTTGAGTATCTTTCGGCAAAATGAACCTCACACTTTACACAAACCTTAAGTAGATTGTGGACTTCAATGTAAGATGTAAAACTATAACACTTTTAGGAAAAAACCTAAAAGAAAATCTTCAGGATATAGGACTATGCAAAAACTTATTAGACTTAACATGATCCGTAAAAGGAAACACTAGTACAGTGGACTTCATCAAAATTACAGATTTTTGGCCTGGCACGGTGGCTCATGCCTAATCCTAGCACTTTAGGAGGCTGAGGTGGGCTGATTGCCTGAGCTCAGGAGTTGGAGACCAGCCTGGGCAACATGGCGAAACCCATCTCTACTAAAAATATAAAAAATTAGCCAGGCATGGGTGTGTGCCTGTAATCCCAGCTACTTGGGAGGCTGAGGCATGAGAATCACTTGAACCTGGGAGGCAGAGGTTGCAGTGAGCCAAGATCATGCCACTGCACTCCAGCCTCAGCAAAAGAGCAAGACTCTGTCTCAAAAAAAAAAAAATTACAGATTTTTGCTGTGTGTAAAACTCTGTTGAGACGATGAAGGACAAACCATAGACTGAGAGAAAATATTTGCAAACCACATATCTGACAAAGAACAAAAATCTAGAATGTAGTTAAAAACTCTCAAAACTCAACAGTTAGAAAAAATACAACAGAGGCTGGGCACAGTGGCTCAGCCTGTGAACCCAACACTTTGGGAGGCCGAGGCGGGTGGATAATTTGAGGTCAGGAGTTCAAGACCAGCCTGGCCAACATGGTGAAACCCTGTCTCTACTAAAAATACAAAAATTAGCCAGGCATGGTGGTGCATGCCTGTAATTCCAGCTACTCTGGAGGCTGAGGCAGCAGAATCGCTTGAACCCAGGAGGCAGAGGTTGCAGTGAGCCGAGATCACACCACTGCACTCCAGCTTGGGCAACAGAGCAACACTTCGTCTCAAAAAAAAAAAAAAGAAAAAAGACAATAGAAAGTGGGCAAAATTTATGAACACAGATTTCACTGAAGAAGGTATACAGGTGGCAAATAAGCACATAAAAATATGTTTGATATCATTTGCCAGTAAGGAAATTAAAACCATAATGAGATATCACCACACACCTATCAGAATGGGTAAAATGGAAAATATCAACACTACCAAATGCCAACCATGAGAAGAGAAAGTAGATCACACGTACAATCCTGGTAGGGACATGAAATAGTACAGCCACTCTGGAAAAGTCTGGCAGTTTATTAAAAAACTGCACGTGCAACTAACGTTAACCAGCAACTGCACTCCTGGGTATTGATCACAAAAAAAAATGAATCCCTATGTTCACACTAAAACTTGTACAGGAATGTTCATAACAGCTTTGTTCATAATAACCAAAAACTGGAGACAACCCAGATCCTTCCATGGGTGAATGATTAAACAAACTGTGGTGTATCCGTACCATGGAACACTATTCATCACTAAAAAGGAAGAAGCATTGAGAGACGCAACAACTTGGATGAATCTCCAGAGAATTAGAAGAGTGAAAAATGCCAGTCCCCAAAGGTTTTATTTTATACATATATATATATATATATACACACACACACACATAAACATTTTGGAAACAATAAAATTATAGAAATAAAGAACAGATTGGGGTTGCTATGGTCTGAATGTTTGTATCCCCCTAAGATTCATATGCTGAAACCTAATCATCAATGTGATCATATTAGAAGGTGGAGCCTTTGTAAAGTAATTAAATTAGTGCCCCTATAAAAGAGGCCTCAGAGAGCTCCCTTAGCATTTCCGTCATGTGAGGACGCAGTAAGAAGGTGCCTTCTATGAGCCAATAAATGGGCCCCCATCAGACACCAAATCTGCTGGTGCCTCGATCTTGAACTTCCTACTCTCCAGAACTAGAAGAAATAAATTGCTGTTGTTTATAAGCCATTCAGTTTATGGTACTTTGTTATAGCAGCCCCAGTGGACTAAGACAGGGGTTAAGGAGGGAGTTAGTAGGTGGGAGGGAAGTGGGTACAATTATAAAAGGACAACATGAGGGATCCTTTTGGTGGCAGAATTGTTTTGTATCTTGACTGTATTAATATGGATATCCTGGTTATGATGTTGTAGTATAGTTTTGTAAGATATTATTGGTGGAAACTGGGTAAAGCTTATAGGAGATCTCATTTCTTCCATGTGAGTCTATAATTTTCCCAAAATAAAAAAGTTTAATAAAGTTTAGGGGTAAAACCTAGATATATCAAGAGACTTTAGGCAAATTTCTACTTTAACACTTGGCAGCTCCACTGAATATAGTATATCCACAGAATATGGTGATAAGATCATCTTGGTAGTCCTGGGTCCCATCATGCTAGGACTAGGAGGGTCAATTGGAGGAGCTGCATGAGGTTACATTCTTGAAGGGCCTCAAATGTAAATATCTGATATTATTTCCAGAGATACGCTGATAAGATCAAAGGATGGCAAACAAGGATGTTGTAGGAGATATAGCCAGTGCTTTGTCCAGACCCCCTGGAGTCCCTCAAAGCACTTCTGTCTACCCCATCCTTGGCTTCTGTGTGTTTTGCTTCTGTGTCACTGTTCATTCTGAGAACAGATGCAGGCTAGTGAAGCTGCTTTGGGTCACCAAGAACCAGAACGGCCTGTGAGTTTACACCTCGCACCATCACTCGTACAAGAGTGCAAAAGCTCAGTTCCTTCGCATCTGTTACATTCCAGAGTTCAGGATCAGGGTGGGGGCTGGTACTTCTGAAATCATACCCTTACGTGGCCTCTTCTCCTAGCTTTACCCTTTTCTTCACTTCCTTACTGGTTTCTTCTGGAAGCCCTTAAAAAATCATCTGTATGACTTTTCTTCTGGGAATCCAACCTCAGATCAAATAACTTTCAACATGTATTCCATTACTGGACTAGTCTAAGTATTCAAATGCATTAAAATTTTTAATAAATATGAATGCATACAAATTTATAAAGGTTAATAAATTATACATTTTCTTATGAATGGCATCATTATATTATGCTGTATTTTGTCAATATGGATTGAACACACTATGTAAGCATTTAAAATATACACCAATTTTATAATCTTGCTTTGGTACATCTTTCTTTTTTAATCTGCTGAATGTTTTAAGAAACAAAAATGGAATGGCCTGAGCATCTCTTGCCATTTGAGTGGGTCTTAATTCCACATTCAAATATAATTATTGCAGCTTTGGATCTTTAAAAATGGTCAATATCACTTCTGACAGCTTTTACTGGTTTCTGATTAAGAGCCTGTGGTGATTAAAAGTCTGTGATTAAAAAGCCTAAACATGAAATCCAAGCCATTGGTGCTTACACTCTTTTGACCAAAGTAGCAAAAGACCTAACTTTCATCCAGCCCATCTCTTTCTTGGGCAGGGAGAAAAGAACTTGGTGACAACAGAGAACTGGAGAGGAACAATAGGAATTATTTACTTACTTACTTTTTTTTTTTTGAGACAGAGTCTCGCTCTGTCGCCCAGGCTGGAGTGCAGTGGCACGATCTTTGCTCACTGCTAGCTTCGCCTCCCAGGTTCACGCCATTCTCTTGCCACAGCCTCCCGAGTAGCTGGGACTACAGGTGCCTGCCACCACGCCCGGCTAATTTATTTTTATTTTTATTTTTTGTATTTTTAGTAGAGACAGGGTTTCACCGCATTAGCCAGGATGGTCTCGATCGCCTGACCTTGTGTTCCACCGTCCTCGGGCTCCCAAAGTGCTGGGATTACAGGCATGAGCTACCGTGCCCGGCCTATTTACTTACTTTTAAGAGAGGAGTATGATCTCATTCATATGATTTTATATTCCTAAATACTGCCCTATTTTTCAAAAAACAAGTAATTTTTCACACTTGCCTTGATAAATATGTTATTTAAGCAGAAAAAATTCATAGCCAGCATATTTTCATAAAGTATAAGCAAATTTCAGAGGAATTACAAGTTGATTGTTTTAGTAATAAGAACTCGAACCTCTAAATGTCTATTATTTTATTTATTTATTTAGTTTTTTGAGACAGACTCTCGCTCTGTTGCCCAGGCTGGAGTGCAGTGGCTGACCTCAGCTCACTGCAGCCTCCGCCTCCCAGGTTCAAGTGATTCTCCTCCCTCAGTCTCCCAAGTAGCTGGGACTACAGGCATGTGCCACCACGCCTTGCTAATTTTTATATTTTTGGTAGAGACGGGGTTTCGCCATGTTGCCTGGGTTGGTCTCAAACTCCTGACCTCAGGTGATCTGCCGGGCTTAGCCTCCCAAAGTGCTGGGATTACAGACATGAGCCATGGCGCCCCACCCAAATGTATATTATTTTAAAGTCGCTATAGAAAAAGTGAAAATATTTAAAGTAGTTAACACTACATAGAGTTGGTTTAATCAAACAACTCACAATAAGCTTACTTGATATTGATGAAGCCAAACATAGTTAATAAATAAACAGTAATAACAGCTCGTAAAGACCATGACTTCCTGGGGGAATGGTGCTATTAACATCCTCCTTCCAAAACTGGGAATTCCAATTACCTTCAACTGTGCATGAGCAAGAGCTTTGTAATATTGCACATCCAAATGATGATCATTCTTGATAAACCCGAAAAATGCACTCATTTTAATTTACAAATTCTTAACATTAGTAACTTCCTATATCTTACTTGGTGGATTTCTAATTGTATGTAAAAATAAAAATCTACAAATTATTTTCCTATGATAATTGAAGAAATGCCTTGGGCATTTGTATCATTTAATACAAATGAGGTATACCAGTGGACCATGGCCCTATTTGGAGTATCACTGGTCTAGACTTTTCAAATATAATCACTAAAAATGTATCTTAGTCATGAATGTTTGGTTGCCAAGAATGTAAACCTACCTTTATTAACTTCTTAGGGCTACTGTAACCAATACCGCAAACAACAGAAGTTTATTCTCTCACAGTTCTGGAAGATAGAAGTCTGAAATCAAGATGTGGTAGGGCCATGCTCCCTCCAAAGGCTCTAGGGAAAAATCCTTTCTTGTCTCTTCCAGCATCTGGTGGCCCCAGACGTTCCTTGGCCTATGGCAATCTAACCCCAATCACCACCTTTACCCTCACATGGCTGTCTTCTCCCTATGTGTCTCTTTGTGTCCTCTCTTCTTATGAAGACACCAGTCATTAGACTTAAGGCTGATAGCACTTTGCATAGCACTTCTGTGATGACATTGCTTTAACCTGATAGCTTTGACACCAAAAAAGAGGAAAAGGGAGAAATGATGGTTTAGCTTTACCTAAGTTTAATCCCGAATGAGCTCATATTAAACAATTGTATCAGCAAAAACCATATTTCCAAATAAAGTCACATTCTGAAGTTCTAGGTGGACATGAAATTTTAGGGAACATGATTCAACCTCTACAATGACCCAAGCCAGCTCAAGTCAAAAAGTTTTTAAGGTTTAGTTATCACAGAATGCAAGGAAAAGCTAAACTGTCTGGCTTTTCAAAGTACAGGAACCAGACAGATACATGGCTTTCAGTGGCAAAAGTTCATGATCTTCAGTCTAGGGTCTACCATGTATATGACACAGTTATGGAGGAAGCATATTTCCCATAAAATACAGGCAAGTGTAATAAAAGTCTGCTTCTCCTCTGTATGGCTACCACCTTGCTCAGTTTTGTGGAATCTTAGTTATCTGGGAAGGGAATACGATTGGCCCAGCTTGGGTCTAGTGTTCCCCTTTGATTCAGTCAAGTCTGGCCAGGACCGTGGGTGGTAGGATGGTGATGGTGGTGAGGTCATAATGACTGTGAGCAGGAGCAGATTCTGTGAGAAGGGACTTGAGCAGAGTGGGCATTTTGATCCACATGTCAATATTAAATGATCCCAGCACAGTGTTTGGCACAAAGTAGGTGTTCCCAAAATACTGTTGAATAAGATGTAAATAATGGTCTGATCTTCCTTGGTTCTTTCCAAGTACTCCTGTTCCATCTCTAGCACTTCCTATTTTTGTCCTGTTCTCATGAAGCCATATCCTTTGTGTAGACTCTTTGTTTGTCCCATCCCATAAGCTCCTGTTGCCCTCGGCACACATTCACCCTTGTCTTTCTCTGCCATCCACTCCCAGAACACCTTCCTGGTTTTTCCTTACTACCTCAGACCCCAGTGTGTACTCTAATCCAATAAGCCATAGTACATAGAAACACAATGGAAAATAATGTTTTTACATTTAAAAGCTGTTTCTCACAATCTCATCTCATTTTTTTTTGGCCACAATCCTGAGAAGTGGGTATTATCATCCCTATTTTCAGATAAGGACTTTGAGGCTTTTGAGTGTTAAATTGTTATGGACAATGCTAGTAGGTAGGAGAACTGGGACTTGAACTCAGATCTTCTTACTCTAAGTTCTGTGTTCCTTTGAAGATAGTACTCCTTGATGATAGCACTTTGGATAGCACTCCTGTGATGACATTGCTTTGACCTGATAGCTTTGACACCAAAAAGGAGGAAAAAGGAGAAATAATGGTTTAGCTTTACCTTTATAAATGCTTGTTAGTGGGAGGGACCCCATCTCATCAACAATGTGACATTTTCTCTTGAAATGTCTCACCCAGCTCATAGGTGTGCCCATTTAAAACATGCAAGGTAAACATCGAGCCAACGTTTCACAAATAATCTTTTGTCCAGCATTTGAGATCTTTGGCAGTTTTACTTTCTTCTCCCACACTTGCCTTTCTTATCCCAGAATGCCTCTGTCTGCTTGTGTTTCTTTGGATGTTAGATTCATTCCTTGTGCACACCATTACCTGACCTCTGTAGAATGCCCTTCCTATTCTCCCAGGCTTAAAGCTCTTCTATGGACCACCTCCTTCCTGCCTTCTTCTCCAGACTTACATCTAAATGTAAGATTCCTGCACTTTTGCTGGTCTGGCCTTTAAATTGCACTCATGCTAATCAACTGACCTGTTGAGCTCTCTCCTTCTCTTCTTCCTTGAACCTGCCTTGATAGATTCATCTTTAGGTGTTCACTTTCCCTAGAATTATTGCCTATTCTACTCTTATTACACTTAGTAAACAATTTTTATTATTATTTATCTTTCTACGTAAGCATCTTGTAACTCAGAGTGTTGGTACCTTGAGCATAGGGGTCCTACCCTGCACCTAGGCCAGGACTTAAACAGGATAGGTGGTCAAAGAAATTTAGTTGAATATATCCATAACTCCACCAAAAACCATTTTTAGAGGCATGGCAGGATGGGAGGTTGATTTATTCTTTATTTTCCCTCTTTGTCACGTATATGCTAGTCTCACTAAAATATTTTGTATGTAGTGATGAGCTCTGGGTTTGGAGATAAAGGACCTGGTTTCAGATTCTGTCTGCCTTGTATTAGCTGTGTAGCCTTGGACAAGTCATTTAATTTATTTTTATGTAAGTTTCTTCAACTGGAAAATGGGTAGGAATACCTGTCCTAACCCCCCACAGTGTTGTAGTGAGAACCAAATGAGATGATGCTTGTGAAAGAATTTACCAATCTGTAAAGCACTGTGTAATGGATTATAAACACTGCCTCCTCATGTGCTTACCCTGACACGTTTTATGCTTTCATCCTTCTAAGAAGCAGTTGTTTGTGCATGGGGATCACCTGGCATTCTTGCTGCAGCACTCCATCATAACCCTCAGCACAGAATGCAACATACAGTTTGCCAATCGACTTCAGTGGGATGTGAAAAGTGAAAAGTGCATTTAATTCTCACTAAGATGCCTTGGCTCAGATTCAACAAATGCCATTTACTTGAAGGCCTTTTATTTGCTTTTTCTGCCTGCCCCCCTGCCAAAATCTTCATCTATTTGTTCATTTATTCATTTACTCATTTAACATAATTGTTTTGAGTGCCTACCAGGGTCATGTTAGACACCCAAGAAGTAAAGTGAGTACTTCAAGATATTCACGTTGTACTGAGTGTAAGACACACAAAAACTTACAGTAGATAAAAGAACTATAATAGGATATATAGGATACACTGTGTACAGAGGTAGGAAAGATCATTTTTGCGAAGTGAGGGAGTGTGTGTCATGAAAGGCTTCAAAGGAGGTGCTAGTCTGTCTTCAAAACTAAGTAGCAGGAGAAGGTAGAGGCGATGCAGGTGAAAGAAACAGCTTTCACAGCAGGTGAAAGAAAAAAAGCGCTCTGGGAACCATTGTTAGCTCAGGCTGTGATTTCGTTCATTCTATTACAGTGGGTTAAATTACCTGTTGTTTGCCAAACCCTATACCAGTTTATGGGGTTACAGGGGTCAGTGTAGGCATCATGGGGGCGGACGGTGAAGTAGCAAAGGAAAACCAGCCACAGTATGAAGAGCCTCGAACAACCATTTTACTCCGTGCCAGTACACATGGGAAAGGGTTGAAAGGATATGTGAACCTGCCGCCACCAATTCCTTGATTATTCACTGGAACCCTTTCAGCCAGAGAAGATAGACACAGTACTGGGCTTTACTGAGGACTGGGTGGCGCTGTCTTTAGGGGCAGGTTAATAATATACACCTAAGTGACAAGAACACTCACACCCGAGGAAATTAGAGTAGTAAATAGACACGTGGAAAAATGTGCCATCTTATCAGTAATTAAAGAAGCAAAAATGTAAACAAAGCGGCACCTAGTAAGGTAGAAGACAAAGCAAAATATCTAAGGCTGTTAAATAATGGGGAAGCAGGCGCCTTAGAAAACAAGGGCAAATGTAAAAAACCTCTAAGGCAAGAGTTCGGTGGGGAATCTGCGGGATTCTGTGTGCTGAAGCGCAGGAGGCACGAGTCACCTTTGCAGTCTCCGGTACCAAACGGGCAAGGGGTCCCCGTAAGACTGCTGCACCCTGGCCGAAGGTAGCGGGTGAAGCGCCTCGGCGTCTCTAGGCAACCGATCAGCCCGCCCACTCCGGGGTGACTTCCTCGTAATTGGCTCTCGAATCCACCAATGGGCGCACAGGGGGAGCTTCCCGCCACCTCTGGCGCCCGCTTTCAAACAGCCGTACTTTGCAACTGCAGGTGGACTTCTCAACCAAGCTTGAGGAAGGCGGAGACTTCTGCCTCCTCGCTCTGCCCTGAGCTGGCACGGCTCCGCCCACCGGGCGAGCTTCTAGTCGGCGATTGAAGGATGCGAGTGCTCCTTAAGGGCCTCCGCCCCGTGAGTTCGGTTGTGACTAGGAAGGAGCTAGTGGACTAGAGCCAGGGTAAGGGGATCTGCTAGAAGTTGGTCTTCCGCCAGGACTAGAGTTTCCTCGCGGTAACAGCCTCCGTGGCCTCCGGTAAGTTCTGATTCACGGGTGAGCTTGGACCTGGGGTTAGAGGAGTTGCGGGGTCCTCGGGATGCTGGCTGAGGGTTCCTGGGGGGGCTGACCTGCCCCCTCCCCAAATCCCGCGGTGGTGGACTGCCCGCATGTTGCGGGCTCAGCTTTTACCTTAACGTGTCATTTAGACCTCTTCATTCCTCCAATATCCTACTTAGAAGTGACATATGGGAAGCCCGCCTCGTTTCCAGGCTGCTGGGGTCGCCCTGAGACCCTACTCTGCGGACCCCGCCTTGGTCACCCTGGCGTCACGCCTGGCTCACAGTAGGTGCTCTGTGCACGTGTGTTGACCGAGTACAAGTGACGCTGGCACCCGAAGCCAGTAGCCCCGGGCATCCTGGGCCCCGTGCGGCTTTGGTCATGTTTGTAGTGCCGTAGCTGACGCCAAACAGTTCCTCAAGGTCATTCGCTCAGCCTGTGGATGCTTATTGTGTATTAGCATTACTCGCTCCGCCCTCTGGGCAACTTGAATCAATTTGTCCAAAGTGCTGTTATTAGCACTGATCACAAGATGTTGTGATCATTTGTTTATATGTCTATTTTCTTTCCCTTCATCGTGTCCTGTTAAACTTTGTAATCTTGAACAGTGCTTGGTAAATTGTCGAATGAATGAATAAGGTGTCTCCACCAGGTGTTGCAAGTCTAAACCGGGCTATGTGCTCTGGCTATTTCCATTCTAGAAGGCGAGTTATGTCAGCAAGTAAGTAGAATTTCCCAACTCCAAGTGCAGTTCTTAGAAACCCCTTTTGTGGGGGTTTATAACCCTTCCTATATCGTAGTCATGAACTTGAGTCTGATTTAAGCCTATTATCACCTTATACCTTCATAGTGCGTGACAATGAACATGCACTCCCTAGACAGGTGAATGCACTCAACTAAAGAGAAGCTGAAGTTGAAGCCATAAGAAAAGCATAAGAAATACAGTCTGAAAGTGCAAAGGAGTGGCCAGCTCCATGGGGGAACAGGCTTGGGAGGGCATCTTGAAGGAGGGTGGCATTTTTGTTCCATAGGAGGTTGCATTATTAGAAGTGACATTTCTCATAGGCTGCACATTCACCTTTTCTCAGATATGCGGAATCCTCTTTATTCCCTAAACCTCTTCGGTAGCTGGCAGACTCCTATTCATCAGTAATAATGTCATAATAGTAATAAAACTACAATGTATTGATTGGTACATAGTGCTAATTACTTTACATGTAGTATCTTGTGAATCCTCAGAATCAATCTTTGAAGTAGGTATTATTTTTACCCCCATTTCTTTAACGTAGAAGCAGAAACAGTTTGCTCAAGATTGCACTGCTGATAAATAGAAGAGCCAGAATTGAGCCCAGGTTGTCTGAATGAGTGCCCTCATTCTTAGAACCACTTATAGCCATATTGTGTCCTTTAAGATTTATTTCTAATCTAAAAGCTCTTTTTTTTCTGTAAAACTTCTCTAAACTATCCTTTCTTCTTAGGAAAAGTAATTTGTGCTTTGTACTTTCATCTACTACGGAATTTATTACAATATGTTATTGTAACTGTTTATATCAGTGGCTCTATCTAAGAGAGGGTGAGCAGAGACAGTGAGCTCCTCATGGCTGGTACCATGTCTTAGGTGCATCTAGGATATGATCTGGAACACAGTGGGTATTCAATAAAATTTTATTGAAGTAATGAATTCGTATAAGGTAACATGCCTATATCATATTCAGTCAACAAATATTTGTTATGTACCCACCATGTGCAAGCAGGCAGATACATTTTAATTCTGCCTTCAGGGTGCTTATAGTTTATTAGATGAAGCAAAAACAATGCTACTTTTGCTTTGTAATCTTTTGTCCAAATACCCATTGCTTTTGTTGCAAGGAGGGCAGAGAAAACAACCGGGGACAACAAAAGGAATGCTGGGTCAGAGCATCCATCTGAGTGTAACAACAAGACATACTTTTTATAGTCTTGTTAAGGGTTCAGAAAAAGTTATCTAGGAAGAAAGTCTACCAGACTGCTATTGAAGAAGAAAACCAAAACATACTGTATACTTAATCTGCATCTTGATTTCTCAAGTGGTCAGCCTTGAGTCAATAGATATAGAAAATTTTCAGTATTTTTACTAGTGGCATAGTATTGACAAATTAATTCAAAATAATTTTACTAGTGTAAATGTTAATTTTCAATATATTAATATTGATAGTTTTCAAGATGGTTTAGCAGTTGATATTTTCACCAGCAACTCATGAGCCATACAAAATACAAAATAGTCACCACTGGGTGATAACAAGTTTTTTTTTTGTTTGTTTGTTTTTTCAATCTAGTGGTTGAAAATGGCATATTGTTTAAATGACACTTCTTTGAAACATCACGAGCTTAAGCATCTTTTCAAACTAATTGATTTACACTTTTTAAAATAAATTGTCATGTCAGTCGCCCAATTTTATATTGGATTGTCTTTTTCTCATTTCTTTGTAATAATTTTATATTGGGACTTTGTCAGGTGCTTTGCAAATTTTTTTTATTCTTATTTTTCTTGACTTTGTTATTGATGTATTTTTTCATATATAATATTTGACTCGTTAATGATGTCTTTTGCCTTAAACAAAATTTTATTTTTTGTGGTTAGGTTTCCATCACATTTTTCTTTATGGCTTTTGGATTTACTATCTTGCTATTTTTTTTTTTTAAAGAAGTCTCTTTTGTTGTTCTGAATATTATACTAAAGTCTCTGGTAGCAGTGATAATGAGTGGTGATTAATAAGTTAAGGTATTAGCTTTTATTTTAAGTCTCATTTAAAATATGTATTACCTTTTTACTATATATATTTTTAACCACATTAAGTTGATCAGGTTTCCCTTTATGTCTGAAATCATTTCTTAAAGTCTTTTATAGTTTATAGTTCTGATAAGGAAAACTTATACCTTCTTCAGTGGGGGAGATTTTGGTCTTTTCAGGTATTTTTAGATGTCTTCTTTAATGACATGTTTTGAATTTAAAATAACATTAAAGATATATACTTTGATATTTTACATTCTCTTTAAAAACAAAACCCTAAGTATTCTCTATCTGAGAAAAAGTAGCTGTCTATTTAAAATATTAGTAGCTACATTTTTAGCAATAGGCTCTTATAAATCTTAATGTTCTTTTTCAATAATCAACATCAGTTGATGGCAGGTTAATAAAGGATGGGAACAAACCTCTCTTCTCTAACTTAATGAAGGAGAAAGTAACCCAAATTCCATATTTCGTCTTGTATTTATATTTGAATGAAAGAAAGGTAGAAGACACAGAATTCAGAAACAGAAAGGATTTTTTCTGCCTGGAGGATTCAGGAATTTCTTTAAGGTCCAGCTTAATTTCATCTCTTTTTTTTTTTTTTTTTTGAGACGGAGTCTCGCTCTGTCGCCCAGGCCGGACTGCGGACTGCAGTGGCGCAATCTCGGCTCACTGCAAGCTCCGCTTCCCGGGTTCACGCCCTTCTCCTTCCTCAGCCTCCCGAGTAGCTGGGACTACAGGCATCTCTTTTAAGGACATAGGATTTAATTGGGCTAGTATTTTCAATATATATAGTGTTCTGTAGAATATTAAGTCTATTTGCATAGTGGAAAAAAATCTAGAGACATGAGATTGTGTGTTTTTCCCTCACCATTTCATGTTACAGGCTTTTTATCATATTCATATCTTCATCTTATGTTGACATACAAAAGGATTCTTATAGATAGATTTATTTTCCTCGATATGCATGTCTCTTCCCCCGTTTAGCCCTGTCACAAGGGTAGAAAGGAATAGGTGTGGTCTGAGAAGCAGAGGCTGGAGGGTTTTAAGTTGAGGTATAGTCTGAGTTGATATGAGTTTAAAGGGACGGGTTGGGTGTAGGGACCAGAGAGGAAGGGATTAGAAGGTAGACTGCAAATTAGAGGTTGGCCAAGAAACATAACTCAGTCTTTGAAAAACAAAAACTTGTCATAGGGGGATTTTTACCACTGAAGTTCATATGTATGTTAATCTTTAATACCATATTCATCTATTCTAGCTTGCATATTTTCTTTTCACACTTTAATATCTACAACATAGACTGCGTCCTAAAATTAATGTTATGTCATAATTTGATTGGCTACATCTCGTTCCTACTGCTACAAATGGAACTGCATCATAGAATCAAAGACATCTTAGATCTGATGAAATGGGATATTGTCTGCTCTAGAGCTATTGGCTTCCACAAAAGTTTGTGATATAGTTCGTATCTGTTAAGACGAGGGAGCTAAGTTCTCTATGGTAAAATGCATTTGGATTGCTGGGTCTCCATGCTTCTGATTTTACTTCCAATTTAATGACATTTTAGAGCTTGAAAGGTGTAGTGAATGAGTTGTGGCTCAGGCTCACATCCAAGTGCGTTTCATTGGCATGAACAACAGTGGACTGAATGGAGGGCAGTGTTAGGCCAGGTAATTGATGACACCTGCCTACTTTTTTGTTGTGATTGTTCAGAGCTTTGAAGTTCTGAGGAGTTTATGTATAGTGTCAGGATCCCTAAGTACAAGTTAAATCAGCAGCAGCTTTTTTGAATGTAAGTAGTTGAAAACCCATTTCCTGCTGCTGCTTCTGCCGCAGCAGTCACTGCTCCCCAGGGAACTCTTGCTGTTGCTTTTGGAATTGGAAGTCCACAGTGGTGGAGCTTCACAGCCTTCACTTCTGTTTTTCCCGAGTATATTGCCAGAACCTGATTTTATCAAGCTTAAGAGGAGGACATTTAAGACTTATATTTTGTTGTGCACTCTATGGCATTGACTGAATTGTAAATGGTTTCTGGGTAGTAGTCATTCACTCATGATTTAGGGGCCTTCTTCTTGTAAAGCATGATATTTGGATTTCTGATATTAAAAAAAAATGAAGCAATAGGGTACTGCCTGTGCCATGTTTAATATATCACATTTGAAGTTTTGTTTGAGCTTAAGATTTTTACATTTGGCACATTTCTAGTTTATTATTATTGTCATCTTATTTTTCATGTCGGCAAAAATCTTACTGTTTTATACTCTTCAGACCACTAGAAAGGTCTATTCATAGCTTTATTACCTATTTGCATGTTTTCTTTTCCATGAATTGCTGTCATATAGCTATTTTCGGTGAATCACCATTATTTTTATTGGCCATAACTGAGTTATACATATTTTCTCCCAGTCTGTTTCTGTCTTTTCACTTTGTGTATGTATGGCATCTCTTATGTAGTTTGTCCTGGGGAGATTTTATGTGGTGTCCAGAAACCAAACATCTTTCCCTTCCCACAGGAGGACCATGTCATTAGACTTTGGCAGTGTGGCACTACCAGTGCAAAATGAAGATGAAGAGTATGACGAAGAGGACTATGAAAGAGAGAAAGAGGTAAGTTGTTAAAAAAAAAAAAAAAAAGAGACACTAAACCCAATCTTTAACAAGTTTTATTTCTTGATCAAAATTGTATCATCTTGTGTCATTTTGAAGGGATTTGGATTTTTTAAAAAAAAAACAACCCTAAAATCTGCTTGCTATTTAGACTGAAAAGGTGAATAAGTGGAATGCTTCTGTTTTTGAGACAGGAATAAAACACAACTGTGAATAATACCATCAGATAAATGGTTAAATTTTTCTTTTCATTTAGGAGGTAATGGTTGGCTTTGGAAGTGGAAGGTTAGTTTCTAGGTGCTTGAAACATTGCCATGAACAAGTCTGACAAGGCTCTTTGCTTTGGGTAGTTTACATCCTAGTGGAGGCAGACAATAAACAAGTAAACAAGTGAGTAAAGTAATTTGAGTGAGTGATAATTTATCATTGATAAATGACAGGGAAACAAATTGGAGTGCTATGAAAGCAATTGATAGGGGATTGCTGTAGATGGGGTGGTGAGGGAGGGTCTGTGGGAGGAGGCAATATATGAGCTGAGACTTGACTCATGAGAAGGAACCAGCCATGCAGAAGCCTGAGGAAGAGCAGTCTACGCCAAAACACCAATGAGTGTAAGCTGGGAAGTTGGGAAGAGACCCCGTGTATGCCACAGATCATGTGGAGCGGCCAGAAGGCCATGGTATTGGGTATATATGAGCCAGTGTTGGGTGGTGGATGTGGGTGTCAGATCATGGAAAGCCATGATAAGGTGTTTGTATTTTATTCTAAGAACAATGGGAAGCCAGTGGAGGATTTTAAGCAGGGAAAATTGATATCATATTTTTGAAGATCTTTCAGAAGGCTGCATGGTGAATAGATTATAGAAGGAAAGGAATAAAAGGGAGAGACCATATTATTTATATGTAAAGTGTTTAGCAGAATTCTTGGCACATAGCAAATGTTCAGTAAATGGTGGCAATAGTAATAGCAGCAGTAATAGTGTTATTGGTGGAAGTCAATTTAGTTGTTTTGGTTGTTTTTAGTGTAAGTCAAATTTCTTGATTGTCTGTGATAAAAGGCTTCTTTTGTCCTGACGCTATTTTTTATATGACCCATTTTCTAACATGTAAAAAAGTCTTTTTTAATAGTTATTGTGGACCATGAGTATTAACAGGAAGCAAGGAATAGGGTCAGTTGACCATTGCTCATGTGGCTGGTGGTAGAATTAAGGCAGTGATAGAAAACTGGCAACTTGCTGGATTTGGTTCAGACAGGTATTGTTGGTTGCAGAGTGCTTTTAAAAAATTGAATCTGTATTTGAAGATGGGAAAATTTTATGCAGCACTGCAGAGTCTCTGGCTTATCTAAAAAACATCCAAAGCCCTGGCCACACCTGGCCTGTATTTGCACATGGCAGCAGGCGGGCTGGAACTGAGCAGTGGCTCTCCTTCCCCAGCTGGCCACAGTCCCCACTTCTCACACAGACATGGGCTTATGCACTCAGACCTGCCTGCTTCACTCTGGTAAATTCTCTGCCAGGGCCCTGAGGGCATTTGAGTTTATGACCCTGGTGAGGGTTTCCGGATTTTGGCAGGGCCCCTCACAACAATTGTGGCAAGGATGGGAATGAGGATTTTCTGTTACTTTGAACCTGCAGCATGAGGTATTCATGACTGGGCTTGGATAGTTGGCTGGGGTTTAGCCACTGGGATTCTTGAGAAGGTCAGTTTAAATAATCACTACTGTAAAGAAGAAAAAATATTTTGACAGGTGATTTTTCATTGAGAAATATATTAGAGAGATAGGTCTGCCAGTGTATTGTGTGGTTAAAATTTTAGAGGGGATACTAGTTAAGGAGGCAATTAATTCTAGATAATATAGAAAACAGCTATTTGGGATCACCTCTTTGATAGATTGTATGCTGGGATAGGGAATTTCAGGGGAAAAGTTGTTCTTGAAAGATCAAGTATCTAAGAATGAGTATTTCTAGCAGAGTGGAAGGATATATAGCTGAATTGACTCTAACATGATGATTATGGTTAAATTTGTAAAAAACTTCATGTTAATAAAAATATTTTTACTTTAAAAAATAATTGCTGCAAGGGAAAAAGTGAGATGAGAGGCTAGAGAGGTTCAAATTTTAGTAACAAACTTCGGAACTGTTCACAAATCTTCAGCTGTATGTATACTTTGTCACTACAAGTTAAAGTAATAAATTGGGTGGTCAAACCCAAGCTTGAATGCATATCTAGAAGGTTTTTTTTAACTGTCTCAGTCTTCCTGACCCAGCAATAGCCAAATGGTTCACAGCCTTAAGAGATTAAAGAAAAAAAGCTGTTTTATCCTGTCTACCTGGTTGGTAGCTTTGGGACTGTGGCTTTGGGATTGTGGCTAGGTTATAACTGTTAGCAGTGGGCTAATGCATATTGCTTTCTCTACTTAGTGAATCACTTTGTGTTCAAGTTGCTGATGTGGGAGGAATGCCTTTATCCCTGATGATGTGCTATAAGGCTTACCAGGCATACCACATCTGACTCATAGTCTACCCTGCTAAGGGTTTGTGAGAGCCTGTCTTGGTACATGGTTGGATAGTCCTGATTTTCACTGCCTGGGATGAAAGGCTAGTTGCTAATACAGCATGTTTTTCCAAGCTGTGTTTAATTTTGTTGTTTTGGTGCCAGTTGGGATTTTGTCCACATGGGCCCATATCCCAATGAATACACCATTCCAACCTTCATGCCATCCTAATGAGCAGCTTTACAATTATGATTTTGCTTTTTCCATTTCTATTCTCTCCATTGTTTGTATTGAAGGTCAAAGGGAGAAAGTGCCTTTAACATTCAGAAAAAGGAAAGGATTTAGTAAATACTTTATTCAATATTTAGAGGATATTTAGACCAGTGGATCTCAAGCCAGAGACCATCACAAATATACCCATATTTTGGGAAAAAAAAAAGCAAGAATTTTTTAGAAACGTCCTATAATGTATTTCTAAAGTGCTACAACTCTTAATGGTACATTAGTAAAAGTTGGCCCACTGTGAGTCAAGGCATAAAGGCATAGTAGAGAGGTACATAAACCACAGCTTCTCACAGTGTTTCAACTGAAACTCTCATCTCTTAAAAATAGTCGACAGAGCAGATTAGGGTGTAGATCAGTGAGAGTGATGACATCATAGAGATATGTATCGTCAGTTAATATCAATTAATTGTCACACATTACTTATGTTTCTCCTAACTAACTGGAGGGCATTATTTTCTGATTGTACCACTTGAGAGCTGCTGGTAATACTTGTCCTTCTTGCTAAGAAGGAGATATCATCCAAAGCAAACTTTTCTTTATAAAGCTGTCCCAGAAAATAATTCAGAAGCTCTTGTATTAACTCACTCATAATGTAACAATATGACTTTGCAAAAATGCTTTTCACCTAAGTCTCTATACTTGTGATTGCACAGTTGGATATTACAGAGATATAGTTCTTTTTTTTTTTTTTTGAGATGGAGTCTCGCTCTGTTGCCCATGCTGGAGTGCAATCACGGGATCTTGGCTGACGCTGCCTCCCGGGTTCAAGCGATTCTCCTGCCTCAGCCTCCCAAGTAGCTGGGATTAGAGGCATGCACCACCATGCCTGGCTAATTTTTTTTGTATTTTTAGTAGAGACAGGGTTTTGCCATGTTGGCCAGGCTGGTCTTGAACTCCTGACTTCAGGTGATCCAACTGCCTCGGCCTCCCAAAGTGCTGTGATTACAGGTGTGAGCCACTGCACCCAGCCCCAGATAAAGGTCTTTTTGTAATAGGCATGCTTGTTATAAGCCTCTCAGTTGTTGGTAAAGCCACAGCTTAAACAAGATTGCCATTTTGGACTCTCACAGTCAGCTGGAGTAGACATGTACTTTCTGCAGTGTCACCAGAAGTAGCTCTGTGATTGTTGTTGGTTCCAGATAGTAAAATTATCTATTTATGTGTGTATATATTCTGGAGCTGGTGATTTGGGGCAGAAATACTTGGTAATCTATGATATCAAGATAATATTTGCTGATGATGGATCATTTAGTGTTGACGGGTCATTTAGTGATGACATATTTGAAAATGATCTTGAGTAGAAAGGTAGATGGTTTAGGTAGCAGGTGGCAGATAGAAACTTGCACTTGGCAATACTGACTTGGTTTTTATAGTGGTACTTCTCTAATAGAATAATAAAGCTCCATTGAGCTCAGCATCATGTATTTTAGAGGCAAGGTTTCCATTGCATAGCCTTTCTTCCACTTTTTAACTGCCTTGTTTGATGTAATTGCGGAAGCATTTTGATATTTTGTTTCCACTAGAGGGAGTTGTAAAGCTAGTATTTGTTTACATTTAGCGTGTATCCATGAAAGCATTATTTAATAATTCATATTTGAAAATATCAGAATCTTTTTAGAAGCGTACTAAGAGGTCACCTGTTCAAAGGGAATATGACCGTTAGGTATTCCATTTGCTACCCTTTCTCTTGGGAGAAGATTATTGTATGGTTTGTAACTTGAGGCCTCTTGCCTTCATGAATATTGAGGATTATAGGCTCTGAAGATAATCTGTTTAGTTAATTTAAGTTGAAAATCCTAACAAAAGGTTTACATGTTCTCTGTTTTACATTTGCCCCTGAATGTAGGCTTTTGTATGTTCTACATGGGTTATTGCAAAGTGTTTTGTTAACAAAGTTCTTTGAGTAAAATGCTCTCTTTTTTTTTCTTTTTAAGAAAGAAACATGAAGTAGAAAAGGAGGGGAGTTTATAGAATGATTCTGAATTTATTTCAACTGAAGCCTTAGAGTGGCAAATTATCTTTCTTACAGGGAAGGTATCTGTTAAATTTTTAAACTCGGTTAATACACAGTAATATCCTGTTGAGATTGCTGCTTGCTGCCAAAAAGCAGTCTGATGAATTTTAAATTAATGAGTGGTATTAAATCTTATCACTTATAAGGATTGTTATTTCTGTTCTTGAATCTGTATTTGGAAGTTTGATAGATCTTTAATGAGGAAAATTTATAGTTTCTAAATTTCTGTATTTGGTAACATGCATATCTAGATACGGCAATTTTGTGTTTTATTGCACAAGGTTAGTGACCAAAGGGCAATTTGACAATGTATATGAGGAGGGCACACTTTGATCCTGGGAAATGGAAACACTGGAGGTGGAATTTTGTTCCTGAATGGCCTTATTTAGGAGGACTTCATTTAGCTTTTCTCTGCCCTGAAACTTACAGAAGCCAGGGAATATGACCCAGCTATGCCAAAGAACTTGATGGATAAATTTTTTGAAGATCAATTTTAAAATGTTAGCATATATGTAAAATATCTTGCAAGACTCTGAATACTATAGGGATGATTTTGCTAGTTGATGTTTATGTATGTATCCAGAAGCATTTTGATTAGCTGATTGCTTATACTCAAATTAATTTTTCTCTGTGGATGCCAATTTTGTGGTGTCACAAAGCTACAATAACTGCTGAATTATTATGTAGTTTTTTGTTTTTGTGCGGGGAAAACAATGTACTCTTCAGATGTCCCTGTCAAGGCGCCCCTGAATTTTAAGGCTATGTACTTGAACCTTACTGAAGGTTTACAAGAAAATATTCTTTCTGTTCAGGAGTCTTTACTTAATGTAAGTATAAAAGATTTGTTTTATTTTTCCTTGTGTAACATGTGGGGGTAGTCTTTTTCCTTAAAGCAGTGATGCATAATTCTAGACAACAAGTGGTGCTACTTTTAAAAGACCTCATAGATGCAACTTTTTTCTCTAGTGCATTTGTGTCTTTGTAGAATTGCTTTGCTACCTTTCATTTGAGGCATGTCTTGTACAAATATGTTGATGTGTTCTGTTTTGTTTTTCATGTTGTGTCTTTTGTATTTCTTGTTTTTTATATCTCTCAGTCAACTCTGATATGGCTAATTCTCAAAATGATTTTTCAAGTACCTTGCATGTGGAGATGAGCATTTAATGAGGGTCTTGTGTGTTAATGTTAGCGTTAAAAGATTTAAAGATGAAGATAACTTTTCATTGAAGAAAATATCTTTCTCTTGTTGCATCTTTAGATGACAAATGGATTGAGAAACCCTTTAAAAAAAACCCATCCAGTGAATATGAGAAATAAATATAGAGTGAGGAAGTATTCCCACCCACCTCCAACATACTCTGTTCCCATTCCCAAATTTTATTTCACCAAAGCTCAGTTAAGAATTTGGGGCATTCCTTTCAGACCTTCCATAAAATATATTTATTTAACTTTTACTATACATATTTTGTTTAAGAAACTTTTTTTTTTGGTAATTCTTAATATAATACTCAGATATGTTTTATGGACACATTCCATTTCTTTTGTACTAATGACAGGTAAAGTGGAAAAAAAATGCTATAGACCAGGGAGCATCTCATTTTTTTTTTCCTGAAAGGTTTTACAAAGTATTTAAAGTCTTTAAAATCCACTTGCACAATGTTATGGGGTTTGATTTATGTCCTTTGGAGGGATTTAATCAAGCTGTCAATTAAACTGGTGCTTAGTTTCTTAAAGAGAAGTAATTAGAAACAGTTTCCCTAAAAAGTATTTAGTAACATAATATTTGATCTTCTAATTGTTACATAATTTAAGAAATACATTATATTGGGATTTTTAGGGTAATATTATTATATTGGGTTTTGAAGAAAGACAATAGCAGACAGTTATTGAAATCCTAAATGTTATTGAATTATGTCTAACAGACTAGCTTATTTACTCATCTTTTTATCACATTTGAAATTTGAATGAATTAATTTTGTCTATCTAGTTTATATAATAAGCAGAATGCTAAAACTGATTTTTTTCTAGAAAATAATAGGAGAGAGAAATCAAACATTTAATGTCAGATGTAGTGTCATGCTTTTGCATGTGCTATCTATAGAAAACAGTCTTCCAACTCTTCTTTTACTCAGATGTTGTATGAGAGCAGGGTATTATGTATCTTTTCATCTTTGGAATTAGATGGCTCTCTACTAATTAGTGACTCCCACGGGTTTCTACATTATCAGAGCATTTAAGAGCTTCTAGGCCACCTGCTGCTGCTGCTGTTCTCATCACCTGGCCAGAGTGCATCTGGCTACTCACATTCCCTGTGGGATGCCTAATTGTCAATTCCCCAAGGTCTGATTACTGATAAAACAGGATTCTGAGACTTAGTCTGCCTGCCCTGTGATAACATAATGCATTGATTGTACCATTATTGTGACTTGCTGTGTTTCCATAAAAAAGTTTTTGAATTCTGCTCTATGTGTATTTAAATCTGAGATCTTCGTTAAAAAAAAAAAAAGCCTTCTGATATAAATCCTAAAATTATGCATTCCCTTTTCCCCAAGTGAAATGATGAATATAATTTGTGTGGAACTTAAGAAGTTAATTAAAGGAGGGAATTATGAACTTCTTTGACCTCTACAGTAAAAAACCACTCGTTCCAAGGCAGCTTTGGCTTGGTGTCTTGTGTTTAAGTTGGTATGATATTGATGCAGACCTTTTGACTCAGTTGCAGCAGTTACTCACAGACCTTCCCCATGACATGCTGGATGACGACCTCTCCTCTCCAGAGCTCCAGTATTCGGACTGCAGCGAGGATGGCACAGACGGACAGTAAGCACCTGAAGTCACTTTCACTTGTATATTGCAATTCTATAAGTCTTTTTCTTTTGATGAAGATTAATAATTACATGATTATAAAATTGTAAATTGATTCTTAAAATTTTGGGTGAAGATTGGAAGGAAAAAGGTTAAAATCTTGGGGTTCTTTGTGTTATCTATGTACAAATAAATGATACGCTTTAAATCGAAAGTATTCCTTTTTCTCGAGACCACATCATCCTGAGCAATTGGAGATGAGCTGGAATGAGCAAATGCTGCCCAAATCTCAAAGTGTAAATGTAAGTATCTGGTGTGATGATGACTTTGGTGAGGGTGGGACTGGATCTTCGTGCTTTTGTTTTACTCTTGTTATCTAATAGGGCTATAATGAAATTCAGAGTTTATATGCTGGAGAAAAATGTGGTAATGTCTGGGAAGAAAATAGAAGTAAAACTGAAGACCGACATCCTGTGTACCATCCTGAAGAAGGTGGAGATGAAGGTGGAAGTGGTTATAGTCCTCCAAGTAAATGTGAACAGACTGATTTATATCACCTTCCTGAAAACTTTAGGCCATATACCAATGGTCAGAAGCAGGAATTTAATAACCAAGCAACCAATGTAATTAAATTTTCAGATCCTCAATGGAACCATTTTCAGGTATTGTAAAAACTTGACTTTCAAGAACTTGTGTGTGTGCACACGCATTTGCGTGATGTTTGTGTGTGTTCAGGAAATGTATGTGAGTACAATGGTAAGATGATTTAACCACACGAAGTTCTGAGAGGGCACTTATTCAGGTTCATGGTGAATTAGTCATGGTATTTTCTGTTTACAGTCTAATACAATCATGATCTTAAGTCAGAAGTTTAAAATAGAGGCTCTTTGGACATAGTTGATTAAACATTAAAAGTTAAGTCTGCCAAAGAATAACTATCCTCATTTACTGCTGCTTCTACCACTGCACTGTGCTTCAATGAGAAGCTGTGTTCAGGTCTCTTATTGTAGTTTTTAAAGCAGTAATTCTGTGTAGGTGGCAACATTTAATTTCCTCAGTTTTCTTGCTCACCACCCATAACAAATTTTAGGTTAAACATGTCAAAGCTGATATCTCTATTGTATGGTGATATAACAGTAGACAGGATGAATGTGAAGGAAAAACCAAAAAACCTTGTTTTTCCTGGGGGGGAGTTTAATGAAGTAAGACCTCAGGATATAGTTAGTTGCTTCTTAGAATTTCTCAATGACAGCAAATACCTCAACAGCTAGTCTGTGTCACGCAATGACAGGATGGATTTTTTAGGCTGTTAAGTGGTTATTTTCTCTTAATTCTATCTCCGTAGAATGTTATTATTCATCCCATAAGAGTTACTATTTATTAGATATGAGGCACCGTGGTCCATGTTCATGTTATTGGATATGTGCATTTTTATATTCCCAAGATGTTGGCATAATCTAAATCATTTGTAATAAAATATTTCTATATAGTCTTATTGGAATTCTTGGGTTTTATTTATAAAATTGCCTTCATTGTGTGCTCAAAAGTAGAATTTAGGTGTCTATAAATTATGTATTGCAGACTTTCAATTAATAGTGTTAAATAACAATACGTGCTACTTTTGAGCAGATATATATATGTGTGTGTGTGTGTGTGTGTGTGTGTGTGTGTGTATATATATAAACAACTTTGAACTGTACCAAAAGTAAGTTCTGTAACGTAACATTAATTTAGGTGTCTAATTCAGATAATTTTGGAAGAAAAGGCCAAATCTTAATTGTCAGTTTCATTTGTTATCACAGGGTCCCAGTTGTCAAGGTTTGGAACCGTATAATAAAGTGACATATAAACCTTATCAGTCTTCTGCCCAGAATAATGGCTCACCAGCCCAGGAGATAACAGGAAGTGACACATTCGAAGGCCTGCAACAACAATTTTTAGGAGCTAATGAGAGTAGGTATCAAGTTTATATTTATTTTTTAATACCACATAATTGGGGAAATTTGAATACACAATGAATATTTGAGCACATTCAAGAATTATTATTTTTTAAGTATGACAATAGAATTGTGCTTGATATTTCAAAGAGCCCTTATTTTTAGAGATATATACTAGAGTATTTATGAATAAACTGACATGAAGTCTAGGATTTACTTTAAAATAATAGGCTGTTGAGGGGTAATGTTGGGTGGGAATATAGATGTGGCCAAATTGGCCATGAGTTCATAATTGTTGAATCTGGGAGATGGGTTCGTGGAGATTCATCATATTATTCTCTTTACTTTCTTATATATTTGAAATTTTTCGTAATGAAAAGTTAAAAGACATTTTTCCAACTTTATATTTCAGTCATTCTAGTTTGTTAAGCCTTTTCTCCTTATTTGTATAGTGTTAAGTATCCTCGCCTATCATACAGGATACCTGGACTTATTTGAAATTTAAAAAAATTTTAAAAGACTTTTTATGAACTTTATATATTTTTTTGACTGAAGCCTAATTTGGAAAATGAAACATAGTTTTCAATCTCAGATTTTTGACTATATAGAAGTGTAATTTAATACATCAGCACTATCATCAACTTTTTTCTTTTGATTTTACAGTTTTTAGTCAACTCTGATATAAATTAGTTTATATTCAGAATTACTTAGATATCAGGTTCAGTCATGTGGCATTTGCCAGTTTTTTTTGTATAGTATGTATATAAATATGAGAATGAAAAAAGTGCTTATAGGTACTAGAGAATTCTGAGATGAAATGCTAGTATCAAAAAACAAAAATCCCAAAATATAAACCCGTATAGTGACTGTACTGAATTACTCTTGTCATACTGTCTGGCACACTAAATAGCTTCTAATTATTGTGCATATTGAAGAGCCAGTGTAATTCTAGAGTGTGGCAGCAAGTGTTTTTGTTTTACTTTTTGTTTCCCTTTAATTAGTAGGGGAAAGGTCATACTGGATATTCTGGCTTACCTGGGCTATACCAAAGAGAAAACTGGACTTTTGGGTTGTGACTTCATATTGTTGCTTCCATCGTACACTGGGACGGCAGGGTAGTTACAGGGGGAGGCCCAGAATTCATTTTCCCCTGAAGGAGTCAACAGCAAATATGAGGATGGCCTCTCTTTGTTCTTAAGTTTTTTGTGGAATGAGGAAGTGGACAGTGTATATGACATAACTGGTTTTAGGTTGAGTAAATGAACCTCACAGCAGTGGCCTGACATCTCCTTAGTGTTTACTCTTTCAGTTCCCTTGAAAAGTTGTATTTGTATCTCCTGGTCTTTCTGCATATAAAAACCTTTCCTTACCTTTCTTAACACTCTGCACTTCTTCAAGTTGAGTCAGTTACACATTTGTCTAAATTTGACATTTGGAAGTTAATTAAATAACTTAATGGTAGTGCCAAATTAGTGATTATAGTTTCTTAGCAACAGTAATTTAAAAAATTTGGAGATGGGGCTAGCTCTACTATAAGACCTATGAGGAGTTTGACTTGTATAAACTTTTCAGTCTTTAATTTTCTTTATTTAACCAGATCTCTTTCTAAAAAGAGGACAGAATTATTTAGTTAGCAAGTGGTTAAAACTCAGTAAATGCATTTATTTCTGATTGTAAGCTAACAGAAACATTGTTCTAGTAGTAAGTAGAATATTTATCATTATGTAGTTGAAGCATACCTACCAATCCTTTTTTCCATTTTTTTTCTCTTTTTAAAGTGGTCCCCAAATGACTAATTGTTTCTAAAAGAAGACTTCAAAAATTTTTTTTTAAATTATGTATTCGTGGAGTAGATTTGGAGGTTTGTTATATGGGTATATTAAATAATGCTGGGGTTTGACTTCTAGTGAACCCATCACCCAAATAGTGAACATAGTACCCAATGGATAGTTTTTCAACCCTTCTCCCCTGCTCCCTCCCCAAAATTCTTGATTAATCTATTCACTAGCTAATTAATTCAGTTATGTGCCAGCATCAATATAAATATAATATTTTCCCCACTCCTGCCTAAAATAAAATATTTTGAGGCTGTCTAGAAATTTTCTTTAAAAATGATTTTATAGAAGCTGATGTACTTGTTTTGTTTTTAATTTTCTGACAGCATATTACTTTATTTCATTGCAGTTGTTATATACTGATTTTTAACTGGCTAAAATGGTAGTTAGTGATTCAGGGTTATAACTTAAACCAGTGACTTTCAAACTTTCCTATCAGTGACCCACTGTAAGAACTATATTTTTTTACATTGTGATATGGTGTACAACATGTATCTATATGAACAGGTATATATAAATGAAACAAGTTTCACAAAATAAGACTGTTTCTTACTACATGATGCACTCTGATATATTCTCTCTCTCTTTTTTAATCCTAGTCACAATTCACTGAATTGATTTCATGATGCTCTAAAAGGTTGTAGTCACAGTTTGAAAAACACTGCTTTAAATGACTATAAATTTATATTTTGGTATGTTTTTATCTAATAAATTGTCTTTAATTCCCAGACTCTGCAGAAAATATGCAGATTATTCAACTTCAGGTTCTTAACAAAGCAAAAGAGAGACAACTGGAGAACTTAATTGAAAAGTTAAATGAAAGTGAACGTCAAATTCGATATCTGAATCACCAGCTTGTAATAATAAAAGGTAAGATGCTGGATGCTGTCATTTATGAGGTACACTGAGTTAGATATCTTGTTTCCAATAACCTCAGATTACATACGAAGCTTAGAGAGTAAAAACACTTGGTCAGAGGGCTCATAGTGAGTGAGGCATAGCAAAACAAAACCCAGGATTTCTGAGTGTTGGCCTTGGATTACTTCTCTTTGGAACACGCTGTTTTGGAGACCAGGCATGGTGGCTTACGCCTGTAATCCCAGCACTTTGGGAGGCTGAGGTGGGCGGATCACTTGAGATCAGGAGTTCAAAACCAGCCTGGCCAACATGGTGAAACCCTGTCTCTACTAAAAATACAAAAATTAGCGGGGCATAGTGGCAGGCACCTGTAATCCCATCTACTTGGGAGGCTGAAGCAGGAGAAGGAGAATCACCTGAACCTGCAGGCGGAGGTTGCAGTGAGCCGAGAAAGCGCCATTGCACTTCAGGCTGGGTGACAGAGTGAGACTCTGTCTCAAAAAAAAAAAAAAGACACTCTATTTTGGAGTCCCTATATTTTCCCTTTTCTCACTTAGGCTTTTAGAATCATTGAACATTATTTAACTGTACTGATGGCATTCTGTCCTAAAAAGTTGTTGATTCCTTATGTCTGATTCCTTATGTCATTACTCTGGATGAAGTATTCCAGCTTTCAGAGTGATTTGTGTTTAGTTTGCACTGCAGCGTTTCCTGAGGCTACAAATTAGCATAAACGTTTTAATCCAAATAAGAGTTAGTGATTGTGAAGTGCCATGTCTGGGATAAACACACAGAGTAAATACAGATTCAAATTATAATTGCTTACTCCTTGTGCTTTCTCTAGTTTTGGTCCACGTTGAACTTTCATTTGCAGAATACTTTTGTGATTGAACTCTAGCTCATTTCAAATTTAATTGATGGTAAAAATGTCTCTTTCTGTAATGCTCATAACATTTATTTTGAGAGAAGAACTTGTGAGCTGTTATAGCAAAGTATGTGGGAAGAATTTAACATTAGGTGAATTTAAGAGTTCATTCCAAGTGGGTCGGGCACGGTGGCTCACTCCTGTAATCCCGGCACTTTGGGAGGTCAAGGAGGGCGGGTCACGCGGTCAGGAGATCGAGATCATCCTGGCTAACATGGTGAAACCCCATCTCTACTAAAAATACAAAAAATTAGCTGGGTGTGTGGTGGCGCCAGTAGTCCCAGCTACTCAGGAGGCTGAGGCAGGAGAATGGCGTGAACCTGGGAGGCGGAGCTTGCAGTGAGCCGAGATTGCACCTCTGCCCTCCAGCTTGGCGACAGAGCGAAACTCCGTTTCAAAAAAAAGAGTTCATTGCAAGTATGTGTAGGATAATTAGTCCTCAGATAACTTCTTTGATTAGCAGGGATTTGTCCCCAAAAGGGATGCAATAATAGTTTTAAAGGAAGTAGTTCTGCTTCTCTAAAAAAATTTTTTTGGTATCAGGTTTGTTTTTTTTTTTAATTTTTAATTTTTAATAATTTATTTATTTGGGGCTGGGTGAGGTGGCTCACGCCTGTAATCCCAGCACTTTGGGAGGCCAAGGTGGGTGGATCACTTGAGGTTAGGAGTTCGAGACTAGCCTGGCCAATATAGTGAAACCCCATCTCTACTAAAAATATAAAAATTATCTGGGAGTGGTGGCAGGTGCCTGTAATCCCAGCTACTGGGGAGGCTGAGGTTGTAGTGAGCCAAGATTATACCACTGTACTCCAGCCTGGGCGACGGAGTGAGACGCTGTCTCAAAATAAATAAATAAGTAAGTAAGTAAATTCTTTATTTAGTTTTCTCTAAATCAACTAAAGTTCATTTTTCTGAATTAAATTTAATTCAACAACATTTATATATGATACAGACGTGACATCTGATTGGGATTGTGACATTGGGGTCCCTCTACAGGAACATTATTTATATAAACATTTTTAATACCGTAGATGAAAAGGATGGTTTGACTCTCAGCCTTCGAGAATCACAGAAACTCTTTCAGAATGGAAAAGAAAGAGAGATACAGCTTGAAGCTCAAATAAAAGCACTGGAGACTCAGATACAAGCATTAAAAGTCAATGAAGAACAGGTACCTATTTTAACTTATGTATGGTAAAAAAATTAAAAGTTTAGTTATTTAACAAAACTTTTTGTAGGGTAGGACTAAATTTAGAAGAACTTTGAAGTTATTGACAAAGCATTAGAACTTAAATTTCCTGACTGCAATAGTTTGCTTCAGAATTGGTATCCCGAGAAGCTTTTATTTTTATTTTTCCTGCTGCTTCTCCATTTGGAGAACTGTTTTTTAAACTTGAGTTTAAAGTGGTGACACATTCACATTCTTTGATTAATGAGATAGCCATTTGATTTTTGGAAATAGTCATAAGTCATTGGTAGCTAAGCCTGGTGGTGGTTGATTCATTTTTTGGCAGGGGGCAGGGTTAAAAATGAAAGTGATGGCCGGATGCAGTGGCTCACGCCTGTAATCCCAGCACTTTGGGAAGCCGAGGCGGTCGAATCACCTGAGGTCAGGAGTTTGAGACCAGCCTGGCCAACATTGTGAAACCCCGTCTCTATTAAAAAGTACAAAAATTAGCTGGGCGTGGTGGCAGATGCCTGTAATCCCAGCTACTCTGGAGGCTGAGACAGCAGAATCGCTTGAACCCAGGAGGCGGAGGTTGCAGTGAGCTGAGATTGCTCCATTGCACTCCAGCCTGGGGGACGAGAGCGAGACTTGTCTGAAGAAAAAAAAAATGAAAGTGACTATGAAATAATGAGCTTGGTTTTGAGTGAGACTTGTAGCTAAGTCTGAGGATGGTTTAATGAAAGAGTTTAAACAGTGTTGTCTCATGTCTGGCTTCTCCTCATCCTTCAGGTCTTAGCTAAAAACAATTACCTTTTCAGAGGACTTGCTATTCACTTTATATGTAAGGTAGCCCATAGCTCCATCCTCCAACTCACCTTCATCATGCCATATTCTATTACTCTATAACTATCTGAAATGATCTCATTTGTTTACTTGTTATTTATTGTCTCTTCCCACTAGAAAGTAGTAAGAGCTTAGACCTTTTCTGTTTGGTCATTATGTCCTTAGTGCTTAGAACCCTGCCTGGCACAAATGATCTGTGTCATTCAGTGGATGGATCTCTTAGCCATGAAAGCAGTATTGGAATAAATAGGCAATCTCTGGAATAGAATGAAGAATAATTCTCTTGAAATTTTAATTTTTGTATGTAATGTAGATTATTTTTAACTTTTTGAAAACCAATAGTTATTAGATTAAAAAGTTAAGTTGCCTTTATGTAGTAAAAGGTTATAACTTTGTAATCTTTTTTATGTAAGCAGCAGAATCACCAAGTGTATTAGTTTCCTATTGCTGCTGTAACAGATGACCACAAATTCAGTGGTTTAAAACAATACAAATTTATCTCACAGTTCTGGAGGTCAGAAGTCTGACATGGATCTCACTAGGCTAAAATCAGGGTGTCAACAAGGCTGCATTGCTTTCCGGAGGCTTTAGGGGAGAATCCATTTTCTTGCTATTTCCAACTTCTAGAGGCCACCTGTGTTCCTTAGCTTGTGGCCCATTTCCATCTTCAAAGCCAGCAATGAATGGCTGATTGAGTCTCTCTGGTTCTGACTTTTCTGCCTTAGTTTTTCTCATTTATGGACCCTGTGGTTACATTGGGCCCACCTGGATAATCCAGGCTACTCACCTTATTTTAAGGCAATCTAATTAGCCATATTAATTCCACATACAATCTTAATTTTCCCTTGCCATGTAATATAACTGATTCACAGGTTTTGGGGATTAGGACACGGTCATTTTGGAGGGCTATGATTTTGCCTACAATACCAACTGTGCAGTTACAGCTTTGAAAACTTTGTTTTTAGTAAGTGACCATTGGCAGGTTTCATCAGTCTTTCAAGGAACAGTTGTCATTTTTCTGTGACCTAACAATTGGGTTACCCCACACTTTGGTCATAGAGCAATGCAAACAGCACTGGGGCCATCACGGCATCAGCAGATTCCGTGCCTGATAGCCACATCCATCATGCTGCGCAAAATCCTCTTTCACTCCCCTCAGGTATCTACCAAATGTATTTTCTCAGGGAACATTGTTTCCAACAACTATGGGCCTGGAGGGTCCCAGCTAGGGTTGTTTTAAGGAGCTTGAGCCATGATGAGCGGAGACCCCTTCTCTACTCTCATTAAAACATGCTTGAGTTTTATTTTATAGTAAAAGTAAAAGTTTATAGACAGCACAGAGCTAAAATACTCTGTGTATATTTTAAACATGGATATCCTGTGTGTATTTACTAGATGATCAAGAAGTCCAGAACAACTGAAATGGCTCTGGAAAGCTTGAAGCAGCAGCTGGTGGACCTTCATCATTCTGAATCACTTCAACGAGCTAGAGAACAGCATGAGAGCATTGTTATGGGCCTCACAAAGAAGTACGAAGAGCAAGTATTGTCCTTACAAAAGAATTTGGATGCCACAGTCACCGCACTTAAAGAACAGGTTGGGATGATTTCAAATGAGCAACTGTTATCAACAAGTAAAGCTGGTTATGTTTTGTAACTGATATTTTATGGTTCATCATATAGAAGTCTTGGATGTTTGTAGTAAATGTTAGATTGTGTGTGAGGTGAGTGAAACTTAAAAGCCAGTGATATTGGCTGGACGCAATGGCTCACGCCTGTAATCCCAGTACTTTGGGAGGCCAAGGCAGGCGGATCACCTGAGGTCAGGAGTTCAAGATCAGCCTGGCCAACTTGGTGAAACCCCGTCTCTACTATAAATACAAAAAAAAAAAAAAAATTAGCCGGGCGCAGTGGTGCGTGCCTGTAATCCCAGCTACTCGGGAGGCTGAGGCAGGAGAATTGCTTGAACCCGGGAGGCAGAGGTTGCCGTGAGCTGAGATCGCACCACTGCACTCCACCCTGGGCGACAGAGCGAGACTCCGTCTCCCCAAAAAAAAAAAAAAAAAAAAAAGAAGCCAGTGATATTTTAATCTGAGAATACATCCTAAAGGTATACTTTTGGAAACCCTACTTCTTATACGATTATTAGTACTTTCTCAACTTTCACATTACTTGTCCTTTATTTGTAGGGTATTTGTGTATGTTGTTTATATGGTCCTAGAATAAATCCAGACCAAAACAAATGAGTCTGCCAGCGGCTGGCTAGAACTTGAGAGGTTACCTTGGAAGCTTAACCAGTAGAAAACCTTACTTGAGTCTCCCAGCATTTGGTAATTCACCTGTCAATACAGCAATACAGTCTGTTGAGAAATGATTCTTGGGAAGAGAGTAAATTTTGAGGACAGTATAATTTATAAAATAAGACAGTCTGATCTAGACTTAATGAGATTTGCATCTTGAGCATATTGCACAGTGAATTTTTATTATTTTCACTCAAGGGGGAATAAAATATTGAAAGCTAAATGTGAGTCAGGTGGTGAGTTTGCTTGTGCTCCATAACTCTAGGTAATCACTTGAGTGAATAACATTTCAGAATTTATTTTTCTTAATGTAATTTCAAAATTGATTTAACTTAAGGGAAGGAGAGAAGAAAAATCAGATGTGAGGGTATGGAAAATTTCACCACACTTAAAATTCATGCTGATTTGGGTTATTTCTGACCTATATAGCTGCCTCTAATTTTTCCATGCTTTTAGGTAGAACTATATAAGAGTGCATTACTGGCAATAATTATTTATCATTTTATTTTATTTTTACATGTATTTATGTGTGTTTTTATTATATCTATTTCATTATGTATTTATTTTATATAAAAAAATTGTGAATTTGATCAATGTGGAGGATATATAGGAGTAGGGAAAGATGAAGGCCAGTTACGGTGGCTCATGCCTGTAATCCCAGCACTTCGGGAGGTTGAGGCAGGTGGATCACTTGAGCCCATGAGTTCAAGACTAGCCTGGGCAAAATAGTGAATCCTTGTCTTTACGAAGAAAAAATAACAAATTAGCTGGGCATGGTGGCATGCGCCTGTAGTCCCAGCTACTTGGGAGGCTGAGGTGGGAGGATTGCTTGAGCTCAGGAGGTCGAGGCTGCAGTGAGCCATGATTGCACCACTGCATTCCAGCCTGGGTAACAGAGTGAGACTCTTTTTCCAGAAAAAAAAAAAAAAAAAAACGAAGGCTATACCAAATTATTGAAAAGTCTACTTTATAGAATATTTAAACAGAATTTGAGATGTAGCTTCATAAATTTTTATTTTATTTTATTTTAAAGTTAGTTTTGGCCAAACATAGGGTAACATTGAAGTTAGTTGGACTTGGACAGTAGCCCTTCTTGGATGACTGGAGAAGAGTGGATCCTGGTGGCTTTTCCTTATTGGGTTGGGGGTCTCCATTCTCTGTTGACTTAAACACAGTTTCATTAGGGATGGATTGGAAGGAATTTCTAGTGTTTTCTACCCCTGTGCCCACTGCATTACTCTGTTGTCCACTGCCCCACCCCCTTCAATAGAAGAACTCTACAGTAAAGTCAGAACAAATTCTTGATTCTGTGCTGGGTGGGTTTCAGACCCCGGAATCCATAAATTGAAGGTGTTAAGGTCTTTTCCCACTGTTACGTTCTTTGCCTATTTTTACTTTGTTTTATTATTATTTTTTTTAACAGAGCATGGCACTGATGTTAGGCTCTGCATATAATTGCATAGCTGCTTTGCAAAGTGGTGATTCCAAAGCGCCTAACAGAAGCCCAGACCTCGGCATCATGCCACATATCCATGTAACACACCTATACACATATCCCCTGAATCTAAAATTAAAAACAAAATGTCTGTAATTAGTATATTTTGAGAAATTTATGGATTGTAAAATTATTAGTGTTTTTCTTAAGACAGCAGCTTTTCTGGGTAGAAAAGATTGTATGCACTCACAACATATTATAATAGTTCTTTTTTTTTGGCTGATTTTCCCTTGAATTTGTTTAGTGAGACAGAAAAGGTGAAAGAAATGGGCTTCTTGGAGCTCATAGTGTTCCTCCAATGTCATAATTCTCTCCTAGTAAACTATCGCCTGGACTCTCTCCACCAAACTGACTTTTACCTCCTCCCATTCATGGAAGTGTCATGTTAAGATCTCTGATTATCTCCTTGTTGGTATATTACTTTTTTCCTTCTGTCTCCTTGAAAACTTCAGCTTTTGGTGAAGTCATGGACTTTGGTTTCTATGTCATAACCTTTTACCTTTTCTTTAATGTTATATTTAAAGGCTCCACTTTGAACACTTTCTGTTGGCTTAGAGACTCCCACAGACTTCTCTGTGTGTGGTCCAGTCCTCATTTTCCTGTGTGCTAGAACCCTGTCCAGTTCTTTTTCCCTCCCACAGATTCAGCTGTCATCTCTATCATCTCTCTCTCTCTCTCTCTCTTTTTTTTTTTTTTTGAGATGGAGTCTCGCCCTGTTGCCCAGGCTGGAGTTCAGCCGTCATCTCTTTATCATTACACTTGTCTCAGTCTTGAAAAATGTCTGCCCATATCAGACTTGAACTACTCAAGCTAATCATGGCAAACATTGAGCTACTCAATCTTTTTTGATTTTTGGTATTAAAACTTTAAACTTTAAAGTTTTATGAGTATGATCTGTTTTCCTGAACTTGTCAATAGGATACACCATAGTTTAATTGATTTTTACATAAAATCAAATTATTGGCAGAGTCTGCCTTTTCTTTACAATTTTTTTATACCTACCTTTTCTTTAACTTTGTTTGCTAGTTCCCAGTCCCTTGTTAACACTATTGTGACCTCCCCAGAATATAAATATTAGCTGTCTCCCCACCCCTTCTTGCTGTCATTACTGTCATGCTGTCATTAATATGAGCTCATTCATTGTTTTTGCCACGTTACTTTGGCGCTTTAGAACCAGGTTTCTCAAGCTGGCCTGGAATTCGCAGCAGTGTGCCAGGAGGTTTGCAGTGCTGAATAAACATGGACTAGTTTCCAGAAGCTTCATTTTGCTCAAAAATTTAGTAGAAAAAATTTAAAGCAAACACAGCTTCATTATGAAATAGAATACAAAATTCACATGGATTTTTAAGCTAAAATGGGAGACTTCAGAGTCTCTTTGCTTCAAGGTAGTTATGTATTGGTGCTCTTATGGGATGTACCTTGTGTTAGTATCCTTAAGGTATTATTGGGCTTTAGGTTATACTACAGATCAGGCAGCAAAAGCCTAAGGCCTTTTCTCTACTTCAAAGCCCTTTCTCAGTATTCTTCTTATTTCTTATTTTCTTTAGGTTTTCTTGGGTAATTTCAGTTAATCAACTTAACTCATTCCTCTGCCTCTCCCATGCTCTGCCATTTGCCTGGAATTCAGCCTGTGTAGCCTTTTTTGAAAGAAAGGTGATGATTTCGACAGTGTGTTTGTTCTACCTGGACTCAGGACTCCCGTGGTTTATTACACCCAAACATATTTTCTTTTGGAAGAAACTTGAGTATATTGCATACACACTCTATATTTTATGTAATCCCATATAGTTACACACATGCACATACACATTTACCCTATTTTTCTTTGTCATTTATTTTTCAAGTGTTTCTTACAGCACTTGATATGTCTAAGGCACTGCAGAAGCACCTTCAAGGGGGCTATTAAGAGAAATAAGACATCTAAAAGGTGGAGAAAGATAAGAAAGAAACAGATCAAGTTTAAAAGAATTTCAGAGGAGGGAAAGATTATTTTTTGGCTGCTCTTAATGGAATGAACTTTTGGCTGCTTAGAATACAGTGAGTTTTCATGTGTTTATCTATATCCTTACTGTTTTGGGATACAAATAGCATGATTCAAAGTAGTCTGCCTAAATATATATACATACACTTATACTGACAATATAAAATACGCATAGGAATGTAATACATTTTCTTTGGCTTGAATAAAATCTAATTTTTGAATAACTCATTGTCTTGTGAATATAGAGTTGAAGGAGACTTTAGAAGGCACCTAATTCAACCTTTATTAGCATAATTACAAAAGAAGAAACAGACTGAAGAGTTGAAGCTTCACCCAAGCTCTTGACTCCCAGTTCTGTGCACTTTACCTTGTAAAAGAGGTGATGCTCCCATGTGATGATCTTGTGTTTGACATCAAATCTAATTATGTATCATAATTTTTAGTTTACTCTTTATTAAAACTCTTTATGAAAATGACTTCCTGAACTTTTTTTCTATTTAGGAAGACATTTGCTCTCGTCTGAAAGATCACGTGAAACAACTGGAAAGGAATCAAGAAGCAATCAAGTTAGAAAAGACTGAGATCATTAATAAGTTGACAAGAAGTCTAGAGGAGAGTCAAAAGCAGTGTGCCCACTTGTTGCAGTCCGGTAGGTGTCTGGTAGGTCCACTGTCTCCCCAGAAGGTTGGTTCAATATGCAGAAAGAATGTAGTAGGATCCATGACTTGTAAAAATCCAGAAGGGACAGAAAACACAATCAGCAATAAATTTCTTTAAAAAAAAGAAATATATATTTTTATATATATACAGAAGGCATATATATATATATACATATATATATATATACATACACACATATATAAAAAAATATATAAAGGTTTAGTTTGTTTTTATTAAATAATTTGGAAGCTGGAGACCAGTATAAAGTACCAAATAAAAATAACCGTAATTCTACTACTGAGATAATTATTGTTAGCATTTGAATGTATTTCCTTCAAATGAAATGAATGTACACACATAGACAATGTCCTGCTTCTTTATGTAATGCATTTCTGAAAACATACTAAAGCTGAACATGCAAAAATTGAACAATAAAATACATTATAGGGTAATTTCTATCCCTGAAAACTAAAAGTGATTATAAAATCCCATTATATTTTGCTTTTTTAGGCCCAATATTTGATCATATAGTTCTATCCTTTGTATAACTTCTTTCATATTTTTCCCCTCATAATGGAATAGTGACTTACCTAGTCAGTTGAGGCCAGAGAGTTACATTTTTGTCATGCTTCAGATTTCTAATATGGTCTTTATAGTATTAAGTTTGAGACATATGCTTCCTATCATTTTAGTTTCAGCAGTTGTTTTATTTCTTATTAATTTTTATAAAATGATATTAGAGCAAAGAACAATAAAATGATCACGTTTGTACAAACACCGCTATATAGACAAAACTTCCCTGTTTGCTGGTAAGTAGCTCACATTGTGAAAACAGGTCAACAGTTATTCATTAACTGATATATGAAAGTCACACTTTGGCATATGAAAGGTAATTTAGACTGTTGGTACAATATGTGAAAGGGTGGGCTATTCAAAAGCTGAAAATACTAAAGTCAAAGACTGCCTAAATGTATGTGTATATATGTCTTGATAGGGGGCAAAATTTGGATTATGCTTTATTAAGGGCCCCTCCCTGTTTAGTTTTATAGCCTTTGTTTTCATTTGGCATTACTTGGTGAGCCTTTTTCCTGGCTGTTAAATGCTTTGAAAATATTATTTTCTTTATGCCATCATTGCTTCACTTAATCATTTCCCAGATGGTCATTTTCTTTTGAAACCTAATAATGTCCCTTTTAAATTGGGAACAGTCCCCCCACCACCTTGCCCAGTACATTTAAAATATTAGGTTTCTAAAGTTTCAGAATTATAACCCTAATACACTTCATTTACATGTGGAGGTGGGGATGCTGGATAGAAAAGCATCTACAAAGAAGTTAAAGGCAGCACGGTATAGTTTTCTTATTGCAGGGTAGAAATGGGTTCCAAAGAATTTTTTCTTTGACTTACCATGAGTTGGAGTGTTACGCTCCTATTAAAGGACTTCCGGAATGTTAAGGTCTGTAAATGTGACTGATTTGATTCATAAAAAGGTCATAGTAGCCCATGCCTTTAACTGCCCAAGGTCATATGGGATGCCATACTAAATCTGGGAAATGTCTGGCCCAGACCTATGCCTTCTGGGTCCCATGGGCTCTATGTATTCTAAAGAGACAGTAGTAGTAAAGCAGAACTTTACTTTCTGTAGCCTCAGTGGATTCAAGTCTTCTGTAGATCATAAGCACTTTGTCCCCTTAATTTTTTCAGTATATCCTATGGTTCTTTCCTCTGCAGGGTCAGTACAAGAGGTGGCTCAGCTACAGTTCCAGCTGCAGCAAGCACAGAAGGCACATGCTATGAGTGCAAACATGAACAAGGCTTTGCAAGTGAGTGTTGCCACTTGGAAGAGGCTCTATGGGTATCTGAATTAGGCAGTAGTTACATCACCTTTTTGAATCTTGGGTTTCTCTGTATAATAGAGGTGGTTGGACCACCTTCAAACCAGCCCATGGGAGTTGTTCACCATCTCCTTCACACAGTTGGCAAGTCAAACTCAGGTCTGTCTAATTGCAGAGCCAAGGCCCTGCACTTCCTGCCAGCTTGCCTGCCACCTCCTTCAAGTGGCATGTCCTTTCATCTTTGGGTGTATCCCAGAGATCAGTTCATCTATGGGGGTGGGGAATGTTGAATTTTGCTGCAATTCTGTCATATCCTCCTCCAGTGCTATTTACATTTTCCACTGGAGGGGGAGGAAAATATGGGAGAAGAGTTCCATTATTACCTCCACCTTTTCACCACCGGCAGGCTAAAGTACAACCTGTTCTTGGCAAACCAGCGTACTTTGTCCTGTACTCTAGTAAGCCAGAAAGCGCCGCCATCAGCATTTAAGCCCAAGGAACACACCACTTTCCATGGAGGACAAAATCTAAGAGACAGAGATGTGAGAGGAAATCCTTATGTTTGTTTTCTCATTCATTTATTCATTTAGGCTTTACTTGAAAACCTGATATATGCCGACCTTTATAAAGTATAATGTGTACTAATAATATATTTGAAGAAGTTTTTTTGCCTCCTGTTGATCATTAAAACAAATTTTGAAACAGAATGACTGATTACTTCATATAGGAAAATAGTGAAAATTATTTTTAATAATTTTGTGTTGTAGGAAGAATTAACAGAACTAAAAGATGAAATTTCTCTCTATGAATCTGCTGCAAAACTAGGAATACATCCAAGTGACTCAGAAGGAGAATTAAATATAGAACTCACTGAATCGTATGTGGATTTGGGTATTAAAAAGGTCAACTGGAAAAAATCCAAAGTTACCAGGTATGGAAAGAATATTTTAGTTTACTGTAGAAGAACCAACATTAGTAATGCTGATGATGCATGGTATCTGTTTTAAGGTGAGAGCGTATTATTTTCATATGTTAACACTGTGTATTGAATGCAGATACCTTGCATTTATCAGTGATAGTATAAAAAATATACATTAATTTTTCCTAGAAACCTTACTATGACCTTACTTTTAAAGTAGAGATTCTGTCTTTTATATTACTGCTTAATACAGATATTTTAGCAATCTCATAGTAGGAAGTATTTTATCACTCCTGCTAGAGACTGACTAGGGAGGGAGTAGTGGTGGTTGTAGAAGGAGAATTAAACACTTAAAGGACTTCAGAAGCACTTGCTGCGTGGAAGGTGCTATACAAGGCTCTGGGAATAGAGTACAAAAGATGAGATAGGAACTGTCCTTCCCACAGGGAGCTTACGTGTTTTCTGGTCAGGGAGAAAGAAACATTGTTGGAAACAACTAAGTGCTATGCATTCAATGTTATGTTTGATGTATAGAGGTGGGATTTACACATTTCCTGTACTGGTTTTGGATAGGGAAGAGAGAGATACGGTGTTTGGAAAAGATTGTATTTAGGTTAAGAAAAGATTTTTGGATGCGTTTGGCCCTTACCACCACCCTTTTGTTTATAGTTTAAGATGGAGTTCGTCATCATTGTTGAATTGTAGTTTCCAGAGAGTGTTTAATACATGTTGTATTTCAGGTATTACACAACTAAATACAAATATATAAATGTCCTGAAAAGTTTGCTCTACGATAGGTTTTAGAAGTTACATATTTTGAGACTGTGATCTCATTTTAAGAACAGTAAGATGAGATTCAGTAAGTAGAAATATAAAGTGATCAGGTGATACTGTGAAAGTAGATGGTATTATTCTAGTTTAGTAAGGCTCCATTTATCTAGAGGTCTGTCTTCAGGGACTCTCATCCCTACAAATCACAGCACTGCTATCCAGAAGGAAGCAAAGAAGAAAATATCAGAACTGGATTATATGATGTATTTAGTAGGAGCCACCTTCAAGTTCTTATCCCAGGACCATATTGACTTAGATTTATTTGTACTCCATGAATTGTCTCATTTCCTAACCAACTGCAGAGGGCTAGGGCAAGGGTTGGGAAAGACAGTATCCATCCTTCGGCCAGCAGCTCAGCCTTAGCAAGGAGAAAACTATGGAAACCCAACAGGCTAGAGTTGCTGAGTATCACAGCAAATAGCTCTACACATTTACGTGTGTTTGATCCACATCAAAATGTCCACAGTTATGATCCCAAGTTGTCAAAGAAAGGCTTCCAGTTTGGTTAGTAAATTAAAGCAAAAAACGAAGTGCATTATATCTTTTTTAGACAGATTTACATAAAATGTTAATATAGTCACCTGGAAAATTCACTGCTGTGAATGCCTCATTTCCTGCTAATGCCAGATTAATTCTAAGGGGCTACTGGGAAGAGCGTGGGCTTTAGATCCAGATTGTTTTGAATAATAGTTTTGCCATTTTATTACCAGCTTTGTGAGCTTGGGCAAATTTCTTAGCTTTTCTGAGCCTGTTTTCTTATCAAGCTTAAAATCCCTTGGAGGTTAAACTGAGGAATAAAATAATGAATATAAAAGGCCTTATGTAACACGTTCTAACATATATTAGGCATCATTTGATAAATGATGGCTGTTACTATTGTTATACAGTAGATGGTTGATTAAAACATATCACTGATCAGATTTTATATTAAGTCACATGAATTTTGTATTAATTCAACACATACTTTGTAAATGTTCTTGATTCTCAACCTTGTGAAAAATATCAAATCCAATATCAACATGTGAGAGTTGGAAAAACCAGAGTGAACTCCTTTGCTTAGTAAGGCAGACAATTAGTAGCAGAACCAGTACTTGAACCCAGACTCCTGAGAAAGGCTCGGTTGTCTGTCTGTTCATATTTACATGTCAGTTAAACCTTTTTGCCTTAAACTCCTTTCTTCATGTCTTTTATTTTTGAGGATTAAAGATGTAGTTCATGACAAAAAAGATTTTTCTCCAATTTGTGATTACTTTTAGTTTCTGCTCTAGTTGGTCTGGGAATTGGATAAATAATACATTATGTATGTTTATCTTTTCAAATAGTTACTTCTTCATGATGTCTATTAAAACATATTCTGCTACCTTTACACTTTCTATTTACTTAGTGCTCATAGCCAAAATCCTGTATTCATCTTTTTTTTTTTTTTTGAGATGGAGTTTTGCTTTTGTTGCCCAGACCGGAGTGCAATGGCATGATCTCGGCTCACTGCAACCTCCACCTCCCAGGTTTAAGCAATTCTCCTGCCTCAGCCTCCTGAGTAGCCGGGAATACAGGCATGTGCCACCATGCCCAGCTAATTTTGTATTTTTAGTAGAGACGGGGTTTCTCCATGTTGGTCAGGCTGGTCTTGAACTCCCGACTTCAGGTGATCCTCCCACCTCGGCCTCCCAAAGTGCTGGGATTACAGGCTTCAGCCACCGCGCCCGGCCTCCTGTACTCATCTTAAAGCACATTCCTATAGATAATAAACCTGAGACACCGCATCATTATTATAGTAAAAGGAATGATGGACGCATTCAGTGGGAAAGTGAAGAATAAAGCACAGTGTGATTAGTCACTGAGGCTCGGCAAAAAGACATCCAGTGAAGCACAAGATAAGCGAAGAAACGTTTTGCTTGTAGTCATCCCACCCACCAGCAGTTTATTAGATGATATTTTGGCTTCGTGGAAAACTAAAAGCTATTATACTCAGATCAAATTCAAAGGAGATAAAGGAGAGAAGATATTTGTCTCTTTCCCCTGGTCTACTGTGATTCCTAGAATAAGGGGAAGCAATAATTTTCATGTGTTGGGAATTTTAGTTCTTTGTTGACTTGGGCTGCTTTCAAATCACTGACTCAAATATTGGTGGCTACAAGCTTTTATTACCAACTACCTCCTCCCTCAAGCTACTGCCTAGTAAATTTTAAGGGTTTAGCCTCAATGTTCTATTTTACATTCATGGAATTTGAGTAGCTAAATCTGCATGCAGCTTGCAGACAGCTTCCTCTCTCCCTTATTATAGTTGGCTGCTAAGCTCAAATAATAAACATTTAACAAGTGGAATGCCTTTTCCCTTTGGTCTTCTCAGCAGGCTTCATAAGGGACTACAGTTTATTTGGATTTAGGAGAACTGACTTCCATGGGACTCAGTAGTGAGCCTTTTTCAGGATTGGTCACTACCACTGATTTTTTTCCCCTTTGAGGAAAGAAGAGAAAATTATTTTAGCAAGCACTTTCTCTCTCTGACTTGGCTCCCTCTAGGAGTACAGGATGTGCTATTTCAGTGGTCAGCATTCAGTAAGAAAAGAAATTGGGGATGCATAATTTGTTAACCGAGCAAAATAATCATTCTGCTTAAGGTTAGTTCACCATGTCTTATGGCACAGGAAGTTATATTGTAAAATATTTTATATTTCTTGTAATTTATATTTTCTACTTCAATGGAAATAGAAGTGGTTTAAATGAGATCTATGTATATAGACAGACTACTTACAAAATATATATATATATTACATATACAAATTTGCATTTTGTATTGCAAAAGCTCCTTTTATAACATTAAAAAGCCTACCTAATAGTTTGTTCATTTTCTCTGTCTCGCACACCCATACACACAGACACACACACACACACACACACACACACACAATATTCTAAGATTTTATTTGGAATCATCTAAAACTGAAGAACAGTAAACATTTTAACTCAGGTAGTATTTTTGTTTCTAATAAAGGTTTTTTAAAAATATATTTTTGGAACAGTTTTTAATTTACAGAAAAATTTGTATTACGCAGAGTTCCTATATACGATATGCTGCACCCATTTTTCCCTACTAATACCTTATGTTAGTATGGTACATTTGTTACAATTAATGAGCCAATATTGGTATATTATTATTAATTAACATCCAGGGTTTATTTACATGCCCTTGGTTTTTATTTAACATACTTTTTCTGTTCTGGGATCCCAACCAGGCTACCCCATTACATTTAGGGGTCATGTTTCCTTAGATTTCTCTTGACTTTACTTGTTTTTGATGACCTTGACAGTCGTAAGGAATACTGGCCAAGTATTTTGTAGGAAGCTTGTCTATTGGAATATGACGTTTTTCTTATGATTACGTTTTTCTCATGGGTTTTGTGGAGAAAGACCACAGAGACTTTCATCACCTCATCTTAAGGGCAGATACTGTCAACTGTTTATTTCTTTTCAAAAGTAACTTAATCCTCCATTATGAAAAAATTAGAAAATACAGACTAAAAAAGAAGAAAATAGAAGTCACCAATAATCTCACCTTACTTCCCATGAAGAAAACCACTTTTATATTTCAGTATAAAACTTCCACATCACCTGTTTTGTATGTTTCTAAAAGATAAAATAATATTGATAATATTTCTTTATAATGTCATTTTACTAGTATATTCTGAAATCTTTGAATATTAGTGAATATTTTTATAGATTACTTTTAGTGACTATGTAGATGAATGAACCAGTTTAGCTACTAAATCGCTGTTTAAAAGTTTTACTTATAAATAATGCAATATCATTGTTATAAGCATCCTTGTAGTCAAGTCTTTATTCACATCTTTGATTACTTCCTAAAGAAGTAGAATAATTGTCTTGCTAGAGGGTGTGCACTTATTTGAGGGCTTTGATGCATATTACTAAACAGCCCTAAAGTTTACATTATTACCCACGTCCTGAGGCTGTCCCTATTTCTTGGTAACCTAGCCAGTATTGAGAGTTATCACTTTTCCTGTTTATAATTTTTATATAGTTAGATCTGTCACTGTTTTCATTTATGGTTTCTTGATATTTAAAAATAAGGTATTTCTCTAGTACTTTCTATAGTTTTATTTTGCTTTTTAAATCTTTCAAATTATGAAATATACCATATAAAAAACATGGAACATAAATATATAGCTTAATGAATTATTTGAAAGTGAATATTCGTAGGACCACCACCCAGGTCAAGAAGTAAATATTGCCACGAGCTGCCCATATTCTTTCTTATTGTAACCTTGAGGCTAACTACTATCTTATCTATTAGGGCAATCATTTTCTGTTTTTTTTTTCCCTTAGCTTTTTAATACCCAGTTATTCACACCTAAGCACTACAGATTATTAGATTTGCCTTCATATGAAGGAAACTCATACGTTAGGTGTTTGGGTTTTCTTTTCTTTTTTTTTTTACTGTTTTATTGAGATATTATTTCACATACCATAAAAGACACCCACTTAAAGAATACAGCTCAGTGGTTTTCCGTATATTCACAGAACTGTGCAGTCATCACCACACCTAATTTTACAGCATTTCAACATCCCCCCAAAGAAACTCCATGCCTATTACCAGTCATTCCCATTACCTCTTCCTGCCTCCACAGCTCCAGACAACTAATCTACTAATCTACTTCCTGTCTCTATGGATTTGACAGCTCTGTGCATTTCATATAAATAGAATCGTATAATATGATCTTCTGTGAATTTTCTTTACCATTTCTTCTCAAGCATGTCTGCTGCTGACAGAGTCTGTTTCCTTTTATGAAAATATCCTTATATTTGTTTATTATACAATTCCTGACCAATTGTTCTTCTATTTCAGCACATTAAAGCTATGTTGGTCCACTCTCTCTGGACTCAATGGTTTCTGTGAAGAAATTCATTGTTATTTGAATTAGTGTTTCTGTCAGTAATGTATAGGTTTTTCTTTTGCTGCTTTAAGAATTTTTTTCTTTATATTTAGTTTTTGGTACTTTGATTATGATATGTTTAAGTGTGTTTTTCTTTAGTTTATCTCATTTTGGGTTCTCTGAGCTTCTTGAATATATAAATTTATTATGTCTTTTACCAAATTTGTGAAAATGTCAGCCATTAATTTCCTTAAATACCTTTTCTGTCTCTGTGTCTTTGTTCTCTCCTTTTGGGTCTCCAGTTACATGTATGTTAGATTTTTTGATATTATACTACAGTTTCTTGAGGCTCTGTTCATTTTTTTCTATAGTTTTTCCCTTTTTATTTTGCATAATTGCTACTGGACTATTTTCAAGTTCACTCCTTTTTTTCTTGTCCTCTATACTCTATTGAGCCTATCTAGTGAAGGTTTTGTGTGTTTTTATTTTAACTTTTGTTTACTTAATAACATTTCTATTTTGTTCTTGTATCACTTTTCTTTCTCTGTTAAGAATTCCTGTTTTTTTTCATTCACTTCAAGTATCTTTTTCTTTACTTCATAAAGCAGAGATATAATAGCTACTTTAAACTTATAAAACTCTTTTAGTGACAGTTCCAGCATTTGGATCATTTGTTGATTGTCTTTTAAGATTTGGCCACATTTTTCTGGTTAGTTGCATGTCAAGTAATTTTAGATTATATACTAGACATTGTGAATTTGTATGAGTGTTTTAAATCTGTTTGGTTCTCCAAGCCTTTGCCACATTGCTTTGAATCCAACCTGTGTATGCATCCCTTCGGGTTTAGTCATTGTGAGACTTGAATGTGTGGTTTAAATTTCAGTTAAGTTTTTAAAATCTTTGATATGCTGGTTTGAGGGTTGCCCTGTACATGCATAGTTCAGGGCTTAGACTGAGGCTTGTACAAATTTATACACAGAATTCAGGATTCCTTTCTCTGGTTCTTTTCTCTCCGGGAGTCTTCCTACACTCTCTTTTTATCACTGGGTTTCAGCAATCTGACATTGGTGTGATGTATGCTGGTTTTCTTTGTGTTTATTCTGCTTGAGATTCACCAAACTTCTGGGTTTTGTGGGGTTTTCATTTTCATCAAATTAGGAAAAATTTGGCCATTATTTTTTCAAATATGTTTTCCATCCCTCTCCTCTTCTGGGAGTTCAGTTACACATGTTGGAAAATGTAATATGTTCTGTGTATTTCTGTTTTAGTCTTTTTTATCTTTGTTTTTAATTATATAGTTTTATTTCTATATCTATGTGTTCACTGATCTTTTCTTCTGCAGTTTTAAATATGCTATTAACCCCATCCAGTATATTTTACATTTCAGATATTATAATTTTTTCTATAAGTTTAATTTGAGTCTTTTCTGTATCTTCCATTTTCCTCCACATATTCATATCTTCCTTAACCTTCTAGAACATATGAAATATATTAATTCTATTGTCTGTGTCATTGATGGGTTAGTTTCTATTGATTGGTTTTTCTCCTGGTATGGTTCATATTTTTTTCCTACTTCTTTCTATGCCTGATAAATTTTGATTGAATGCTAGACATTTTGAATTTTGTTTTGGATGCCAGATATTACTGTATTTTTAAAAATACTGTTGTACTTTTTCTGTGACACACAAGTTACTTGGAATCAGTTTGATCCTTTCAAGGCTTTCTTTATAGGCTTTACTACATCAGGTTTAGAAAAGGCTTTAATCTGGGGCTAATTTTGCCCCACTACTAAGGTATTATTTGATGCCCTTTAAATTAGGAAGTCTTTGCATTATGGCTCATTGAAACATAACATATTCCCAGCCTTATTCATTTCCTATGTTTTTTTCCCTAGCCACTCATACAGAACAGATCTCCAGAGCTCTTTTTCTGTGCAGCTTCTTTTTCCCCAGTATTTCTTCCCTTCATATTCTAGCCACTCTGGACTCCCCAAATTCTGAATTCTTTCTCTGAAACTCAGTGAGATTACTGGGCTCTGTTTGGGTTTCACCTCCCTGTGCTATGGCCTGGACACTCTCCAGGCAGAAAGCTGGGGTAATCTTAGAGCTCACCTTGTTTGCTTTCCTTTTCTCAGGAATCCCTGGCCTGTGCTGCCTGTTGTCTAGTGATTGAAAACTATTATTTTATTTGCTTTATTTGGTTTGCTAGTTTTTTAAGGAGGAAGATAAAGGTTAGTCTTGTTAATTCATTACGGCAAGGAAGCAGATAATCTCTCAATCTTTAAATTTATTGAAACTAAAATTGGGTTTAAATTAGCATGGTTTTATTTTTGTGTTTTTCTAGTTACTCAGATATTCACCCAGACTTGTGTTTTAGTAAGTTGAAAAAAATAACAGAAATTGTTGGTTAGGATGGCTAGTGTTTAGTATTCTTTTCTTCCTTAATATTTATGTTGTTTCTGTTAGAGTCATAAAGGGCATGTATATACAGCATGCAGTTTTCCAATAACACAAATGTAAATTATGTCAAAGTTCACATTTCTAAGCTACTTACAGTGAGCAGCAGGACTAAGCTTGAGAAGGCTCTTCCTGTGAATAAACGTATTTCTGTATATAGAGACATGGCAAAGGTGATAATCCTTGTGTATGACAACATTTAAAATTGTTTTGAAATACTAGTATATAATTGTATAGGTGACAAAACATGTTCACCACTGTGGTCAGTGCTTTTAGGGAATAACCATGTCTGATTTATTACTTGATTTAATGTTAAAAATCACAATTTCTCCATTAGCATTGTACAAGAAGAAGACCCAAATGAAGAGCTTTCAAAAGATGAGTTCATTCTGAAGTTAAAGGCAGAAGTACAGCGTTTGCTGGGTAGCAACTCAATGAAGCGTCATCTGGTGTCTCAGTTACAAAATGACCTCAAAGACTGTCATAAGAAAATTGAAGATCTCCACCAAGTGAAGAAGGATGAAAAAAGCATTGAGGTTGAGGTATGTAAAGCCTATAGAGTTAAAAAACCATTTTTAAAAGGCTCAATAAAGAAAACTTTTACACTTTTTTTTTTTTGAGACAGGGCGTCACTCTGTCTTCCAGGCTGGAGGGCAGTGGTGGAAACATGGCTCCCTGTAGCCTCAACCTCCCAGGCTAAAGCGATGCTCCCACCTCAGCCTCCTGAGTAGCTGGGACCACAGGCGCACGCCACTATGCCTGGCTAATTTTTAAATTTTTTGTAGAGACAGGTTCCCACAATGTTGCCCAGGCTGGTCTCAAACTCCTGGGCTCAAGCAATCCTCCCACCTCAATCTCTCAAGGTGTTGGATTACAGGTGTGACTAACCACATCCAGCCCTTTTACATGTTTTTAAATTAATAAACCTTTGGCTTTCAGGAGTTTATTTGACATTTTTAGAAATAAAGTTTAAAGAAGGAAATGCCATTTTTAAAGGGATACTGACAGTCCCTGACTTAGGATGGTTTGACTTACAATTTTTAGACTTTACAGTGGTGGAAAAGTTATGTGCATTCAGTAGAAACCATATTTCAAGTACCTGTAAAACAGTTCTGTTTTTTACTTTCAGTACAGTGTTCAATAAATTTCATGAGATATTCAACAGTTTATTATAAATGAAGCTTTGCATTAGATGACTTTGCATAACTGTTGGCTATTATAAGTGTTCTGAGCACATTTAAGGTAGGCCAGGCTAAGCTATGGTTTTAATAGGTTAGATGCATTAAATGCATTTTTGACTTAATGATATTTTCAACTTATAATGATTTTATTAGGTGATAAACCCATTGTAAGTTGAAAAGCATCTGTATGTTTTTTCTGGTTACTCTTGGCACCTAGTAAATGAGATACCAATTAGGTAAAATTCCTTTACCATAAATACAAGGAAGTATTCTCTGTAACAAGGAATCTGCATTTCTTTAAGATTGGCTTTTACCAATAGTGCTCTAAAATCTAGTTAAAATAAATCCTCCATAGAAATCCTGTAGTATTTTCTATGAGATTTTCCTGGCCCATGTTCTTACAACAAAAGTCATTCTATATGAGGACATTAATTATATAGTGATGATGGTACAGATATTATATAGTGGTCGTGGTACTATGGGAAAGTACACAAAATCTGGTTTTGTCAGTCATTGAAATCCACCTCTGTATTCTTCAGTTCGGAAAATGAAGCTGGAGCACTTTGTGACACTTTTGAATTTACAGAGCCAATTTCAGACAAATTGAAACTAAACACATGACTAATAAGTAAGTCAAAGATATTTCTGTAAGATCATGCTATCACAGAGATCTTTAGGGCTGCTCTCCTTTATAGATCCTTTTTTTTACCCTTCCATATTTCACAAATCATCAGCCATCTATACTCCCAATAGAAAATAATATATAAAACACCTAATAACTAAGAAAAGCAAAAGAAGAGGGAAAAGGAATGTGGGTAGTATACTCCTTTTCCTCCTGGGTGGAGATAATTGTTTACTTCCTTCTTTAGTACTGTTTTATCTCCTATTTAAACTAGGAGTTGTGTTCATTAGAACAGTTCTGCTAAAGTATGTATAATATTCTGTGCTAATTATTGTGGAATTTTGATTGTGGTTAATTTTTATATTTTGGAAAAACAGTGTTTTTGCTATCAAAATCTTTTCCAGCCTGATTCCCTCTTCTGAGTAACTACATTTGATGACTAAAACATAGATTTTAATATTAACAGCAAATGAGAGAGACTCCTCCCCGCCCTGCCCCCTGCACATTTAACATCTTTAAATCAAGCTGTTTTCATTGTTGCCCTACATTTCTTTAAAAGGATGGGAATGAAAGCTTGTTTCTCAATTTGCATTAAGACATTAGAGTTTATTAGTTTAAGCATTTTGGTGGGAGTGCTCTAGGATTTAGGATACTAGAAACCTGATTTTGAGTCTGAACCTTAGCTCAGATATCTTGGTGCTTTCTTTGTTCTGTATTAAACTTGCTAATGGCATTTGCTATACAGATACACTTTATCATGTGTAGCAGTAGATAGTGGTCATGCATTGTACTGTTTTTTAGCCTTCCCATTTTCCTCTGTAGTCTGGTTGATCAATAGATCAAAGGAATAACTATCTCATCTTTGAGTATTCTTTTTGTCCAGCTACTCTATTGCCATAGTGAATTCTCGGTAGTGTACATCTAAACTCCAATTTTTCTCAAAGTTACTTCAGCTGTGGACTCAAGTGATCTGCCCACCTCCACCTCCCAAAGTGCTCGGATTACAAGGATGAGCCACTGTGTTGTGGCAAAGAGCTCAGAGTCCAGGTACACAACAAGTGAAACGGAGTAGATATATTTTTAAAATCTTTGTAACCCCCATCAATGAATAAAAAGAAAAGTAGATAAGGAAAACTCTCAGAGGAAAATATGCAAAGTTAAATGAACAGATAAATCTGGGAAGGTGGAAAAACAAATGAACAATGAAGGTATATAAGAGGTTCCACTTTGGTGGTGACACAAGAAATACAAATGAAAGCAATTGTTAGATATTCTTTTCCCATCAAAGATAATTATTTAAAGATAATCACTGCCATTGGAGGCAAAGAGAGATGGGCAGACCCATGTACTACCTGACAGTATACATTTGGATGACATTTCTGGAAGGCAATTCGCCAAAGTCTATCATGAGTCTTAAAAATTGTATGTATTGAATAAAATATATGTCCGTGAGTGAATGCTGACATAAATGAATACATACAGAAATAGAATAAATGCTTGATCTTAGTAGGAGAACATATGATGAGAAATAGGATATTTGTATTGTCTCAAAGTATCCTATAAGATACTTATCATTTATTATAAAACAAAAAATAGTAAGTTTACAATGGAGATGACAGATCCCACCTTCAATTGATTATTACCAGTGGTGAGACATAGTGATATCATGTGTCTCCTGCAAAGAGCACATATCAGTTCTTGACATGCATGCCAAAGATGCATAACCTGATTTTAATAAACCTAAAAACTCCAAATTGAGGAACATCCCACAAAATAACGGGTTAGTATTCTTAGAAAACATCATGGGTTTGAAAGACTGAAGAGCTGTCCTAGATTGGAGGAGACTAATGAAACATGACAACTAAATGCCACTCAGAATCATGGATTTGATCTTGGACCAGAAAACAGACATTTGGGGCAAATTGGAGACATTTGTATAAGGTCTGTAGATTACTTGATAGTATTGCATCTGTGTTAATTTACTAGTTTTGATGATTGTGCTGTAGTTATATTGGGGGAAGATGAGTAAAAGCTATATGGAGATTATTTGTACTGTTTGCAATTTTTTTAAAGTATGGAAGTATTTCAAAGTGAAACTTAGAATTTTTTAAAACTTGTAAAACTTTTGACCTTTTAATATTCAGACTAAAACAGATACCTCAGAAAAACCAAAGAATCAATTATGGCCTGAGTCTTCTACTTCTGATGTTGTCAGAGATGATATTCTGCTGCTTAAAAATGAAATTCAAGTTTTACAACAACAAAATCAGGTGATTAAAAATATTTTTTATATTTTATGAGAATTTTTATTTCCTCATTAAATACAAAGGATATAATAGAGTTTTTGCAAATAAAGAGGCAATGTGAGTTAGTAGACAAGTATATTAGCAGGTGATTATGAGTTCCAGTTACTTCCCTTTGCTAGTGAACTGTTGGTTAGTAGTTTCATTGGAAGGTAAGTTAGTGTAGTTCCAGTTCTCTTTCTCTATGGTAGCATGGCTGACAGAGGTATTCTTTCCTCCTTAGCCAGCTCTTGACCCAGAAGTAAAACTTTGCTTATTTAGATGGTTGCTGAAGATTATTGAATTCTGAGACTTATTTTAAGGCATCAGCTAGCCAATACTTCTCTGGTTAAATATTTTCATTTTATATATTTCAAAGTAAATACAAAATTTAAACGTTTAGTCCTGTCAGAAAACTACTTGTCAAATAAATGAATCTATGTTCTTATCAAAGCGTGAAGAGACTTTTTCTTTTGCAGAATTGTAAAAATAATATGTCAAATATTGTTATAGGGGAGAGAGAAAGCATAGAAAATATTAAAAAATAAGACAAAATCAATCAGTGAAAATGATGTTTATTTTCTGTAAGTACTAAGTTTATTCTTTTGTGTCTAGGAACTTAAAGAAACTGAAGGAAAACTGAGAAATACAAATCAAGACTTATGTAATCAAATGAGACAAATGGTACAAGATTTTGACCATGACAAACAAGAAGCTGTGGATAGGTAAGGTCTATATAGATGCCTGACGACTGTCTCCTGGGTACCCTTCCCCTCTAAGTCCCTGCCCTTCCCTGTGACAAAAAGATTCAAAATGATTGAGTGATTTCTACCCTGTTGAGATCTTGGATTGGCAGAGATGAGTCCCTGGCTTCTCAAATTAGAATTTGGAACACATTTTCCATAGAAACAGTGTTATGTAGTGGGTTGGGTTCTATAGTATCATTGAAACTGTAGTTCACTGAAATATTATAGGTTAATATTTTTTTAAAGACTCGTCTGGGAAACTATTCTTTATAAAGAAAAAAGTCTGTGAGAGGGAATATGTCTTCCAAATACCAAATCATAAACTTGGAAACAGACTTCTGGAACATAACTTACTTGTGAGTTGGGGACTGCTAGTATTTGTGTTTAATATAGATGACTTGAAATTTTGGAGCCACACCCTCAATTATTGCCATTAATTTTTTATAAACAGAAGTCCTCAACATAGATTACTATCTCTATTTGAAGGACTGGGGCAGTCTCACATCCAAGTTTCTAATTGTTCTCTAGAAACATTTGAAGAAAGAAAATTTTGAAGATTCTCATAAGATTGTTGGTTATTAATTAATTATTACCACTTTCAGTTGGGGAAAAGTTATCTGACCTCAATTATAATTTGCATTAGAGGGAAGAGGTGAGGAGGAAGGAAGGAAACCAATTCATTTTGGTGTTCGTAGTGAGACTGGGCATTGCCTTTGATTCCGCTCTGTTTCCAGGTGTGAAAGGACTTATCAGCAGCACCATGAAGCCATGAAAACTCAAATACGTGAAAGCCTATTAGCAAAGCATGCTTTGGAGAAGCAGCAGCTCTTTGAGGCTTATGAGAGAACTCATTTGCAACTGAGGTGAGAATAAAGAGTTTAGCTGCCTTTTAAGCTGTAGAGACTACATTCCCCTATTCCATAATTTAGAGGAAAATTGTTTGTTATGCAGCTCTTGTATTTTTTTGTGGTTAAATCATTTAGTTGCTGGTTTTGTGTATCCAAGGTCTGAGTTGGATAAGTTGAATAAGGAGGTGACTGCTGTGCAGGAATGTTACCTAGAAGTGTGCAGAGAGAAGGATAATCTAGAATTGACTCTCAGGAAGACCACTGAAAAGGAGCAACAGACTCAGGAGAAGGTACAGTACAAGTTTATGTTGTATCGACATCCTTTCACTCTTCAAGCCTCAGTATTATCATTTAAACGAATACATTTGTTCTAGAGAAGTGAATGGAGAAGGTATTCATATGTTCTCTTTACTTTTGGCTGTATCACACTCATATAGCTCACAAATAAAATACAGTAATTACTGAAATGATTATTAAAACCTTAATGTACAATGGCATATAGATAGGAGAAAGTGATTTTTTTTTTCTTGCAGATTTATTCTAAAGGGCAAAAAAAAAAAAAGGATCAGTGTCACTTTAAATCTGAAAATCACAGATCCTCATTTTCGGTGTTGACTGTTCAGGAAACCCTATGTAGTCCTGTGAGCGCTGCACGGAGCATTCGTTCAGAGCCCTTTTTCTCGGATCCATTTCTTTCTCACTACCTCATTGTCATTTTATTCTTCTGGGGAGAAGAGTAGGAATTTGAATGTTGGTCTCGTGATAGGGAAAGTGATGATATGGAGGATATGGACAGCAAGGTCAGCATCTTCGTATGACCTCCTTCAGGGAAGCTGGAGGGGCTAGAGTAGATTCTCCAACTCTGCCTGATTCTTCTGAGTCACTCTTGGTGAGTGTCCAGGAGTAAAATCACATGTAAACAGTCACACCTCCTCTTTTCTTCCCTGTCCTGGCCCAGTGCCTTAACAGGCCTGACTGTCCTTCACACTTTGGACCAGCGGCAAACCACAGTTTGAAAGCTATCTGCCTCAAGATTAGAAAATATTTTTAAATGCTTAAATAAATGTTCTATACAGAGGTTTTTGAATAAGTTATGTTAAAGCAAGCTATTACTACCACACACTTAAAAAGAATAGTAAAGAGCAGGCGAGGAATTCAGTTCATTCAATATCTTGATTATTGTTGAATAGATTAATATGGTGAAAAATGTGCCATGTATACATATCATCTAGTGGAAAAAGAACTTCTAAAGGGAGCTGTTTTAGGTAGGGATGGCAGTATAAAAGTGAGAAAGGATCTTATATTACCTTGAAATTGAGGACTTAGCTTTCAGTAATGTTTTAAAAATTAAAATAGGGAAATCACTAGTGTGATTCTTTTATATGTATAAAAATTGGCGGCCGGGCACAGTGGCTCACGCCTGTAATCCCAGCACTTTGGGAGGCCGAGACGGGCGGATCACGAGGTCAGGAGATCGAGACCATCCTGGCTAACACGGTGAAACCCCGTCTCTACTAAAAATACAAAAATTAGCCGGGCATGGTTGTGCGCGCCTGTAGTCCCAGCTACACGGGAGGCTGAGGCAGGAGAATGGCGTGAACCCGGGAGGCGGAGCTTGCAGTGAGTCGAGATTGCGCCACTGCACTCCAGCCTGGGCGACAGAGCGAAACTCCGTCTCTCAAAAAAAAAAAAAAAAAAAAAAAAAAAAAAAAATTGGCAAGAACATAAGAGGAATTTTCTCAAAGAGGTCATTCCAGGAATATTTTCTGATACTTTTAATAGAATCAATTTGACTATAAAATATGATCTCATATAATGGGTCAGTTACAATTAGTATCTGCTATTGACTGATATTTTGGCTCATGAGTGTTTGTACACAAGTCCAAGAAGAAAAGTTAAACTGCTATTTGATCCTTCAAAAAAAAACCAAACTTAGAGGTTAAATTTTTCACGTGTATCCCAAAACTTAAAGTATAATTAAAAAAAAATTTTAATTGTTATACAGTAAAATTGACTTCCTCCCACCACTGGGCGTATAGTTCTATAAACCTTTAACACGTTTATAGTTTTGTCAGGATACAGAACAGTTTTATCACCCTAAAACGCTCCCTTTTGCTATCTTTTTGTGGTTACACTCCTCCTCCAAACCCACCCCTCACTTAAAGGGCCAGTGTACTTAAAGCATTAGAAGTTTAATTTCTTCCCTCTCTGGGAATTCATTAGTTTTTTACTATAGAATTATATAAGCCCTTAGTAGTATAAGCCAGTCAGAACTGAAACATCTTTATATTTAGGAGACTGTCTAATCTTCTCACATTTTTCAGAGGTAGGCAAAAATACACCTTTTTTTTTTTTTTAAAGGAAATGTTTCACATACATGGGAGAATGTTACTAAACTCTAGAACAAGTGAGGGCACTTCTGGGGTAGCTCTTCCATGCAGGACATAAGCCATTTTACTGCAGCTTAGCTTTAGGTAGGGAATTTAACCTGGATACAGAATATATGAGTCAGGTAACAATAAGAGTTAAAGGGTGTTTTTTTATGTTTCATGCATTGTTTTCTGAAACACTTGCTGAGTCAGGTTGCAGGTTAAATAGGAGCTCAATTCCAAGTTTTAAAGCTTTTAGTAGCACACAGAACTTTCCTCACATGTTAACCTGGCTCATTGAGAGAAAGGGGGAAAAAATCATATACACGGAATCCTTCAGGTTGGGTAGTAATCAGTGAAGCCTATGAATTTGCAGACAAGGCAAAGATGGTCAACATTCCCATTCCTGATGCCATTTCTATGCACATTAAGGCTTATTTATACAATTGTAATATGAGTTAGGTAGGTGCATTTTAGAAGTTAGAGGGATTTTTTTTGCTATCCAAGACACGCACAACAAGTTCATGTTTTAACTTGGAGACTGTTAGTGTTGTAGAGAGATGTTTATTTGAATTTTGTTTAAAGAGACAGCTATTGGAGGAAAGAGAAGAATATGTAAGCAAACTGCAGGTGGAACTTGAAAAAAAGTACCAAGATACACTTATGATGGAAAAGAGCAAGTGGCTGAAAGATCAAGAAACTGATATTAAACAGCAAGTTGAAAGTGAAGTGATCTTAGCCAAAGCACATTGGGATAAGGAAGAGCAAGAGGTGTGGATTAAAATTTCTTTCTGGTCACCACATTTTTAAAATGTGGTACTAACTTTAGAAGACAATTCTTCTTGAACCAGATACGTAATTTTTATTTGCCAGGCACTTACATAATCATCCATTTTACCTTTTGGAATTGAGCTATTAGCAGTTACCACACCAGTTTTATTTTTAGGAATTTAGCCACCTCTTGACTTTTCGACCCAACTCAGGATATAACAAGTTTTTTGGGCACTTCTTTGATTCCTCAAAATGAAACCATGATCTGATTTCATATTGTGGAATGATTATAACTCTAGACTAATATTTATAACTAACAAATAAGCCATATCATGGATTAGAAACAAAGAAGTAATGGGCAGTCTCAGAAGCCCATAATTTGTTACCTCTATTACTTAAATAGCAAATGAGATTAGGAAATGCTAATAGTTCCCTAGCAAGTTAGGGAACAAAGTATGATCCTAAAAGCTTATTTAGAAATGAAAACAAAAAAGAATTCTCAAGCTTATTTAAACTAAATTTTTTTTTTCCTTTTTTGAGACGGAGCCTCGCTCTGTCTCCAGGCTGGAGTGCAGTGGTGTGATCTCGGCTCACTGCAACCTCCACCTCCCGAGTTCAAGTGATTCTCCTGCCTCAGCCTCCTGAGTAGCTGGGATTACAGGCAAGCGCCACCACACCCAGCTAATTTTTATATTTTTAGTAGAGATGGGGTTTCGCCATGTTGGCCAGGCTGGTCTTGAACTCCTGACCTCAGGTGATCCGCCTGCCTCAGCCTCCCAAAGTGCTGGGATTACAGGCATGAGCCACTGCACCTGGCCTCAACTAGATTCTTTTATCTACAAAATGGCTATTAATTGCTATTGATCTGGTAGCCAGGGAAACAGTAGGAGAACTTCAGATACCCAGGTGGTGAACAGAAAAAGGGAAAACCAAATTGTGCAGTTTCATAGTTTTGCCTAAGACTGTGTTTAGCTCCACCTCACTGTACTGTTAAAGTGGAAAAATCATTAAGATGTTCTTCCAATAATACTGCCTCCCTTTTGAATGTAGTCTACTTAGTAAAATTTAACACTATAACAAATAAGATTCTAATGTGTTCAAGTGAGTAAAACTATTTTTTAGATTGTTCAGGTTTTGGTTCGTTAATTAGATTTACTCGGTCCTTTGTGGAGAGCATGGTGTTGATGGCAAAACACATTAACTGTAATTTTTTTTTTTTTAAATCCTGCCATCTTTGTAGTGGCAATAGGAAAGATTCCAGAAGGTTGGATATTAAGAGCAAGATATCCTGACTTTACACAACATACTTAAATCTTTCATGTGATTTTTGTCATATAGTTAAGTTCAAAGAGTAACTTTCAAGTTTTACTTGAGAGTGTATTTTAATTGACTAAATTTCTAAACCTTTTATAATTACTACAACAATATCTAGATGGTTTTCAAACACAGCTGTGGTTGCTTTTCTGGCTAGCTTTTAATTCTAGTTTTTACTTATTTGAAAATTGTTCTTCTCGTATGATTTTTCTTCTGAAAACAGATCAAAGAAAAACTCATTCAACAGCTTGAAAAGGAGTGGCAGTCTAAGCTGGATCAAACTATAAAGGCAATGAAAAAGAAGACCTTAGATTGTGGCAGCCAAACTGACCAAGTAACCACCAGTGATGTTATTTCCAAGAAAGAGATGGCAATTATGATAGAAGAGCAGAAGTGCACAATCCAGCAAAACTTAGAACAAGAGAAGGACATAGCCATCAAGGGGGCTATGAAGAAACTCGAAATTGAATTGGAACTCAAACATTGTGAAAATATTACCAAACAGGTAAAAGGCAGATTTATTCTAGTAAATTTATTGGAACTGCCTGTCTCTTAATGAAAACCCATACAATGCTATCATTGAACTCGTTCATAACTTTATACTTTTAAGATTTTGTGCATTTCTAGGATAGAAAACCTGTCATGTTCCTAAATTTTTCTTCATAATATTTCTGTCATAAAGCTGCCACCCCTCGGTTTTTCTGTATATTCTTTCGGTTTACAAAATATTTGCTCCTTTGAGATTAGTCTAAGCATTAAGATGCCCAAGGTTAAAGAGGGTGCTTTTTACATCTGAATGAATCACAGTTTAATTATTAATCTTTCATATCTAATTTTTTAGAAAATATTCCACTAAGGTGGTTATAGATAAGTAAACCTAAGCACATAAGGTATTTAACAACATTGTGTGGAGACTTGATGTGGTTGGATCTGCAGGCGTGCCCTTAAATGGAACTTTATCTATCATTCCCATCAGCTTTCCAAAAGTGGTGCCAATACCTTTCCTTTGAGGCACTCACAAAACTAGCTTTTAACTGACACAGTTACTTGATTTGAAAGAAATGTCATACTGAGAAAAGTACAGCCTATTGTGACAGAATAAAGATGAGTTATCTGTTATATCTTTCTTACCTATTACAGTGATTCTCAAAATTTTGGTCCCAGGACTCCTTTACAATTTTAAAAATTGGGGACTCTAAAGAGCTTCTGTTTGTGTGGTTTATATTTACACTATTGGAAAATCTGAGAAATTTTTAAAAAACAAAAATACCCAAGCACACATTCCACTGACTGTCAGAACAATGACATGATCACAGCATGCAGCTTTTGGAGAACTGTGCTGTTTATGCATGAGAGAACAGCAATAAAACAGATAGTGTCTTAATATTATTTTGGAAAAAGTTTTGACCTCACAGACTACCTGACAGGGTTTCTAGCCTCAAGAGTTCCTTGGACTTTGATACATCCGTTATGTAGTTATTTTAATTTTATTACTTATTATAAACTCTTAAACAAGATAGCACTCAATGTAAAGTTTTTGAAAATACACTCTACTTTTGATAAATACTTGAAATTCTGCTTATTTGTTACATTGTTCTACGTGATTTTACAGGGCACCTTTAAAGTCTGGAAATACAGGCAAATATATGTAATGGTGCCAAGGATATCTTCAGTTAGTTTACCGAAATGTTTACTGAAGGGGGTTTCAAAAGAGTTAAGAAAACGTTCCACAGACAAAAAGTTGAGTTTAAAGGTGCTGCTTTGGTATTTATGAAATTATTAATCTTAAATAGCATAATACAGCAGAAAGGAAATATTTCATAATAACTTTTTAAGTAGATAAATTTCTACAGGAGCTTTATCTTTTCCCCATTTCTTAACTCCTTGGAGTTTGTACGTAGACAGAGTTTACACATTGACATATTTAGCACTTTAACGAGAAATACAGCCTCTTATATCAACCCTGCTTTTGTGTTGTATGTACGTATATATACATATATCTGCATATCTGTGTGTATTTTAAAATAAAGGAATAAGGTAAAATTATTTAACATAATCTTCTGGTAACTAGTGGCAGATTTACAACCAGATGACCCTCATAATTAATCAAGTCTTAATTTTTTCCCTTCAGAGGTATCACCCTCATTCTTTAGTATAAACTCATTCTCGACAGTAGGAAAGTTCGCAGGTGTAGGGCTCTAAACTAGATCAGTGTATGTGTTCATGCACATGTGTAGAGCATGAGGAGTCAGGAAGGTGGTGGGTGTAGTGATTAGACAGCAGTTGGCACCAAGCAGTCCTCCAGGAGGCCTTCTCTTTCCCAGGATAAATAGGAGTTGTTAGAAATGGTAATTGGTACCTCGTATGACACTTTCTAAGATAGTACTGGTCATCAAACATTCACAGATTCCCACTTCCTCTGTTGCATTTGTATGGGATGCTATGGGAAGTTTACAACAAAAGGATTAGAATCCACTGTTTGGGATAGGTAGGGTACTTGCAGTCAGTTTGACTTTATTATGTAGTGATATACAGTATAAAATACTGAAATCATAATTGCTGTTTAAAAATGGGATCTTTTTTAAGTTTTATACTTCCCTTTACCTCTTTCTTTTGCAATGTCCTACAGGTAGAAATAGCTGTGCAAAATGCTCATCAGCGATGGCTGGGAGAACTACCAGAGCTGGCAGAGTATCAAGCACTTGTGAAGGCAGAACAGAAAAAGTGGGAAGAACAGCATGAGGTCTCTGTGAACAAAAGGGTAAGAGCTCTTCTGCAAAGACACTTCAGGAGGCTGTCTTACCTGACCCCTTCTCTTATCTCAGTCCTTGGAATTTGTACCTACTCATAGAATTGTTGAAGGATAAACATGTTGATACATGTTAAGCAATAGCTCAAAGCCTAGCAAGTGTTCTTGTCATCATCAAGTTGTTCTTAGAGAAAGAATGTATTTTCCTATGAGGATAACTTAGAAACTATTTAATAACTCCCATTCTATCTTGCCCTATCTTTAGATGAAATTGAGAACAGGTATATATTTGTTTATTATTAGCTATACAGTATCCTTTCACATGCTTAAAGATTGTTTTCTCTGTTGTGTTAGTAGTCTTGTAACATTCTTCTTGGTAAATAGCCAGTTCTCCTTTCCAGAAATGTCATGTTTCTTGACTGGAAAATACAGATATTATAACCATGTGTACTCTTCCAACTTAATTACTGGTTTAAACCAATTCTAATCAAAATGCCAACAAACTGAATGTATTTGAAGTTGACAAAATAATTCTATAAAATGTTTTTGGAAAAATAAAAGGACTAGATGTTTTTTAATGTTCTGGAAAAATTATAGTCAAGCCCTAACACATAATGGAATATATTGGAAAGCAACAACTCAGACTGTATTGAGTCACAAAAATAGAATTCATTTTAATTCAGTGCAATACAGGTTTCAGAGGTAGGCCCTACTATAAATAAAAGCTTAATAAATTGTTTTAAAACAAGGGAATGAGGAATTATTTCATAATAGTCTTATGATAGCCAGGTAACACTTTGGAAAAATTAAGTTTACCCAACGTGTATCACAATAAATTCTAGGTTAATGAAGGAGTTAAACATTTTTAAATAAAAGTGTAGAAAAATTAAAAGAAAATTGAAGATTTCAGATCTGTACCATAATAACAACTCAGTTTTGAGGCAACATATCCAATAGCAAAGATAAAGTAATAGGTTGAAATATGTTTTGTTTTTGTAGTAAAAAGTAAAGGGAATAATAAAAATAAGAAAAATGGATAACACATGATAAATTATAATCTATATTTTTTAGTATGTCTGAAATATTTTAAAAGGAAATTTAAGAGGGAGAGAGAGAAGAAACAATATGATTGTGAGGATATGTGTCTCAGAGCTCAGAAGTCAAGTAGAATAGTAAAGTTGAGTACAATGTAGAAAATAAAACAGGCCAAGAGATCTTTTCATAAGAACATAGAAGGCTGTATGTTTGTGAAAGCAGACATATAGAAATGAGAGAAAAGTGTTTTTGTTGCTTCTCAAACTTCAGCAGGCCTGAGAATCACTTGCAGGGTTTGTTAAAGCATAGCTATCTGGGCTTTCCTCCTAGAGATAATGATATAGTAGGTCTGGAGGGTGTCCTGGGAATTTGCCTTTTTTTTTTTTTTTTTTTGAGATGGAGTCTTGCTGTGTTTCCCAGGCTGGAGTGCAGTGGCACAATCTCAGCTCACTGCAACCTCTACCTCCTGGGTTCAAGCGATTCTCCTGCCTCTGCCTCCCAAGTAGCTGGGATTATAGGTGCCCGCTACCTCGCCTGGCTAATTTTTGTATTTTTAGTAGAGATGAGGTTTCACCATATTGGCCAGGCTGGTCTTGAACTCCTGATCTCAGATGATCTTGCCCACCTCGGCCTCCCAAAGTGCTGGGATTACAGGTGGGAGTCACCGCACCTGGCTGGAATTTGCATTTCTAACAGGCTCCCAGCTGGTCTTTGGACTACACTTGGATGTAAGTAGCACTATTCCAGATAATTATATCAGCCACAAAAAATAATGTCAACATGTTGTGCATCCTTCCTCCAAACCAAAAGAGGTCCAGAAAGGGCCGGTTCCATAGCATTGGCTATAGAGTTATTTTAAGATTAGAGTGATTAGTTGAGATCTGTGACAGTGTGAAGACAGTTTCTAGAATTCAGAAGTAGTTAAGTTGGTTCAGTGGTTCTCAAACTTTGCTGCACATTGGAATAACTTGAGGATCTTTAAAAAATACTGTTGCCTGGCCCCTACCCTTAAACTTTGTTTTGTATGGGCCCTGGCCTGGGCATCAGGATTTTTAAAAGCTGCTCAGGTGATTCTAATGTGCAGCAAAGTTTGGGAAGCACTGAGTTGATGAATGCTGTCAAATTCTCTTTGTAAAACTTCACATGAGAAAATGCACATTTTGGTAAGGTTGGGCAGGTTATAAAAATTCTGTGGAATCCATCACCTCTATCCGAGTCACCTGGGAATGACTTCCAGGCATCCATTGCAACATGACCTGTTTTCTCTAAAAACACTATTTAAACATGTTTCAAATCACTACTGAATTATTCTGCTGGTAGCAAAGGAATTTTGCAGTGAATTCTTTTGTAAAGCTCACCTTAGATAGTGGGTTCCTTTAGCAGAAAATTTATTTAGTAGGTACTCTATCCCATCATCCCAGCCATATATATAGTATTGATCAATGGTAACCACCATTGTCTAGGCCAAGCCTTTGGAGATGCCCAGTTCTGTCTTTTGACACTAGTGCGTCCTTGTGCCTTCTTTGAATTCAGTTAGGAATTCAGTCAGGAATATTAAAAGTGAAAGGGACTCAAGGCCATTATCTACTCTACTCCTTTATATAGGTGAAGATGTTAGTGCCAAAGAGATTAAGTGACTTTTGCAAGGCCATGCATCCAAAAGTAATAACTACATAAGATTTATTGAGTCCTTATCATCTGCCAGGCTCTGGGCTAAGTACTTTAAATGGATTATGTCCTTATGTCATTTAATCCTAAAGGATGCTATCAAATTGGCATTGTAATTATCCCCATTTTATAGATGAGGAAATTGAGGCTCAAAGAAGTTGAGGAATGGGCCTTTAGTTCTTCAGCTGGTAAGTTAATTCCAGCAGTTTGTCTCCAGATTCTGTTCTGTTAAGCATCTGTGCTAGGCTTCCTCTGCAAATTGGTGTCAGGATTGGAGCTTAGGTTTTTTGATTTCGCTATTACTTTTTAGTTATGTACTACCTGTTTTTTTCTGTGATCCACTAGTTCTATTATTCTGTCATACAAACAAATTAGACTAATGAAAAATGACTTTTTCTGTTTGGTATTGTCCTTTAATGAACTGTTCTAGCCACTAAAAGTGCATTAAAATACAGTTACACTTATCAGCAAGTAATTATGCAGGTGTGTGCTATATTCCTAAGTAATAGTAAAAAATCCTTATGAGTCCGCTTTTGCTTTAGGTAAAAGATACTTAATTTGTTGGGGGCACAGATAAAATTTGAGATTGTATCTGTATTAAGAAAAGTAATATGAAATTTTTTCTCACATTAGTTTTGGCTAATTATATAATTATATGTGTGAGTGTTTATGTGTCTATACATACATATAAACATATTTATGTATATATTTTGACCAATTTTAGTGTAAGTATAGTTTTTAGAATAATGTCTTATCTAAAATCATGTTTCCTTTTAATTTTGATTTTACATTTCCTAGCTTCAGAGGTTAACCAAAATAGTTACCTTAATTTTTTTGCGAAGGAGGAGAATCATAAAGACTTTCAAAATGCATGTTGTTATGTTCTTTAGATATCATTTGCTGTTTCTGAAGCTAAAGAGAAATGGAAGAGTGAGCTTGAAAATATGAGGAAAAATATACTTCCTGGAAAGGAATTGGAAGAGAAGATTCATTCTCTTCAGAAGGAACTTGAGTTAAAGAACGAAGAAGTCCCTGTGGTCATCAGGGCTGAGTTAGCTAAGGCTCGGAGTGAATGGAACAAAGAAAAGCAAGAAGAAATCCACAGAATCCAAGAACAAAATGAGCAAGATTACCGGCAATTTTTAGATGATCACCGAAATAAAATTAATGAGGTGCTTGCGGCAGCTAAAGAAGACTTTATGAAACAAAAAACTGAACTACTTCTTCAGAAGGAGACAGAATTACAAACTTGTCTAGACCAGAGTCGTAGAGAATGGACTATGCAGGAAGCCAAGCGGATCCAACTGGAAATCTATCAGTATGAGGAAGACATCCTGACTGTACTTGGGGTTCTTTTAAGTGATACCCAAAAGGAGCACATCAGTGATTCTGAGGACAAGCAGCTTTTGGAAATCATGTCGACTTGTTCTTCAAAATGGATGTCTGTGCAATATTTTGAAAAACTAAAGGGCTGCATACAGAAAGCATTTCAAGATACACTTCCTCTGCTTGTAGAAAACGCTGACCCAGAATGGAAAAAGGTATGTTCCTGAGAGTGAGAGAAGGTATTGAACACCAAGAATGATTATAGAAGTTGTATATAGTGTTTTTTCCTTTTTTCCTTTTAAATTTTAGTAGATGTAAGTCTTATGTTTTTGTCAGTGGTTTAAAAAAGTTTCTGTAGCGAAATCCAAAGGTTTGCATGTTTCGTTGCCAAAAAACTTTACTACTTCATAGTGTCACAAATACAAGACAAGATTTTAGCCTCTAAATATCTTTTTCCTAAAGAATATTTAGGACAAATACCTAATGCATGCGGGGCCTAAAACCTAGATGACAGGTTGATAGGTGCAGCAAACCACCATGGCACATGTATACCTATGTAGTAAACCTTCACGTTCAGCACATGTATCCCAGAACTTAAAATAAAATAAAGAATATATGCTGTTCTTTCTAAGGGCCTGAGATTTCAGAAACTGAAAATTTTTTTTTCAAAATTCTGTTTTCTGGGCCTGACCACTTCATGAAATATGCATAATAAGAGTTTCTTAAAAGCTTGTAAAGAGTTTGGAAGCCTATTTATTGCCCTCAATAAATTTATGTCTCATTTAGGCAAAAAAATGCCAACCAAGTACAAAGGTATTGATATAGAAACAAGCAAATAAATACGACTCACTCGCATAAAACTCTGAAGCCCAGTTTCTGGATGTACTATATATGTGCATATAGAATTAATTATATTCTTTTAGTTATATAAGTACTCTCTGAGACCAGCTTTTAATTTGTATGAAAGTTTCAGTAAAACCAAATTCTTGCTACCTTATGATCAAAGCAATTAGGTATGCATGAAAGATCCAGAATGATATTCTGAGCATGGTGATTAGCCAATTTCAACATTTGGGATTAGAGGCAGGAAAAAAAAAAAAGCCAGTATTATAAGGTTTGTCTAATAGAGTTGAGACTTAAGAGTGAAGTTCCATCAAAATATTGTGATTAAGGAGTTTCAAGGCCAGGATTGAGCATTTGGTATTAATACCTACTTGGGAGAGTTATAAACTAGAAAAAATAACCTTGAGTTTCAGTTCCATATTCGATGATAACTAGATTATTATATTGGGCAATCACATAGTTGCTCACTGGAAAAATAAAATACAAATCCCCGGCCTAATTCCTTGGGTTTGGGTAGGATATGCATGGCACAGCTTAGCCTTTCTGGGTCCTGCATTTGAAACAGTATAGAATTTTAGAGCCAGAAGGGACCTGAAAGATCAGCTCACTCCATCCTACTTCACCCCAGTTGATATTTTTATCCTTGACCTCACAAAGATGTTGCTACCGAGTAGTTGCCTTCAATGTAAAATTTACTGGGCAAGATCACTTCCCATGAATACTGCTTCACACTTAATTGAGATTTTTTGGAGAAAATAATTAAAATAACTTGGAGAAAACATATAATTAAAAAATTATAGCAGATTTGGAGATGAGAAATGATGGGAAAATCATGTTTACATGCTTTCGTTTGTAAGCATGTTTCGATTTTTATAACAGTTATAAAATCTGTTATAAAAATCAAGAAACTATGACACCTTTCTCCTACCATTAATATATACATATAAAATCAACCCTGGAGTCTTTTTACAGGGCTTATAATTGTGCAAGCAGTATAAGATCATCTGTGTGACTTAATGAGGCTCATAAGTCTATGGAGACAGAATCACATAATCTGGCTAAGAATTTAGATGTTTACGGCTTTTGTTGGGTGGGTCAGATTCCATTCCTGAGAAAAGGATGGCTTTGAAATGCCTAATCTGGAATTTGTCATAGAAGTAATACTTGACCTTCTGCCATTTTCGAGCTATCTTCACTCAGGACCTTGAGGTAAAGCTATGATTATAGAGCAGTGATTTTAAATTTGTTACATAGGTGCTGTAAATGTGAGGAACTATAATTTATAATTTATTAACTCTCTAGTTTTAAAAATTGTTCATGGAAATTAAAACAAAAGATGGTTTATTAATATATAAAAACAAGTCCTCATTAAAATAACTGAGACAATCAAAAGTTTTTTTAAATGGAGAGGATGCAATGAATGAAAAATATAGCTTTCAAGAAAATGAATGCCATATCAAAATATATTAATACAGTAGTTCATAACAGATAAAACAAATATCAAATGGAACAAAATTTTCAAGCAAACTTAAGGATGTATGTTGTCTCTTTTACCATCAAAGTCAAGTTAAAACTGAGACAAAAAGGTTGTTGCTTTTCTCCCTTTTCTGTTATCTTGACTTTTCTTCCCCAGTTTTGAGTAAAAACTGGAAGCACTGACTGCATTTTGGTTCAGCTTTTCCTACTCCTTTTGACCTCAAACCCATAGCTTCTTGATTGCCTCTTCTCTATAATTGCTAACCTCTGCTTCTGTTGGACATTGTAAGTAGGTTTTCTGACAGTCAATTAAGTGGTTTCTCATAATCAAAATCAAGGCTTCTAGAATCAGGCATATATAGTATGTTTTAAATAATCAGTAAGACTACTTTCTCCATACCACCTATTCTGTTCCTTTCCGATTTAGTAGTCATCTTAAATCTGAAAACATTACCATAAAAATCCATTGATTTGGCTGAGCGTGGTGGCTCACACCTGTAATCCCAGTACTTTGGGAGGCCAAAGCAGGCGGATCACGAGGGTTGAGGCAGGAGAATCGCTTGAACTGGGAGGTGGAGGTTGCAGTGAGCTGAGATCGCGCCAATGCCCTTCAGCCTGGCCGATAGAGGAGGACTCCATCTCAAAACAAAAACCAAAAATGAAAAATCCATTGATTTAGTAGCTGTATTGCTGTGACAAGGACTGGAACATAAAAACGTTCAATAAATATTAGTGAAGAAATGGTCTTGTGCAAGATGTTTAATTTAGCTAAGCCTCAGTTTCTGTCCTTAACTTTGGCATTCAGCTGGCCTTCCTTACAAAATTACTGTGTATGTTAAAGTATTTAGAAGCATATGAAGTACTATATAAATTTAAAATGATTTTTAACTGTTATTTTCAATTCATAGGAGGCAGAGGGTTAGCATTATACTTGCTAATTAACTTGTTCCTTGCTGTAGTAAAAATGTTCTAGATTTTCAAGAACAATTCTGATTTTATATTGTCTTTCATGTGGTTTAATCACGTAAACCATTGAAAAATCTCAAATTCACATATATAATGTGCAAACCATATCTTCTGTCTGTCTCATAGCTGCCCACCAGTCGCCTGTCAGACAGTGTTCTTATTTGGAAAGTTTCATAGGAAGCTAGTTCCTAGTACAGTGACAGTACTTATATAACACCCTAAGAAAAATATTGGCGATAGATAGTTCAGGCAAGATTTTTTTCAGGTAGTGTTTTCTCTTTGTATTTTTAATATTAGCATTTTAAATATAAAATTGTATAAAGATTTTTACTAAGCATTAACTTTGAAGATACTTTATTTCAGAGAAATATGGCCGAGCTCTCTAAGGATTCTGCCAGCCAGGGCACTGGCCAAGGAGACCCTGGACCTGCTGCTGGACACCATGCTCAGCCCTTGGCCTTACAAGCAACAGAAGCAGAAGCTGGTAATTGGATTTTGTTCCCACCAGTCTTTGTAGCATCCATAATCACCCATCTGAAGGGTTGCTTTGAGGATAAAAGGAGATCATAGATGTGAACAAATGGGTAATAATCGTCTGACTTAATGTCCCCTCTTCCTAGATTTCATTTTGTATTTAGATAAGAGGGTTAATTTAGGCCCTCTTCTTCTATTTATGGTTTTCCCTTCATTCACAACTGATTCTTGTTACAAGGAGAATCATGAGAGTTTTAATGGAGAAGTCATGTTTTTATTCCCTGAAATCAAGGGTTTCACATCAGAGAATTGCCAAGTAATACAGACTTTTTCATTCAAATTACTGAAACTAATTTCAATCACTTTTTAATGGAAATCTTTCTGAAATGTATTAGATGTTTTCTAATTGATTTGTGAGTTTTTCTGAGGGCCTGGGCAGTGTTTTTAATCTCTTCCTTTCCAACGTATGGCAGAGTGATGAATTAATAGTTTAACTTTTCCTTAATGACTTAGACTCTTCATCATGACAAAAGAATTCTTATACTGTACTAGAGCCGCTTGTATTCAGAGCTTACTGAGGAGTATAGGACTTATATTGCCTATTCATGGAGATTTCAGAGCTAGAAATTTGCAAATCCTTTATTAGCTCCCATCTCTTTTAGCTTCTTGACCCTTTGCAGCCTACTCCTTTCCTCCCCACACAAACGCAACAGCCTCTCTCTGCTGCTTATTTGCTGTTTCTAATGTAACCTGGAAAAGAACTAATAATTGCCAAGGCCAGTCATACCTACTAAGTAAATAACCTCAGTTTGCACACATTTCTAATTCAGAAGGCAATGTTACCAGAATCTTAGAGAATCTCTGCCTATACCATCTCTGCCTTTCTCATTGTTCACAAACCCTTTTCCCCTACTTCTAGGTTCTAGGTGGCTGAGAATATCTTACTGCCAATTCAGTGGATGATAATATTACCTTAATTTGTATTTTGCATTGTACTTTTTATGCCCTGTTTGGAATAGCCTGAGAATTCTATCTTAATCTGTGAAATGAATGGGTAGAAACAAGTTTTGGATGTTACTTAGCTTTAGGAAGTCCTATAAATATAAAAGCAATTAGTTTTGGCCAAAGAAAAATCAGACTATAAAAATATTTTTCTTTAGTCTTTTTTCCCTTAAAAACAAACACATTAATAAATTCATTAGAAAGGATTAAATAATACAAAACATGTATTAAGTGATAAAGTCCTTTAAAATCCTACCACCAGAGAGTACCACTGTTGGATGTTTGGTTATGTTGTCCTAATATCTCATTATTATTTGAAGTACTTAAAACATTAATTATGAAATACTTAGTTCATTCAAAGAATATATGTATGCATCTGTAAGTTATGAAGCCTAGCAACCAGGAACCCATTATTCAGCTTAAGGTACAGAACATCACCAGTGCTGTTGACCACAGTTCTATGCCTGCAACCTCTCCCCAGTCTGAGCTAACAAATATTCTGATTTTCAAAAATTACTGTCTTTTTTAATGTTTTAATTATGTGTATGTACCCTCAAAAAGTTGTTGCCTTTTTGTGTTTTAACATTATAAAAATAGTTTAATACTCTATATTCTTTGTAACTTGCTTTTTTCCTGTTTAACAGCATGCTACTAAGATTTGTCTGTGTTGATGCAATAGCTCTAGTTCATTCATTTTCATTGCTACATAGTATTTCAGTGTATGAATATACTATGAGTTATCTGTTCTCTTGTTAGTGGTATTTGCACGAGTTCCAATTTTACAACAGTATCCTAGATGAAAAATATAAATGCAATTTATGGTACCATTGTGATGTTTCATTAATCCTTTAATGTTCATTAACATAAATGGCACCACTTAAATCAAACTAAAATGTCAGGAGAGAGCTAAGAATAATTTTGCTGGATCAATGACTTTACAGTAACATTTTGGCCCCTGAGCCTGTGCTAACTTGTATTCCTGCTTTATTATATCACTTATGTTAATAGTCTACTTTTTAATCATTTTTGTATATTTTAATTTTATAAATTTTATGTATTACTAATGACAATGTCTGTTATTTATTGTGTACTTGCTCTGTGCCAGCTACTGTGCCAAACAGTTCTTATATATTTACGTCTTCTAAAAGTTTTAAATCATTTTTTAAACTTGGAAATAATTTCAAACATATAGAAAAATAGCAAAAAGAAAAATAGTTGCGAAGAACATTCACATACCCTTTAATGAGATACACCTATTATTAACATTTTACTCCATTTTGTGCTCTTATGTATATATGTGTATGTGAATATTTCATTTTTTTATGAACCATTGGAGGGTAAGTTATATATACATTGTGACTTTTATGGCTAAGTACTTCAGACTGTATTTTCCAGGAATATGAATATTTTCTTGTTTAACCTTAGTACAGTAAATTTAACATTAAAGTATTGTATTAATCTACTGTTGTATTCTAATTTTGTCAATTGACCCAATAATGTCTTATAGCATTTTTTTTTTCTCTTCCAGTACAGACGTTTGTCTAGGGTCAGCTGTTACATTTAGTTGTAATGTATCTTTAGCCTCCTTTAATCTAGAACATTTCCACAGCCTCTCTTTGTCTTTCATGACATTGACATTTTTGAGAAATATTCTCTGCTTCCACCTTCATTTTTTTTTAACAGAACTTTTCTCATTTGGGGTTTGTCTGGTGTTTCTTCATGGTTGATTCAGGTTGTGTTTTCTCAGCTGGAGCACTGCAAGGGGTGATATGTTGTTACATCTAAAAATTGTGGTGTCCATATGTCTTATTGGTGAGGTTACTTTTCATTACCTAGTGAATATGTTGTCTAATTTCTTCACTATATAATTACTGTTTTTTTTTCACCCTTGCTTATCAGTTGATAAGCAATCTGTGGGAGACACTTTTTAAGACCATGCAAATATCTTCCTCTCATGAAAACCTTCTCTTATATTTGGCAACCGTTGATGATTCTTGCTTGATCCAGTCTTTACTATGGTGGTTGTGAAATTATAATTCTTCCAACTTCCTCCCTCTATTTATCCCAGTTGGCACTAAGCATGTTGAATCAAGAATCCTTTCCTCTCATTTGTGTATTTATTTTATCTCTCTGTCCATCGATCCATCTACCTACCTACTTACCAACCCACTTACCTACCTACCATTCATAAAATTATTGGTATGACTCATAAATTCCTATTTTTAATACTTTATAATTCATTACTATATTTCATTAGTGCTCAAATTGTCCCAGATTCAGCTAGTGGAGCTCCTTCAAACTGGCTCCTATGTCCTTGTGACATGCCTGTATTTTTGAGTACTTTCTTACTTTCTGGCATAGGAAGATATTTCAGTCTTATTTTGTATATACCCTCCCCAGTACTGGAGTCAGCCATTTCTTGAAGATCCTTGACTCCCTTTAGTAGGGAATGGTATTCAATACCAAGATCCAGAGCAATAGGTTTCATGACTATTTTTAAAGTAGATGGTAGTATCCAGTAGTGCCTTAGACAAGTTAATTAATATGCTCCAAGTCACACAGCCAGTAAGCAGCAGAAACAATATGTAAACCCATGTCTCTCTATCTTAAGCATCACACTCTTTCAGTCGTGCTGTAGCCTTTAGTCATGAGTCATCTGCTTTTCTTTCTGTCTTTTTTTTTTTTTTTTAATGATAGTTCTTGGTCTAAACTGATATAAAAGTTTTCTGTCATTTAATTTTTGCAGATAAGAAAAAGGTCCTTGAAATTAAGGATTTATGCTGTGGACACTGCTTCCAAGAACTTGAAAAGGCAAAGCAGGAATGTCAAGATCTGAAAGGAAAACTGGAGAAATGCTGTAGGCATCTTCAGCATTTAGAAAGGAAGCACAAAGCTGTAGTGGAAAAAATTGGAGGTTAGCATTTAAAGTAGCACTGCTACCAATATGAATTTCTTTGATCCTTGTTGAAATGTTCAAATGTGACATTTTAGTTAATGTGTGCACTGATCCTCTTTTGGGATTAATATAAACTAATTTGGATCTTATTTTTACTAATCAAATTATTATTACAAAACTCAAAAGAGGAAGATTTCAGCTCTGATTAAAAGGTCACATTCCTTTCTTCCTTTCTTGATTAAACAGATATTGAGGGCCCAGTATACGTCAAGCAGGCTTCTAAGCACTGGGGATGCAGCAGTGAATAAATCATACAAAATTCCAGTTCTGGTGGAGATGTGTTCCCTTCCTTCAAGAAGCTTTTGGTTAAGTGAGGAGATCTAACAACAGATTAACAAATAATTAAACGTTGAATGCTGTTGGCAGTGTTTTCCTCAGAAAGAGGATTGTTAATTCTACCTCTTATTAAAGTTAAGAAAGGTTTGACTAAGCCTTGAAAAATAGAGGTGTTTGCCAAGGAGAACAACGTTTGAGATAGAGGGAAAAGGCATAAACAAGGGCGTGAGGGTCTGGACTGGCCTCCTTCTAGTCCATTCATCACAATGCTGTGAGACATTTGGAAAGGGATATTTTCTACCATTTCCCAGTGCCCCTCTGAAGAAGGGAAGTTTTGGGGCTTAGATCGCTGCTCCCTCTTCTTACCTTTCACTATCGCTTATAGCCTATACGCTATACTCTACATTTGAAATGCTTCCGATTCCTGAGCTGGTCCTATTTCTTTTACTGCTGGACCTTCATTGCATATGATGTTTGTATTCTGTCCTGTACTTTTCCCCAACATTCTTTTTAGTCTTACTCTCATCCTTTAGGATTCAACTCAGAAGATGCTTTATCTGCAAAGCCCTTCTTGATTTTCCCTAGTCAGGGTGAAGTGGGCTGCTCTTGTGCGGCCCTGTAGCATTGGCTCTTCCTCTATTATCACCATTACCATTCTGTATTGTAATTGTTTGGTCACTTGTCAGATACCTTCTCCAAATTCTCCAAGAATTTTCTGAGGAGAAGGAATATGCCATATCTTGTTCATCCTAATAGCCATGGTGCCCACCACATACCAGATAATAAATATTTAAATGGACAAAAAACAAAATGCCAGGGTCCTAAATAATGGTGTCATTCAGAAAAGACCAGGTTAATAAGTTTATTTTGTACATCCACTTCTTTCTCTTGCCTGGACACTGGCAATAATTCCCTGACTCTTTATGCTTCTAGTCTAGCCCCTCTAATCCATTCTCCATAGGGTAGCTGGAGCAACCTTTTTAAAAAGTGAATTGAAACATGACACTCTTGTTTAAAGCTCTTCAGTGGCTTGCCATGGCCTTCAGTATAAAACCAAAAACACTTAGTTTAACGGGGTTTGAAAAGTTCTTGATCCAGCACCTGCCAGCCCCTTCAACCTTGTCTTCCCCCAGCTCTCTTAATTTCTCTCAGTAGAGCCATAGCATGGATTTCATTGTTTTCTCCCTTCACCAAAACATCCTGATCTCATTTGGCTGGCTAACTCCTTCTCATCTTTTCCCCAATACATTACTTCCTCAGGGAGGCTTTCCTAACCACTGCAGACCTGTTTAGTCCTCCTGTTATACACTCCCCATAGTTCCTATGCTTTTTATAACATTCACCATCCTTGTAATCATTTGCTGTCTGTACTTCCCTTTGGAGTGTAGTCTTTATAGCAATAAGGATCAAGTCCTGTTCCAGCACTTAGCACACCTGGCACCATAGCACAACTCGGGAAATACTGCTAAAAGAAGCCACCTGTAACTACCACTGACTGCTTATTACTAAGGCACTTATTACTCTTAGTACTTATTACTAAGAGATAGATAATAATTACTTTAAGACCAGAAAGGGTTTTAAGAATTTTGAGATTAAAAATTTAACAACTGCAATTCATTTTGTGATTACTTAGCTCTTTAGTAGAGGCCAGGAGAGTAAATGAGTTATTTGTCCAACTGTAGTATATTTAAAACATAGATATGTTAAAATATGATGAAAACCAAGACAATTTGTTTTACAGAATATGGCGATAAGGGCAGTTGGATATGACTATTATTTATAAATAATAATATTTAGCACCATACTATTCTACACAGTGTTTTTTGAAGCTGATATCTTCTAAAACTCGTAGACTTGCAAATAATCGAAGAAAGTTGATATATCACTCAAAACAATGAGTTGATACAAAGGGTCTGGGTCAGAATTTAAGTCAATAGTTTAATTGAAATTTTTTCTTAATATAACTTTAGTAGGTTATTATATCTTTGCTATTGAGATTGCTTCTTTGTTTCTTAAATTCTATTTTTCCACTTTCTTGGTAGCGTTTATTAAAAAATAGATGGGGTGGGAGTGAGTTGTTTAAAACAAAAAGTTATATCCATCACCAGGGGGAATAGAGTAATTTTGTTCCTCAACTTACGGAGTGTTGAGAGGGTAGCATCACAGGAAACACGAGATGCCATGTTCACATTTATATTGGTATTTCCAGGCCTTGTGTAGGTGTTGTGCATTTGTTGTTTTATTTCTATTATAATCTGTAAGTTAACATGTGAAGAAAAGTTCAGAAAGGTTAATTTTTCCTAGGCTTATCAACCTTGTAAGCAGCAAAGTTAGAATGTAAACTGATGTCTCTGACTCTGAAATTCATGTGTTTTCCTTCATACCACATGGACTCTTATCAGTTTCCTCATCCTCTTTTTAAAAGTTCAAAGAATTGTAATCTCCCCACCCTTAAGAAGGTTCTTTGTAACTCTCCCCACCCTTGAGAATGTACTTTGTGAGATCCACCCCCTGCCCCCAAAACATTGCTCTTAACTCCACCGCCTATCCCAAAACCTGTAAGAACTAATGATAATCCCATCACCCTTTGCTGACTCTCTTTTCGGACTCAGCCCGCCTGCACACAGGTGAAATAAACAGCCTTGTTGCTCACACACACACACACACACACAAAGTTCAAAGAATTGAAAATCTTACATTATTTCTGAAAAAGACACCTACTTAAGGTTAACTTTCTTTTTGTTTTATATCGAGGTGCATGTTCAATGATCGTTTATATGAGCATAAACTGTCTACCAGGATCCATAGGGAACATGGAATTAGAAAACCTAGTAGGTTTCTACAGAGCTTCAGCACAGTTGGAAAACAAAACACAGGCATCTGAAACAGTTGAAACCCAATTCCAGGACAGTGTGTAACCCAAAGCAAGAAGAAGATGGGATACAGATTTTAAGTGCTGAGAAAACAGAGCAAGGGAATGGTCTGAGTAGGGTTTCTAAGGGGATGAACGTTACAGAAAAGCGACTGGAAATTGCACAGTCTCTTCTATAAACATTTGTATTGGGAACTTAAGGGAAAAGAAGGCTTAAAAAATTTTTAACTGTCTAATATACTATAAACTTTCTGTTATAGAAGAGAATAATAAAGTTGTTGAAGAATTAATAGAAGAAAACAACGACATGAAGAATAAATTGGAAGAATTGCAAACACTTTGTAAAACACCACCAAGGTATACTTTTACTATTTTAAAGTGCTATTTTAAAGAAATCTAAGTACAAGTATCTTTAAATTTTTTTAAGTATCAATTTTTTTTGTTATACAGCAAAAAGTATAAAAAAGAAGAAAATCCCCCAAAACCTTATTTCCTGAAGATACCCTCTAGTGACCTCTTGTTTTATATCATTTAAGCCTCTTTCTACACATACTCCACATGCACAATGTGTTTTTAAAATTGAGGCTATAGTATAAGGTATTTTATAACTTTTTATTAATATTACTAGATAAGCATTTCTCCATGTTATTAGATATTCTCCTACATATGTTTTTCAATACCTGCATAAATTTTCATGTGGATTTACTGTTATTTATTGAAGCAACCATAACATTTATGTTGTTTCCATTTTTCCCCTATTTTAAATAACTGTATAGTGGAGATTGTTCTAGATGAGATTTTTAGCACTTCTCAGTTAACTTTATTAGAGTATATGGATACATATATATTTTTCAAATGAAATTTTTCACTTACCATTTCTGTTTTTGTAATCTTTGGTTTGTTTTTTAGGTCATTGTCAGCAGGGGCCATTGAAAATGCTTGCCTGCCATGCAGTGGGGGAGCCTTGGAAGAACTTCGTGGGCAGTACATTAAAGCTGTAAAAAAAATTAAATGTAAGTTTAATTCTGAAGATTTTAAGGATGGCTTGGGCCTTTTTTATTATCACTGTTAAAGTAAACTCAGAGTTTACCAGCAGTAGTTCTTCTAGGGAATTTTCCAAATTACCTTTTTCTTCAATCTTAAAAGAGATTATTGATACCTTTTCAAAATTATGTAGTCATTGATCATTTTTCCCAAATAATATCTTTTGGAAGTGATGTGAGAATCGTCTTATGTTTATATTGTTGATTTTCTTGTTTCTTTTTGGACACTAGTATTAAACTGAAAAGTTAATAATCTTACAACTTAACTAATTTGTAGTAAAGAAAATGTCACATGGGTTTTAAATGAGCAATTAACTATTACTTCCTACCATAAACTTTTTTTTTTTGAGACGGAATCTCACTCTGTCAACCAGGCTGGAATGCAGTGGTGCAGTCTCGGCTCACTGCAACCTCCGCCTCCTGGATTCAAGCAATTCTCCAGCCTCAGCCTCCTGAGTAGCTGGGATTACAGACATGCATCACCACACCCAGCTAATTTTTGTATTTTTAGTAGAGACAGGGTTTCACCGTGTTGGCCAGGCTGATCTCGAACTCCTGACCTCAGGTGATCCACCCGCTTCGGCCTCGCAAAGTGCTGGGATTACGGGCGTGAGCCACTGTGCCCGGCCTCCTACCATAAACTTTTAAGGACTGTAGAAGTGGATCTAGTTAGCAATTGTTCTGTTGTTTCTGGTTATTATTTCTCATAGCTATAAATTTATCAAGTCCTTGTCAGTACCAGGTTGTGCCAGCATATCCTGTAGAGCATTCTCCTGATGTGTGTTTTCCCTGTTTTGAATACTTCTTGGTTTCTAATTCTAATATGCATAGAATGGATATATGTCCCAAAACAATAAGTAGTGTTTATATAGGAAAAATGTATATTAACTTCCTAAAATTACATTTCTTTTTAACAAAAAGAGCAGGAAAAGTCTGAAGTTTCAAATATAATTGGTAGATTCAGAATCACGTGTAGATGTTCTACAAAGCTCATTCGGTATTTATAAGGGAATTTGCTTCTCCGTTGTTACTGGTGCTAATAAAGGGCATATTGCTACAAGCAACGCAACTTTTTGTTAATAATGTATTAATTGGGAAGTGGAATTTTAAGCATGTTTTCATCCTAATGTGATAACTTGTATGTATGTGTGTATATTATGTTTTAGTTATTTTTTAGAAAGTTGGTTGGAGGTTTTGTTTTGACATGTACTGCATTTCATTTTCCATTTCAAATAATGAAAAACAGTCTCCCAGTTAGTATTTTTGCATAGAACCACTAATTTTCAGATGCTTACTGACATTAACAGGAAGATTCCTGTATGAATTGGTATCCTTAATATAACAGAGATGGTGAAATTCTAGATGTAGGATGTAGTCTTGGATTTATTAAAAAAAAAAATAAAAGTTAGCCTTAGCTAATAGTAGTCCTAATCAAAGATATATTGAGTTAAAAAAAAAAACTTGAAAGCTGTGGGCTATGTTTATATGTAAATTTCAGAGGCCAACTATAAGTCCCATCACCCTCCTTGTAGTCTCATTTTGTACATATCTCTTATGAATTGTAATATTATATTTAGTTAGATGCTCAAAAAGTGCTGCTGAAAGAATTTTCAATAAATAATGGAACGTAAATTTTCAGAGCACTAGAGAAGAATGAGTCTCTCCAGCTCATACTGCCTCCTTTTCTTCTGTCTTTGTGTTTGCTTTTTCCTTTCTTTCTGCTTAACCTTTTCTCTATATTTTATTTTTCTCTTTTCCTAACTGGACATAATGTACAATTGAAATACTAAGTTTCTGTACCTCATATTTACAGTATTTTCTTCGCTAAGTGTTTTAGAATATGACAAAATTTAGCTGGGGAATATGCCATGTTTCCTTACTATATGTAGCTGTCATCATTCCGAAAGAACTTATAGAGTACTTCTCATTTGAGTCTACCAAAATGATGATCTAAAATATTCCATTTTAATGACTGTGGAAAGTATAATGTTTAAACTATACTTAAAATCACTTCATCTACCAGAAAATTGATCTGAAGTCTGCCCCTCCTGTTTCTGAAAAAGTGCTAATAAACATACATTCTGTGGGCATTTTCTCACTTCCCTATAGGTGACATGCTTCGTTATATTCAGGAGAGTAAGGAACGAGCTGCAGAAATGGTAAAAGCAGAGGTACTGCGAGAACGTCAAGAAACCGCCCGAAAGATGCGCAAATATTATTTGATTTGCCTCCAACAGATTTTGCAGGATGATGGAAAAGAAGGGTGAGTTCAGTCTGAACAATGTGTCCTGAGATTACCAGGACAACATGTTATCATTTTTAAAGCATTTTCCTTAACCACTAAATTAACTATTTCTACATGATCAGCCATAGGGGGTTAAGAGAGGTTTATGGCTGTGCTACCCTAAATGTTGGCAGAGCCAATAGGAAAACAGAAACCATGGGGCTAAGGCAACTCATTTTTTCCTTTAAACTATATTTTTAATATTCTGGAATTCCCCACAGGGCTGAGAAAAAGATTATGAATGCTGCTAGCAAACTTGCTACAATGGCAAAATTACTGGAAACACCTATTTCTAGTAAGTCCCAAAGCAAAACTACACAGTCAGGTATGTCAAAGTGAGTCGCCAAATGGTTTTTCTATCTTTTCTTCTTTAGCTATTTAATATTTTCAGTATGAAGAAGGCAGGGAAGGTAAGGAGTGAGAGTTAATTTGTGAAGTTTTGTATGTTTTACTTAAACTAGAAGTTTACGCAAAAAGAGTACACAGTTTCCAATTTAAGTAGGCAGACTGAGCATGCCCATCAGTTTCCTATTGCTGCTTCCATCCCTCGAAATGATAGAAAAGATTTTAAACAGCAAATAAAGAATGAGAAAAAGAAGAAATTATAAGTGGGTTTTAAAAAGTTGCAGTGGGCCAGGCATCATGGCTCACACCTGTAATCCCAGCACTTTGGGAGGCTGAGGTGGGAGGATCCCTTGATCCCAGGAATTTGAGGTTGCAGTAAGCTATGATTGTGCCACTGTACTCCAGCCTGGGTGACAGAGTGAGGCCCTGTCTCAAAAAAAAAAAAAAAAAGTTTGCAGTGGATAGACCAGAAGCTACAAGAAATCCCTGAGAGAAAGAAGACAGTATAGGATGGAAGATGGAAACCTCAGTTCAAAACCACCGGGAGATGACTATTGCAATTAGGAGCAATATCAAAACTGTTCCACATATGAGGGTGATATGTTCCAGGAGAAATAGAGGGCCTAGGGGATATGAATGGGGTAATTAGTTGGTGTTCTAAACCAACAGCAACCAGGTGGGGTTAATCCTCTCTTTATTTCTTCTTCTCCCCTCCTTTCCCCAACCTCAATATTGAGCTGGGCAACAACAACAGGAACAAAGAATCTGGGAGCAGGGCAGTGCTCCAGGTGGCTAGCCATATCAAGCAGGAACTGGGAGCCGACTTGCCTTGGGAGGCTGAGATGGGAGGATCACTTGAGTCCGGGAGGTCAAGGCTGCAGTGAGCTGTGATCGCACCACTGCACTCCAGCCTGGGAAACAGAGCAGACCCTGTCTCAAAAAAAAAAAAAAAAAAAAAAAAAAAAGTAAGAGTAACCAACAAAAACATAGAACGTATAACTTTAAAACTGGTAAAGGAAAAACTTGGAAAAAAACATTTTCAATCTAACAAAATCAGGAAAGAGGAAAAAAACCTAGAGAGCGTGGGTAAGTAGGACATAATAGTAGTTTGAAACATCAACAATCACACTAAATATAAGTAGGTTAAACTCATATAAGTTATTAAAAGACCACAACTTTCAAATAGGGTTTTTAAAAATGTGGAAATTTGCTATTTTTACAAGAAGAACATCTAAAATTAAAAATCAGGGGATGGAGAATGATATACCAAGCAAATGCAGTGTTGATATTAGATAAATTATAGAGGTAAATAAAAGATTAGATAAATTAGAGTTAGCATTAAAAGGGACAAAGCTGATAGTTCATAATGATAATGGAATAGTCTCCCAAGAAACTGTAATTGTTTTCTTTCTGTAGATCATACAGCTTTATATAAAGCAAGAGCTGATAGAAATACATGAAAAAGACTGGTAAATTCCCAATCACACTGAGAGATTTTTAACATATCAGTGGGGAAATGGGGTTCTTGAACCTCTGGAAAACTTGAAGCTGAGATTGTTCAGGGGTCCATGAGTCTGATGTTGGTAAACATTCCTCATGTACAAGCCAAAGATTATTTGTATAAATTTTGGAATGGTGATGTGAACCTTAGGTATGAAAAGGCAGTAACATATAACAAGAAAATAATTTTCTAGATCTGGGGCAACAGTGTGCAAATAATGTCCCCAGTAGAGAAGCAAATCCTTTTCATGGACTCTAGGGCTTGCTACTCTGAGATACAATGCCTCTAATTTCATGCTATGTGGCTGCTTTGTCTTTGATCAGATTTAGTGTCTTAGGTAATTAAATCAGAAAGTCTATTTAGCTATTCTAGAAGTGTATGTGTAGGTATTGGGTGGGTGGGGTTCTTTGAGCGAACTTGTCAGAAACTCCATTCTTAACATCAGAATCAGGGCAGGATTGAAAACATTGTGGCTGGATCTTGAAATTGCTATAACATCTATTGCAGAAAATGATAGGTCAGATGGATAGCAATAATAATTATATATCAGATCTTAGTAACAAAATTACCAAGCTTTATCTAGTGGATATATGTAAAAGAATATTTTTAAATGTCCAGCATTGATGTATTTTCTTTAAGAATTATTACAGTATATAAGCATTCTTTGGGAATACAGTATAAAAACATAAATTTTTTCTTATTTTTAATTTTTTTTATTTTTTTGTTCAAGGATGAATCTTCCCTTTAAATATTAATTTTCTCTTAATTTCGTGTTTCCTTGCACATAATAGCACTGCCCCTAACTTCAGAGATGCTGATTGCAGTTAAAAAATCAAAAAGAAATGATGTGAATCAGAAAATACCATGTTGTATTGAAAGCAAATCAAATAGTGTAAACACCATCACCAGAACTCTGTGCGAACAAGCTCCCAAGAGGAGGGCAGCTTGTAACTTACAAAGGCTGTTAGAGAACTCAGAGCATCAGAGCATAAAGCATGTGGGATCCAAAGAGACACATTTGGAATTCCAGTTTGGGGATGGTAGTTGCAAGCACCTAAACAGTTTGCCAAGGAATGTTTCTCCTGAGTTTGTTCCTTGTGAAGGTGAAGGAGGCTTTGGTTTGCACAAGAAGAAAGACCTACTCAGTGATAATGGTTCTGAATCACTTCCGCATTCAGCTGCATACCCCTTTCTTGGAACCTTAGGAAATAAACCCTCACCTAGATGTACCCCTGGTCCTTCTGAATCAGGATGCATGCATATAACCTTTCGCGATTCTAATGAAAGACTTGGTTTAAAAGTATATAAATGCAATCCACTAATGGAAAGTGAAAATGCTGCATCTGAGAAAAGTCAAGGTTTGGATGTTCAGGAACCTCCAGTAAAAGATGGAGGGGACCTTAGTGACTGCTTGGGCTGGCCTTCCAGCAGTGCAACCTTATCCTTTGACAGTCGTGAAGCATCATTTGTACATGGTAGGCCACAAGGAACTTTGGAAATACCAAGTGAATCTGTTAAATCCAAACAGTTTTCACCATCCGGTTATCTTTCAGATACAGAGGAAAGTAATATGATTTGTCAAACAATGAAATGTCAGCGTTATCAAACTCCATACCTGTCAGAAGAAACCACGTATTTGGAGCCAGGAAAGATCAGTGTGAATTGTGGACACCCATCTCGTCATAAGGCTGATAGATTAAAGTCAGATTTCAAAAAACTGAGCAGTACATTACCATCTTCAGTGTGTCAGCAGCCTTCAAGAAAATTAATTGTTCCGCTATCTAGCCAACAAGATAGTGGCTTTGATAGCCCATTTGTTAATCTAGACTAATTATGGTACAGTATTTAAGAAGAATCATTAATATATTAACAAAAATGGAAGGGAAGACCTCATACTGAAAAAAATTGTGAGCCCTGCCTCTTTTGAGATGTTTTAATAACATCTGTTATATAAGTAAAGCATTCTTCTAAAATTGCTTGAGATATTTATGTTGCCTTAATATTCCAAAGGCCTGATGGTGTATGTATAATCTGCTTTTGTGTGGTGCTTATTTTTGGTTTCTAAACCATCTATTTTTATACTTATAAATTGACTCACTCTGCAGTGTTAACTTATTTAAATAAACTTGCATATGGTCTGTAGAATTGTTATGAATTATTTTGTGGTTCAGAATACAGAAATGTCATATTGGCATCATGTTTGAAATTCACCCAGAAAAAAACATAAATTTTGATTATTTGTATGTGTTAGTCAGATTTAGTTTTTGAAATTAGTCATGTTTAATGAGGCTATGAACTTAATCTACATAGACTTTTCCTAGCAATATCTACTCAAAATTTTGATCTTTTTTTCAGTTAGAGGTTTTCCAGGGTTTACTACAAAATACATAGCTATGTCCTGGTTTTATTATTTAAATATTAGTCTGAATTTTTTTAGTTCTTACTTGCATTATTTCAGATCATCTGTGACATCCAAAAACTTTGTCTCTTTTATGGCTTCACATTTGTTTTTTCATCTGAAATACGACCTTTTGAAAAATTGAGATAAGTTTTGTCATGTAGCAAAAAATGTAAAACGATTAGATTTTTACATTCATTTATAGTGCAGAACTGGCTAATTAATGCTCTAGGTTAAAGGTTATAATTCTAAACTGAAGAATACATGCAGAAATGAATGACTACCTAAATATCATTGTTTTTAGGTGAATTCTTTTTCAGATCCCTAGCGATGGGTATGAACATTTAGCTGTATGCAAGTGCTTCCGAAAACAGTTAACTATAGCTTTCTCTCACATCTCCCACACCTACTATATTATGGATTGTATTTGGGGGTTAATCTAGTGTATTTTTCCACCCAGAGCCAGATAACTTAGGTGGTGATGGGGAGACGGCAAGATGCATCCTCCTCCTCCTGATAACCATCTCTAAAAGCAAGAACCGAGAAGGAAAACTTTTTGGGCTTGGAAAGCTCTGTCACCTTAACTCTTGACCAGGGATAAATAAGTCTAAAAATTGGTCCTGGACTTCAGTGCTTGAATTCACATACAGCTATAGTAAGGAACAAACCATCTTGTCAAAGTCTCACTTGTATTCCTGAAGATACAATGCTCCTTCTCCAACAGTTAGGCTGTCATCTCTCACTCTAGAAAAAAACTCTAAAACAGCCAAGTTTATGCTCCCTATGGATCTGGTTGGTGCTTGATCGTTTTAAGCCCTTGTTTTTAGTAAACTTAGAATCTAGGCTCGTTGCTCACCTACCTTTTCCACTTGGTTCAAAATCCATGTCAGTTATTTAAACTCTCAACATTAAGGTTGAAATTGGAAGTTCTCTTGCTTTCTGCTCCTTTTAGAGTATCCTTAATCTTTTTTGATACTCATAATCTCAATAGGATTAAGTTACTTTATGTCATACATCCTATATCCAATTGGTTGGAGATAGGGTGTGGTATAGGGTGTATGACAAGGTAACCTAATTCTATTATGATAAATATGAAGGTATCCACTTATTAGTGTGCAAATGAAGGGACTACACAGCCAAACTATGACTAGTGGTGTACATTGGTTTGAAAGGTCATGGCAGAACAAAAGGGAGGCAGGAGCCCTGTAGATATCATGATCACATAAATCTCACTTTGTCATGATATTTAGCCCTTTTTTTAATGTTGCTGGATTTTTATTTTATTTTATACTTTGTTAAAGATTTTCATGTGTATGTTCTTGAGAGATATTGGTCTCTTGTTTTCCCATGCTCTCTGTCTTGCTTTGGTAAAAGGGTAATACCAGTCCCATAGGGTGAGTTGGAAAGTGTTTCCTTGCCTGTGTTTTCTGAAAGAATTGGTGTAGCATTGGTATTACTTCTTCTTTATATATTGGATGGAGTTTACTAGGTGAAGGCATCTAGCCTGGGCTGGTGGTGGGGGTGGTGCAGAAGTGTGGATTTTAAGTAATGTATTTTCTTGTTATAGAGCTATTCATAATTTCCATTTTTTCTTTAGTCAGTTTTGGTAGTTTTTGGTTTTTGAGGAATTTGGCTATTTTATCTAAATTGTCTAATTTGTTGACACAGTTAGCCATAGTATTCTCATAATCCTTTCATTTCAGTAGGCTTGATAATGATGTCCCCCTTTCATTCCTGATTTTGGTATTCTGTGTCATCTCATTTTTTTCTTAGTCTATCTAAAGGTTTATCAGATTAGTTGATTTGTTTTCCCCCAAAGAACTTTTGGGTTCTTCTCTTTTCTCTTGTTTTTCTATTGCCAATTTCATTGATTTTTCCCTCTTCCTTCTGTTTGCTTTATGTCTAATTAACTGTTCTTTGTTCTTTTTTTTAAAATTTATTTATTTTTGAGATGGAGACTTGCTCTGTCGCCAGGCTGGAGTGAAGTGGCGCGATCTTGGCTCATTGCAACCTCCGTCTCCCGGGTTCAAGCAATTCTCCTGCCTCAGCCTCCCGAGTAGCTGGGACTACAGGCGTGTGCCGCCATGCCCAGCTAATTTTTGTATTTTTAGTAGAGACATCGTTTCACCATATTGGCAAGGCTGTTCTTGAACTCCTGACCTCAAGTGATCCGCCCACCTCCGCCTCCCAAAGTGCTGGGATTACAGGCATGAGCCACCACGCCTGGCCCTTCATCGATTCTTAAAGTGAAAGTTTAGATTATTGATATGAAACTGTTCTCTATTGATATAGATGTATAAAGCTCTGAATTTCTCTCTAAGCACTGTTTAAGTTGCACCTCATATGTTTTGATATGTTGTATTGTTGTTTTCATTTAGTTCAAAATATTTTCAAACTTCCCTTGCGATTTTTCTTTTGACCCACAGATTATTTAGAAGTATGTTACTTCATTTCTAAGAATTGCAGATTTTCAAAGTTTCTTTCTTATTTATTTTTAATTTACTTGTTTTCAGATAATATACTTTGAATGATTTCCATCCTTTTAAATTTCTTGAGACTTGTTTTATGGCCTGGCATATGGCCTATCCTGGAATGTTTCACATGCACCTGAAAAGAATGTATATTCTGCTCTTTTTGGATGGAGTATTCAAAAATGTCAGTTCAAGTTGGTTGATAGCATTGTTCAAGTCTGCTATAGCCTTGCTGATTTTATTCCTATTTGTTCAACTGGTTATTAAGAGTGAGATATTGTAATCTCTGGCTGTAATTGTTAAACTTTTTTCTTTCAATTCTGTCAGTTCTTGCTTCATGTATTTTGAAGCTTTGTTGTTAGGTATATATACCTTTATATCTGTTATGCCTTTCAGATGAATTGGCCCTTTATTATTTTAAAATATCCCTCTTTGTATCTACTATATTTCTTGTTTTAAAAGTCCATTGTGTCTATAATTACTACAGCCACTGCAGCTCTCTTATGATTACTGTTTGCATGGCATGTCTTTCTGTTTTTTTCCTTTTAACCTATTTGTATCTTTTAATTTGAAGTGAGTCTCTGGAAGACAGTATAGTGCTGGATGTTGCTTTTTTTTTTTTTATCAGAGAAGCTTTGATTGGAGTTTTTAGGTGCATTAAAATTTACTACAATTTTGTTAGGTTTGCATTTTCCATTTTGCTATTTGGTTACTGTGTATCTTTCGTTATTGAATTGCTCTTTTATTGCCTTCTTCTGCATTAAACAGATATTTATGAGGGTACCATTTTAGTTTTTTTAACCTTTTTTTTTTTAGCTATTTTTCTAAGTGGTGTCTCTACTTATCATAGGTATCTTAACTTACTACGGCCTACTTCACATGAATATTGACTAACTTCTGGTACAATATAGCAACTTTGCCCCAGTTTAGCTTCATTTCCTTGCCCCTCCTTTGTGCTATTATGTCTTATATATGTATGTGTGTATATATATATATATGTATATGTATATATGTATATATTACAGTGTTATAATTATTGCTTTATACAATAAAGCAATATGTCTTCTAAAGAATTTAATAGAAGAAATGTATATTTATAGTTCTTTATATTTACTGACGTAGTAATCATTTCTGCTGCTCTTTCTTTGTTCCCATGGATTCTAGTTGCCAGGTCTGTTGTCATTTCCTTTCATCTATATTCTACTTCCTTTAGTATTCCAAGTAAGGCAAGTATGCCAGCAACAAATTCTCTCAGTCTTTGTGGATTTTGGAATATATTTCAAATTTATATATGAAGGACAGTATGTGATATATTTAGAGTTCTCGGTTGACTTTTTTCCTCCAGCATTTTGAATATGTCATTCCACTGCCTTATGGTCACCACTATTCATGATGAAAAGTCAACTGTTAATCCTGTTGTTCTTTATATATGATGAATTGTTTTTCTTATACTGTTTTTAAGATTTTCTCTTTGGCTTTCAACAGTCTGAGCATGGTGTGTCTAGGTCTGAATTTGTGTTTATCCTACTTAGAGTCTGTTGAGCTTCTAGGATTTCTAGATTTATCCTTTTAATACAATTTAGGCAGTTTTTTGGCCACTATTTCTTCAATTATTTTTTTCTGTCCTCGTTTCCTCTTTCTGGGGCTTTCATATACATTAATATGCTTACCATTGTGTCACAGGTCTTTGAGGCACTGTGCATTCTTCTTTAATCATTATTGTTTTTCATATTGGATAATTTTATTAATCTATGTGCAAGTTTCCTGATCCTTCTGCCATCTCAATTCTGCTGTTTAGCCTATCTAGGAATTTTCATTTCAGCTATTGAACTTTCTGACTCTAGAATTTTCATTTGGCTCTTTTTAAATTGATGCATAATAGTTGTACATATTTTGGGGATAGACATATTTTGATACATGCATGCAATGTGTAATGATCGACCAGGGCAACTGGGACATCCATCACCCCAAACAGTCACCCCTTCTTTATATTGGGAACCTGCCAATTCCTCCAGCAATTTTGAACTTTACAACAAATTATTGTTAACTATAGTTACCCTACTATACTAGAGTGGTTGGTTAATGGATACAAAAACATCATTTTATATATATGTATGTATATATTTTAAGACAGTATATCACTCTGTCTCCCAGGCTGGAGTACAGTGGTGCAGTCATGGCAGCCTTGAACTCCTGGGCTCAAGTGATCCTCCCCGCTCAGCCTCCCAAGTAGCTGGGACTACAGGTGTATGCCACCATGCCTGGCTAATTTTTTTTTTTTAATTATAAGTAAGGGATCTCACCATGTTGCCCAGGCTGATCTCGAACTCCTGGCCTCCCAAAGTGCTGAAATTTTAAGCATGAGCCACCAGACCTGGCCACATTTGGCTCTTTAATAGTTACTTGTTTAAAAATAGCTACAAAGCAGCTATTACAAATGTGTTTTAAAAATTAAGGTAAAATGTTTAAAGAATTAAAAGCATGACTTTTTTTTTAACCAGAGATTCATCATTGATCATGTATTCTTTTTTTTTCCTTTACTCTAAAAAAAAAAAATACATGTGCAGAACATGCAGATTTGTTACCTAGGTATATGTGTGCCATGGTGGTTTGCTGCACCTATTGACCCATCCTCTTAAGTTCCCTCCCCTCACCCCAAACCCCCAACAGGCCCTGGTGTGTGTTGTTCCCCTCTCTGTGTCCATGTGTTCCCAATGTTCAGCTCCCAATGTTCTCACTCACTTATGAGTGAGAACATGCAGTGTTTTGTTTCCTGTTCCTGTGATAGTTTGCTGAGGATGATGGCTTCTAGCTTCATCCACATCCCTTGCAAAGGACATGATCTCATTCTTTTTTATGGCTGCATAGTATTCCATGGTGTGTATGTACCACATTTTCTTTATCTAGTCTATCATTAATGGGCATTTGAGTTGGTTCCATGTCTTTGCTATTGTAAATAGTGCTGCAGGAAACATACGTGTGCATGTGTATTTATAGCAGATTGATTCATAATCCTTTGACTATATACCCAGTAATGGGATTGCCTGGTCAGATGGTATTTCTGTTTCCAGATCCTTGAGGAATCGCCATACTGTCTTCCACAATGGTTGAACTAATTTACATTCCCACCAACAGTGGAAAAGCATTCCTATTTCTCCTCAACCTCGCCAGCAACTATTGTTTCCTGACTTTTTAATAATCACGTGAGATGATTGGCGTGAGATGGTATCTCATTGTGGTTTTGATTTGCATTTCTCTAATGACCAGTGATGTTGAGCTTTTTTCATATGTTTGTTGGTCACATAAATGTCTCCTTTTTAGAAGTGTCTGTTCATGTCCTTTGCCCACTTTTTGTTGGGGTTGTTTGTTTCTTGTTGGGGTTGTTTAAGTTCCTTGTAAATCTGGATATTAGACCTTTGTCAGATGGGTAGATTGCAAAAGTTTTCTCCCATTCTGTAGGTTGCCTGTTCACTCTGATGATAGTTTATTTTGCTGTGCAGAAGCTCTTTAGCTTAATTAGATCCCATTTGTCAATTCTGGTTTTTGTTGCAATTGCTTTTGGCGTTTTTGTCATAAAGTCTTTTCCTATGCCTATGTCCTAAATGGTATTGCCTAGGTTTTCTTCTAGGGTTTTTATGGTTTTGGGTTTTACATTTAAGTCTTTAATCCATCTTGAGTTAATTTTTGTATAAGGTGTAAGGAAGGGGTCCAGTTTCAGTTTTCTGCATATGGCTAGCCAGTTCTCCCAGCACCATTTACTGAATAGGAGATCCTTTCCCCATTGCTCGTTTTCGTCAGGAAAAACGTGACTATTTTAAAATAGCAACTATAATACAATATTCCCTGTTGAGTCATTGTCATCATATTTTCATCTTATTTTTTTCTTTTCCATATATTTTTCTGGTAAATATTTTTTGTCTGGTAAGAACACAGGAAGGTAAGATATACTCAACAAATTTTTAAGTGCACAATACAGTGTTGTTAACTATACATACAGTGTTTTACATCAGATCTCTAGAACGTTTTCATCTTGAGTAACTAAAACATTATACCTGTTGAACAGTAACTCCCCATTTCCCCTGACAGCCCCCTTCTATTCTGTTTCTGTGAGTTTGACTATTTTAGAAATCTCATGTAAGTGAAATCATGCAGTATTTGTCCTTTTGTGACTTTTAGTCTTTATTCAACATCCAAGCACATGCATAGTTTTTCTTGACAGCTTTTTTCTTTGATATAAATCAGACTTTCTGTTTCTTTACATACGCTATAAATTTGTTGAAAACTGGAAATTTTACGTAACATATTGTGGCAACTCTGGATTTGGTATTTGTTCCCCTGGGGGTTGTTATTGCTGGTTTATTATTATTGTTGTGTTGTTTCATTATTTGCTTAGACTTTATCTGCAAAATCCTCTATGGTGTGTGCCTGCTGATTTCTCCACTGTTGTTTTAATTTGCATTTCTAGTTTTTAGCTGGTCATTTTAGGGGATTTCTATGCATCTGTATTGCTTAATGATTATTCAATTATTGGTTGAAGGCTGTATTGAAAAACCTTGAGTCAGTAGGTCTTCATCCTATGCTGATGTGTCTGTGCATTCAATGTTCAGGCAATTTTCCAGTCTTCCTCCACTTTGCTTCCCTCTGAGCGCTTCCAGGTCTTCCTGCTCATGTGCACATCCTCATTAGTTCAGGGATATGTGGTGAGCATGGGCTTTCTTAGGTTTTCCCTACATATGCACACAGCCTCCCACTCCAGCAGAGATATGCGGAGAGCTTATTTAGCCCCTCATTTCTAGACTTTCTTCCTGTTAATTTAAAAATTAGTCTGCCCATCTCTTGCCCCAAATGGGACTGCAATCTCAGACTAGCGGAGCTATGCATCTTCCCTGTTTTTGTCCCTCTAACTTTACTGTTTTTAACTAACCCTACTACTGGGCATGGGCTCCTTTCCTTCTACTCCAAATCAAGTGAGCCCACTGTAGCAGAGAGGCTGCTAATGTTCACTGTCATTCCTACACTGTTAGCACTACCTCACTGATCAAGCTGGGGAGCGGAATGGGAGCAGCCCCTGGTAAGAACGCCTCAGAGTCTCACTGATCTTCCAAAGTTCAGCAGCTTCTCAATTTTGGTTGTTTCCCTTTGGTTGATTTTTGGAGCCCTGAAATGGTTGTTTTTCTTCTTTTTTCAGTTTTGTAGTAATTTTTTTTGGGGGGGGCCGGTGGGGAGCTTCTTCACTCCAGTATCACCAGAAATTTCCTTATTTTTATTTATTTGTTACGTACTGGAGTAATCTCTTTTCTGTGTATTTATTAATTTTTTCTTTATTTTCCCCAACTTTTTATATTGAAAATCTTCATAATCTGTAGAAAATAAACACCTATATACCCTGCATTTAGATTTACCAATTGTTTACTTTCTACATTTGTTTTATATTTGTCTGTAAATATACATATGTATGCATGTACATAGTATGTACATGTATATAAAAACATTTTTCCTTAACCATGAAGATTATTTGCAGACACCCTGAGTATTCCTTCCTAAATACTTCAGCATACATTTTCTAAGAACAAAAACATTTTATTTCTTAAATACAATTGTCATATTTAGGACATTGAATATTGATAAATATTTATATACATATACACTTAAAAAATTTTTTTTATTTAGGAGATGGGATCTTGCTCTGTCACCCAGGCTGGAGAGCAGTTGCTCAAATCACTGCAACTGAACCGAGACTTCAACTGTTGGGTTCAAATGATCCTCCCCGCTCAGCCTCTTGAATAGCTGGGACTACAGGTACACAGCACTGCACTTGGCTAATTTTTAAATATTTTTGTAGACACAGTGTCTCGCTATGTTGCCTGGGCTGGTCTCAAACTCCTGGGCTCAAGCAATCCTCCCACCTTAGCCTTCGAAAGTGTTGAGATTACAGGCGTGAGCCACTGTGCCCAGCCAACATACATACATTCTATATTCAAATTGCCCTAATTGTGACAATAATGTGTTATAACTTTTTTTTAGATCTTTGCTGTTCACCTTCAAGCTGAGGACTTACCACTTTTCTTCGATTATGAAAAATGCTCAGCCAATAGCTATTCATTAAACAAATATTTATGAGGTGTCAACAACTGATTGTTAATGTTCTAGGGTGATACAATGCTTATCAAAACATGAGTTTCTACCTTCATGGTTCACACTCTAGTCAGGGGAGACAGTAAATACACATAACTTATGTAGTATGTTAGAAGTTGGTAAGTGCTATGGAGAAAATAAGGGCAGGTAAGGGTAAAAAGAGGAGTAAAGAGGGAGTGGTTACAAATTTAAATAGAATAGTGAGGGTTGGTCACGCTGAGATGGTAACATTTGGGTAAAGATTAGAAGGAAGCCACTCTAACTCCACCATTCCTTCTGTTTCCTGCTTCTGGAACTTCTCTTAGACATAGCCCCATCCTCGTTTCTCTTCATTGTTCTTTTGTATACTTTTATTTTTCTGTGCTACTTTGTGGAGGTCTTTTTTCACTGGAAGTACTATCTTCCAGTTTGCTAATTCTGTCTTTGTTTGTTTAATTTATTGAGTTTTGAAATTTCACTTCCGGGATTTCTAGTTGGTGTTTTTACACCTAGACTTTTTGTAAAATTTCTACCTGTTTAGTAATCTTGTTTTCTAATAGATTCTATGTATTTATATTTTTAAAGACTAAGAAATTCTTAAAGTTACTTCTAGAGTAATTTATCATGTCACTTGGGAGTGAGTTCATATCCAAATTGTTGCTTTTTGTTTGTTTGTTTTTGCCTTACACAGAATTAGTTTCCCCCACGCGTGTGGAATTTTGGCTTGCAGTCTAACTTGCAGTCTAACAGTGAAGAAGATTTTTTTTCTCCTTCTGAGTTCTCTCCCACCACTGTCTAGTTCTTTTGGTTGCCTCCATATGGGCTCCATATAGTACCCAGTCCAAGACTGGGTCTTACATAGGTGATTTCTGATCTAGTGGGGCTATTCTAAAGCTAGTCACTGAGCCAGCAGGCAGCTTGGCCCAGTTCCTGGCTGCAAAGCTCTGCCTTTAACCTCTAGGCTCTCTAGATACATAGTTTTAATATAACTTGTGGCCTCAGGTGGAGAGTGTAGCTTTTTCAGCCTCCCTGAGGTAAGGAACCCCTACCTGGACTACTGCTTTAGACAGCAAGCTTGTCCTTTGTTCCTTTCCTCAGTTGGATGCTTTTAGTCCTTATTATTCTGCAGAAACTCCTGGCCACCTTTACTACTTTTGGTTTTTTTTTTTTTTAAGCCGAGTCTCACTGTGTCGCCCAGGCTGGAGTGCAGTGACGCAGTCTTGGCTCACTGCAATCTCCACCTCCAGGTTCAAGCGATTCTCCTGCCTCAGCCTCCTGAGTGGCTGGGACTACAGACACGCACCACCACTCCTGGCTAATTTTTGTATTTTTAGTAGAGATGGGGTTTCACCATATTGGCCAGGCTGGTCTCGAACTCCTGACCTCAAGTGATCCACCCACCTCAGCCTCCCAAAGTGCTAGGATTACAGGCATGAGCCACCGTACCAGGCCTACCTTTACTACATTTAGATACAGAACAGGTAGTACCTTACTTTTCAAGTCCTCAGGGACATTTTGTGTTTTAAAAGTCTTTTTTCTCTATATACTTTTTCCATCATTGTTATATGTTGGTAGATGTTGGGTCCTTCCAAAGTGTAAACTTAGAATGCCATCAAGGACCTAAAGTCTGCTTTGTCATTAGCTCTGTGTCTTAGCTGTTTCTGTAGCCTGTCTGGGCCTCAGTGTTTGCTATTATTAAGGTTTAGGCATATGATTACCTAAAGATTCAGGTAAACCAGATTTAAAAGTATGTGAAGGCCGGGCGCGGTGGCTCACGCCTGTAATCCCAGCACTTTGGGAGACTGAGGCGGGCCCATCACCTGAGGTCAGGAGTTCAAGACCAGCCTAGTCAACATGGTGAAACCCCGTTTCTACTAAAAATACAAAAATTAGACAGGTGTGGTGGTGGGCGCCTATAATCCCAGCTACTCGGGAGGCTGAGGCAGGAGAATTGCTTGAACCTGGGGGGCAGAGGTTGCAGTGAGCCGAGATTGTGCCATTGCACTCCAGCCTGGATAAAAAAGCGAAACTCCCTCTAAAAAAAAAAAAAAATAAATAATAAAAAAAAAAGAGTACATGAAGAATAGTGAGATAGGTAAATTGAGGCTAGATCATGATCATGGATGGTCTTGGATGTCAAAGCCAAAGAATTCGAAATTTGGTTCATAGAAAAGGGAGAGTTGTTGAAGTTTTGGTAGCATGATTTAGAGAGATTAGGGAAGCCATATAATAGGAGGACTTGGAGGAACAGAGCAAACAGCCAAGGAACCAGGAGGACAATGTCCAAGGACAGTCAGGCAAGGAACAAGGCCAGAGCCAGGGTAGATGTGGTGGAAATGAAGAGGTGACAAGATTGAGAATATGACACACCCATGCTTCCAGGACCTACTGAGAAGGGATTTAGAGCCTGGGTGTTTGTGAAGATGACTCTGCTATCAACAGTACTGGAGAATCAAGACAGGGTGGATTGAAGGGACCATGCTCTCCCTTGAGTACTGAAGTGCACAGTCCTTTGGTGGGCACAGTCATGAGAACAACTAATTTACAGATGCTAACTTGATGATGAGCATTGTGCCAAGCACTTCACTAACTCCTTTAATCCTCACAACAGCTTTTTGAGTGAGGCTCTGTATAAGCACTTTATGGTTGGCTAAAATCAAGGCTTAGAGAAGATAAGTAATTTGTTCATGGTTAACACAAGCTTGCAGCAGGCAAAGCCAAAAGTTATACCCAAGTCTTTTTTTTTTTTTTTTTTGTCTATGAAGTATGTATTATTTTGGCAAGTGATTTTTTCCTTCCTAAGAATAAGATGAACATGTCCAAATGTTACCTGTGCCAACTTCACAGATACAGAAGTATCTAGTCTTCATTTCCTCAATGCCCCAATTAGATGGTTCTAGTAAACGAATCAATATAGTTAAAAAAAAAAAATACAGGTTCAACAAAAGAGCACCATCCTATTAGGGAACTGAGTAACATGTGAAAATGAAGTTGTCATTATAATCAAAATGTTGCCCAAATTCTAACAAACCCAAGCTGTTATACTAGTACATGGACGCAGTCCATAGTGTTAACCTAAAGAACTCTGGGACAAGAACATTATTTGAAAAATAAACTCCAAAATTATACCTGTAATAAATGGTGAGACAGACCAATTTTAAAGCACAAGTGACATGTTACACTGTATTGCTTCTTGAACTTTCCAAACAATGCTTGTCCATGTCAGGTTTGGGCCATTCTCCTGCTAAGACAGAGAGCATTGTATTTATTCAAAAGCCCAGATTTCAATATCTTGGATAAAGAAATCTTCCTTCTTAGAAAGTGTACGATTCCCAAACGTTTTACAAGAATGGCTTCTTGCATGGTAGAGATCTCCATCAAGCCAAAGGGCAAATTCTCCTCCTCCACCACCGAAAGCTAGTGAATCCATGTCTCCTTTGATAAAAAACATGTTATCTCCTGTCCACTTAAAGACCTCAAACTCTGGACAGAATGTAAAAACAAAGGTCTCTCCAGTACCATAAAAGCCATCACTCACTTTAAATGGCTCAGCTGCTAACGCACCAAAAACCTGTCCATCACTGTCTTTAATTACCATCAGCACTGGGGTGTCTAAACCTGTCATTGTTCGATAAAGAGTTTTCAAGCAAGCTTGTGCCATGTTTTCCAGTACCATAAACAAGAGTCCGTGGATAGCCAATTGTTCTTGGTGGAAGATGCTTGGTAAGCTTTTCAATTTGATCTGGCAGTAAACTTTTCATTTGAGAATAGGTTTAGGTTTACCAAAAAGTTGCAAAGATATACAGAGTCTCTATACCTCTCACCCAGACTCCTCTGTTGTTAATGTCTTACATCACTATGGTAACTTTTTCACAACTAAGGAACCAACATTACATTTAAATATAGATGTATTTTTTTTTTCTTGTGACGCTAGAGGCCATGGCTTTAATCCCTATACTGTCTTTATTTGGTTTGGCTTACAGGTGAGCTGGAATTTATTTTAAAGGGGAAAGTCCTTTTCTTTTTCCGCTCCTTCCACTTCCCCTCCATGCTTCCAAGCAGGAAAATGAGTTCAGCAGGCTCCTCCACATGTGAAATCAGTTTAACTTGCTTTCTCAGCAGGATGTAGACGAGCAATAGATCTTGCTCTTTAGCAGGGATTTATAGAATATGACATTATATGAAGATTATGCTGCAGCTAGAAATTTACCAACACAACAGGAAAGCCTGTAATATTATAGAACCACCTTTTGTAATTTTAAAATTCAACGAGTAATGGTTCATCTTAAAAGAAAAAAGATATTTAGAAATTTTCTAGTAGTAAATATGCGATTTTTAAATCTCTTGATATAATTGTAACAACTTTTCCCCTTAAGGACCAGACCAGGAAATTAATTAGAAATCAAAATAGTAAAACATCATTAAATAGAAACTTTGTTATTTTCGAAAGTAAGATAAATGAATTGGCTTCTTCCACAAAGGTCAGCAATAATTTGGAAACTTTGAGAACATGTTAAATCTTGTGCTCTTAAAAATGTTGTCTGATGAGTAAATTAAGTAGAATCAACAAAACTTTTAAAACTTATTTTTGGTTTTGGTTCAGGCATAGCCCTTGTCTGAAATATTTCCTCATTTCATTTCATAATTTTATCAATCATGTTGTATATAGAATGTACTGGATGAAATTCTGCTTCTTATATTTTCTTGACCCTGTGCTCTTACACAAACTGTTTCCCTAGGAACGGTTAATAAAAATTGAAACACCCTATTTCACCCTATTCAATAAAAGTTGAAATATCCTATCTGTGTAAGAGCACAGGGTGAACTCAATACATGTATTATCACAGTGACCCTGTAGCTGTCAATGATTTCATTGGCTACCAATTAGTTTTCCTGGAAAAGTTTTTAAAAATGTAGTCCAGTGTCGCAATCTACTCTGAAAGGTCTTCAAGATTATTCATTAAACATGACAATGGATCAGTTATCATATTAAGCCCTATACCTACACTTTTGTCTTAATCCTTCCAACAATTTTTCAAACTAGGTCTTATTATCCTCATTCTATAGATGAGAAAGAAGGGAAGGAACTTATGCAAAGAGTCTCATGTGGCTGAACAGGAGTCCAAGGAAGCCATAGAGTTACTGCAAGGTGAATATGAACTCATTTGCTGGCCATGCATTATCTACAAATGAAAACGACAATATATCTCCAGCATCAATATGGCATCGTTTTCAAACATATGTAGATGCCGTTGCTATCATTAATAAGAGGACTTTATACTAAAAACATTTCGGAGTTGCTGCACTGTTCTGAAAAATATCCTGTTAAAATTGGATCAGACCTGTACTGAATAGTTCAGATCTAGTTAGTACAAAGCAGACTTCTCAGGTTAGAAGAGGTAGTGACTAGGATCAAACTTTGACATCAAATATGTTGCATATCTTTATTCTGTCACCTACTGGTGAGCCTAGATTCCACATCTGGAAAATGGGAACATATAGTGGACACTATTGGTTATCTACCCAACGTTATTACCTACTTCTTCCTTGTTGGCAGACCAAGGGGGGCATAGCTGTCACTTCCCCTCATGACTCAGTTTCAACTCTGTTGCTGACTCCTGTTTGGCCTGAGTAATCCCAGTGGCCTCAATTCCTGTTACCGTGACTTGTTTAGGGATGGGCATATGACTCAGTTCTGGACAATGCCATATAAGGGAGAGGCTGCAGGGCTTGTAGAAAATGTTTCTTTCTAAAAAGTATTTTCTTCCACACTGGAAAGAGCTGACTTTAAATGACAAATGTGCAACTTCTAGATCAGTGGTTAGAGCCATTTTTTAGATGTTACTGTGTCTGGTTGTAACACCTGGATTTGCAGCAACCATCTTGCAACACTGTCTTCCAAATGAATAGCTGTTATTAATGTTATTCACAGAAACATAAAAGGCCTCAGGCATCTGGGAAGGACTGGCCTCACACATCATTCATAAGTAAACTCTTTGCTGGCCTCCTATAAACAAGGACATGTCAATTGTTACTTTAGGTCTACCGTCTTAAATCTAGCTCCTAAAACTAAAGCCGTTTGATTCCACACTGATTATGTTGCTTACAAGCTTATCTTCCAGATGCAGAGCAAGGACAAGACAACATCAGTCATCTCCTTCACCTATCAGAGACAACTGCATAATTGATTCATTCTTTTCTCCTTTTTTTCTCTTCAAACATTCATCTTATCTCTGTAAAATGTAGATTTACTGGGCACTAACTAAAGTCTCAAGAGAATATAACCATTCGCCTTACCTTCCCCCCTTCCTGCATGCCTATCTCCCTTTAAAGAAATATATAAATTCTAAAGCTCCTAAAAACCTCTTCAGGAAAACAGCCACAGATGTGCCTGTGGCTCATGTTTTCCCAGATGCGCCCTAAAACTGGTGTAATAAACCTCCATCGACTGAGACTTTTGCCTCAGTCTCTCATTTCGATTATCAGTTCAAATGAGAATTTTTGCAAAGGAACTTACACTAACTGGAAAATAGTATGGACTCAATAATCAATGTTAGCTCTGAGTGACAATGATAAGGTGGTGCTTTTAGTTTCTTCAAGCCCCTAAATCTGGTGTGAAATCTCCCCCACTAAACACTGTCATTTCTTCTATGTTGTTTAGTACTCAATAAAAATTGCACATGGATATATCAATCTAGGTCAATATAGGACAACACAAATTTGTGTTCCCAGAATGCTGGGAGGTTGAGAAAAACCTAAAACCAAGTTTTAAGAAAGGCACATTCTTTTCTTCCCTTCAGATAAAAATATATTTGGCCCATTCCTCCAAAAACTAAGCAATATTCCCATCTGGAGAGAGAAAAAAGATCTCACCTATTGAAAGCAAATTATCTTCCTCAAGTCACTTCCTGAATATACTGTAGGAAGTTTACTTTCAAAGTTCTCTTCCCTGGAACAAATCAGATTATTTACATGTATTTGCCTGCTCTGAAGAAAAAACACTTGAACACCAGAAGGAAGAAAATCTGTACTTGCTCAAAGTCAAAATACCAAAGAATAAAGAAAGAGGTCTCCTTAGGAGAAATGAAAAGTTTTGTTCTTCTTGGAAGAAGTCTTCAAATATTTTAGAGCAAAATATATACAGGTATGAGTATTGGTATGGACACTAGAAGATTAAAAAAAGACCTCAAAAAATAAACATGTTTTGGCTTTAGTCCTTCAGAGTAATTAACATGTTGCTGTAGCTGACAAAATTTGTGGCCAGATAGAAACCTGCTAGTTGAAAAATTTGGAATCCTGTAGCCTCCCATCTCTGCCTAAGATCAAGGCCAAACATCTGCTCTCCTCCCACTTCCTGAGCCCTCAGCCTGTTTAGAGGAGTTGGGTCAGTTGTCTTGCAGAGAGGGTGCAAAGGTAAGTGGCAGAGGGGCCAAAGCCCAGTGCCAGGCTCAGCTTTCATAATGTGCCCTGTGATGGATGCTCAGTGTTCAGAACACCCAGCTGGCCAGAGAGAGGCTTTTGGAAACAACAGAGGATTGACGTTCTTCAGTACTCATTTTCCAGCAAAGACAAATATCTGATTATATAATAGAGAAGTTATGTCTTCTGGCACCCAAAGAACTGACCTACAATGACAAATGTGCAACTTATTAAGCAAATTCCATTGAGCCTGCAACACATACTAGTTGTTTTCTCAAGACACGTAGTTGCTTTACCACCAAGAACCCTTTCCTCAATGGTTCCAGCTGGCAAAACTCACTGTCATTTCAATCTATTGCTTTGTAATCACACAAACCTTCTCCGTGGGTTTTTCAAAATTAAACTAAGTTGATCTGCTCTGATTTCCCTTTGCTGCCACGATTCTAGAGACCATAGATAATTGTTTAAGCCCAAATCCATAAGGCGAGTTTCTGTTGGAGAAAAACCAGGGAAAGAGTCCTTCCGTGATGTATCTTGTATATGCTGGCTCCTCTGGGGTGGGTGCAACTTTGCTTGCTTAATCAGGATGCACACCCTAAGCAGAGATGCCTGGTTTTGATTTAAATGGGTACAAAATGTGTTCCCTTTGTTCTGGAGCTCTCACTAAAGCTAGTACAGAAACCTCGGCTCTATATGTTATTGGGGTTTCTCATTTTCCCACAAAGCACATGGGATGGGTGGTCATGGCAATGGTGAGCAGGATCATTGCGGCGCATTAAGTTAACTGGCACAAATCATTTGTTTGCTGAGGAGGAACAGAATCATATGTGGCAATACCTTCCCAGGGAGTGTTGCCTCACTGTTGTCACAGACTGAGCTTTGGAGAGATGTAGGAAAGGATAGCAGTGGCTGACTCCTCTATGTGTTTTACTTACATATAGGTGCAGCACAGAGAATAATCAATATCTATGGTGACAATTCATAAGCAAGTCCACATTTAAAACATTAATATATAAAAAGCCCCTTTCCCAGCTCTGGTCCCAGTTGCCTAATTCTCCACCCTTGAAGCAGAGTTTGTTACTCAAAACCTATTTACATGAGTATAAATGAATAAATATCCCATATTTTATATGAGTGGTAGCATAGTATACCTACTGTTCTGTACCTCGCTTATATCAAAAATTTTAAAGCAAGCATATGAATAACATTGTTATGCTTTTTAGTACTAAAAATTGAAGACCTGAAAATAGTGAAAACTGGAACAAAAAAAGATTAGCCACTTACACATATGGGGTGGTACTCCACAGATTATTTATAACTGAAGTGTGAGGCATCCTACTAGTGGAAACAGCCTTCCCTTTCCCAAGGAGGGGATGATGACAAAGGAGGACAAAGCTAAACACAGGTGTACCCTGCTAGTCTCCCTCTCCTTCCTACGACCTCACTCCTTCCCTTCCTCCAGATCTTCTCTCTGTACCTTTCCTAAACCACCCGTCCTGCTTCCCCACCAATCTTGTTCCTCTTCTCCTCCTTCCTTCTGTCAATCGATCCTTCAGTTCTTTGCATCTACCTTTTTCACCTCCATCCCTTCTACCAGGTCATTCTTCTGGATTCCCTGACTGTGGCCCTTCCTTGCCTTCCAGGTCCTCTTTAATGGGAGTGGAGGAGCTGCCTGTGTCATTGGGGGTCAGAGAAGGACACGGGTCACAGAAAAACTGAGTCTGGAAAGGATGACACTGAGCTAGTGGGGGTGTGTAGGGGGCACAGGGACTGGAATGAGAACTGTTCCACTGCCTTCCCTGCCTGCCCACGTGTAAGAAGTAGTGTTATCAGTCAGGGTTCAAACAGAGAAGCAGAACCAATAGGAGATAAAGATGACTAATATGGATAGATAGATACTAAGGAAGTTACGTATACAATTGTGGGGGCTGGGTAAGTGAGTCCAAAGTCTACAGAATAGGCAGTCAAGAAGGGAAGAGCACAAGCAAGCTGGGACCCCACGTGCACAGGTCAAAGCTACTGTTCACAGGCAGGGTCTCTGTTTCGTGTAGGGCCTTCCAACCAGTTAAGTCAGGCCCACACAGGATAATTTCCCTAATTAAGGATCACCTGATTAGGAACTTATTTATACCCACAAGTTCCTTCATCGCAGCACCTACATTCGTGTTCGATTGCATAACTGGCAGAAGCATGTGAATGCAACAAAATGGCTGCTATTTCCCTTCCATCCCCCAACTCTTGCAAGAGAATATCTCCTGTAGCCCAACCTGGGCAGAACCTATTAGCAAGGGAATTCTGGGGAATATGGTTTAACCCAAACAAGTTGAGCCACTACAAAATAATCAGAAACAGTTACCGTAATAGGCAGCTGCTGGGCAAATGCCCCAGTCCTTGCCAGGCCAGACTCATCCTAGAGGAACCTGCAGCTATGGGCCACTACACTGCTGCTTCTGTGGTGTTCCTTTATTGATTGCCCTTAAAGAATGGCATAGTAGAAATAGAACATTCCAATATGCCCTCCATCCTTCCCCAGAGCTCCCCAGACCTTCAAAGTAGCACTTCAAGGAGCACTTGCTGAAGGGGAAGATACTTCTGCTAATAATAATAATAATAATAAGCCTTTTCTCACATGTTAGAATTGGAACTGTAAGTCTAAGTGGAGATGTTACAGGAATAATTTTGCATCTGCTTGTCAACTGTTTGCTCCTCCAGACCCTCCCTTCATCTTCTCCACCCTGCTCTAGACTTTGGGGCTCTGACAGGTTTGAGCTGCATCAACAGTGCTTACTCATCCTCTTTCCAGCTCCCAGTTGGGTTTGGTCACCGAGTAGCGCTGGCAGGAGATAGGAAGGAAGAAGAAAGTGAAGTCCAGCTGTTTAATTCCCTGGCTTTAACCCTGCAGATTACTTTGGGCTGCCCAAGTCCCTAAACTAAAGGGACTTCTTGCTTCAAGGCAGCCTCTGTCCACCAGCACTTCTCAAGCTATACATAGTGAAGGAACAAGTTTTGTTCTTTTGTTTTCATCACCATTTCCTTATGGACTTACAGTTGAAATCAACTAATTTATCTAGGATTTAAACTCTTGTCAGCTGACTCTAAAGTTAGTGATATCCATTCTTTATCATTCTGTAACTACTAGGAAAGTAAGAAATGTAGACACCCTCTAGAAATACAAATTAAAGAATGTGTGTGCCTGGATCGTCCTGATGCCTAGCCTTCTAAGCTGATTCTCCAGTGGAGCCTCAGTAGGGGCCACCTTCCTTCTCCTGCCCGTGTCCCCTCTTCTCTTTCCCTGAAAATGTCTCTCCCCGAGAACAAGAACCAGGGCCCAGATCTTCTTGGAAAACTTTGAAGAGGTGATGAATTTACTATGTTAAAATTATATTTCTTTAAAGTGGAAGTAGTAAACCAATGGGCCAGGGTCTTTAATAATCTTAATGTGAGGGGACCCCCACCTAAGGACTCCTTCCTTCAGCTTTTGGAAATCAGCTTTTGGAGTGCAAAGAACTTGGAACAAAGAACTTGGAAATCAGCTTTTGGGGTGCAAAGAACTTGGAACAAAGACAATGTTCTGCAGTCTCTTTAAATATTGAACTACTCAAGGATCAGGAACACTGCAGTTGCTTTTGCCTTTCAGTGAGAATTAGTGCTCAGAAGGAAACTTCTCTTCTGAATTAAGGTTTAGGGAATCTTTTTGGTCACCATAACTTAGTTATAAATAAAAAGAAAACTAGAAATGGAATGGGCATGTGTATTGTTTTAAGGAACTGCTCTTGTTCCATTAGTGAGTGGCTTTAAAGAGTACAAAGACTCCCTAGCCTTAGGCGTGGGGCTTTATTCCACAGAGCAGAAGACTTTGACATGGAATCAGTGATTCCCTCACATCTTTGGGTTTTAAAGCAATTAAGTGAGATTGATCAGAAACAATAGACATAAGGTAACAGTTGCAAGTATAATTTATACAGGATACCCAACTTGAGTTGTTGTATGTTCTCACTTAATGTTTTACTCCCCTCTAGTGGATTTTTATATAGCACATGATACCCTGAGTGTGGTATGGGATAGCAGATGTTAGAGGAAAAAAATGATTTTGCAATATGTTTAAAGCATGTTGATGTTTTGTAGAATTTCTATACAAGTTTATATAATTTCGGAGATTAAAAAAAAGGTTGGCCGGGTGCGGTGGCTCACCCCTGTAATCCCAGCACTTTGGGAGGCCAAGGCGGGCGGATCACAAGGTCAGGAGTTCGAGACCAGCCTGGCCAATATGGTGAAACCCCATCTCTATTAAAAATACAAAAATTAGCTGGGCATGGTGGCGTGCACCTGTAGTCCCAGCTACTCAGGAGGCTGAGGCAGGAGAATAGCTTGAACCCAGGAGGCGGAGGTTGCAGTGAGTCAACATCGTACCACTGCACTCCAGCCTGGGCGACAGAGCAAGATTCCATCTCAAAAAAAAAAAAAAAAAATGGTTAAAGACCTGTTAGTTCACTTTCCCCATTTTGCAGGTGAAGAAGCTAAGTCTCAGAAAGATAACTCACCCAAGAGGACACAAGGATAAACCTGATACCCATGGCAGTAGAAAGCCTACACTTACCCACTCAGATGCTCATCAATGGAGGAGAGACTTATGCCTGGAGGAACTTGGAAATCAAACTCAGTAAGTGTATTATGTGTTGTTGATACTCTAGGAGGGGAGGGGTTTACATCAGGAAGGGAAGGGTAAGTGTTAACAGGGACATGTAGAGATGAAAGTATTGACAATATAAACTCTGGGTTGCTTTCCTTCTTGCTACTGCCAATTGGTGCAGCACCTGCTTAGAGGTGTCCTTTGGCTTGGAGACCTCCTTAGTCTATATAGTCTGAATTCTTGCTGTGTAATTTTTAGTTCTGTTTCATTCTCCTTAAATTTTCACAACCATTCTCCAAAGAATTTCTACTTACCTCCACTCTCCTAAATAAAAGTTTTACTCTTTTGTATGAAAAATTTTCATCAGCATTCCTAAAGTTGATGGTTCACTTTAGGAATGCCTGATTAAGCTTCTGCTAGACTGGTCCTCCCACAGAAAACAATTATAACCTCTGGGCAAAATAAAAAACAAACAAAAATCTACCTGGAGGCAATGAAGCCTGAACAAAATGAAATTTATTCTGGAGGGAGGTTGGCATTTGGGAGAAGGGAATGGTAAAGGGTAGATTTCCTGTGTTTTAACAGCTCTTCGCCTGAAGGCAGACCACAGTTGGCAACATGTGGTAGCTGAAATGCCCATAGAAAATTGGGAGTCTTTCTGGTCTAAGGAATCAGAGCACAGAGTTCAAGGCAATTGTAGCTACTGGAAAGTGAAGGGGGAATCCTAGCAATCATAAAACCAGGAAAGGGAAACTAAAAATTGCTCAAATCTTTGTTGATCTGTGACTTCTTCATGGATGGACCAGATTCCAAGTAGCTTCCTTAAGAATAAAATAACTGGACTGAGATTTGGGTTATTGCCCAAGAGAGAAGAGTTTACAGTTTTGGTCTAACTAAGTCACTTGCCTGCTAAAACAAAACAAAATAAAAAGTAATACTCTTTGGAGGAATATAACCAAATCCAGAGTCTTCTCACATAATTTTCACAGTGTCTAGGATATAATCCAAAATTACTCAACATAATAGAAACAACAAAAAATGTGATCTATTCTCAAGAAAAATAATAGTCAACACAGACCAAACCTGAGATGATCCAAATGTTGAAAGTAACAGGCAAGAATTTTGAAGTAGCTGTTGTACACATGCACAGTGATGTAAAAGGAAATATGCTTACAATGAATGAAAAGATAGGAAATTTCAGCAAAGAAATAAACCATTAAAAGAACCAAATAGGGATTCTTGAACTAAAAATTAAATTATCTGAAATAGAACATTCACCATGGGCTTAATGGCAGAAGGAGATGACAGAGGAAAGAGCCACTGAACTTGAAAGTAGAATCAATAGAATTATCTAATAGGCAATAGAGTGGTCAAAGAAACTTAACAAAGAAAGCAAGCAAGCATCAAGGATTTGTGGTACAAAGCCAAAAGGTTTAACATATGTATAATAAGAGGCCCAGAGGAGAGGAGAAAAAGAAAATTAAACAAAAGAAACATTTTAAGCATTAATGGACAAAATTTCTCCCTTTTTTTTTTGTTTTTGTTTTTTTGTTTTTTGCTTTTTGTTTTTTTGAGACAGACTCTCGCTCTGTCGCCCAGGCTGGAGTGCAGTGGCATGATCTCGGCCCACTGCAACTTCTGCCTCCCAGGTTCACACCATTCTCCTGCCTTAGCTTCCAGAGTAGCTGGGACTACAGGTGCCTGCCACCACACCTGGCTAATTTTTTGTATTTTTAATAGAGACGGGGTTTCACCATGTTAGCCAGGATGGTCTTGATCTCCTGACCTCGTGATCCACCCGCCTTGGCCTCCCAAAGTGCTGGGATTACAGGCGTGAGCCACCGTGCCCAGACCCCAATTTTTATATGAATTATAAATTTACAGTTTAAAAAAGCTCAGCAAACTCCAAGTCATAGCATAACCAAAGTGCTGAAAACCAAAGACAATGAGAAATTTCTGAAAGCAGGCAAAAAAAAAAAAACAACAAACTATATATAAGGGAACAATTATTTGATGACCACTGAAGTCTCATGAGAAATGAAGAGACCAGAAAACAATTAACCAACATCTTTAAAAAGCTACAGGAAAAAAAAAAAAAAAAAGGGAAAGGAAGAGAAGAGGAGAGGGGAAGGGAAGGAAAGGTGAGCATCAGAACTGGTAACTAGAAAATATTTTTTATCTGTTTCTTTAAAATATATATATAACAATTTTAAGCAAAAATTATAACATTGTCTCATGTTTATAATGTATATAAATTTAATGCATATGACAATTATAGCATAAAATAAGGGATGGAGGTGGCTGATAAGTGGACTATATGATTGCAAGTGCTCTACAATTTACATGAAGTGATATAGTAATATATCTTGATAGCAGTTTGGATTACACAGATGTTTGCAATCGTCAAAACTCAACAAATGTACACTTCAGGTTTGTACATTTTACTCAGGTTTTACCTTTTACTTCAGGTTTGTAAGTTTTACCTCAAAAGAAAAGTACTGCAGACAATGTTGAACTCTAAATATTAACAATACAGAAAATATTGAACTCTAAAATGCATGCTGAAACATTTAGAGGGAAGAGTATGGATGTCTGCTATTTATTTGGAAATACTAAAAAAAAAAGAGGGATTGATGTGGATAGAGGGATGGGTAGACAGGGGATAAAGCAAGTATAGTAAAATATTATTCATATATTCTAGGTGGTAGGCATACAATGGTTCACTGACAAATTATTTTAACTTTGCCATATGTTAGAAAATGTCTATAATAAGGCTGGGCATGGTGGCTCATGCCTGTAATCTCAGCACTTTGGGAGGCTGAGGCCAGAGGATTGCTTGAGCCCAGGAGTTCAAGACCAACCTGGGCAAAGTGGAGAAACCATGTCGCTACCAAAAATACAAAAATTAGTCACGTGCAATGGTGCATGCCTGTGATCCCAGCTACTTGGGAGGCAGAAGTGGGAGGATCGCTTGAGCCTGGGAGGCAGAGGTTGCAGTGCGCTGAGATTGCACCACTGCACTCCAGCCTGGGTGACAGAATGAGAACTTGTCTTAAAAAAAAAAAAAAGAAAAAAGTCTATAATAAAATGCCAGCAATATGAGGTTAAAACTTAAAACTGCATTTATAAAGATTTATAGTAATCTTCTCCTTTGTTTTTTTCCAATGTAACATTGATATTTATTACTGGCTCTAGGAAGACTTTAACATGGCATTAGGACACATTTTTCAAACCCAACTGTAAAAATAAACAGGTTTTAGAAATGTTTTTAATACAGAAGTTACTAAAAAGAAGAAACTCCCAAAATTTTATCACCCAGCAGCAGCACTTTTAATATTTTGGTGAATTAGTTTTCAGTATTTTAAAACATGAATATATAATCTCTTTCATCTTGGTGATTTTATTATGACATTAAATATTTTTATAAAATATAATTTTTTGTTTTGTTTTGTTTGAGACAGGGTCTCACTCTGTCACTCAGGCTGGAGTACAGTGGTGTGATCTCACCTCACTGGAGCCTCCCCCTTTTTAATGGCTTAATTGTATACAGACATTATATTATTTGACCTGAATGAAAAGATAGAAATAAATAAACCTCTTATTTGACATATAAATTGTTTTCAGCCTTTCACATAAATGTTTACATAAAAAGAGGTCATAGAACAAGAATTAAAAATTAGAAGGGGATCAGACTTCTCACTTGCAACAAATAAAATTAGAAAACAGTGGAACAGTGCTTTTACACTTCTGATGGAAAAAGACCTTCAATTCATAATCCAGTACTCAGCCTGCCAATTTAATAATAATGCAATGCCTTTAAAAATTTACTATTTCCAGGTACAATAGCTCACACCTGTAATCCCAGCACTTTGGGAGGCTAACGTGGGCAAATCACTTGAGCCCAGGAGTTCCCGACCAACCTGGGCAACATGGTGAAACCCCATTTCTACAAAAAAAATACAAAAATTAGGTGGGCGTGATGGCATGCACCTGCAGTCCCAGCTACTTGGGAGGCTGAGGCAGGAGGATACTTGAGCCCAGGAGTTCAATGCTGCAGTGAGCCATGATCATGCCACTGCACTCCAGCCTGTGTGACAGAGCAAGACCCTGTCTCTATTTAACAACAACAATAACAACAAAAATTACTCTTTTTTTAAACAAACAAACAAAAAACTATTTTGGGATGTGCTTTCCGAAAACAAGTTGGCAACAAAGAAAGTGGAAGACACAGGATCCAGGAAACAAGGATGGAATGCAACACAATGGAAAAAGGAAGGGAATTCCCAAGACAAAAAGGAAATTGCCAGGGTGGTTGTGAAGGGGAGTTCCAGCAGTACAGTGATTATGGATTGCAGCCCATCTAGAATCGTGGAAAAGAATGGAGATACTCATGAAAGAGAGTTCTTGAAGAAAAATGAAATGTATAGAATACCCAGTGAGTTTAAACTTGAGAGAATAGTTTTAGTTCTGTTGGGAAACTGTGGATGAAACGATGAGAGGATGATGAAATGATGATGGATGAAGTTTTCTCAACTTAAAAAAAAAGTTGAAAAAATGTCAAAGGCAGTATTTTTTCCAGAGAAAGAGTTGTACATGGAAATAAATATTATCATTGTATGCTGTAGGCTTATCCCTGAACAATATTTATTTTATCATAATAATGTAAACACGTTACACTCCTTAAAAAAGAATAATAAAGCTATATTGAGATTATCAGGGAAGAAAAGTGTATGTATGTGGGCAGAAGCAGGGTATGTACGAGCAAACTCCTTATTTTCCACAGTTGAAAATAAATAGATAATATCTAAAACTAAAAAATATTAAGAAAAATCAGTATAAAGATGTTATTGAGAGGCCGGGTGTGGTGGCTCACACCTGTAATCCCAACAATTTGGGAGGCTGAGGCGGGAGGACTGCTTGAGCTCATGAGTCTGAGACCAGCCTGGGCAGCATGGCAAAACCCCATCTCTACAAAAAAAAAAAAAATTAGCTAGGCATGGTGGTACCTGCCTGTAGTCCCAGCTACTCAGGAGGCTGAGGTGGGAGGATGGCTTGAGCCCAGGAGGTTGAGGTTGCAATGAGCCAAGATGGCACCACTGCACTCAAGCCTGGGCGGCAGAGCCAGACTTGCCTCAAAAACAACAACAACAAAAAGATGTTATTTAGAAATTTGGAGCTAAGCATGTTCTCACTTGTAAGTGGGAGCTAAATGATGAGAACACAGGGACACATAGAGGGGAACAACACACACTGGGGCCTTTTGGAGGGTGGAGGGTGGAGGGTGGGAGGAGGGAGAGGATCAGGAAAAATAACTAATGGGTACCAGGCTTAATACCTGGGTGATGAAATAATCTGTACAACAAACCCTCATGACACAAGTTTATCTGTGTAACAACAAACCTGAACCTGTAATCCCTGAACTTTGAAAGTTAAAAAAAAAAAAAAGACATTTGGAGGTAAATACTAGAAAACAGCTAAAGGGATTGAAAGTTGCCCTGGGGGACAATACATTGTTGCCCCGGGGGACGAGAATTTGGACTAGAAAAAGCTAGGCTAGAATTTTGCTGTTTTTTCATTATGTCTGTTTTTTATTATGATTTTTTTAAACTCTCAATTATGGGAGAAGTGTATATATTCCACCAGTCCAAGCTAAGGCACTTCCAGGTTGCAAAATCCCCTGAGTAGGGCTTGCAAAGCTTAACCACATCATCCTGAAACTCCACATAGTTGCCCTGTGTCGTTATACAATAGCTTTTAGCAGGCACGGTCACCTAGACCTCACATCTGGGTTCTGGGTAGAATTTCTTACACCACGATCACAAGACCCATCCTGTGACATTGCCCACAGTCCCTAAGATAATGACTAATTAGCTCAGATATACAGTTGAATTGCTGCTGTGAATTTGCAGGCATGCTAGCCAGTTAAAGGTTGGGAGAGGCTGAGAGGGCTGCCCTGGGACTATCACATTCCCCTTTGTGAAGAAATTTAAACAGAAGCTAGATAAAGGCTTAAGGAGGATGTTGTGGAGACTTGTAGATTCGGGATAGGGTTGGCATAGGTGGCTGTGAAGTCCCTCCATCCTGAGATTCTGTGAAAGACTTTCTTCAGGCCTTGCTTAGAATTGCTACCAGTTAGTATTTAGGGCAAGGATTAGAACCCAGGAAGAGATGTTAATTATCTCTTTACCTCTCTTAGTTTTTCTAACAGCCTTGAATACATTCAATATATTCCCACTGCCTTTCAAATGTTCCTAGTGTGTTTGAAAAGCATGTGTATTATCCATTGTTGGCAATCTATATTTTATATGTGATCATTTGATAAAACTTGATAAATGTGTTGTTCAAATTTTAATTTCTTGCCTGTTCAATCTGTCAATTGTTTTAAGAAGTATGTGAAACTCAGTTTCTCCTTGTAGTCATCTCAATTTTTCTTTATCTATTTTGAGCCTATCTTATGTTCATGTACATTTAGAATTCTTATTTCCTCCTGATTTATTAAAACTTTTGAAAACTATGTAGTGACCTTTGTTATCTTCATGAATATTCCCCTCTTTCATTTAAAATTAATACAGCTATGCCAGACTTTTTCATTAGTATTTTCCTGGTATATATTTTTCCATCCTTCTACTTTCAACCTTTCTGTCTTATGCTCATACCTTCCTTCTGGGGTTATTTTCTTTCTTTCTGAAGTACTTGAGAAGTTCCTTTCCCACTGTCAGCAATGGACAGATAATGTAGACAGAAAATCAACAAAGAAACATCAGACTTAAACTGCACCACAGACCAAATGGACCTAACAGTCATCTATAACACATGCTGCAGAATACACATTCTTCGGAACTGCACATGGAAGATTCTCCAGGATAGAACATGTTAGGCCACAAAACAAGTCTTTACAGATTTAAGAAGCTTGACATCGTATTGAGTATGTTTTATGGACAAAATGGTATAAATTAGAAATCCACAAGAAGGAAAACTTCAGAAACTTTACAAATACATAGAAATTAAACAATATGCTCCTAAATAACCAATCGGTCAATGAAGAAGTTAGGAGGGAAATTTAAAAATTTTTTGAGGCAAATGAGAATGGAAACATATCACACCAAAACCTATGGGACACAGCAAAAGCAGTTCTGAGAGGAAGTTTATAGCAATAAATACCTACATCAAAAAAAGAAGAAAGATTTTAATAAACAACATAATGATGCACCTGAAGAAACTAGTAAAGCAAGAATGAACTCAACCTAAAATTGGTAGGAGAAAGGAAGTAATAAAGCTCAGAGCAGAAATAAACAAAATAGAGACTGAAAAAAAAAACAATTCAAAAGGTCAATGAAACAAATAGTCATTTTTTTTAAAAGATAAAATCAATAAACCTTTAGCTAGACTCAAAAAAGAGAAGAGTTAAATAGGTAGAATCAGAGATGAAAAAGGAAACATTACAACTGATATCATAGAAATACAAAAAATTGGATGACAGAGCCTTGGCAGAAAATTAAATAAATAAAAATTTAAAAAAATACAAAAGATCAGCTGGGTGCAGTGGCTCATGCTTGTAATCTCAGCATTTTGGAAGGCAGAGACAGGAGGATCACTTGAACACAGGAGATTCAGACCAGCCTGGGCAACATGATGAGACACCCCGCTTCCATCTCTACAAAAAATTAAAAAATTAGCCAGGCATGGTGGCAGATGCCCATAGTCTTAGCTACTCAGGAAGTTGAGATAGGAGGATCCCTTAAGCCCAGGAGTTCCAGGCTGCAGTGAGCTATGACCATGCCACTGTACTCTAGCCTGGGTGACACAGTGAGACCCTTTCTCTCAAAAAAATTTTTTAAGGAATACAAAAGATCATAAGAGACTTCCCCCCCATTTTGCCATGCCTTTATAAAAATCACAGATCATAAGTGACTATTATGAACAACTATATGCCAACAAATCTGACAACATAGGAGAAACAGATAAATTTCTGGACACATACAACTGTCAAGATTAAATAAAGAAGAAATAGAAAATCTAAACAGACCGATAATGAGTAGGGAAATCAAATCAGTCACAAAAAGTCTACCATCAAAGAAAAACCCAGGATCTGATGGCTTCACTGCTGAGTTCTAACAAACATTTAAAGAAGAAAGAATACCAATCCTCCTCAAACTATTCCACAAAATTGAAGAGGAGGGAATACTTCCAAACTCATTTTACAAGGCCAGCATTATTCTGATTCCAAAACCAGACAAGAACATAACAGAAAAAGAGGAAACTACAAGCTGTAGCCCTGATGAACACAAATGCAAAAATCCCCAAGATACTAGTAAACTGAATTCAACAGCACATTAAAAGGATCATTCACTATGATCAAGTGGGATTCATCCCAGAAATACAAAGATAGTTCAACACATGCAAATCAATAAATATGATGCACCAAATTAACAGAAAGAAGGACAAAGCCATCTGATCATTTCAACAGCTGCAGAAAAAGCATTTGACAAAATCCAACATCCTCTCATGATAAAAACTTTCAACAAATTAGGTATAGTTAGAATGTACCTCAACACAGTAAAGACCATATATGACAAACCCACAACTAACATCTTACTGAATGGAGCAAAGCTGAAAGTTTTTCCTCTAAAATCAGGAAAAAGACAAGGATACCCACTTTTACCACTTCTATTTGATATAGTACTTAAAGTCCTAGCCAGAGCAATTTATACAACAGAAAGAAATAAAAGACATGCAAATTGGAAAAGAATTCAATTTGTCTCTGTTTGTGGGCAACATGATCTTATATATAGAAAGCTCTAAAGACTCCACCAAAAAACTATTAGAACTAATAAACAAATTAAATAAAATTGCAGGATATAAACCAACATACAAAAATCAGTAGTATTTCTATACACTAATAGTGAACTATCTGAAAAAGAAATCAAGAAAATGATCCTATTTACAACAGTTACGAAAAAATGAGTTAGGTAGGAATAAACTTAAGAAAGGTGAAATATCTCTACACTGGAAACTATAAAACAATGATGAAAGAAATTGTAAAAGGCACAAATAAATGCAAAGATATCCTGTGTTTATTGATTGGAAGAATAAATATTGTTAAAATGGCCACACTACCCAAAGCAATCTACGGATTTAATACAAACTATCAAAGTACCAATGAAATTATTCACAGAAATAAAAGAAACAATTCTAAAAGTCAAATGGAACTACAAAAGATACAAAATAGCTGAAGCAATCCTAAGCAAAAAGAACAAAGCTACAGGCATCACACTACCTGACTTTAAAATACATAAAGCTATAGAAACTGAAACAGCATGATACTGGCATAAAAGCAGACATATAGACCAAGGAAACAGAATAGAGAGCACCTTCGGGGAAAAGACAGTCTTTCCAATAACTGATGCTGGGAAAATTGGATATTCACATGTGGAAGAATGAGAATAGACCCCTACCTCTCATCATGTGCAAAAATCAACTCAAAATGCATTAAATACTTAAATGTAAACTTGAAACTCTGAATTTACTAGAAGAAAACATAGAGAAAATGCTTCATGACATTGGACTAGATAAAGATTTTTTAAATAAGACCTCAAAATAACAGTTAAAAGCAACAAAAGAAAAACATAGGCAAAGGGGGTTACATTAAACTAAAAAGCTTTTGCACAGCAAAGAAAAGAATAAACAGTGAAGAGGCAACCTACAGGATGGGAGAAAATATTTGCAAACCCTGTACATCTGACAAGAAGTCAATATCCAGAATAAATAATGAACTTAACAGCAAGATAAAAATAAAAATGCAGATAAAAAATGAACCAAAGACCTGAATAGTCATTTCCCAAAAGAATATATACAAATGGCTAACAAGTATGTGGGAAAATGTTCAACATCACTAATCATCAGGGAAATACAAATCAAAACCCTAATGAGAATGGTTATGAGTGCCTATTATAAAAAGTTAGAATGTCTGCTATAAAAAAGACAAAAGAAAACAAGTGTTGGCAATGATGTGGAGAAAAGGACAAACTTACTCACTGATGGTGGGATTATAAATTAGTACAGCCATTATGAAAAACAGTATGGAGTTTCCTCTTTAAAAAAAAAATAGAGCAACTGCATGATTCAGGAAGTCCACTACTGGGTTTATACCCAAAGAAAACTGAATCAGTATGTCAAGGAACTATGTACACTGCCATGTTTATTTCAGCACTATTTGTAATAGCCAACATATGGAATCAACCTAAATGTCCAACAAAGAATGAATGAGTAAAGAAAATGTTGCATATATAAGCAATGGAATAATACTCAGCCTTGAAAAAGAATGAAATTCTATCATTTATGACAACGTGGGTGAACCTGGAGGACGTAATGTTAAGTGAAATAAGCCAGACACAGAAAGACAAATACCACATAATATCACTCATGTTGAATCTAAAATAAAAAGTTAATATCATAGAGGTAGAGAAAACAGTGGTTACCAGAGACTGGGGATAGGGGGACAAGGAAGGGAGAATGGTGAGAGGTTGATCAGTGGGTACAAAGTTACAATAAGATAGGGGAAATGAGATCTGATATTATATTGCACAGTAAGGTGACTGGTTAGTACTAAGGTATTGTATATTACCAAATAGTCAGAAGACATGTTATTGAATATTCTTACCACAAAGAAATGATAAATTTATGAGGATGGATATGCTATTAATAACTACCTGGATTTGATCATTGTATGACATACACATATATTGAAATATCAAATTGTGTCCCATAACTATGTATAATTACAATGTGTCAATTTAAACATGAAAATAATAAAAATCCAAAAAATAAGAAGTTTTTCAAAGTAAATATACGTTGGAAGTTACTTCCTTCAGTTTGTTTGTCTGAAAAACTTTTTTAAGTTTATTTTTTACTTCACTCTTAAAAGATAACTATTCTGGGTATAGATTTATAAATTGGTGATTATTTTCTTTCAGTGTTTTGAGGCATTATTCCATTGTCCTGCTTTTATTGTTGTTGAGAAATCAGCCTTTGGTCTAAGTATTCCTTTGAAAGTAAAGTAATCTGTTCTTTTTACTCTCTGTTGATTCTCTCTTTCTCTCTTTCTTTCTTTCTCTCTCTTTCTTTCTTTTTTGGAGGGGGAGTACTTTTAAAATCATTTCTTTAACTTGATGTTGTATATTCTCACTACAATGCATCTAGGTTAAGATTTGTTTGCATTTATGCTGCTTGAGATTCACTGGGTTTCCTGAATCTAAAGATTCATGAGTCTAACGGATTCTGGAAAAGTTTCAGCTATAATCTCTTCAAAATATTGCTTCTCCCCATTACCTCCTGCAACTCTCATTAGATGTAGTTCAAACTTCTCAAACTGTGCTCTATGGTTTTTGATTTCTATTTCATGTTTTCTATTTCTGTGTCTCTTGAGTTGCATTCTAGTTAATTCCTTCAGCCCTGTTATTCACTACACACAGTTTCTTTTCAGCTGTGTCTAATCTGCTGTTTAAGCTGTCATTGAATTTCTAATTTTAGTCTCTAAATATTTAATGTAGTTTCAAAAAATGATTTCTATTTTTGATAACTCTTATACCTTGCCATGTTTTGGATAGCTCTCATTTTTTCTTTAATTATGTTAAACAGTTACATTAGTTTTTAATTGTTCTAATATACCCCATCTTTGTAAATATAATTCTGTAGTCTATTATTTTGTCTACCTCTAACTCATGATGGGTTGTTTTCTTTTTATGAGTATGGTGATGTTTTTTGTTTCTTTGTTTGTTTTTTAACTTTTATTTTAAGTTCAGGGGTAAAAGTTCATGTTTGTCACGTAGGCAAACTTGTGTCATAGGGGTTTGTTATACAGATTATTTCATCACCTAGGTATTAAGCCTAGTACACATTAGTTATTTTTCCTGATCCTCTCCCTTTTCCCACTCTTCACCCTCTGAAAGGCCCCAGTGTGTGTTGTTCCCCTCTACGTGTCCGTGTGTTCTCAGGTGATATTTTTTGAATGACAGCTCGAGTACCTTGGAACTTTGTCCTTAGAAATTCACTGAAGCCCAGGTTTAATCAAGTTGTACTTCTCTGCAAAGAACTGTGCTCTGTGCTCACTTCTGTGACATGTCTAGAGGCCTTTCCAACCTGAGAATGCTTTAAATGCATTGTGTGTGTGTATGTGTGTGTGTGTGTGTGTGTGTGTGTGTGTGCATGCGCGCCTTATAGAATTTCAACTCCAAACTATGATTTGGGTTGGGAATTTCAGGACATTTAATTTCTTTCTACCTGAGGCAAGTCTCATAATCTGCTTCTATGAGTCGTTTGTTTCTTTGTTCTGTATTTTGTTCACTAAGAGTGTTACCTTTCAGGGGTCTCACTTTACGTGGGGATCTTGACCTGACTCATCTTGTGTGGGACCTGTGCTTTTTCTCCTGTGCCCTTTTTTTCATAGGCCACCAGGGATTGACAGATGTGCAACCTTTGGCTTCAGTGCTTTCTCACACTCTCAATTCACGCTTTCTTGTTTTTTGATTTGAGGCTTCTGAGGATTTTCCTAATTTTCTTGCCGTATCAACTACTCGTTTGATGACTGTGACTTTAATGAATATATATATATATATTTATATATATGAATATGTTTTAATATTTTAAAATATATTGTACCAGGATTAATTTTTGCCATTTAGTTTAGCATATTGAAGAAAACAGAAATGCCTTGCTTTCTTTCACTCTTGATTTCTTTCTTTTACTCCCTCTCTTCTTCTCTCCTCTTCTCTGTTTTCTTTGGTTTTTCTTTCTCATTATTTCATTTTTCTTTTTTGTCATTCTATTTTTCTTTTCACATGCCCTTGATATTTTCTTTTTTCCCTCTTTCTTGTCCTCTTATTATTCTTGTTTGTTTTATCTTTCTTGCTCTTTATTTCATTTTCTTTTCTTTCCTTTTTCTATCATTCATGCCATTTTTCAAAGAAAAGCCCCCAAAATTGTTTTCAGTTTAATACAGAGTAATGTTTTAGTAATCTCTTTTTGTAAAATTAGTTTGACTATCACTAATTAGGACAATGAGTTCTGTATCATTGGAATGAAGTACTATTTATTGACTATAATGCTTTTCATATAATAAGTGCTCAATAAATGTTTTTGTTTTTGAATGAAACTTTATTCAATATTCTAACTCTGTTATGGTGAACACATTGTGAGATCTAAATGTTGCCAAGTAGACTGTACCTGTGACTCAGTCAAGCCTAACCCAAACTGACAGAGAAATTGATGGAATGTTAATTGATAGCAGCTGGATGACTGGCATGAGCGCAGCCACAGGAAAGGGCCAAGGATCTCTCAGTGAATATAAAACTTACATATATCAAAGGACCCAGAGGCTTTTTAATGAGAATGACCTCTGGTTAAAATTAGAGTGAAAGGGAAATAAAGATAATAACTTAGGGACTTTGGGTTCTAGCATATTTTCCACTTAATAGCCACTGACTTAGAAAATGAAACTCATGGAATTCTCATAATAGTGGTGACTTGGCTCTAATGATCCCGAAACCCCAGTAGGTGGGTTCATGACTTGTTGGTTAGCAACAATGGAAATTATACCAAGTGGAGAAAACAGGAATAAGTCCCCAAATTTGAAATATCATTATCAGTGTTTTGGCTGATAGAAAACAGGTTGTGGTTACTGAATTTGCCTCTTAGAGTGGGCTGAGCAGGGGTAGCTTATTCATTGGAATTGAAAACAACTCTAGATGGATTTGAGGGGAATAAGATCAGAGTTTTTGTGGATCACAAGCTGGCTGTACATCAGTAAAGACCTCCCATTATATGAAAAATTCTAAGTTAATACTGGAATAAGTTGACAAGGCTAAACCTATCATAGGTCCTAGGCTGTGTTTTGGTGGGGACCCTCCAGGAAAATCTCCTTTTGGGGCTGGAGAGTTCCCTAGAGAAATTAGTGATCACCCTGTCCACTAAATGAGGTCTCTGGTCTCTTACTATAAAACTGGCTGATGCAACTTGATTGTAATTTACTAGTTTGACTTCGGTTGTGTTCAAAATATTAAAGCATGATAGTGTTTAACTGTATACTGATGAGTTGTTTTATCTATTTGCCCTCCCCAATACACAGCTTTATTTCTGTAGCATTCTAAAGCAAATTCCTGAAATTATTGCATTTTATCTGTAAATACTTTAGAATACTGGCTACCTCTGAGAAGGGTTAAGGTTATATCTGGTTGGTCCAATAGAGGATGCCACAAGACATGAGCCTGGTCCGTGATACTTCTTCCTCATCTGCTAGTGCTAACATTTGCATAGTAATTTCTAGATATGTGTCAGAAACATTTTAAGTGCTTCACATGTTTTAACACCCCTGACAAACTTGGAGGGAGTCCATTTTCTTGGGGTCCCACAGGCTATCAGAACAACTCTACCTACATATCCATCAATATGTGCTCCACTCTATTAAAAGTGCTGAAAACTGCAACCCTTTGCATCTGTTTGGCTAGGGTTTCTCTTTTTTTCATTTTCACTGTGGCTCAGAGGATGAAGGTGACTTACTGCTTGCTTGTGTCTTACCTATACATGAAAAGTGTGTTTCTCTGGATAAAAGATCATTCATTCAGAAGACAAACAGCTGTTTTCATTCTTGGAAACTGAAAGGTATTTCTTTTCTTTCTTTTCTTTTTTTCTTTTTTGAGGCAGAGTCTTGCACTGTTGCCCGGGCTGGAGTGCAATGGTGTGATCTTGGCTCACTGCAACCTCTGCCTCCTGGGTTCAAGTAATTCTCTTGCCTTAGCCTCCCGAGCAGGCGGGATTACAGGTGCCCACCACCATGCCTGGCTAGTTTTTTGTATTTTTAGTAGAGACAGGGTTTCACTATGTTGGCCAGGCTAGTCTCAAACTCCTGACCTCGTAATCTGCCTGCCTCAGCCTCCCAAAGTGCTGGGATTACAGGCCTGAGCCACCGCGCCCGGCCAGAACCTGAAAGGTATTTCTTCATCAGATTCATATTTGAAGACATCTTTAATTTTTTTAACCATTAAACAGTGTTTACTTCAGTTGTGGGCTCTGCTTCTCTGGGATGATTATGAAGAAATGGAAGCTGGCATGTCGAACATACAAACTTACTTTGGAATGTACCAGCTTGCTTTCCTTTGAAGGTGCAAGGAAAGTAAATCAGTAGGGTACATTACTATATCCATCTACTAGAAATTGTTACCTACTATGGTAATCTTTTAGGTTGGAATATTTTAGACTGGAAAATGAATCTTTTCCAACCTTGTAATCCAAGAAAGTTTGACCACTGGTGTTTTGACTCAAAAATAAATTTTGAGAGTTATTTGGATTTTTAAGAGAACAGTTGAAGAAATGGTATAGTATTTTAAATATATTATTTTGTAGTTTAGAAATTATGAATATAAAGTCTGATCTCTTAGAATTCAGGTGTACAAAGAAGAGTTTTTCATTAGAAACCGGCCTTGAGCAGAGACCAAGCTGTAGGAAAGACAACCCTGTGCTGCCTCCCTAGAAGGCAGGGACAATGTGGGGGACTATGTATTCTGACAGGTACCAATATCACACGCTACCACAATTCAGATAACTTTAAAATAAACTTTCATATCTGATAGATACGCTTTTTTGCCCAGATACTTCCTGGCTATTATTGCATACTTTGTCCAGAAGAAAAATTTTAATCATTAGTTAAAATTTTTAAATGGCATTTGAATTCTATGGAATTTAGTATTAATTAGGTACAACTGACATTTTTGCATTGATGAATTTTTCAATTTGAGACATACTACATTTGTCCTTTTAATTATTTATGTTTTTAGACAAGTTTTCTTGTTGTATTGCTTTTGTTTTCTTTATATTGCTCCTGCATGTTCCTTAAGTTTATTTGTAGGTATTATACATTTTGTGTTATTTTCTACATTGCAATTTCTGGTGGACTAATATTGGTATTATAAGAAACCTATTGGCTGGGCATGGTGGCTCCAGCCTGTAATCCCAGCACTTTGGGGGGCTGAGGTGGGTGGATCACTCGAGCCCAGGATTTCGAGACCAGCCTGGCCAACATGGTGAAACCCTGTCTCTACCCAAAACACAAAAATTAGCTGGGCATGGTGACGTGTGCCTGTAATCCCAGCTACTCAGGAGGCTGAGGCAGAAGAATCACTTGAACCTGGGAGGTGGAGATTGCGGTAAGCTGAGATCACCCCACTGCAATCCAGCCTGGGTGACAGAGCAAGGCCCTGTCTCCAAAAACAAAACAACAAAAAAAACCTATTGATTTTTGTGTATTAATTAGTACGATACTGGTTGCTTATTAATTTTAATAGTGTTTCAGTTGTTGTTCTTGTTCTTCCAGAAAGGCAGTTATCAGAAGTAAATAATAATGATTTTTGCTTTTTCCTTTCCAAAATATATATTCCATGTTTTGTTAGCATATGTGATTGTATTGGCTAGCATATATGTTGTATCTAGAGTGATATTAAATCATATGGTAAACAGGATTCATTCTTGCTTTATATCTGATTGAAAGAGAAATGTCTTTGCAGCAGTATTCTGAAAGTTCCTGAAAATACTGTTTAAAAAACAGTAGTCAAATATATTTTGGAAACACATATTAATATGTTAAAGGTTCTGAAATATCTGTAGTAAAGAGATTTGTTTACATGTGATTAATTTATTGTTACCATTTCCTAAATGTACTTAATAATTTAATAATAAACCATTAATCTATCCCTTCTTTTTTTTGAGACAGGGTCTTTGTCTTGCTCACGCTACAGTGCAGTGGTGTGATCATAGCTCACTGCAGCCTTAACCTCCCAGGCTCAAGTGATCTGACACCTCAGTCTCCCGAGTAGTTGGGACTACAGGGATGCACCATCGTGCTCAGCTTTTTATTTTTTGTAGATACAGGATCTCACTATGTTGTCCAGGCTGGTCTCAAACTCCTGGGCTCAAGTGATCCTCCTGCCTTGGTTACCCAAGTTGCTGGGATTACAAGCATGAGCCACTGTGCCCGACCCCTTCTTTTTTTTCTTTTTTTTTTTTTTTAACGCAATAACTGTAACCTTAGCTAACCAACACTCTATATATTGAAACATGCTATTGGATATTGGTTGGAAACAATTTTTTTTTTTTTTGACATGGAGTTTCGCTCTTGTTGCCTAGGCTGGAGTGCAATGGTGTGATCTCGGCTCACATTGACCTCTGCGTCCCAGGTTCAAGCGATTCTCCTTCCTCAACCTCCCGAGTAGCTGGGATTACAGGCATGCAGTACCACGCCTGGCTAATTTTGTATTTTTAGTAGAGAGGGTGTTTCTCCATGTTGGTCAGGCTGGTCTTGAACTCCTGACCTCAGGTGATCTGCCTGCCTCGGCCTCCCAAATTGCTGGGATTACAGGCATGAGCCACCATGCCCAGCGGAAACAATTTTCAAGACCATTTTACATAAATTTATTTGATTCCTATTTTATTAGTAAATGCTAAATTTTACCAAATGAATTTTTAGTAATCAAGATGATTGAAATGTCTTTTTTCCTTTGATCAATGTGATGAATTATATTGATAGATTTTTTGATATTAAACTATTTTTGAATGTTTAAAAGAAACCATTCCAGCCAGGCATGGTGGCTCACGCCTATAATCCCAGCACTTTGGGAGGCTGAGGTGGGTGGATCATGAGGTCAGGAGGTCAAGACCAGCCTGACCAACATGGTGAAACCCTGTCTCTACTAAAAATACAAAAATTAGCCAGGTGTGGTGGCACGTGCCTGTAACCCCAGCTACTCGGGAGGCTGAGGCAGGAGAATTGCTTGAACCCGGGAGGCAGAGGTTGCAGTGAGCCGAGATTGTGCCATTGCACTCCAGCCAGGGTGACAGAGTGAGACTCTGTCTCGGAAAAAAAAAAAAAGAAACCATTCTATGACCATGGGCTTTCATTCCTTTAATATTCTTCCATATTTCATTTGCTAATATTTTATTTAAGATTTTTAGGTCTATAGATCTTAACAATAACAGCCAAGCATTAATGATCTAGGGTACTTAGATAGAAGTAGCCTGCTAACTTTTTGTAATTATGTTACCAAAAGTAACCAAGACATTGGTACCTAAATCCAAAATACTGGGTTATATTCAAGTTATATTCTTGATATATATTAATATAATCCTACTTGATATTTTTGCTGTAATTCACATCTTTTCCAACAAAAGACTTGATGTGAAGTTTCACCAGAAAATAAAAGAGAATTTCAGTTATCTTCACTACCAATTACATAATTATATATTTTAAATCCCTGACATATAAAAATTACATATTTTGTCCAATTTTACTCAGTTTTAAAAATAAAGATTAGGAGAAGAGAAGGGAATTACTAATGGTTTGTTAATCAGCTTTGGCAAACCATGCTTGTCAAATGATGACTTAAATAAGTAAAAACGTTCTGGGAGAAATAAGTGTATTATGTAATAGTAAGTCCTCACTAGATTCTGAAATAAACAGAAAATAAAATTATTCCAATATCTTTTTTGGAAGAAATACTTCTTTACACATTCACAGGGGAAGCCACGGAGGACCTAGTAGCGTATCTGCTTGGTAAGTTGGCGTTTGAGATTCATATAGCTACCTCCTCCCATTATGTGATAGGTTGCCAAGATCCCTTAATAACTGCCAATGTCAATTTTGTATTGTTTTGTTTTTTCTTGCTGTATGTCTACGATTAAGAAAAAAATGTCAACACATTTTAACAAAATCCTATACATGTGGTAAAAAAAAATTTAAAGCCCAAAGTGCTGAATCTAGGCCTTTGCTTAATAATAATCACATATATGATGAGAATTTTGGAAACATTTCAATTGCAGGTTCCACTTGGATAGCATTATTAGTGCGTGTAATTATAACCTACATGCCAGTGAGCATAAATGTGTAACCAATAACTTGTGAACTTCTGTTGCTGATTGTATCTTTTAAGGTTTGGTGCAAATAACAGAAATATCCCAACAGCAGAACACCCCGTCCTCCGTGTTCCTCCTCCATCCCCACAGATCACTTTTAATATTTCTGTGTGTCCTTCCCCCATTTTCTGTAGGTCTTTACTTTTAACCACCCACACCTCTCCAGAGGACTGCCCTCGGGTTCCTGGAGCCACTTTGTCTGCAAGCACAGGGCATCCGCTGCACCCCACAGTATGGTTCATACCCAGTAACGACAGCGTGAGGGTTTGAAAGCCCAGCTGTCTTACCTCAATTTAGGACAACCTCTGAGCTGTAATTTCCCCTCCAGAGCACTTCTGAAGGATCTGGCTGGGTAGGCCTAAAATTGCACCCTCACTTAACTTTTTCCCTTTCCTAGTCCCACCTCCCTCATCTCCTGAGTGGTTTTTCCTGGAAGCACTTCCTTACTCAATCATTGGCACATAAATCTTCATCTCAGAGTCTGCTTCCAGGAAAACTGACCCAAGACACAGCATAAGTATTTTCTTTAGAAGAAAGGGATCTAATGCAGGGAATTGGGTGCTTATAAAATCATTGGAAGGGAACAGGAATCAGAGGCCACCATTAAGCTTAAGAATATCCTGCCATAATCAGAGGGCCGGTGTATTAGTCCATTCTCACACTGCTATAAAGAAATACACAAGACTAGGTAATCTATGAAGGAGAGATGTTTAATTGACTGTCAGTTCCACATGGCTGAGGAGGCCTCAGGCAACTTACAATCATGGTGGAAGGTGAAAGGGAAGCAAGTACCCTCTTCACAAGGGCAGGAAAGAGAAGAGTGAGGAGTGAAGGGGGACGAGCCCCTTATAAAACCATCAGATCTCATCAGAGCTCACTCATTATCAGGAGAACAGCATGAGGGAACCACCCCCATGATCCAATCACCTCCCACCAGGTGTCTCCCTAGACACGTGGGGATTATGGGGATTACAATTCAAGATGAGATTTGGGTGGGGACACAGCCAAACCATATCAGCAGGGAAGCTGCTGCCAGCATGGACACAACTACCTCTCAGTAGCCAAAGCTGGTGACTAGACAGCAGAACACAGTGCCTGGCCACTATCTTGTAGAAGCTATGTCTTTAAGACCTTGATTCCAGCTATAACCCCTAGCATCCACAGTAAATTTGCATCTGACTCAGTTCCAGCTTCCTCATCTTGCAACTGCAGATAACTTGCTATTTTAAATGTAGAACCCAACTGCAAGGGAGTATGGGAAATGTAGTTTTTATTTACCAGTCTCTGCAGCTTAGGAAGACACCCTAGAAGGAAGATGGAAGCTGGTTGCCAATTGATCGTAATCACAGCACTTGGGATAAGAGGAAATGAGTTAACATGCAGTCACTTCAGGGACCTTGGGCATAATGGTTTTTTGCCTGGAACATGTGTCTGCTACCCTCAATTCCTACTCTACCCCAGAGCTGGCTAACTGATATTTATCTTTAGTTTTAGATGAGTGTTTCTCAAACTGCAGATATCACTAATCAAAGGGTCATAAAATCAATATAGTAGGTATTTACCACCAAGATAGAAAAAAAGTATAGAATATAAATCATATTTCTTAGTGTAGGTAATGGTCAAAAGGCTTGAAAAACATTCCCTTGAATGTAATGCCTCAATTTCCTGGTATTTTAAGTCTGAGTGTGATGCCTTTCTTGGAAACACTGTAATTTACTCATTATAGTTCTTATCACACACACACACGTGTGTGTTTGGGTGTGTTAAATGTCTGTGCTCTTCATTAGACTCCAGCTCCCAGAGGTCAGGTACTGTGCTCATCTTGCTGTCTGTAACCTTGGCACCAGGTCTGTCACAGTTTTTATACTTTTTTTTTTAACGTATCTCTTGAATGAATAAAGGGGAAAAGGATTGTTACGAACTTTTGTATTACTTAGCCACTCTTGGGATTAATAAGTAGACTTAAGGTTCAGAGAAGACTTTGAGCAAGTGCATAAGCTAGAAATAAGATTAGTAATAGGGGCACTGAAGCAAAGTAAAAAAATATCCCAGCACAGATCAGTCAGGTAATACAGAGCAAGAGCATCATGGAACCCACAAGGGAGAAACTCTAACCAGTCAGCATGGAAATCACTCCCCTAGCCTCACTGCAAAGGCTTGTTGCCTGCTTCTTAGCACTGCAGAATAGGAAGCATGAAGAAAACTCATTCCAAACACGTACGTATAGTTCATTGAATAGAGATTTCGTTTGAGTGTGGGTTCAGTTTTTCTCAACAAGTCTTTATACAATTCTCAGTAAGTCTTGAATTAATGAATTCCTTAATGATAATTATGTGTAGATTCCTTTGCTGACACACCTATTTGACCAGAGAGTGAAGAATCTCATGAGTAAAGCCAGTAAACAGGCTCTTACCCCTTAGAGAATTCTGCTGGGGGAGGTGTGTATATAACTGCTGTGTTATTTAGTGAAAGGTACTGATGGCTAATTGAGCAATAGTATGATAATGTATTAAAAAATAATAAAGCCAGCAGAATTCTTACAACAACTCTGGAAGATTTTAGACACTTTTTGTAGATCAGAAGGCTCAGATACAGGGAGAGCAAGTAACTAATTTGCTCAAGGTAGTAGAGGTGGTGCACAGCAGTGAGGACTCAAACCCAGATCTGTCTCATTCCCAAACTATGCTCTCAACCACTCTGGCAGAGCAAGTGGTGACTAATTGTCTGATCCTTTTTCTAGCCCTTAATTATTGCTTTTTGCTTCTTTGTGGCATGAAATTTATTTTAATTTTTCCTGAGGTTGATGGCCCATGACATAAGATTCCACAGTCATATACTAAAATTGCAAAAATTGCATGGATGGCCAAGAAAAACTTCCCTTTCAGATTGCAATCACTTGGAAACATTTCCTTTACTGTCTTGGGTTTGCATTTATGGTTGGAATGCATAAGCATTCCTAGTTACTCTGCTTGTTCATTTCTTTAAAAAATGTGTTCTGTACTTAACTATGTCACAGGCAGAGTTCTAGACATTGGGGATATTGACAAAGTCCCTGCTCTCACAGAGTTTTCATTCTAGTTGGGGGAAATAGACAACTAAATTTAAATTTGAAATAGGTAACATGAAAAGTAGTCATAACTATAATAAAACAGCAATGTTGGGAGACAATGACAGCTGTTTATGTGTGTGAATGTGTAATACATATTTTGTGGGGTAGTTGAGGAAGGCTTTTATGATAAGGTGGCTGCATTTGTGAGTTTTCACACTGCTATAAAGAACTACCTGAGACTGGGTAATTTATGAAGAAAAGAAGTTTAATTGACTACAGTTCTGCAGGCTTAATAGGAAGAGGCCTCAGGAAACTTACAATTATGGCAGAAGGTGAAGAGGAAGCAAGCACCTTCTTCACACGGTGGCAGGAGGTAGAGAGCAAAGGGGGAAGTGCCACACACTTTTAAACCATCAGATCTTGTGAGAACTCACTCACTAGCACGAGAACAGCATGGGGGAAATCTTCCCCTACAATCCAATCACCTCCAACCAGGTCCCTCCCCAAACATTCGGAATTACAATCCAACATGAGATTTGGGTGGAGATGCAGAGCCAAACCATATCAGTGACATTTGAACAGGGACCTGAAAAAAGTGAGAGAGAAGAGTCCTGTGGGTATATGGAGCAGCACTTTCCAGGCAGAAAGACCAGCAAGTGTAAAGGCCCTGGGGTAGAAGTGCACTTGGTTTGTTTGAGAAACAGCAAGGAGGCCTGTGTAATGACAGTGAAGTGAGTGGAGGGGAAAATAGTAGAGATGAGATAAGGGCAAGGTCGTATAGGGTCTTGTAGGCCCTGCTAAAGATTTTAGTCTTATTCAGAGTGAGACCTTATATTTAATAATGAGAAATAATATACTTTAAATTACTTTTCAGAAGGATCATTCCAGCTGCTGGGAGAAGAATCCAATACAGGGAAGCAAAGATGGGAGGTGGGAGCTAGATCTGAGAGGAGGCTATGGCAGTACCCTTGGATTGTCGTGGATTGGATTAGTATGGTAATGGAAGAGTTGGAGAAAAGAAGTGGTAATCTACATATAGTTTGAAGATAAGCTTATAGGAATTTCTTATGTATTCCTGTGATGTTAGATAAAGAGAGAAATCAATAATGACCAGGATGCTTGCCCTGAGAATCTTGGAGAATGAAGCTGTCATTTACTGAGAAGAGGAAAACTATGGAATGAGCAATTCTTTTTTTTCCAGGGGCAGGGGAGGTAGTAGTGAAATCAAGAATTTGGTGTTGCTCATGTTAAATTTGAAATGTCTATTGCTGTCCAAAAGGAGCTTTAGATATGCAGTTCTGGTGAGTGAACAGGGCTGGAGAAATTTCAACTGGGAGTTGTCAGCATAGAAATGAGGCTGAATGAGATCATCTGGTAAGCAAATATAAATAGAGGAAGGATGAGAGTCTAAGATTGAGCTCTTGATACCACAGTCAGAAAGATGAGGATGAACCAGCCAATATTTCTGAGAAGGAGTAGACAGTGATGGAGGAGGAAACCCAGAAAGTGTAGCATCCTGAAAACTAAGTGAAGAAAGTGTTTCATGAGGACTGAGAGATTGAATAGAATGGGTTGGATGATTGAGGACTGACCATTGGATTTGAAAACACTGAAATTGTTGACAACTTTGATAAGAGCTATTTATGGGCATAGTGGCATTGAGAGAATGAGAGGAGGAGTGGAGATGGCAGGTAGAGATCGCTCTTTCTAGGAGTTTTCCAGAGAAATGGGCTGGAGAAAAATACTGATAGAGACTTTAATTTGCTTTTTAAAGATAAAAAATGTTTGCTTGTTAATGGTATTTATCTAGTAGACAGAAGAAATTTAGCCTTAGATACAAGTATGAATTGTCTACCTTAAAAAAATTTTTTTTGGAGTTGGGGACTCACTCTGTCATCCAGGCTGGAGTGCAGTGTCATGATCATAGTTCACTGTAACCTCAAACTCCTGGCCTCAAGGAATCCTCCTACCTCATCGTTCTGAGTAGCCGTGATTACAAGCATACAGCACCATGTTCAGGTACTTTAAAAAAAACTTTTTAGAGATGGGATTTCCCTGCGTTGTCCAGGCTGATTTTGAATTCCTAACCTCAAGTGATCCTCCCACCTTGGCATCCCAAAGCACTGATTACAGGTATAAGCCACCCCACCTGGCCACTGGTTTTTAAATTCTACTTTTTGTAGTAACCCATAGCTGTTAAGAGTTATGGCTTATTTATGACTTGGTTCTTTCTCTAAGCTTGAGGAGAACATATCATTCCAAGTCATTTTAGTTGGATTAGGGCTTTGAGACCTATAGATAGCTTAAATTTACATTCTTAGCACACTCAGCTTCTGCTTTACCTGAAAGATTTTTGATGGCCATAAACTTTTTCACTTTTCTAACCATAAAATTATCCATTTCCATCTATCATTTTGCATTGTAGCCTAAAAAAGTAATAAAGAAATATAGATTTCAGGTAATTTTTTTTTTTTGAGATGGAGTCTTGCTTTGTCACACAGGCTGGAGTGCAGTGGCGCAATCTCGGCTCACTGCAACCTCTGCCTCCTGGGTTCAAGCGATTCTCCTGCCTCAGCCTCCTAAGTAGCTGGGATTACAGGTGCCTGGCACCATGCCTGGCTAATTTTCATATTTTTAGTAGAGACAGGGTTTCGACATGTTGGCCAGGCTGGTCTCAAACTCATTTTCAGGTAAATTTTAAAGACATATCTACTCTAAGAATCCTCTTGCTCCTTTTCTAGTTATAAAAGGATGTTTTTCTCTTTAATACAAAATTATTTTGTTTTTCTCTATCAATAGATATTTAGCTGATAAGCGTCCACCAGTGGAATTCCTGAATCTGTATACAACTGGTATCCTTGCCAACAGTGAATGCAAGACTTCCAGATCACTTACAAATCAGGCTCTTTTAAAAGATCTTCCTCATTGTCTTTTCTGGAAACATTTAAAAACCAGTTTAATCAGAACCAAAGACAGTTTTATTTTCTACTGAAAGAAAATTAACATTTCTTATCAATGTTAGTGGGTTGTGGTAAGGATTCACTATCCCCACTGTTTTTCATTAATGGCCAAGTTTGTTTCTGACTTCTCTTTTGCTTAATCCCCTGTGGAATAGAGTCAAGTGCATGTTTTTTTAACATACAACTATTTTCTCTACACCCCAGGAAATGTGAACTGTGTGTCACATCCAGTAAAACATGGTGCCTCCAACCATGGAGTCTGCTTTATTTGAACATTTAATTTTTGCTTTTCAGAGTGTTATAATTTTACCTTTCTTGTTCAATCTAAGGCAGAATGAGTGGTTCTTTTGAGTCTCCTTATTCTAATATTAGATTTCCCAAACTAAATTCCCTCTTTACTATGCACAATTCTAGATTTAAATATGATGTAAAAAATTCTACTGTCTTTGTGTGCTGATTTAATGTATCTCCTGTGTTAAAAGCAAGATTGAAAACGGACATGCAGATGGACACAGCCAAAGAATCAATGAGCTTGAAGATATGGCAGTGGAAACTTCCCAAACTGAAATGGAAAGAGAAAAGAGAAGAATAATGCAAAAGTCAATATACTTTTAAAGGACCAGGATAAAAAACAAAACAAAACAAAAAAAACACCCAACCAGAGCAGAACATCTAAAATCTGTGGGAACAGTATCAAGATGTGTATATGTGCAATCAGGAATACCAGAGGGACACCAAACCACAGATTCCGAAGCACAGAAAATAACAAGCAGGATAAATAACAAAAGGCTACACTTACACATATTATAGTCAAACTGCGACAAAGAGAAAATCTGTCAAGAAGCCAGAGTAAAAAAAAAAAAAAACAAAACCCACCTCATCTACAGAGGAACAAGAATAAAAATTACAACAGGCTTCTCATCAGAAATTATGCAAGAACATGAAGTTTTTAAAGTGATGAAAGAAAAAATCCTCAGCAACCTGGAGTTCTTTTTCTTTTTTAACTTCTAATTTTTGTGGGTACATAGTAGGTATATATATTTATGGGGTGTTTGGGATATTTTGATACAGGCATATATGTGTAATAATCACATCTGGGTATATGGGTTTCCATCACCTCAAGCATGTATCCTTTGTGTTACAAACAATCCAGTTATATTCTTTAGTTATTTTTAAATTTATGATTAAATTATTACATCACCATGTTGTGCTATCAAATACTAGATCTTACTCATTCTTTTTAAACTATTTTATATACCCATTAACCATCTCCATTTCCCTCCCACCACTCCTCAATGGCCCTTCCCAGCCTCTGGTAACCATCATTCTACTCTCCATGAGTTCAATTAAAAAAATTTTTAGTACTCACAAATAAATGAGAGCATGAGAAGTTTGTCTTTCTGTGCCTGGCTTCTTTCACTTAACATAAAGACCTCCAGTTTCATCCATGTTTTTGCAAATGATGGGATCTCTTTTTTTTCATGGCCAAATAGTACTCCATTGCAAATAAGTATCACATTTTCTTTGTCCATTCATCTGTTAACAGACATTTAGGTTGCTTCCAAATATTGGCTATTGTGAACAGTGCTTCAATAAACATGAGACTGTAGATATCACTTTGATATACTGATTCCCTTTCTTTTGTGTATATACCTACGAGTGGGATTGCTGGATCATATGGTAGCTCTATTTTCAATTCTTTCAGGAACCTCCAAACTGTTCTCCATAGTGCCTATATTAATTTACATCCCCACCAACAGTCTATGAGGTTCCCCTTTCTCCACATCCTCACCAGAATTGATTATTGTCTGTCTTTTGGATAAAAGCCATTTTAATTGGGATAAGATGGTATCTCATTATAATTTTGATTTTCATTTCTCTGATGATCAATGATGTCGAGCACTTTTTCATATAAATGTTTGCCATTTGTATGTCTTCTTTTGAAAAATGTCTAGTCAGATCTTTTGCCCATTTTTAATTATTTTATTGGATTTTTTTTCCTATAGATTTGTTTGCACTACTTATATATTCTGGTTATAAATCCCTTGTGAGATGAATAGTTTGCAAATATTTTCTCCCATTCTGTGGGTTTTCTCTTCACTTTGTTAATTGTTTCCTTCACTGTGCAAAAGCTTTTTAACTTGATCTGATCCCATTTGTCCCTTTGCTTTTTAACTTGATCTGATCCCATTTGTCCCTTTTTGCTCTGGTTGCCTGTGCTTGTGGGGTATTACTAAAGAAATCTTTGCCCAGTCCAATGTCCTGGTTTCTCTAATGTTTTCTTATAGTAGTTTCATAATATGAGGTATTAGATTTAAGTCTTTAATCCATTTTGGTTTGATTTTTGGATCTGGCCAGAGATAGAGGAGTCCAGTTTCATTCTTCTGCATATGGATATTTAGTTTTTCCAGCACCATTTATTGAAGAGACTGCCCTTTCCACAATTTATGTTCTTGGCACCTTTGTCAAAAATGAATTCATTGCAGATGTATCGATTTGTTTCTGCGTTCTCTATTCTGCTCCATCAGTCTATGTGTCTGTTTTTAAGCCAGTCCCATGCTGTTTTGGTTACTATAGCTTGGTGGTGTAATTTGAAGTCAGGTAATATGATTCCTCCAGTTTTGTTCTTTTTGCTTAGGATAGCTTTGACTATTCTAGGTCTTTTGTGGTTTCATATAAATTTTATAACTTTTTTCTATTTCTGTGAGAAATGTCATTGGTATTTTGATAGAGATTGCATTGAATCTTTAGATTGCTTTGGGTAGTATGGACATTTTAATGATGATTCTTCTAATCCATGAACATGGAATATCTTTCCATTTTTTGGTGTCCTCTTTAATTTCTTTGATCAATGTTTTATAGTTTTCATTGTACAGATTTTTCACTTCTTTGGTTAATTCCTAGCTATTTAATTTTATTGGTAGTTACTGTAAATGGGGTTCGTTTCTTGATTTCTTTTTCAGATTGTTCACTCTTGACATATAGAAATGCTACTGATTTTTGTGTGTTGATTTTGTACCCTACAAGTTTAATAAATTTGTTTATCAGTTCTAATAGTTTTTTGGTAGACTAGGTTTTTCCAAATATGATCATATCATCTGCAAACAAGGATAATTTGACTTCTCTCTTTCTGATTTGGATACCCTGTATTTCTTTCTCTTGTCTGATTGCTCTAGGTAGGACTTCCAGTGCTACGTTGAATAACAGTGGTGAAAGTGGGCATTGTTGTCATGTTCCAGATCTTAGAGGAAAGGCTTTCAGTTTTTCCCCATTCACTATACTAGCTCTGGGTCTGTCAAATATTGCTTTCATTCTGTTGAGGTATATTCCTTCTATATCCAGTTTTTTAAGGGCTTTTATCACGAAGGGATGTTGAATTTTATAAAATGCTTTCTCAGCATTAATGAAATACTCATATGTTTTTTGTCCTTCATTCTATTGATATGATGTATCAGATTGATTGATTTGCATATGGTGAACCATCCTTGCATCCCTGGGATAAGTCCCACTAGGTCATGGTGAATGATCTTTTTAATATGTTGTTGAATTTAGTTTACTAGTATTTTGTTGAGAATTTTTGCATCAGTATTCATCAGAGATACTATTCTCTCTCTCTCGTTCTCTCTGTCTCTCTCTCTCTCTCTCTGTCTCTCTCTCGCTTTTTGATGTATTTTTGTCTGGTTTTGGTATCAGGGTAAAACTGGCCTTGTAGAATGAGTTTGAAAGTATTCCCTCCACTCTGTTTTTCAGAATAGTTTGGGTTGGATTGCTATTCGTTCTTTAAATATTTGGTAAAATTCAGCAGCGAAGCCATCATTTGCTGGGTTTTCTTCACTGGGAGATTTTTTTTAACTGTAATTTTAATTTTAATGTTAAGTTTTGGGGTACATTTGCAGGATGTGCAGGTTTGTTACATAGGTAAACGTGTGCCATGGTGGTTTGCTGCACCTATCAACACATCATCCAAAATATTAAGCCCAGTATGCATTAGCTATTTTTCCTAATGCTCTCCCTCCCGCCCCGTCCCCCAGTAGGCCTTAGTATGTGTTGTTCCCCTGCTGGGAGATTTTTATTACAGCTTTGATCTCATTACTTTTTATTGGTCTCTTCAGGATTTGGATTTCTTCATGGTTCAGTCTTGGTAGGTTGTATGTGTCTAGGAATTTATCCATTTTTTCCCTAGATTTTCCAATTTATTGGCATATAATTGCTCACAGTGGCCTCTAATGATCCCTTGAATTTCTGTGGTATTGGTTATAATGTCTCCTTTTCATCTCTGATTTAATTATTTTTTTTAAAGACATGTTCTGGCTCTGTTGCCCAGGCTAGAATGCAGTGGTAGGGTCTTGGCTCACTGCAACCTCTGCCTCCCAGGTTCAAGTAATTCTCAAGCCTCTGCCTCCCAAGTAGCTGGAACTACAGGTGTGTGCCACCACACCTGGCTAATTTTTTTATTTTTGTAGAGACAGAGTTTCACCATGTTGGCCAGGCTGGTCTTAGACTCCTGACCTCAGGTGATCCACCCGCCTCAGCCTCCCAAAGTGCTGGGATTACAGGTGTGAGCCACCATGCCTGGCTTGATTTAATTTATTAGGTTCTTCTGTCTTTTTTTCTTATCTAGTCTGACTAAAGTTTTGTCACTTTTGTTTATCTTTTTAAAAAACTTTTTGTTTCATTGATCTTTTGTTTTCTTCATTTAATTTCATTTATTTTTGCTCTGATCTTTATTATTTAATTTCTTCTTCTAACTTTGGGCTTATTTGCTCTTGCTTTTCTAGTTCTTGAAGATGCAGTTAGGTGTTTCTTTCTGTTGGTTTGTTGTTGTTTTTGAAGTTTTTCTCTTTTTTTGATGTAGGCACTTACAGCAATAAACTTCCCTTCTGGTACTGCTTTTGCTGTATCCCATAGGTTTTGGTATGTTGTGTTTCCATTATCATTTGTTTCAAAATATTTTTCAATTTTCTTCTTAATCTTGTCATTGATCCACTGGTCATTCAGGAGCATATTATTTAATTTCCATGTTTGTATAGTTTCCAAAATTCCTCTTGTTATTGATTTCTAGTTTTATTCTATTGTGGTCAGAGAAGATACTTGATATTATTTCAATTTTTTGAATGTTTTAAGACTTGTTTTGTGGCTGAACATATGGTCTATCTTGAAAATTATCCATGTCCCCAGGAGAAGAATGTGTATTCTGCAGCTTTTGGGTGAAATGTTCTGCAAATATCTATTAGATCCATTTGGTCTATAGTTCAGATTAAGTCTGATGTTTCTTTGTTGAACTTCTGTCTGGATGATCTATCCAATGCTGAAATTGGAGTGTTGAAGTCTTTAGTTGTTATTGTATTAGGGCCTTTCTTTCTCTTTAGCTCAGATAATATTTGCTTTATATATCTAGGTGCTCCAGTGTTGGGTGCATGTATATTTACAGTAGTTATAATCTCTTGCTGAATGATTCCTTTATCATAGTGACCTTCTATGTCTCTTTTTATAGTTTTTGTCTTGAAGTCTATTTTGTCTTATATAAGTATAGCTACTCCTGCTTTTTTTTTATTTCCATTGGCATAGAGTATGTTTTCCCTCCCTTTATTTTCAGTCTGTGTGTGTCTTTATAGGTGAAGTGTGATTCTTGTAAGCAACAGATCATTGGGCCTTGTTTTTTCATCCATTCAGCCACTCTATATCTTTTCATTGGAGGTTTAGTCCATTTATATTAAATGTTGTTATTGATAAACAGGGACTTTTGTCATTTTATTATTAGTTTTCTGGTTGTTGTGTGGTCATCTCTTCCTTCCTTCTTGTCTTCCTTTTAGTGAAGGTGATTTTCTCTAGTAGTATATTTTAATTTCTTGATTTTTATCTTTTGTGAATGCATTGTATGTTTTTAGATTTGAGGTTACCATGAGGCTTGCAGATAATATCTTATAAACCAATATTTTATACTGATGACAACTTAAAACTGATTCCATAAACAAACAAGCAGAAGGAAATCTAATAAAAACTCTGTACTTTAACTTTATCACCTACCTTTTAAACTTTTTGTTTTTTCTATTTATATCTTATTGTACTGTCCATGTCTTTAAAAGTTTTTGTAGTTATTATTTTTGATTGATTCATCTTTTCAACACTCTACTCAAGGTTTAAGTAGTTTACATACAACAATTACAGTTTTATAACATTCTGTGTTTTTCTGAGCATTCACTATTACCTCTGGGTTTTGTACCTTCAGATGATTTCTTATTGTTCCTCAGCATCCTTTTCTTTCTGATTGAAGAACTCCCTTTAGCATTTATTATAGGACAGGTCTGATGTTGATGAAATCTCTCAGCTTCTGTTTGTCTAGGAAAGTCTTTATTTTGCCCTCATGTTTGAAGGATGTTTTCACCAGATATACTATTCTAGGATAAAAGATTTTTTTCCTTCAGCACCTTAAATGTGTCATGCCACTCTTTCCTGGCCTATAAAGTTTCCACTGAAAAGTCTGCTGCCAGGCATATTGGAGCTCCATTGTATGTTACTTGTTTCTTTTCTCATGCTGCTTTTAAGATCTTTTCTTTATCCTTTACCTTTGGGAGTTTGATTATTAAATGCCTTGAGGCATTCTTCTTTGGGTTAAATCTGCTTGGTGTTCTACAGCCTTCTTGTACTTGAATATTGATATATTTCTCTAGATGTGGGAAGTCCTCTGTTATTATCCCTTTGAATAAGCTTTCTACCCCCCCACCACCTTCTTTTTAAGGCCAATAACTCTTAGCTTTGCCCTTTTGAAGATATTTCCTAGATCCTGTAGGTGTGCTTCATTCTTTTCTCTTTTGTCTCCTCGGACTGTGTATTTTCAAACAGCCTGTCTTCAAGCTCACTAATTATTTCTTCTGTTTGATCAATTCTGTTATTAAGACACTCTGGGCTGGGCGCAGTGGCTCACACCTATAATCCCAGCACTTTGGGAGGCCGAGGCAGGTGGATCACCTGAGGCCAGGAGTTTGAGACCAGCCTGGCCAACATGGTGAAACCCCGTCTCTACTAAAAATACAAAAATTAGCTGGGCCTGGTGGTGGTTGTCTGTAATCCCAGCTACTCAGGAGGCTGAGGCAGGAGAATTGCTTGAACCTGGGAGATGGAGGTTGCAGTGAGCTGAGATCATGCCTCTGCACTCCAGCCTCGGTGACAAGAGCCAAACTCTGTCTCAAAAAAAAAAAAAAAAAAAAAAAGAGAGATTCAGATGCATTCGTCAGTATGTCAATTGCATTTTTCAATCCCAGAATTTCTTCTTGCTTCTCTTTAATTATGTCAATTTCTTTGTAAAATTTATCTGATAGGATTCTGAATTTCTTCTCTGTTTTATCTTGAATTTCTTTGAGTTTCCTCAAAACAGCTATTTTAAATTCTCTGTGTGAAAGGCCACATATCTCTGTCTCTCCTGGATTGGCCTCTGGTGCCTAAGTAGTTTGTTTGGTGAAGTCATATTTTCCTGGATGATCTTGATGTTTGTGAATGTGTCAATGGTATTTGGGCATTGAAGAGTTAGGTATTTATTACAGTCTTCATAGTCTAGACTTGTTTGCACTTGTTCTTATGAAGGCTTTCTAGGTATTCAGAGACTTGGATGTTGTGATCTAAGTTTTTGGTCACTGCAGCCATATCTGCATTAGAGGGCACCTTAGGGCCAATAATGCTGACGTTCTTGTAGAATGGTAGAGGTACTGCCTTAGTGGTCTTTGATAAGATCCAAAAGAATTGTCTGGATTATCAGGCAAATACTCTTGTTCTCTTCCCTTACTTTCTCCTAAACAAACAAAGTTTCCCTGTCTATGCTGAGCTGCCTGGAGCTGGGGGAGGGGTGACAAAAGGACTCCTTTGGCCACCGCCACTGGGACTGTGCTGGGTCAGACCTGAAGCTGGCACAAGACTGGGTCTTGCTCAAGACCTACCGTAGCCACTACCTGGTTATGTTCGCTCAAGGCCCTAGGGCTCTACTGTCAGGAGGTGGCCAAGCCAGCCAGTCTTGTGCATTTCCCTTTAGGGTGGTAAGTTCCCCAGGGTCCTGGCAAGTCCAGAGATGCTGTCCTGGAGTCAGAGACCTTAGAAATCTACCTGGTGCTCTATTCTATTGCAGCTAAGCTGGCACCAAAACCATAAAACAAAACCCTTCCCACTCTTCCCTCCACTTTCCCCAGGCAGAGGACTCTCTCCTGTGTCTACCACCACCACAGGTTCCTGGGGGAGTACTGCAGGGTACCACCAATATTCACTTAAGGCCCAAAGGTTCTTTTGGTGAATGCTTCCAGGTCTGGGACTCACCCTTCATGGCAGTGGGCCCCCTCTGGCCCAGGAAGAACCAGAAATGACATCTAAGAGCCAAGGCCTGGAATTGGGGATCTGAAGAGCCTGCTTGGTACTCTCCCCACTGTGGCCAGGCTGGTACCTAAGCTGCAAGACAAAGTTCCCTGTATTCTTCCATCTTTTTTCTCAAGCAGAAGGAGTCTGTTCTCATAGGCACCACAGCTGTGAATATGCTGGGTTACACCTGGAACCAGCACATCTCAGAGTCTCACTCAAGGCTCATAGCATGTACTACCTGGTTACCACTGCTGATTATTCAGGGCCCAAGGGTTCTTTAGTCAGCAGGTGATGAATCCTGCCAGAACTGGATCCTTCCTTTCAAGGTGGTGGGTTCCCTTTTGGCCCAGGATATGTCTAGAAATGTTGTTTGGGAACTAAGGCCTGGAATGGGGGCCTCACGACTCTGACTGGTGCCCTATCCTTCTGTGGCTAAGCTGATGTTCAAGATGCAAGACAAAGTCTTTTTCACCTTTCCCTCTCTTCTCCTCAGGCAGAAGGGAGCGGTCACTTTCATTGTTGTGAGCTGCCCTGCCTGGGGTTGGGGTAGAGGTCATGCAAGTACTCTGTTAGCTGCACCAGCTGGTATGTCACTAGGTTGCATAATCTCCAAGTCCACTGGCTTCAAGCCCAGCCCTAGGAGTTGCCTAGGATTTGCAGTCCCTATGACCTATGTTGCCTTTCAAGTTTACCTAGGATCCCATAGCACTTTAGCCTGTGGTGAGGGTTGCTGAACCTCAAGTTCCAACTGCTGGGATGGGTGATTCCCTTCTGATTAGGGGTGATCTAAATGTTCTCTCTGTGGGTCTCAGCTGAGTTCTGCCTGGTGTTGGCAGCACTGAGGTCCAATGCAAAATTCCACAAGCACTGTGCTCTTCTCGCAAATGTACAGATTCTGTCTTCTGTGCCATGTGGCCATTACTGAAGAACTGAGGAGGGGTGGCGTTGGCAATTCAAGATGGTCTTTCCTACCCTCTTCAGTGCCTCTTTCAGTGATATGAAGTTAAAACCAGGTACTGTGATCACTCACCTGATTTTTGGTTCTTATGAAGGTTCTTTTTTGCGTAGAAAGTTGTTAAATTTGGTGTTCCTGTGGGGAGGATGATTGGTGGAGGCTTCTATTCAGCCATCTTGCTCTACCTCTATTTAGAGTTTTATATCTAGCGAAATTATCCTTCACAAGTGAAGGAGCAGTAAAGACTTTCTCAGGAAAACAAAAACTGAGGGAATTCCTTGCCAGCAGACTGTCCTACAAGAAGTGTTAAAGTATGTTCTTTAGGGAGAAGGAAATTGATATAGTCAGAAATGTGAATCTACATAAAGAAAGGAAAACATCAGAGAAGGAATAAATGAAAGTAAATTGAAATCTTTTATTTTTCTTATTTTTAATTGATCAAAAAGCAAGCTGTTCTCTTAAATTAATAATTGTGGCAGTGTAGTGGGTGAATATATCTAATGGGTAAGTGAAATGAAGAACAGCAATCTCATAAGTGACAGGAGGGAGGAATTGGGACCTTCACTCTATTTGAAGTTCTGTAGTGTTTTTTGAATGTAGGCTTTGATTAGTTTTAATGGAGTATTGCAAACTCTAGGTCAACGATTTAATTTTTTTAAAAAAGAAGTATAGTTGATATTTAAGAGAAGATAAAATGAAATTACATAAAATGTTTCTTAATACCAGAGAAAGCAAAAAAATTTGGGAAAAAAGAACAAATACAACGAATATAAAGCAGTTAAAATCATGGTAAATAAATTTACATTATATATTTTTGGTTAAAGTAGAATTTTTTAGAACTGATGCATGCCATTGCCTGTTTTAACTTAACTTTTTCATTAACATCCAGTGCTCAGTTCCAAACAGGTCAGGAACACAGCATCTGCTCTGTTTGTGGGACATGGAGGATCCACATTGCCCTCAGCTTGGGGTTCCTTTGCCCATTTCTGGGCCTCTTTCTCCTTTGCCATCTCCTTTGTGAAACTGACTTAACTGGAACCCACAGAACATTAGACTGGAGGCAAATGCTGGACCAACTTAGGGAAAGAGCTTTTCCTGCCAGAGAGAGAGCCTGTGCTGACTGTTCAGTCTCATTCTTTTGCCACGTAAAGCCCTCAGGAAAGATGTCTCACTCAGAATTTTCTGATAAGTTAGTGTACATAGCAACAATGATAAACCGTTGGGATTTATCATTGCAAATAACAAGCAAATAACAAGCAAGTTCTGGCTCCCTGGCTCCCCTCCCCAGGAATAATCTAATTGCCAGGTACACTTATCAAATGTTAGTTTTGCCAAAAGGCATACATCATAAAGCTTTATGACTTGGCTATTGATTTAAGCATTCACTGGATGAATAGAGTCAATTTAATGTAATGTTAAGGGCTGTCACCAGCGAATGGCCTTCAAAAGATCTCCATGCTTTTTCTTATCAAGCATATTCTTCACATAATAACTCCAGATGCCAATTGGGCATAAAACTATACATGTGATTCACTCACATATCAATATGTTACTGATTTGAGTCCATTCTATATGCTCTGTATAGAATTAGCATTCAAGTTAATCACAAAAATGTACTTTTTTTTTGTATAGTCACAAACCACACAATGATGCTTCAAAGATGAATCACATATACCTCAGTGGTCCCATAAGATTATAATAGAGCCGAAAAATTCCTATGCCTATTTACATCATATCTGTCACAGCATTGTAGTGCAATGCCTTACTCATGTGTTTGTGGTGATGGTAGTATAAACAAACCTACTACACTCACTACCAGTCATAGAGTAGCATATACAGTTATGTACAGTACATAATGCTTGAGTGATAATAAATGACTATGCTACCAGCTTGTGTATTTACTATATTTTTGTCATTATTTTAAAGTTTATTCCTTATACTTATATTTTAAAAAGTTAAATGTAAAACAGCCTCAGGCGGATCTTCAGGAGGAATTCCACAAGAAGGCATTGTTATTATCACAGGAGATGACAGCTCCATGCCTGTGAATGCCCTTGAAGACCTTCCAGTGGGACAAGATGTGGCGGTGGAAGACAGTGAAATTGATGATCCTGACCTTGTGTAGGTCTGGGTTAATGTGCGTGTTTGTATTTTCATTTTTAACAAGAAGTTTAAAAAGTTAAAAAAAGAAAAATAGAAAAAGCTTACAGAATAAGGATATAAAGACAGAAAACATTTTTGTACAGCTACACAATGTGTTTGCATTTTATGTTATTACAAGAGTCAAAAAGTTAAGTGTGTAAAGTAAAAAAATTACAGTAAATTAAGGTTTATTATTGAAACCTTATTTATTATTATTGAAAAAAGACAATTTTAAAGATAAATGTAGTATAACTTAGGTGTACAGTGTTGATAGGGTTAAGTGCCCCATATAGCTACACCACTGTTTATCTTTTATTCTGCATTTTACTGTCCCTTTCATGTGTTTAGATATAAAAACACCATTGTGTTACAATTACCTCCCGTATTTAGTGCAGTAACTGCTTGCTGTACAGGTTTGTAGCTGAGGAGCAGTAGGCTAGACCAGATGGCCTAGGTGTGGAGTAGGCTATGCTATCTATGTTTGTGTAAGAATACTCTATGATGCTCACACCACATCACAGAAATTGCCTAATGACACATTTCTGCGAATGTATTCCTGTCATTAAGCTATGGATGACTGTAATGAAAATCAGTTGCTGAGGACTATGACATGGCTGAGTGACAAAAATCCATTCAGTTTTTCCTGGGGATTCCAACAATGTCAGGCAAAAAACAGTCTGTGCCTTTATTTTCTACACACAACAGATACTGATCAGTTCATTTTCCTTCAGAGGTTTGTTGAATGTTTATCATTGTAAATTATTATTGTAAGTTACTATAGCTTCAAGCCTTTCAAAAGATATTTAAATATTTCCCATATTTTTATGCATTCAGATGCTTTCATACAATTACACTGCCATTTCCTAAACTGCTGTTCTGTGGGTGTTGAATGTTTGCCACATATTTTCTTGTTGGAATATTGAGAAGTGTATTAAAATAAGTTTAAAATATTTTTAATATACTAATATACATAAAAAGTTTCCAAAGAGGAGTATTTTATTAAATACTTGGACAGTTTAATAGGACACTCACTCGAAGTCTTTGCATGATGAATTTAGTAGTAAATAGGCAATTATTAATTTTTAAAATGTAATTTCATTTATTTACTCTCTTGAACTTATAATTCAAAAGGACATGTCACATTTTCTTAACGTCTTTGGTGATATACTACAGTTTTATTGGTTCAAATCAAGAAAGAGATCATGTGTTGTTTCCCGTCATGACATATGTGATATTAAATTCTTTGTAGATGGAACTCAGCAATTTGCTTTCTCTGTGTCTGCTGGGTATTTCCTGAACGTCTGCAGTGCCTGCCTTGAATCTATGGGTTTATTTGTTAGTTGAAAGGCATTGTGCTTTTTGATCTTTCGGAGTTAAATTTCAGTGACTTGTGAGGAGCTTTCTTGAACCCCACTTTCTCCTGCTTGGGTGTGATGCGTTTCTTTTGGAGCCTGCCATAAGTGCTTTCACAGCCATCGTATCCCTTTACCTTGGATATCATAGGGATTCTCTCACATGTACCATGCTTCCACTTGCACCTATTTCCAGCAGGCCGGACAGTGAGTCACGGGAGTGAGTGAACTCTCAGCGGGCATCCAGATGATCCTGCAAACCTTTCAGTAACACCTGCCTGTGGAAGGAGTCCACGTGTCCCATGGACTAACAGCCCGACATATCATCATCTTCAGCTTCCTCTTCCACCTTCCAGTCTTATGAATCCTTAGGGAGTGAGATGTTCAAGGCAGCCTTTTTTTCTTTGACAAATAGGTTGTCTTTCAGTTTGAGGAGTTAATAAGGGGTTCTTGCTTCTTGCCTTTTACAGTCTTTTAAATCTTTGCAGTTTTTGAAATTCTCTTTACAAACATCCTCAATCTCATCTCTCATATCTTCTTTATCTGTGTTGTATTTCCTATTATTGATTGCCTATTTCTATTACAAATTTTTAGTTGACATTTCCAAAGGAAGCCATGATCATATATTTAAACTCTGAACACACAGAGAAAATTACCCTAGTAACCTTGTTTGTGTTGTGTTTGCTTTTGTGCATAAGGCAATCACCAGTCATGGAGGGACTGAGCTTGAAGATAAGACTTCAAGCCTTAAGAGACACTGAATATTCCGTTTATTAGAAGAGACGAAGAGATTCTTAAGACAGATAAAATACTTAGAGTAGGAATCCAGGAGGGAAAAGATTATTGACGAAGAAGCTGGAAGTTGAAAGTATGACAAGAAATTGTTGAAAAGAAAAAAAGAAATTACATCCTTTAAGCTGTATGAGATTCAAGAGGTTGGACCTGTAGAGAGAACATTCAGAAATAAAGCGGTAACATCCACTTCTTGCTCCCACATATTAAGGAGGCTTTTCAAGTGTGGGTGGATTATGGAAACCTATTATCCCAGCCTGAGGAGGAAGGGACACATCCATGGCAGTTGGTGGAGACTCCATGTTGAGAAGAATGGAGGCAGCCACAGAGAGCCACACATGGTGTGTAGGGAAGAAAGCATTTCTCATGGATTATGTTCCCAAGACAAGATGGCTAATGCTATCCCAAGTTGCTGCTACCCATGTCTGCAGGTTCACCTGGAATGAATTACATTGCCTCAGGAGACATGGGCTGTTTATCTAATAGTCGCAGTCCTGACAAGGAAGCCAAAGGGCGCATAGCAGAAATTAATGAGCTTTAGAGTCAGAAAGAACTGGGTCCCAATCCCAAGACTGCTGCTCATAAGTAGTGTGATTTGGGACAAGTTACTTAGCCTTCCTAAATCTTAGGATTTTATTTCTAAAATGGGGATGATGTCTGCTTCTCCAGGACATGTTAAGGTGTCTAGAATAGAATCTTGCACATATAAGCCACTTATATAAATACATTTTTAAAATCTCCAAATGTCTTTAATTCAGCTTTGTTTAAAATTAAAACAAGAGGCCCATGAGTTGTTCTTTAAGTAACAAACTTTAGAGACTAAGAAGCAACACACTCTAAAAAATCAAAGCACTATGTTAGTTACAACCTTTCTTTAGATAGATAAAAGACAGCAGATATTTATATACTAATTATCTTAACATTTAAGTATATGTTTTGTCATTGTCCAGTTTCTGTGTAAATCTGTTTGCCAAAAATATTCTAAGGTTTGTTTTATTCTTCTAAGGACTATTGAATTGTGATTATAAATGCTTGTTTTGGGAAACTACATTTGTTAAAATGTATACGTGGAAAACAGTTCACTTCAAATGACAACTACATCATAAGATACTAATTTCACCCATCAATATAGTTAAAATTAACCCTCTCACTATGTTTTGTCTGATTTATTGTACAAATTAACTCAACCAGTATAAAAGGACTGTGAGACTCTCTTAGAATTATAAACATATCTTAAGGGATTTTCCTTTGAACAATTTACCTTACACATCAAAGTAAATGTGGCTAAAACAGATGACTTTAAAATACAATACTGAAACTCAATTTTCCCCAACACATTTAAATATCTGTCCTAATCCACTCGAGTCTGCATCTTATTCCCTATTCTTTGAGAGCTCATATTCCAAATAGTCCACAGTCTGGCCAAACCTTGAAAATTCTAAATAGCATATTTTGATAGAGGAAGACAGCCCTGCCTTTCCTCACTATGTACTTGCTTCCAAGGGGTTATAACCTACCTGGCAGACATGTTTGCTGGCTTGGGAGAGCCATTCTAACTTAGCTGAGTGTGGGAGGACAAGGGGGAGCCCTTATTCAGATCCTATGCAGCCACAGCCATCCTCCTGCACATGAAAGTTTTCATTAACTATGGGTTTGCTGCTGTTTTGATAGGAATCTTCTATATTGGGGTGTGTGTGTGTGTGTGTGTGTGTGTGTGTGTGTGTGTGTGTGTGTGGTGTGCATTCATATATATGAGAGGAGAGAGAGAATGATTAATTAGCAAGCAAGGCAAAATGGTAACAATTGGTAAATCTAGAGTATATGGGTATCCTTTGTACTATTACAATTTTTTGAACATCAAAAATTATTTCAAAATACAAGGCTAAAAATAAAAAAGAAACACACCCCAGATTCCATGTCTAAGAATCTCCCCAATACCTCATGCTAACCAGAGTGCTGCTCGGTACAGGGAAGACATGAGAGGGACAGTCTGGCCTGGCCTCCTGTGTCAGCTCTGATTCGCAGCTCTGACTGTGCAGTGGTGCACCTACATGGTGTGTGCAGATGAGGAGCTGCAGATCCAGAAAGGGTGAAAGCTAGGAAGAGATGCCTTGATGAAGAAGACATGCTATGTCTCTGGTTAAAAAAAAAAGGTTGGGAGACATATCTAGGCTTCCTGACTTTATGAGGATAATAACTGACTAGAAAGGTCCAACAAAGACAATTGGGACTCTCCTAACCAACTTCAAACCCTAGTGAAGTTTTTCACCAAGAAAGAATTAGGTGGGAAAACACACACACACACACACATGCACACACACACACAGTACATTTATACATAGAATCTGTTTGTGTGTGTGTTTGTACATATGTGTTTGTGAGAGGCGTGGCTGGACCATTTTTCCTCAACAAACTATCTTCTTGGCTCATAGTCCCAACATTTACTTTTCCTCCTAGCCTATCTCATCCCATGTCACCAGGGCAAGGCAGACTAGGAAACTTCCCCGTGGAATAAGCCATACTAGAAAGTCAACAGAGGAAACAGAGAACATTGTAACAGAAGAGAGGATCCAGAAACAATGGAGAAGACGGTCATTTGGTGTCCCTAACATGGGCCATTTCCTTGTGGTTCTCTGGTGTTGCATAACTCTGTATCTTTTTGCAGCCCTTATGAAGAGAAGGCTCAGTGGGGTGGTGAATACTGGTCTAGGTGCCTAGGGGGCTGACCTCGTATTACTGACTTAGCGAACCCTTGCCTTGGGTCCTCGTAATTTTGTCTTTCTAGGCTTCTTCCTGATCTTTCCCAGTTTTCTCATATGTCCTGAATAACATGTGACTCATAACTGGCCCTCTGGAGACTTTGAGGAGCATTTTGTAATAACTGTGCCTACATTGGTCACCTCTGTGAAATCGGTTGGGGGCTTTGAACTATTGAATCATTTGTTTTTATGTTGGGCCACCTAAGAGGGTGTTGGCTACACTAATACATAAGGCTTTCCTTTCCCATGTGGTTCCTGGCTCCTAACTTCTTGTGATACCTCAGAGTATATCCCCCTAAAATTTGTTTTGACCACCCAACTGCCAGCTAGAACCAAGACTTTGATATCCTGGGTGGCAAGATTTAATAAGTAGATTTTATTAATTCCTAGATGATAAAACTTAAATCTCAGATGCATTTAAAAATGTGTCATGTATTATTTTAGGCATGTGAGCTATGAAATAATGGCAATAATGATGTGTTTAAAACCATTAAATCATGTAGCTGGCTGAAAATGTTCCATAAAATAGAGTGAGAGCAATAACTGTAGGTCAGAGTGAATTCTGAAAGATGACCACACAGGGACCAGGCAGGCTTTAGGACATGAACACGCTCTGAGGCAGAAATCATTTTAATGGAATTTCCTGAGGTTCACAGAAAATTTACGTAGTTCATAAAACAAAGATAGTAAGAAGGTCCAGACATTCAACAGTTGAAGCAGAGTTCAAACGGGACAGCATACTAAGACAGTCCTGCCATAAGTCAATCAGTGTTCCACAAGTTCTGTGTGTAAAGGAATCTGGTAGGCACTGAGGAATTCACAGCTGATTTGTTCTAAGTTGCTTTAATGCACAGCATCCCATTCAGTCCTCCCATGAACCCTAGCGATGTAGGCAGAGCTAATAGTTATCTCCCCAGCTCAAAGATGAAGAAATTGAAACATGGGCAGGACCTCTCAACTCTAATGCACATGTAGAGCAACTGTAGCTTCCATTAAAATGCAGATTCTGTTATAGAAGGTCTAGAGTAAAGCTTGCAATTTTGCATTTCTAACAAGTTTCCAGGTGATACTGATGCTGCTGTGTGTTGTAAGACCTTAGAGAATATAAATGATTCCCATTGGCCTGGCCAAGAAAAATTGAAAAGTTTCAAAGCATAGTGGAGAAATAAATGGCTATTATATGTTTGGTAAGTAAGTATCCTGATGCTATTAGCTAATAATTTTTAAAAATTGGGGCACACTTCTATAATAAATTTACCATGATGAATTATATCTTACTGATGTGACTAGCTTCCTTGAGTAGCCTGTAGTTTCCTTGAGAAGAAGTAAGAAGAATGGTGGTGGTGGTAAGGGGGTGAGGTGGTAATAGTAATGACCAAGATGATCCTGAGAATGGCAACAATTTATTGAGCACTTACCTGTGTCAGGCATTGGATTATGTCTTTCACATTACTGCCCTTGATCTTTATAACAGCCCCATGATATATCTTTATCCCTAATTTACAAAAGAGGTATTTAAAGGCTAGAGAAGTTAAGTAACTTAGAGCTGGTCTTAAACCAGGTCTGTTTCATTCAAGACGGGGGCCATAGCTTGCTGGTGTTTGTTTTTTGACAACTGGCACAGAACTGGAGAGAAGTGACTTTCGTTTCTGTGAAATGGGAAGCTTGGCCCAAGAAGAGGTTGTCCTTCCTAATAACTATCCCAACAGTAGAATGGGCTGCCCTGATGGAGTAGGCATCCTGCTTCCAGGGATTCTTGAACTGGGTGGGCTATTGGGCTACCCAGTGGTTTTAAATCTACGTTTTACAGAGTTGCTTCAGAGGGGACCCTTAACTGGGGTAAAGAATAGACCCGGAAGGCAGGCTCTGGGCTCTCCTCTGCTTTTAGCAGAGTGGCACTTCTTTATTTTATTTACATATTAGAGTTGTGTTTGAATAAAGTTTTCTGATGCCATAAACATGTTCAAAGCCTTCAGACTAGGTGATCTCTAAGATATTGTCTAAAATTAACGTTGCATGATTTGGCCAAGGTTTCATGGCAGAACTTGGACTAGAGTTGGGTCAACTGGCTCTTTCTTCTAACCCATGCTGTCCTGAAGTCCAGACCTAGTACTTACTTCCTTAGACAGTGCATTGACACAGTCGTTGCTCTGAGGCTTAGTGGTTTAGGGGAAAGAACTGTGAATAGGATGATCTTGGTACAGTCTAGCTTCTCCACTAATCAGCTGTGGAAACTTCAGCAATCATTTATTTATTCATGGAATACTTATTCTGACTCACTATGGACCAGGCACTGTTCTGTGCACTGGGAATATGATGGTGACAAGACAGGGGCCCTGGCTCTCATCAAAATCACGTTTAAAGGAGTTATATAGAAAATAAAAAGTAAATACAGAAGATAATTCTACTTATATGTTGCACCACACACAAAATAAAATAAAACCAAGAAATGTGATAGTGATTGGTGGTTTTGTGGGCCACTTGAGACAGCGAAATCATCTCCTCTTTACAGTTTGGCTGAGACCTGAAGGAAGACTGTCCATGTAGTGACCTGGGGGAGGGGATGAGGAAGACATTTGAGGGTGAGGTAGCAGCAAACACAAAGTTATGACATGGGAATGAATTTGATACTTTGAGGAACAGAATATTCCAGTGTAGTGGGAAAATTGTAGCTAGAAGGAAAGTTGCTCTAAGAAAGACTGGGGAGGTAGACCAGGACACACGTACCGGCTTTACTCAGAGTAGCATCATTATGAGGATAAGATGAGACAGTGGAAGTGAGAACCCTGGAATGAGAATGTATCTTGGGCTGCTGCAGAGGCTCATAAATAGCCCTTTACTTCTCCACTTTCCAACAGAAAAGAACATCTAAACAAAAGCAAAAAATGAAACGAAACAAAGCAATCCAGTATCTCTTCCCAGTTGGATCCTCCTTTTGGTGTTATCTGACTTGTACTCAGTGGGAAGAAGCATAAATGCTCAGAACTTCTGAGACCCCATCTTCAGAAGTCCTGCCTTGGGGCGCATGGGCACTCAACAGACATGTGAGGAGGAAAAGAAAAGCCCCACATGTGACTCCAAGGTGTCTCAGTTGCCCCTCCCCCTTGGTTTTCACAGCTTTCCCAAGCAGTGAGAACATCTCCTAAGAAGGAAAGATTGGCTTCTAGGTGTTTCTGCTGTTTCCTCCTTCTGCCTTGTCTTGGCAAACAGTTCACTTTAGTAAAAAGAGCATTCTATCAGGGGACGTGGGCTCCAGTTAGGGATCCACCGCTAATTAGTTGGGTGACCTTGGAAAGTCCTGGAATTTTAGAGCACAAAACACCTTAGGGAAATTACTCATTTTCCTACTTCGTGTCCAAATAAGGAAATGAGATTCTGAGAGGTCAACCTCAAGCCAAGGTCATTTGTTGTGTGGAGAGTCGGGTCTAGAACCTCAGGTCTCATCATTTCCAGTGCAGTGTTCTTTCTATCGCAAAGTGCTCTCACTCCTTGCCTGGGTCTCAGATACCGCAACTGTAAGATGAAGCAACTGTGTTGGCTCAGGTGTCTCATCAGTGCCCAGTTGTGCTTTATCCGGCTAGCACAGGGCTGTAAAGTCCTTCAACGTGAGCCCTTGGGTTGGGGCATCAACTCTCCTGTTTGACACAGACCCTATCACTCCCATGTAACCCATCTGTGTCATCTGCCCAGCCTGTTCACACGAGCGTAGGACTCTGGACCAGAAGATCTCTTAGGTCTCTTCTAACCTTCAAAGTCTCTGATCCTAAATCTTCTCCTTTCAGATTTTTAGAGAGCAAACAGGACTCTTGATGGGAAAAGAGAAGCTTTTGGACTAACTTTGTCCCCTTCTGGCAGAAACACCACCCCTCAAACCAGAGGGGAGTAAGAAATCACAAAAGTTTAGTCATCAACCCAGAGAGGCCAAAGTCTGACTAAAGACAGCCTCAGCTTATTAAATATAACTTGTAGAAAACCACCCAGCAAGATCAAGAGGATAAACCCTTTCAGGGTTAGGAATAAAGGGCCTCTTGTAGTTAAAACAGCACCCTTTCAGGGAGACCCCAGCATCACACACGCCAAAAGTATGTGAGGCTAGAACACCATGTTTCTGGGATGGCGGTGTCCCAGTGGACTCAAGCTGAAGCTCAGTTCTGGGAGGAGCAATGTTGGCTGCAGATACTGGGTTGGCCTTGACTGAAACAATGACTATGCATGCTTCAGGGAATTTTAGTAAGAATGAGATCACCCTGGCTGTGCCGGGCTTTCTTCACGTAGCGTGTTATCAATAATGGAAGAGTTAGAAAAGGCAATGACTTTAAATATCCCAGGGAGACTTCACCCTTCTCCATAAAGTGTAGGTCCTTCTCCAACCCTGCTACATCCCTGCCTGTAGAACACCAGCCTCAATCCAGGGGAATTTTGCCTCATGTTTTTCTGTGGTAGAAATGTGAATTGCTATATAGTTTGCCCTATCAAAGGACCTGTAGGGCCTGAGTGAAAAAAAAACATCAGTTCCATTATGCCTATATTCCTCATCTATTCATTCATTCGTTCATTCTTTCAACCAATATTTATTGAGAGGCTACTATGTACTGGACATTATTCAAGTGCTTGGAATACATGAATGAATAAATTTTTAAATCTTGCCTTCATGGAGCTTATATTCTACGTAATAGGTGGGTTATTCTGTGTAGATACTAAAGAGGTTTAAAGTTTTATGATCATCTTCTTAGCTATTTGGCACCCTTTTCAATGGCATTTTTAAGAGATACTAAGAGTCTAATATACTTTTCCTTCACTTACTTTTCTTCTTACATCCACAGTGACTGTGAGGAGCAAAAATATAATTTTTCACTTTCTATGGCTTTTTCTTCCTGCAATCTTTGCAGGAACCTCAGGCTTAATTATTACAACGTCAGTTCCCACCCTAGATTTCTGAATACCAAAATGAGCTTTTTAAACCCCTGGTTTGTATCTCGAGTTTCAAGACACTTGTTGGATGTCCGTGTGAAAACTCAAGATGTGTAAAAATGAACTGGTCTCTCCACAACCAACTATCTTTCCTAGTTCTAATATCAGTGTTGTCAACACCAGGTTTTTTTTTTTTTTTTATGTTCCATTTGAAACCTTGTCTTCAGTCACTTGGTATGACTCTGATACTCAGTCAGCTAATCTACTGACTTCTTTCATCTTGTTCCTTGTGTGTGTCCCTGTCTCTGTTCTCACTGCTTCCCTCAGATCCTTTCCAGCTCATTCTTGGATCAGTCCATCAGCCTCCCGGGGAAGCTCTCCTACCCCAGGATCCCCTGTTCCAATCTATCCTGCACGTGGACCCCAGGTGAATGTTCCTTTCATCCCACCCATTGCTTTCATCCCACCACTGGCTGCTCGTATCTAACATAAATCCCTTGCCAGATTTCTGAGGTGCTTCATGGTATGACTTGCCTATACCAACCAATCCAGCAGCTCTTTCCCTTTTCTCAACATGGTCTCCCTGCTCTTAATATTAAGGTGGGTCTCTTAACATTCCTCAAATGCATAAAGCTCATTTAATTTGTGTTCACACTTTTCCTCCTCAGCCTGGGCAACATAATCTTTTTCCTTTAGCCTAAATAGATCACACACCTCTTATTTGCAACAGAACTCTAGTGCTACCTCCTTCACAGAACTCCCTTCCTGTGAGCTTTGATAGAGCTTCAGTTGCATCATACTGTTCAGCAACCAATCCCATTAGTCTTTAAGGATTTGATGTATTCATAATCTTGCCAGATGAATCCTAAGCTCCTTGAGCCAGGAACTATAGAGTATACTGTAATATATATATATATATATATATATATATATATATACTATATTGTACTACAGTATATCATATTCTACTATACTACATAAAACTGTACTCTACTATTTTGTACCTACGTTTTGTTTTTTGTTTTTGGTTTATTGTTGGTTTATCTAGGTAAACTCCTCCCCCACTCCATATCCCACCATCAAATATGATGCTATTTCACTTCATCTTTCCCTCACAACTCCACTGTGTCAAAGATAAATAAAGAGAGCTTTTTATTAAGGGGAAAAATATATACAGTATATTACTAACCATGTTTATCCCATCTTTGAGAATCCATATTTATGTACACAGATATATTACACATTTTTGGGTACAAGATTTATTCTGGTGTTCATGGCCACATCTTTTATATTCATTTGAAATTGTTAATTAAGAGCCTGGCTATTTTTTTTTCTCCTAGTAATCTGATCTCAAAGGAGAAAAATAATTTAAATAGACTATTAGAGAGGTTCGCTCATCTTCAATAAAGGTGTTTTTCTGCAGAGAGCTAAGGTTTGACAGACATTTACTTTTTTTAAAAGTCATTTTATGCCTGTCTACATGGAAAATAATTTGCTCAGAAGAAATGAGAATATGGTTGTTTATCCTTTAGCAATATATGCAACTTCAAAATCAATGAGCTAAAAATCTGTTTCTTTCAGAATATAAATTAACTGTCAAAAATCTGCATCTCAAATGATTGTATGCTGCGTATTTCTCTCTTAATTCATGCATACCATGGATTGTATAGCATTACCTCATATACGGTAATCATCATGTGTCAATGTGAGATACTGAAAAATACACCATGAGTGTCCCACTAGAGATCAAAGCCATCCAAGTCTAATTAACTTGTTTTGCAAACTGTTTCTAGTTCTTGTCCCCAAATATACAAACATCAGAAATCAGAAGTCAGTCTAAATATTCGAATACCCATGGCGGGGTGCGGTGGCTCATGCCTGTAATCCCAGCACTTTGGGAGGCCAAAGCAGGTGGGTCACTTGAGGCCAGGAGTTCCAGAGCAGCCTGGCCAACATGGTGAAACCCTGTCTCTACTAAAAATACAAAATCAGCCAGGCGTGGTGGTGGCGTACCTGTAGTCCCAGCTACTCAGAAGACTGAGGCACTAGAATCACTTGAACCCAGTAGGCGGAGGTTGCAGTGAGCTGAGATCAAGCCACTGCACTCCAGCCTGGGCAACAGAGGAAGACTCCCTCTCAAAAAAAAAAAAAAAAAAAAAAAAAATTGAATATCTTATTGCACTAAATAACAAAATTTTAACTTGCTATTCTTTGGTTATCTGTACTTTTAGTTTGAATTTATATACTTTGTGCTTTTTAACATTGTCTTGGAACAATTTAATAAATGTTACAAAAGGCACTCCTTTCCATATGGAACAGACTCATGAACTGTGAATTATTGTATGTGGGTCATTTACCATTTTAATTCATCATTGGTTTTCCTAGCGTCAAGAATCTATCTTGCTTCACTGCAGAGCAAAAGTTATACTCCTTTCAATTCCGGAGGATCTATACATAAGAGAAAATCCTACAGAAGACAATAGAGCTGATTATCTCTACAAATCCAATGGGCATATTGAAATTTCTAGCCATTTGGGATCTGCACTATGTTAGAGGGAGATCAGGCTAGAACTTGGCAGGTCACAGAAGAGAAGTGCATGATGTGGCTCGGCCTCCATCATCTTTTCAGTGCAGGGTGGTTGTATTCACAGAGTTCAGGCAAAAGATAATAAAAATGGCTTATGCATGTCCCATATTCATCCAGGCCAAACCTGCTACAAAGTTACTCAGTCTCAGGGTATAAGAAGCCCTCAGCCTTCCTGGAAGAAAGCAAAGGAAAGGAAAACTAGGAAGAGTTCAACAGCTTGGGTTGTAATTTCTGCACTTTTTGTGACAAATTCTTGTAATGTTTACTCATTTTTTCCAATTTTTTCCAGAGAATGTTATATCTCTGCCTCCCAGGGTTTTGTAAGTAATGCTGACACATTTTTGTAGCAGCCGTCATTGAACAATATTTACTTTTCTCCTAGTTTTCATAATGAAGTTAGAATTCATAGAAAAGGGACATATGAAATATTTTATCTGTGGTTTTGAGACCATATTGAGGCAGCAGCAATAAAGGAAATGGGTGGAGAATTTTCATTAACTCTATTAAACTTGAGTTTTCCCAAACTGGACACATTGTCTTGCTAGAAAGTTACCCTGAGCTCCCTGAATACCAAATTCCTTTCTTTTTGCTCTCTCCAACCTTACCTCCTTTCTTTTTTAACTAATCTGAAATGTGAATTATTTTGCCTAGCAAAGAACATAGAATAACCATAGAGCAGTGCTTTGCAAAGAATAGGTAGTCAATAAATTGTTTCAGAATGAAAGAAAGTCACTTGTAATTTTAATTGGCATGCTTAGGAAAGATGAATTTCAATAAATCATTTTTCTTCTGCACTTTAAAATAATGTTTACTTATTTCTAATGCATAACCTTTGTAGTAAATTATATATAATACAATGAGAAAATAAAAACCACTGATAATCTTATCACAATGATAACATTTTGATAAATTTTTTGGTATTTTTCTTTTGACATACATTTCATATATATGATTTGTTTCCTGTTTCTTTTTTACTTACCATTGTATCATGCACATTTTCCCAAATCATTAATATTTTTCCAAGACATTATATTTCAATAGGAATGTCATATGAACGGTATCACCGTGTATTCAACTGTTGCCTTTCTGTTAGTCAAAAAGATTATTTCTAGTATTTCAATATAATAAATAATATTGCTATGAATATCTGTATATAAAAATCTTGTTTATAGTTCTGATTGTTTTCTTAGTTTGATTTCTGGAATTACAATTAAAAGTATAGGTATACTGGCATTTTAAGACATTTTTATTGTGGACAACTTAAAGCATAAAGAAAAGTGACAAAATAGCAAAGTGAAACCCGTGCACCCATCACTCCACTTCAACAGCAATCAACTTGGGCAAACTCGCTTATCCTCCACCACCACTCACATCCCTCTACCTGGGTTATTCTGAAGCAGATACCAGGTGTCTGGCCATTCCATGGTAGAACTCATCCTTGACTTTTTTCTCTGGTTCCACACATCCAATCCATCAGCACGTTCCATTGTTTTTGTTTGTTTGTTTTTGTTTTTAATCTCCAAGGATACCCTGACTGTGTCCTGCCCTCTATCTCCATCAGTGTTACTCTAGTGCGGGCACCATCTTCAATCACCTGGACCACTCCAAGAGCCTCTTAATTGGTTTTCCTGCTTCTCTTGCCCACATATTTTGAGGTAAAGATCTAAGATTTTTAATAATGACTTTAAGACAATTTCCCATAATAATTTGTAACAAATTCATCTTGCCTAATTCTTAAATTTTTCTGTTGAGCTTATTTTTTTTCAAAAGAATTACAAAAAATGTCCAATCTATTTTATTTTATTTTTTTTTTTCTTGAGATGGAGTCTCACTCTGTCACCAGGCTGGAGTGCAGTGGCACAATCTCGGCTCACTGCAACCTCCGGCTCCCGAGTTCAGGCGATTCTCCTGCCTCAGCCTCCTGGCTAGCTGGGACTACTGGCACATGACATCACACCCAGCTAATTTTTTTTTTTTTTAATTTTTAGTGGCGACGGGGTTTCACCATATTGGCCAGGATGGTCTCAATCTCCTGACCTCGTGATCCGCCCACCTCGGCCTCCCAAAGTGCTGGGATTACAGGTGTGAGCCACTGCGCCCGGCTCATCCAATCTATTTCAAAGAGGTTATTCTTGATGCAACATCAGCAAATAATTTCTCTGTGTGTGTGTGTATATATATGTGTGTGTGTGTGTCTGTGTGTGTGTGTCTTCCTCCCTTTCTCTCTCTCTTTCTCTAGAGATATAGAGGTGTAGAGAGAGAGAAAGAGAAAGGAATATATGTAGGCATATATCTATACATCTGTCTAGATCTAGATCTATATTACGAGCACAGTTGGATGGTTGAGGGATAGTTCTGTCTGGAGAGAGGAAGTTAAATTAAGTGACTCATTAGGGTTCCTTCCAGGTATTGAATTTTTGGAGTCTATGAGACCTCTTGATATAATATAAATTTCCAGGTAAAAATTAAATGAGAAGAATCTTATTGCTTTTGAAGATATGGTAAAGAAATAATATCAGATTAAAGCCAAGAAGAGTTTGATTAAGTGAACGATGATAATGTTTGCCTAATTACTGAATAGAACATGTAGATTTATGTCTTGTCTCTCCTGTGGTTATTGGAGCCACTGTTATGGAAAATGTTGGGAGACTAGGATGTGATCATTTATAAATAATAGACATTTGGAAATTTGACTGTGCTGGTCCCTCAGAAGACTCAGTTTCCATCACTTCAATATTTAGAGTTCAGACTCATATCAGACAGCTCTAATCTTCCTTTCTCACCTACATGGCAACCAGCTCTATTCGGACTCCTTCCAGCCTCCTGCAGGTGCAGGGTTATAGACTCTCTCTCAAGGCCATCCACATTAGGGTGGTCCCATGGCTACTTCAAGAGCTTTTCACATGCTGCACAGAGACTTCCCATGAAATCCCACTCTAAGCTTGTGTTTGCACAACTTGGATGAATCAATGAATTCATGCTTTCTGGGGCAACACTTTAATAAACAAACGTTCCTTCCTTTCTGTTTCTGGATAGACAGTTCTGAGAAGTATTTCTTAAGGATATTAGCCTACTTGCTAACCCATTTTGTATTGGCACTTCCTCTCTCCCTGCACTGTGCTCCCCACCCTCCTGTGGTAGGCAGCTCCAAAATGATCTCCAATGTCTGGGCTCATGATACTCATGCCCTTGAATAATTCCCTCCCTTCGAGTGTGGGCTGGACCTAGTAACCTCTTCTAAAGACAGAATACCATTCAGAAACACTGATGGAATGTCACTTCTGACAATAGGTTATAAAAGCACTGGCTTTCATCTTGCTCTCTCTCTCTCTCTGGAAGCCCTTGTTCTCAGGAAAGCAGTCTGCCATTTTGTGAGTATCCCTGAGAAGAGGCCCATATGGCAAGGAACTGATGCCATCAACAGAGTGAGAGTATGAACACTGCCAACATCCACATGAGTGAGGTGGGGAGCAGATGTCCCTGTCCAGCCTTGAGATGACTACGGCCCCAGCAGATACATGATTGCAGTCTTGTCACAGATCCCAAGTGAGAGGCTCTCAGCTAAGTGGCTCCTGGATTCCTGACCCACAGAAACTGTGAGATAATTACATGTGTGTTGTTTCAAGTGGCTAAGTTTTGGAATGTAATGTGGCATTTATCATGCAGTAATAGATAACTAATACACTCTACACCCTACCTCATCCCTACCCTTCACACCTGCCTGCTGGGATCACATTCCCCAGGAAAGTGCTCACAGGTAGGTTTTTTTTTTTTTTTGTCTTAGGGCATGTTTCTGAGAAACTTTGGCCAAAATATATTTTCTTCATGTTCTCTGGTAGTTACTTGTTGATAGCTCATTCTCAATGTTAGATGCAAGCCTCTTTTTAAGCATTTATTTGGCCTAGAAGACAGCAAATTTTTTTGATTTGCTCATTCCCCTCTTTTCTCAGCTCAGGATAACTTTCCTCAGGGGTGCTTTCGGCTGATGCTTCTGTACTGGTTTTCCTCATTTCTCCCTTAGGGGCCCTTACAAGTTTTGGGCATGCATCTGCATTTCCTACCCTCCCTGACTGCTATCTTCTCTCTCTTCACGTCCTCCTTTTGTATCATGAAATAGGTTCTCGTGTTGATTTTTCACATTTTCGATTCCGTTTTCAATTAAGTTATTTTCACTCCAGCTCCAGATGATAGTAACTTCTAGAGTTGTTAAAGATACCTTTTCTAAAAAATCTTCAGCTACTTCTTATTAAGTTTTATATTGCCCTTTGTTTTGGTTAAAAATCTATTTTTGCGATACAGGTGATTATGGTAATAGCCTAGAACACTGGGGAACTCAGGTGAGGAGCAAAGTAACTCAGAACCTGGGGTGCGGCGATGACCTGGGGACAATATGGAGAGAGTGGAGGGGGAGCTGCAGACTTGCTTTGATGACAAACGCAGCTACATTAGCATCAGCCTACATGTTTCCCTTGAGTTAACACCATGAGAAGTGCAAGCTGGAAAGATCATCTTATTTGTTGTCCTGAGGCTGTAGGTTGCCTTTCTGGGATGGCCTGTCTCCTTCAAAGCTATTCTTGACATTTATTTGAGTTGGGTTTCATTTATGTCAGAATATTTAGAGTGAGGCCACACTACCATGATTGATTTCAAGTTTCACCCTTCCCTAGGAATGACCTTGGAAATAAGCAAGGGATGTCTTCATTTCACATGTGGGAAAAACTGGTTCTCAAAGAAGTTAAGTAATTTATCCAAGATGGGAAATCTGGCGGAGTGGCGGGGCAGAGAACTTTTATAATCTTCTAATATTTGTAGAAATTATTTAACAGTTATGCTGTTTTAGAATCAGGTATTTATGAAAGTTTTTAAAGTTTAAGTGAGGACTGACATTCAGTGAAGTCCTCAATGTTTATCTTCCATATGCCCAGTCTTCCATTTCCACAGACTTTGGCGCCTTCCCTGTTTTTGCAACTCTCCCTACGTGTGATGTTTCAACCAAGGATCCCTTGTCAAAATCTGACTCAGCAAAGGAACTGAATCTATGCCCTCATACAAGAAAAGCATTTATGAATGCTTAATGTATTACTTCCCTTTAAAAATTATTACAAATAAATGAATCTCTAATTGTAGAATTTGGGGACTCCAAAAGCTGGGAAAAGGGTTGAAGAACTGAGGTGATGAGCAGAGAAAGAAGTTTTGAAAAACTTTCTTTTCCTGGGCCTTGTTGCTCACCATGTAACAACATCCTCTTACTTTTCCTGTGGTGGGAAAGTACCCTGTAGTACTAGCAAGGTGCACCCAGGTAGAGGACAACAGGAATAGTTATCCTACTTGCTCAGGCTTACATTTTTACACATGAAACATAGTTTCTTTTACATGTTTATTTACTTATTTGTTCTCAGGAAGACTGACAGCTGGGTGATGTGAAAGGGACATTATGTTCTGATATCCTTCAGATAGAGAAATCCTAAATTGCTGTTAATTTCTTGTGCATATTCAGCTGCTGGATTGCATACATCACATCACTAGCAACCTGTGCAGATTGGCCAAGGGATGGAGTATGTGGCATTGGGAACAGAGATTGTCCTTGGAGATTTCTGCTGTATTCCCTGCAACTTCAGGACCTTCTTGCTCTTGAAAGTTGCAGTTTCATATTGGCTGCTGGACCAGTCCTGTATGATGTGCCACTTATCAATAAAATGAATTGGTTTCTCCAGGGTGTGGTTATCTCATTATAGTTTTAATTTGCATTTCCCTGATAACTAATAATGTTGAACATTCTTTCCATATGCCATCTATATATCTTTTTATGCAAAACTTAAATATTTTATACATGTTTCTAAAACTGGTTTATTTTCTTATTGAATTGTAAGAGTTCTTTATGTATTCTGATATGTCCTATGTCAGACATATATATTATAGTCAATTTTTTTTTTTTTTTTTGAGACAGAGTCTCTCACTCTGTTGCTCAGGCACTAGTGTGATCATAGCTAGTGAGCTTCAAACTCCTGGGCTCAAGCAATTCTCCTGCCTCAGCCTCCCGAGCAGTGGAGACCACAGGTGCATGTGGCCACACCTGGCTAATTGTTTATTTTTTTTGTAGGGATGAGGTCTCAATATGTTGCCCAGATTGGTCTTGAACTCCTGACCTCAAACAATCCTCCTGCCTCAGCCTCCCAGGTTTCCTTACATACACACAAAAACGCTAAAACAACAACAACAACAAAAACCCTGTTCTCTGCCACCAAAGAATGGGGAAAAGAGTGGCCTAACAACAAAACACAATTTTTTTGGCAAATTCAAAATTTGCCAAACTCTGTTCAAACGCCAATGGAAAAATTGCAGCCTCCTCCTCTAGCCCACAAAGACAGACTTGAGTGCTATGATTCCTCCACTGAGTGGTATCAGCAGGGCTGAGGTGGAAGCTGATCGTTCCTTCTCTACCTAATGAAAGGGAAGGATGCTCTGATTCTCTTGGAAGTGAAGGGTGTTTGGACTCTCATGCCAGGGTACCATCTGCAGGGTCCTGTGCTAAAATGGGCCTCCATGCTCACCCAGAACCAACAAGAATTAACAAGGCAGTGTGAGGCAACTGTAGTCACCACTAGGTTGAAAGAGCTAGACAAATCCACAATTATAGTTGGAGACTTTAATACCCTACTTTCAGCAATTGATAGAATTATAAGACAAAATTATTTTGGCTATTCTAGTTCCTTTATATTTTCCCTATAAAATTTGCATCAGTTTTTTAATTTCTGCATAAATGTATACTAGGATTTTAATTGAGATTATGTTTATAGGCTAATTTAGGAAGAATTTAATTCTTAAGAACATTGAGTCTTTTGATCTATAAACTATTACATCTTTCCATTTATTTAGATCTTCTTTAATTTCTTTTAGGAATATTTTATAATTCTTATATGAGTCTTGCATATATTTTATTAAATTTATTTCTGAGTATTTCAAATTTAAAGTGACATTTTTTAGAATGAATATGCCTTTGTTTGTCCTTCATTTTGGAGGATATTTTTGCTGGGTAGAGAATTTGGGGCCAACAATTTTTGTTTGTTTGTTTCCACACCCTAAAGATATTGTTTCACTGTTTCTTTACCTCTGTTATTTCTGATCATAAGTCAAAATTAATTTGCATGATTGTTCCCCTGTAGGTAATGTGTCATTTCTTTGGCTCCTTTGAAGATTTTCTCCTTATCTGTGTTTTTTTTTAGCAGCATTAACATAGTCTTTTTTATATTGATTCTTCCCCAGTTTGCTGAGCATCCTCAATCTGTAAATATAGCAACATTTTTGGTCATAGTTATTCAAAAACTATGCTTTCTGCTATCTGTCTCTTTCTCTTCTTCTATAACTTCAGATGCTTTTATGATAGATCTTTTGTTATGGTGGTCTCAGAAGTCCTTGAAGCTCTGTTAATTTTTTTAAGTCTTTTGTCCTTTTCTTTGTGTTCTTCATATTGGATAATTTCTATTGATTAATATTCAGGCTCCCTGACTCTTTTCAATATGATCTCAATTCTAATGTTTAGCTCATCGAATATATTTTTAATTTCAGATATTATATTTATAAATTCTAGAATTTCTCATTAGTTCTTTGTTATACTTTCTGTTTCACTGCTATTCCTCTGCCCTTTCATTCATTATAAGCATATTTTCCTTTGCGTCATTCATCACAATTATTTTTATTTTTATTTTTCAACTTTTATTTTAGATTCAGAAGGTACACGTGCAGGTTTGTTACCTGGGCATATGGCATGATGCCGAGATTTGGGGTATGAATGATCCCATCACCCAGGTGCTGAGCATATTACCTAATAGTTTTTTACCCCTTCATCTCTCCCTCCTCTCTGTAGTAGTCCCCAGTTTCTATTGTTGCCATCTTTATTTCCATGAGTACCCAATGTTTAGCTCCCACTTATAAGTGAGAACATGTGGTATTTAGCGTGTAGTATTCTATGGTGTATATGTACCACATTTTCTTTAATTGATCAGAATTATAATACCTGCCTTAAAATTTCTTTTCTGATAATTCCAATATTTGGGTCATCTTGGAGTTTCTATCTCTTGATTGTCTTTTCTCCTGAAAATTGCTCACATTTTATTGTTTCTCTGTATTTTGAATGCTAGGAGTTGTATCCTGGACATTATGAATGTTTAATAGCGAAGACTCTAGATTTTGTTGTATTTCTTCAAATAGAGTTGTGATTTGGTTTTGTTTTGTTTAATGGGCAATTAACTTTGTTGTATTCAAATTTATGAATACAACAGACTATGAACTCTGTCTCTTGGACAGTAGCTCAAACTGCAGTTTAGTTCTTATAGCCTTTACTGGGTTGGATGCAGTCTGTCCATCTATGAATATTCACAGGCCAGGCAGACATTTGAAAAGCATGTACACACAAACTTTGTTGTTTCCCCTCTTTGATTCTTTCCTTTTTGGGATTCTCCCCTTACTTTCCATCAGCTGGGTTGCCCTGAACTCTGTACTCTGTTTCCTCAGTCCAGAAAGACTATGGATTTTCTCTCAAAATTTTAGTCACCCTATACCATGCTGGTTGCAGCCTGTCTTCAGACCAAAAGTCATAAGAAATAGAAAATTCACCCTGTGCCATTTCCTTCCTCTGGGTATCAACTCTTCTCCAGAATCGGCCTGCCTTTGTTCACACTCTAGTCCTTTAGATAATTATGTTGTTGTAATTATTGTTTGTTTTGTTTTTGTATTTTTTCTAGCTTATTGTTATTTGTAGAAGTGTTCATCTAGCAGGAACCAATTTAGTCAGACTAAAAGTGAAATACCAAATGGTATTGTTTTTAAAATGTTCTTTAAAAAATCTATTTTACTTTTTTTTTTGCTAATATATAGAATGATACTGGATTTTTGTGTAATGACCTTGTGTTCTATGTCACTGGTGAATTTACTTTCTAGTTCTAGTCACCTTTTTGTCTATTGTTAGTGTACTCTGTCTAAATAGCTGTTTTGTCTGTGGCAGTTTGATTTCTCCTTCTCCAATATATATGCCTTTCATTTCTTTTTCTTGCTGCAACATTCAGTACAGTGTTAAATTCAGTGGCAGTATCAGAGATTCTTCCCTTCTTCCTGACTAAAGGTGAAAACGTTTGGTCTTTCACCACTGAAAGTGAGTTAGTGTCGTTTCTCCATAGATGTTCTTTATCAGGATGTTCCCTTTTATTCCTAGGTTGCTGAAAGTTTTTTATTATAATTTTGTGTTTAATTTTCTCAAATGCTTTCTCTGTATTTTGTTTTTCTCTTTTAATTCATTAGTATGGTGAATTACATTGATTTTTGAATGTTAAAAAAATCCCTTTGATTCCTAGGATAAACTCTGCTTGTTCGTAATGCATTTGCCTTTCCATATATTGCTGATTCTGATTTGCTAAAATTTTGTTTAAGATTATTGTTCCATATTTCTAAGGGTTATTGATCTGTCCTTTCTTTTCCTGTAATGCTCTTGCTTGTTTTTTTCAGAATAATGGTAGGCTAATAAAATGATTGGGAAGTGTTTGCTCTGCTTCTATTTTCTGGATAAGTTTTTGTAGGAATGTTACTATATCCTCCATAAATGTTTGATAAACTATATCAGTGAAGCTGTTCGTACCTGGTATTTTCCTTGTGGAGATATTTTAAATTATGAATTTAATATCTTTAAAGGTATCCTCAGCCCTGTTTCTATTCTTTTGCACCAGTTTGGTAATTTATGTCTTTCAAGAAATTTTTGTATTTCATTTAATTTTCCAAATTTATTGGCACAAAGTTGTTCTTAATATTTCCCTGACCTTGTAAAGTCTGTGGGACTTTTAACAATGTCTTGTCTTTTATTTTGAAATGGGTCACTTGTCTCCTCTCCTTTCATCTTGAAGAGTATTGAACTTATATTATCCATAACAGACTTTTAGGAATGTTGGAAATATTGGGCCACACCCTAGAAGAGGGCATCACCTTGAGCTAGCAGTTTTCTGAGGCAAACGGCAAAGCTCAAAGAGGGACACAGCTGTGAGCTGTTAGCAGTTAACATTCCCAGCAACTGGGGGCTGTGTGCGTCGGCGCAGAAGAGGAGAGCTTGGCAGAGAACAGCATTATCCACTTTGTAAGGGAAAACACATTTTGAATGTGAGATAAAGTTTGAGCAAAAGCAGCGTATTAAATACAGAGATTTGCAGTGGCAATATGGAATTGGGCTTGGTGAGGGCCAGGGGGCAGATAAATAAATGTGGAAAGGGCCCCAAACAGTGCCGAGCAACCTGAGTTCCCTGGATCCGTAGGGGCCTAGGAAAATAGTTATGTGCATCCTAGAAACAAGGACAAGTCAGCTCAGCTAACGGTATCAACCTTATGTATTTATGTTGATTATCTCATGCTGATGGGCACTCAGACTAGTGAAAGTGGATATTTATTTTTGCTCAATAAATATGAAATATACTTCCTGGTTCCTGATCAAGAATGTAATTCAAATGTATTCTCAAATCTTCAGTCAAGAGCTGAATATTTATCTCTGGAAATGTAAATTTATTATTGTGTATTTTGGACAGTTTTTAAACAAAAAAAAATTCTCTCTTGGAAACAAAACCATCTTGCAAAGCTTTCTTTAATTGATAATCATTTGAGTGTCTACATGCACTAATAATATTTATTATTCACAAATTATCCAGACATGAATGTATTACATGAATGTAGTTTCTTTATCACCTCCCAAAATTCTGACTGTCATTCCAAGTGGAGACATGTAGGTCTTTTTTTATCCTTGTGTTTGCCAGCAGCAGAGTCTGTTTCTGATATTTAGAGGTTGTCCCTCCTTTCCTCTTTAATTACACAGGATTCCTACCCTTCTTGCCATGAGAATCTGTTTCCAAGAATATATCTGAAACTCAAAGAACAAATGCTGGCTATCAAGAGGGTTATCCCTTCCAGGTCAATTTGCAGGTTTATTAGGAATCAAAAGTCTAAACTATAGGAAAATGCAATTTTAATTAGCTGGTAAATTTAATTTCTTACAGATGCTCACAAGTCTGAATCCCAAGTCTCTTCAAAACTGTTGCATCTCCTTTACTGACTGGCAAAATTGCTCCAAAACCTCTGCCTTCTGGCTACTTCACCTCGGCTGGGCTGCCTTCAGAACTGCCACATGTAACAAACACTAAGCTCACCATCTTCTCTCTTCCCCATTCGCATCTTTCTCCTCCTCAATTCCTTAGTTCTGTCCATTCTCTGGCCAACCAAATTCAAGTCTCAGTGTTATCTTTGGCTTCCCTCTCTCCATTGCTTTTCATATTCAATCATTCATTCAGCTGTAATGATTCTATCATGAAATGACACTATAATTTTCTATTCATTTTCACGTGTACTGACAAATCTTTGGAGCACATGCTCATCACCAACACCCAGCTGCTGCCTTAACCTCCTGATCTCCTTTCTTAAAAGATTTCTGTTTTCCAGTTCTTCTTGCATGGTGACAAAATATTAATTTTCTAAATCATGTCATTCCCATGCTTTACATTCTATAATAATGTGCATTTCTTCACAATCCTCAATCTTCTGGTCCCAACCCACTTTCTAATCTTCTCTTTCTCTTTTTCTTCTTTATACATTCCACCCAGTTTTGTCCATTCTTCTAAACAGGTTGCATACTTTCCTATCTTTGGTCTTTCCTTGTACAAGAGTTTCTCCTCCAATATGACAGGAGGGCTCTACCGTTCACCGGTAAAAGATTTTTCCCAAGTTTTCAACCCTCAGCTGATCTCCTCCTTTCTCCATGAAAACTTTTCTGGTCACTGTGGCATAGAGGTCTCTTCCTCTCCTCTGAACATCTAGAACTCCCATTCTCTGTTGGTTTAGCACTAATTGCCTTACATTGTTAGTTTCCCTTTTTTTTTTTCTTTTTTGGTGTACAGGGTTAAAAATATACTAGACATTAACTGTGATCCTGTGTTCCCTTTCAACTGAAAACGAATCCCAGGCTGAGCAAATGGGAGAAGCTGAGAGAAGGGGAAATAACTCTGCCTAATAGGGGGCTGGTGGGCCTGGAGGGTAGACTGAGGAATCTTAGGAAAGAGGCCAGGGGCAGAGAGGAGGACAACCATGGCAAGCACAGGTGTACGGGTGGATTTGAAAGATTTGGAGATGGGGAAATTAAGGTCTGAGGGAGACATGGGGATTCTACAGTAAAGAGAGAAAACTGTGCTGTGCGTGGTGTGGCACAGTCTTCCCTTCACATCTCATGAGAGTCCTTCAGTGATGACTTATGTTACTTTTTACTGAAGATCATGTCAGATGTTTTCTCATTAAGACAGATTCTGTTTTTTGTGATATGACACTGTATGGAGATGGGCTTTCAGGTGAGAACAAGAAGGGCTAACTACACACACACACACCCCTTACACTTCTCAGTATTCCATGTGATGCCAAGCAGTACCACGAGTAGAAGGAGCTCGCCTGCTACCTTGGATGTTTGTCTCGGTGTTCTTGACCTTTGTACCCCTTTTCACCCAATTTCCATAGACCTGTCACGGTCTCCAGTGGTTCTCCTGAGATTCATGTGTTCTAGTGATGATGCAAGGAGATCAGTTAGGGTTTGGGAAGAAAATAAAATGAAAAAAACATACATGTACAGGCACATGTACACACAAAAAATTATCCTTTAAAATTAGCTTTTTGCGGGATATGTTTTACAATGTGCATGCAAGGTAGAATTGCCATATAATAAACACTGCTCCGCAATTACAGCACTAGAATTGTAAATATTCTTTGGAAGGATCTAATTCATGGATTTCCATACCTTGTTATATTTCAGAGAACTGGACACTTTAAAAATACAGATTCCTAGACTCCACCTCAGACCTACTGAATCTGCATTGGGTGATTGTTAGGGACAGGAATCTGAAGTGTAACAAGCTCCTTGGTTTATCCTGAAATAGCCCACTCGTGGCCTGCCTTTCATTGAAATCTAACTCCCTTATTTTCCTAAAGAGGAAAGGGAGGACCCTAGAAGTAAAGTGACTTTCTGAGGCCACAGCAGATGGGTAGCAAAGCCGAGACAGGACCATAGTCTTCTGTCTTCTAATTCCATGCTTGTTCCATCCCTATTTATGTAGTTGATTTTCAAACTCTGGGCAGAATTTTCTAGTATTTCCCAGACTCTTCCTTCTCCTATTCTATCACTCTGGACACTTCCCCAAGTTTTTTTTTTTAATCTGTGGAAAGATATCCAGTATGATGTCATTAATATTGTTGCTAGCAGAATCATGCAGAAATTGAGAAATTTCAAGCTGTAGCACAAATGGCTTGAGTTCCAGATGGAACTCAAAGGGAACAAATTTTAAGACTACTAAATCATACCAATTGTGATTGAAAAATACAAAAAGCATTCAAGCTTTCATAGATGAGAGAAACACAGATAAAGGACCTCTGATAAACCCTTTTGCAAGCATAGGTGAGTGAGAACATGGTGGTCCTAATAATTAAAACAGAATTTAGGGGAAGAAACAAGTTTAGGGAGTTTGCTGACATATTAGTTACCTCTTTCTGTGTAACAAATAACCTCAACATTTAGTGGCTTCAAACACTACACATTTGTTATCTCATTGTTTCTGTGTCACAAATGAGGCACTGCTTAGCTAGATGCCTCGGGCTGAACGTTTCTCACTGCTGAATCAAGGTGTTGGCTGGGGTTGCAGTCTCATCTGAAGACTCCCAAGCTTGCTTGTGTGATTGTTATCAATAGCAGAGTTCAGTTCATCAAGCGTGGTTTGGACTGTGGGCCTTAGTCCATCACTGTTGGCCGGAGGCCTCCATCAGTTTCTTGCATAGGGCCTCCCTGCAGGGCAGCTCACAACGTGACAGCTGGCTTCTATCAGCGTGGGCAGGCAGGAGGGCAAGAAAGGGCAAGCAAGACAGGCTCCTGCGTCTTTGTGTAACTTCATATTGGAGGTGACATCCCATGGCCTCTGCCATACTCTGTCTGTTAGAAGACAGTGACTAGGTCCAGGCCATGCTCAAGGGGAGGGGATTACCCCTGGGCATGAGTACCCAGAAGGGGGATCTTTGGAGGCCTTCGTAGAGGCTGCTACCACAGTTGAGTCTGAACGCCTGTGGGAGGACTAGGTGGAGGCATCCAGCAGGAACTTGGACATCTGAATTTGAAGCTCTAGGGAAATGTCTGGGCTGGAGATTCAGATTTGGGAGTTAGTAGTATGTTATGACCAAGGGGTGAAATCATGGGAATAGATCAAGTCAGCCAGGAAAAACATTTTTTTAGGTATCAAGTAATTACTGGTATGCACTAATTACTAACTTTTTAGAGAAAATTCAGATCTAGAGTGAAAACAAAAACAGATGTAGGAAAACAGAAAAGTCACTAACCAAAGCTACTTGTTACTCATAACTTAATCAAGATTTTCATATTTGCCATGAATATTTGGGTTAGGGCAGGTGGCATTTTCTGGTATCATTAGAATACTAAGATCCTGAAGAAAAAGTGCATTCTTTACAAAAATTATTTAAAATAGGTGACCAAATGAAATGTGGAAAGCCTCTGGATGGAGAAAAATAAGGTCTAGTTTGCCTTTCATCAGGTTTAAACCAGAGATCAGATGGATCTCAGTGTTTTCAACAAGTTTTGGGTTATGGATATTATTAACATTCATATAATATGATTAATCGTAGTCATTTAAAGACTGACTCCTACAGGCCATAATACCCCTTCTCTTCATAAACACATAGCCCAGGGTGTGTCACAGAAACCTTGGAGAGCTAGAAGTATGTCACCGTGAAGGATGGTGAAACACCCTGCATGTCCCCTTTGGCCCATAATCTTCCCTCCCTCTGTGCCTTGGACTCATGCTCATCACTTCCGCCTGGAATGTTCTCCCCATGTAGCCAAATCCTACCCTCCCTTCAAGGCGATCCTCAAATCTCATTTCTTCCATTAAGTCTTCTGACTGGACCACTCCACCCCACCCCACCCCACCTCTCTCCTCTGTGGATCCCTGTCTTGGTGCCAGCCACTTTGGAGAATCATGCCCAAGCCAGGTTCTGTGCTGGCCTTTTTCTTTAATTCCAGAAGTTGGTAAACTATGGCTGCACAGAGCAAATCTGTCCCCATGCCTTGTTTCTATATGGCCTGCAGGCTATGAATAGTTATTACACTTTTAAGTTGTTGAAAATGATCAAATGAAGAAGATTTCATTGCACATGAAAATTATATGAAATTCAAATTTCAGTGTCCATAGACAAATTTTTACTTTTGTCAGTAAAATGCATGTGGAAATTTGTTTTCTTTTGCCTTACGGTTCATGAAGCTTAAAGTATTTGTTAGCTGTCTATCACTTTATAGAAATTTGCTGACCTCTGCTATAAGCACTCATTTTCTCCCTCCTGAGAGAGAGCAGGCTGCAGGATGGGCACATTTTGGTGGCTTCTGTAGTGTCTCCCCTAGTCTGCAACACAAGGCTGGTGTTTGGTAACACTTGTTGAATGCAGCTAATAGAGAATGTTTTTAATTTGTGATGGATACGATGTTATGTCCTTTCCTGCTGTCCAGGCCTCCGCTTTATTCGCCTCTGCCGTTGGGCTGGTATCTGTTATGTCTGGTAGAAAAAATGACAGGGAATACCAGGGTGGGTCACAGAACTCACGGAAAACACAAGTGAAATGAAGTCTGGGAACCAGAGCTTTTGTTTTGGGTGGAGAGCAACTGTTTGCTTTGGGGGATTGAGGTAATGAAAGTGATTTCAATAACATAATTCAACAGTTGTACATGCTTTCTGCCAGAAAGATGGCTAGGCAGACCTCACCCAGGGACCCCATCCACAAAATGCAAAGGTTAAACACTCAAATGCTGAACAAATTCTCCTCCTTGTTGAGCAGAAGATAAAACTATACATCCACCAGGGTTACAACTATGTAAAATGCACCATATGGACAAAGACTAGAGGCAAAATGAGAAAACTAAAACAGGGTGGTTGGGATTATGAAAAAAATACTTTAAAAAATCTTTTATTTAAGTAGTTAAAATATTTCTAATAAATAAATTTTCTGAAGAATCATGAAAATGAAAACAATTCTCATTTTTTTTCTAGCATGTATAAATTTTTACCTTTTTAAAACTCTTTTTCACCTTTTGCCCTCACACCACTAGAATTTTATACTGAAGTGGGAATTGCTCAGGATTCTTAGTATAACACAGAAGCACAAACATATGCAAACTTTCCCTAAAACAAAGGTTTATTTATGTCATTTTAAACTGCTCTTTCTTAAGCCTGCATTATATTTTTATAGTTACAAAATTCTAAAATGGGAAGAACATTACTAACTTCCCTCTTAACACAGTGCCTGCACTAAGCAAAGGCTTAGTTCATGGTAATTGTTGCTGTAAGGACCTCCTGCAATGCTCTAGCCCTTGTGATTCTTAGGGGGCAGAAATGGCATCCCTACACCAGTGAAGCCTCAGCTTCCAGCACAGTGTTCAGCTTTTAATCAAAATTGGTTACACAAATAAATGAACTAAACAATCAAAAAAAAAAAAAAAAAGAAATGGCACATACATAGAGGTACTATCTATGCTAGCAATCAGGCAACTGAATTCCACCTTCAGCTCTTTAAAACTAAGATCCATTCATTCATATCCTCTCCCAAGTGGGAGTGATGGGACAACTGAGGCACAATGAGGCAATATGACACACCAAGGCTCTGTCAATTGCTGGAAAAGTTTAGGCCTTTCTTTAACCCAGAGAATGATGAGGAAGAATGGCATGAGGTTTTAAGGTTGCCATCACGTCACCATCTAGAAAAGAAGTTCATTCAACAAATATTTATGGAGCACCCGTTTTGTACAAGGAATTGTCCTATATTATGAGGGAACTAGAAGCTGAAGCAGAGAGGCAGAGACTTGTCCATGGCAGCTCTCTTGATCTCTTCATTTCCTGGAGTGATCTTGGTGATCCTGGAATCTTGCATGGATCTTGTAGCATGGAATAAATGAGGCTCTCAAGTAAGATGCAATAGATTCAGGCAGCAATGAAACTCAAGGGATGAAATCTTAGCTTCCCAGAAGACACAAGAGAAGTGTTGTGGATACTGGGAATGACTCCAGTTTGCATCAACCCTAGATCTTGACTGAGATTTTGTGGCCACGGATGAGGTAGCAGTGACGACATGAAAAGTTTCCTTGATTTGTCAAAGGCTTGGTTTTAATTACATCCACCTCTCCTCTTGATTTTATGAATTTGAGCAAGTTTCTTAACTCTTCTCAATGTGAGTTTCTTCATCTCTAAAATTGAGAAAAATTATTTTATATTATAAGGTTTCAATTATTTATCTATTCCTACGTAATAGACCACCCTAATAAATAAGCAGCTTAAAACAACAATGATATATGTATTCTATGGGTTAACTGGGCAGTTGGGCTGATCTGCTGGGCTCACATATGTGACTACATTTAGTTGGTAGCTCAGGAAGAGTCTTGATGTAGCTGAGAGAGTTGGGGCTGTCTCTCTCCACATTGTCTTTCATCCTGGACTTCTTGAAGGCCTATCCATCTCAGGGCAACATCTAATAGGGTAAAAGAGGAAGCTGCAAGATTTCTTAAGGCCTAGCTTTAGAAGTCATACAATGTTACTTCCATGATATTCTACTGGTAAAAGAAAAATAAAAAGCCAACTCAGATTCAAAGAGTTGAGAAATAGACGCTACTTCTTGATGGAAGAAGATAAGAAATATTGTGGCTATGTTTTTCAATCTACCAAAAGTTGTGGCAAAGATTAAATGTGGTTATGTATGTGAATGTATTATTTTTCTCTCTCTATATATAAATAGGTATGGTTTCTGGTAGCTGTGATATATGCATTACATTTTTATAACTACAAAATTCTACAATACTCACTAAAAGTCAGAAGCCAATTTTTGAAGATATAGTTGGTTGTATCATGAGTGATCTATTTGCCACCATCAATGGCAGGAACTGAGGCTACATGAAAGTCTAGTTAGCTTTTTGTGAAGTCATGATTTAGTTTGCAAAGGAAGACGTAGAAGCTGATTTTAGAGTATGCTTCTTCCAAGTAAAGCTTGAAAATGCTTTATTTCAGTAAGCTCTAAACATCTTGAGAGTTCTTGAGATGATGTAATGGACATCTGGATTTTTTTTTTTTCTCCTGACAAGCATTAATGCCCTTCAATTTTTGGTGCATGACCAAAATAGTGTTTTGCCCATCTTTTATAGATGAACCCTTTTCCCATGGCATGCAATCTTGTTGGGACTATCCATCAAGATACTCCATCATCCTTTGGCCAGGATTGTGCCCAAGTTCCCTAAATAGCTACGTCAAAAGGACCCTGTCCTTTGAATTTGAACTCCAAGAGGGGTGGCAAAAAGATGAAAATGGTTGGAATTGATTTACTCACATGACATCAGCCTGAAGAGGTTCTCTGCTTACCATTATCCCAGAACTGTACTACTCCCCATTTTATCACAAAGTCAAGTTCAATGAGCCATCTCATAACCTGATAATACTTAAAATATCTTTTTTTTTGCTGAAATTTTCCATAGCTAGTTTTCTTGCTTGTAGACAAAGAACCCTTGCTGACATAGATATTTATACAGGAGGTATAAAATGATGAGAGTGGCTTGAAGCTGAAAATGCCACAAGATTTCAATTGATCATCCTGGTTAACACGGTGAAACCCCATCTCTACTAAAAATACAAAAAAATTAGCCAGGCATGGTGGCAGGTGCCTGTATTCCCAGCTACTTGGGAGGCTGAGGCAGGAGAATGACGTGAATCCCAGAGGTGGAGCTTGCAGTGAGCCGAGATCGCGCCACTGCACTCCAGCCTGGGTGACAAAGCGAGACACTGTCTCAAAAAAAAAAAAAAAAAAAAGAAAGATTTCAATTGATCCAACAACAAACAAAGTATTTGTGTTTTGTCATAGTTTTCAGGACACTAGCAAGTTTCCTTGAATAAGGAATGCCACCTTGTCTTTAAGGATCTATCATACAGCTAGGGGGAGTAAGTACAATGGCTACAGAAAAAAAATATATATTTAGGTTGACGCCAAAGTAATTGCGGTTTTGCTAGTACTTTTAAATGGCAAAAACTGCAATTACTTTTGTGCCAACCTAATAGTTCACTATAGCAACAGAAGAAATATCCCTAATGTCCAGTGCCTGACATGGCACTTGGCATATAGTAGGCATACTATAATTATGTATTAACTATTAAGTGAATGATTCAGTTAATAAGTGCAATGATGTTAGAACAAGAGAGATGGGCATGAGCTAAAACACCTACGAACAAGAAGGAATCTGAGCAAGGTTTCTTAGGGTGAATAGAATTCTTTGAAATAAGGAGATGGAAGCAAGGAATTCTAGCCCATGGACTTAATTTGCAAACAGTGCAAAACAACCTATTACGAAAAAAAAAAAAAAAGTCTGTGATAGGTTTAAGGAGAGTTGGGTCCTCAATCATCTGGCATCAAGAAAATCTTATTGCAAAGACACAGATTTTTATTATTCGTTACTGAATTTTGTCATAAGTAGCATGCTACTCTAATACATGTTGATTGCCTAGATAGCGGGAATAGTTCTTGTATATTTAAAATGTATTTACTTTTAAGTAATCAAGTTCCCCCTGCTTCCCCTTCCCCTGTAATCTTCCACCATTGTGGTCAGAACATGAGACTTATTGCTCAAAGAGGGGAGTATATGGCTTGGAGCTGCCACCCAATATGAAGGAAGAATCTTTCCTTTATTGGAGAAAGAGGCCAATGAATAAAGAGGAGGTTGCCGGGGAAAGCAAAGGCCAGGTAAAAACGTTTAATCCAAATCCCTCCCTTGGAGGTGAAACCCTGGAAGGCAGTTTGAGTTAGAAATAATAGAAATGTCCAGAAATGTTGGAAGAGGGGACTTGCAGGGCACCAGGATTTGGCCTTTACTTCCTGGGCAGAAGCCTTAGAAAAGGCTTGTGTTTGGTTGCTGCTGACCAACATGTCACTGAGTGTAAGATTCTGAGAGAAAGGGCACAGCATGTCTTGCATGCTGCTGGAGTACAAGGAAAGCATGCAGTTTCCAGAGTCCCCTGTGGGTGCAGAGCAGCCCAGAAAACTGGTGGGCAGGACAAGGCCTTTCTGGATGTCCAACAGCCCTGCTTTCTCCTAATCCATGGTCCCTCTGCTCAGATCCTTTTCCCAGTGTGAATTACCTCCTTACCCCTCCCTACCCAGGGAGCTTTAAAAAATATCCATGTGAAGAATCCACTACAGACTACTCAAATCAGAAACTCTGGGTGTTGGGGCCTGGTGTCAGTGTCAGATTTTTTTTTTTTTTTTTTTTTTTTGAGGCAGAGTTTCACTCTGTTCTGCCCAGGCTGTAGTGCAGTGGCACAATCTCCTCTCACTGCAATCTCTACCTCTCAGGTTCAAGCGATTCTAGTGCCTCAGCCTCCTGAGTAGCAAGATTTACAGGCATGCACCACCACACCTGGCTAATTTTTGTATTTTTAGTAGAGACAGGGTTTCACAATGTTGGTCGGGCTGCTATTGAACTACTGGTCTAAAGTGATCCACCCGCCTTGGTCTCCCAAAGTGCTGGGATTACAGGCCCAGGCATGAGCCACCATGCCCATCCTGGTGTCAGAATTTTTTTAAAGCCTCTTATTATTTTACTGCATAGCCAGGGTTGAGAACTGCTATCCTAAGTAGAGTCTAGTTATGTTTTAGACTTAAGTTAAATATCACTTCCTCAGGGATCCCTTTCCTGATCAGCCCTAGCCTAGGTCAAGTCCCCTTGTTATATATCCTCCAAGCAAGCACCCAGTACTTATCCTGTTTGGCGCTTAACAATTGGTCCATTATTTGTTTCAAGTCTGCCTTTCCTTGTTGACTACCTGCTGTGTGAGGGGAGACACATTTCTGCCCTTTTCACTAAATTGTTGAAGTCAGTCGTGTTCAAATTGTTGAACCTGCCTTGTTAAAATTGTTGAAGTCTAGTTCAACAATGCACTAAGTAGTACACAGTTCGTGCTCAGTAAAAACATCTTGAATGAATGATCTCCTTTACTCAGCCAGGAGTGTGTGACCAAGGCTCTCATTCATGAATCTGCTAAGAGACCTTTTGCAGGTGAGACCTTAAAGTACACCACATACATACTTACAGGACTATGGCTTTAGATCAGCTCATAGTTCCCACAGTTTTTCTGTTTCATCTTCATGTATCACAGCAGTTCAGCATGTCCATCATCACCATTACAACCCTGTGTGGTGGACACTACAAGTCCCATCTTGTATTTGGAAAGAAGTTGAATAACTTGCCCAGGTCTCTCTACCCTACTGTCTGGGCCCCTTTACAAACGGTTACAAATAAGGAAAATCCCTTTCAACAAGATACATTCCCAGGGTACCTGTTTGTGCTGAGCTTTTATTATTGGCTTGACAGCAGGCTGGTGGCTGCTTGCAGGGGATCTTCTGGGGGTCTCCAGTTACAGCAGCCAGGACCCAGTGTGCGACTTCAGGCCTTCCTAAACTGTTACAGGGTGCAGGCATCATTGGGCATTATCCATATAAGGATGCCACAAATACTATACCTTTCAAAGCCACTAAATTCACTGTGCCGCGCATATCCTGGGGAGAGGCAGCTGTGTGTGGGGGAGGGCGAGGGGACCGGGAGGGTGTAAGTAGAGTCCTCCAGATGAACCCCAGTCTTAATCTGGGCTGGGCAAGAGGACCATCCCTTCACCGCTCCCATCCTACATCCTAGGTTCCAACATTTACAGGCCCCTGGGTTGGACACCGACTTAGAGAGAGCACCCTGGATTCAGGCCTGGGTGGCTTGAATTGAGCCTCAGAAGAGCCGCGTCTGGAGTGGGCTCTCGACACCCAGGGCAAGTGGGGGCGGCAGAGCCCTCTCCTCGGTCGGCACAGCAGCCTCTGCCGCGGTCCCGGCCTGCGACGCGCCCAGTCTTAGCCTCCCGGCCTCCGGCGTCTGCTGAGTGTCCGGCGGGAGAGGCGCAGGGAGCGCGCTACCGGGAGGCGCGGGCAGCGGGGACTGGTTTTCTCTCGGGCCAGGGCCTCCGGGGCAACCGTCTCCAGCGCGCATTCTTGGTGCAGGTGGAACAGCTTTCTGCTCCGGTAGGGCTTCACCTATCGCGGGAGAGGTTAATCTCGGATCTAAACCTCGCAGCCGCAGAGCGGGCTAAAACCGCTACTCCACCTCTTCCCATTTCTCCCCTCCCCACCTCAAGACAAAAAGTCCCAGGCCGGGCAGGACCTGATCACCTCTGCCTCCTCCCACTGCGCTAATCCTGCGAGCGAGAGGCCCCGCACCGAGGCGGAGGCTGGCAAAGGGGAGTGGAAAGGGAGGATGGATGGGGCCGGGGGGTGGGGTGGTGATGAGGGCGACGAAGGAGGGGGTGTCATTTTCTTTTTCTTTCTTTTTTTAAAAAAAGTATTTCTCTCGCGAGAAACCGCTGCGCGGACGATACTTGAAGAGGTGGGGAAAGGAGGGGGCTGCGGGAGCCGCGGCAGAGACTGTGGGTGCCACAAGCGGACAGGAGCCACAGCTGGGACAGCTGCGAGCGGAGCCGAGCAGTGGCTGTAGCGGCCACGACTGGGAGCAGCCGCCGCCGCCTCCTCGGGAGTCGGAGCCGCCGCTTCTCCAGTGGGTGCAGCCGGGGTCCCGACGGGGGTCGGGCGGCCACCGGGGCTGGAGCTGCGGCCACGGAGGCTTTTGCGTTTGCGCCGCGCCGAGGGCAGGGACAGGGACTGGGGTGAGGGGCTGTCCCGGAACGTCCACAGCTGGCGCTGGCCCTCCCCTGCCTGACAGCTTCCTGGCCCGGGGCTCTTGGTGCCGGGCTCCGCGTCAGATGTTCGGGGGGCGGTGGCATCGCCCGGAGTCGGCGGGGACGGCGCGGCTGGCTTCCAGCCTGGCGGAGAGGGCAGGCTGAGGAGTGGGGCGTTCAGAGCGCGCATCGCGCGCAATTCGTGCCGCTAAAAAAAATAAACCCAGAGAGCTCGCCCGGGGCTTAGGACCGCTGGGGATATGGGTACTTTGCGCCGCGCTCTTCTGGCGGGGCCCGGGAGGCCGAGGGATCGGCCGGGGCTGCTGCCGCCGGGGGCCTGGGCTTTCCAGCCAGCTGTGGACCAAACGGTCTTCCCTTACCCAAATTAACTGCGCCACGCGCAGGCGGCGCACGGGTTGGGCTTGGGAATGGGGACCGCGAGGCTTCAGCATCCCGATGCCCTGAAAGTCTCCCCGCCTCGGGGATTTGTCTCTGTGTTGCAGCTGGCAGGGGCCGCCTGAAGTGGGAGCAGCGCCTGGAGAAGGCGGGAGGAGCCCGGCCCGGGGGACGGGCGGCGGGATAGCGGGACCCCGGCGGCGCGGTGCGCTTCAGGGCGCAGCGGCGGCCGCAGACCGAGCCCCGGGCGCGGCAAGAGGCGGCGGGAGCCGGTGGCGGCTCGGCATCATGCGTCGAGGGCGTCTGCTGGAGATCGCCCTGGGATTTACCGTGCTTTTAGCGTCCTACACGAGCCATGGGGCGGACGCCAATTTGGAGGCTGGGAACGTGAAGGAAACCAGAGCCAGTCGGGCCAAGAGAAGAGGCGGTGGAGGACACGACGCGCTTAAAGGGTAAAGGAACCGGTTCCCTCCTTTGGTGTGGGTCTCCCAAGTTTCAAGATCCAGAACAACGGGCAGGATGACTCTCCCTGTGGAAGACTCCTTGGCAAGACCTCCTGGGGGCACCTTAGAGGTGCTAGGGTTGTTTAGTCCCCACCCCGTTCGTGGTTAAACTACCTTGCCCCTACTCCCAGAGATTTCTGCCCCAAAGGAGAGGACGTGGTTAAATGGAATCTTGGGCCATTGTTGAGGCAGATTTTGGGAGGCGAGAAGAGTTCCTTGGGGAAGAAGGGGAGGAGTTGCGAGTGGGATAAGAGGAGAAGCCCGTTCCTTTCCCTGCAATATCAATTCTGGTTGTTTCTAGAGGAAAGTACTTTCCTTGGGGTCATCTTGGTAGATGCTGTATTTGAAAGGGGGCAAGGAAAGGAAGGGATTCCCATGACAGTCAGAGGAGAAATCACACAGTAGTTGACTCTTCCGTAAATTATGCTTATTAAAATTACGGATTGGGTTTTCTGGGCAATGCTTCCTTTAGATGTCTACATTGGAAGCAGAACAGGGCAAGTGGTTCTGAGAACTGGTTTTTTGAGTTGTGTGGGGCTCTCCGTTTCACTGCAGCAGTAAGGCTGCTGTGGCCGGCCTTAAGGGAGTATTTTTAACTAGTGGTGTTTGTGTTGTGTACATGCAACTGACCATTTCACTGGCTTCCCATGCCGCTGTTACAGATGTTTCAGCCGGAAAAATTTTAATTAGACTTGACTAAGGGTTGTCATTTTCCTGTATTGAAGGACAGTGGGAATACATTTCCTTTAAGAGAAATTTGTCTGCAGTTGTTTAAGTTAAAGCCTCCATGGAAACAACAGGATGGACTGTCAGTGACCCCTTTTATCTTCTTGGAGGAGCCTGTTAAATAAATTCAGACAGTATATATAGGGAGATTTTGTATTAAATTCTTACCATTCTCGCTGATGCTCTTTTCCTGAGTGGTTCTGTAGCTTTATTATATAGCTCTGGGTCACCAAGTGATGGTATCCACTTGGATATGTGGCTGTTCATTTCACTTACTCTTTTTTTGTTATGAGGTGTTATAGTCATGTATATGTAGTAAAATTTGTGTTTGTATGGCCCAGATATGAGAAGAAAAAGTAAACTCACCAGACCAGTTTTTGACTCCTAGTCTGGAGTAAGGACAAGATGATTGTATGAGCCAAGCACTTAGGCTGTGATAAAATAGCACAGAAAATAGTTATGATTAATTCGGTTCCATCTTGGCCTTCGTGGAAAATAAACCCAGAATTCCGATAATGTTGGAAGGAAGTTTGCTTATCATGGTAAACCTGACCTTGATCAGACAGCAGATGTTTATTGCCCTGTGTGCAAGGCACATGGCAAGTTCAATAAGTAGACTGAGGCTCTGATTTTCATATGTTCTCAAGAGGACCTCATTTAGTCCAGTATTTTTCCTTCAAAAATACATTTCTCCTACATAATAATATCTTAATATCTATTCTGATAGGATTGCTCCTGTATATAAAGGACGTGGGGATTTAATTCTGTGGCTGAAGATCTGCAGAGAGGTGTGAGGCCTGGTCAGACATTTGTCTCATTTCTCTGGGCTGTCACCAACTAGTGTGTTCCCTTGGGAATGTGAAAAAAGAAACTAAGCTTTACTTTGTTGCTTAACAGGATGCCACACTTTTACTCACACTTGTGCTTTTTCTCTCTGGTTTTAAATTTGTTTGTGATTATAGAGAGATACCTCTCTGTGCTCCTCACAGTATTTGATCATTAACACAGACCTTATCCTATTGTAAACTATTTATAAAGCCTTCCTAAAAACAGGGTATTAATAGAATTGTAATTATGTGTGTTCCTAATTCTCATGTTAATTATAAGATTTTATAATAAGTGATATATATATATACACACACACACACACACACACATACACGGGGGTGAAAATAATAATTTAAAAATATATACAATTAAAAGTATTTCCCTGCCACCTTTCAGAGACCATTTTCTTGTGTATTTTTCTATAAATCTTTTAGGCATATGTATACATGTACAAATAAACACAAATATATATGTATACATACACATGTGTGTGTGTATCCTTTTTAATACATGGAATGTATTGTACATGCAATATTCTGAACTTTACTTACTTTTTATGTATCTTTAATGCATCCATCTATTAACTCATATGGATCTACCTCATTCATTTTCTTTCTTTTTTTTTGAGACACAGTCTTGCTCTGTTGCCCAGGCTGGAGTGTAGTGGTGCAATCTTGGCTTACTGCCTCCACCTTCCCGGCTCAAGCGATTCTCCTGCCTCAGCCTCCAGAGTAGCTGGGATTACAGGTGGGTGCCACCAAGCCCGGCTAATTTTTTGTATTTTTAGTAGAGATGGGGTTTCGCCATGTTGGCCAGGATGGTCTCAAACTCTTGGCCTCAAGCGATCCACCCACCTCTGCCTCTCCAAATTACAGGCTTGAGCCACTGCGCCCTACCCCATTTTCTTGTTGTATAGAACCTCATTATGTCACTGGAACAGTTCCCTAGTGATGGCTCTTTAGATTACATTGAGTCTTTTGCTATTACCAACTTTCTTCTGCATACCTGTGTTTACATACACGTGTTTATATGTGGTATAAATTAGTAAAAATAGAATTGCTGGATCAAAGTCTTTCCCATAGATTTTAAGCAAACCCCAATTCTTATGTTAAATTTGAATAACATTTTAAATTTATTCCCTCTGCTTATTGCCGTTACAGTCTCATATGAATAAATCCTTTAACGGTGCCCTGCTGTATAAATCATCAGAAAAAGCAGTTATGTACTACATTTTTCCAGTTATTGCTTAAAATTTCTGTTTTTGTCTGTTAAAATATTACCGGCTTCAAAACTCACCTCTTTGACTACAGTGAAACCTGTTTACCATTCTGATTGGAGATGCACAGTTTATGAAGTGAAAGTGATTTGTAACCCCCGAGTCTGCCTGATGCCCAGTTGGTGGCAGCAACTTTCAGCACCTCACTAATCTTTCCTCTAGTTAAAAGGTACCTTAAACTCATCAGTATCTGCTGTGCACTGGTTCCTTCTCCCCAGCAAATACTGCCTTCTTGTTTTTCTCTGATGTGGCAGGTGACTACAAAATCCGCCTTGGTATTCTTCAAATGCATATATATTCCTTTCTTGTCAGCTCCCTCTCTTCCTAGATTAGAAAACTGCCTCATTTTCTGCTCACTGGATGTGCAGTCCCAGCTTGTCTTCCTCTCCTCCCCCCCTGTTGCAGGTGTTCTTTTTTTTTTTTATTCTCTCCCCACTGGGCAGCAAAAGTTGTTCCACAGTGGAAATTTAGGCATCCTCAAGTTTCTTCCCAGCTTCTGCTGTGTTTTCTTAGAGTAAATTGCCAATTTCTGTTTTTACAGGAAATCCTTTTTTAAAAATGGAATCAGTGTGGTCCCCATCTACTCTGCAAAAATTGCATTTTTCTCTATTTTCAAATGAGATTTGTTCAAGTTTCAAAACCACGTGAAATAATAAATGTATAGTAGTTTTCTTTTCCTTGGGCATTGCTTGATATGTGAAATGGGTTTATGAAAAATAATAAAATCATAACGCTATTTGTTTGACTTTCAATTCATGGGAATTTTTCTCAGCTAAACTCTAAATGGTGATTAGGCAAAAAGTGTGGGAGACAGTCCAAAAAAAAAAAACTCAACTGTACTTGAATAGCAATAGTTATGCACCATTTATTTATGATTGCCTTATTGCTTTAGCTCCCAAGTAAGGAAATATTACTGTTTCCTGTCAAAGGGGGAAAAGTTCTTCACAGTGAGATCTCCTTTCCCAAACCTTGGAGAAGATGGATTGAGACTTCTGCCCTTGTTGTGTGGTTTATAGGTACATGAGACCAGTTGTATTTGACACAATTTGTCCCCTTGTGTGTGATTCCTTTTGGTCTTTGTTTATTTGTTTATTTTTTTCCAGAGGTCTTGTTGCCAGAAAAATACACATGGAACAGTTCATACCCATGGTAGATTATGTGATGGCAAACTCCAAGGGATTAGTTATGTAGAAGTCTGTTATTAAAATAAAGAACTGTAATAGGGAATACAGAAAAAGTTCTGTAGACTTTATAAAGTCCATTTTACTTTATAAAGGGGACTTTAAGACTTCACCTGAAGTCAGATGGGCTAATAATTAAATATGGGGAAAGACTCCTGCAGGGGTATGGTTTACATTTATTGAAAAGATTAAGCTAAAATATTGGGACACAATTTTTTTTTAAAAAAGGATATAGTGTTCTTAAATAGAAGATTTCAGCAATTCCACACATGAAACAAGAAGGTAGAGACAAAATATTTATTTATGTGACTCATTTTGTAACATTGAAGACATAGAGGTTGTTTATAAAAATGTGTAAGTTGGTAATACAAATTAATTAAAACATACATCAGCCTATGGTGAAATGAGATGAGAGCTGATGGAAATGGAGTACAGACTTCCCTTCAACCTTATTTGGAATTTTAAAGAATATTAAAATGTTCCTTTATCGTCTTGTGTAGCATATACTTTAAAAATTATAGTATTATACTGATGACTCTAATCAAGCAAAATACTAAAAAATTATTAGAGTATTCATGTACCAGTTTGTTGGCTTTTTCTTCCAGTAAGCCAATCAGCCTAACCACTTTGGGAGTTTTAGCTTTATTTTCAATGTGAAAATAAGATTTTACAAATGTTTTCTTGAAAGAGAAATACATTCTTTTAACAATTTCTTTGTTTTTAAACATGAACCCAGCAAATGGGCCTGCTTAAGCAACTTAGAATTTTTTCCCATGAGATTCTTTGAAGAAACCGACATCAATAATATATCAGGCCTGAGTTATGTGGCCTAACTCAGGCACATGATAGTTTAGCGTTTCATGATTGTTCAAGTCGATTTTCTCATTAGATAGTTAAATCATTGAAGACAAGAATCCTATTATAAGCATTTTACCACTAACTCATCATTAAGTGGGGTTTCAGAAAGTTCATTAATTCAGGAAGTCTTGATTGAATGCTAGCTTGAGTTTAGTTCTGTGGAAGGCCAGAGACATATACCCCATAACCCTGGGGGTACTTCAGGAACCGTGAGTGCACAGAAGGACAGCGTCCCTGGAAAGGGGGTCTGGTATTAAGTCTAAACAAATACATAATAACAATTGCAGCCATGGTAGGTAACATTTAGGTAACATCTATATGTTACTAAGCACTATATGTTGCTAAGCACTGTTCTTACTGTTTTGCATATGATAATTCATTGAATCCTCATAGCCACTCTACAAGCTGGGTGCTTTCATAAGCTTCCCTTCACAGATGTGAGAGCCGAGGTATGCAGAGGTTAAGTTCTAAAGACAAAACTTAACGTTAACTTTTCTTTCTCCATTAATTTTAGTTATGGTTTTGGTTTTTCATTCCACCAGACAAAAATGCAGGCCCAAGACATTGGTAAAATTCCACTTAAAATTCCTAATATTCTTTCATGCTAGTTCACAAATCCTAAGTATGGTTAATCACACAGTATTATTTAGTCCAACAAGAAACTTTCTGCAAAGACATTAATAAAACAGAAAGAATCATAGGATGTTAGAGCCAGTGGGACTTTGGACAGCGTATTATATTTTAATATTAGACCTTGACTTGTGTGAGGGTGGTAGGTAACCATTGCAGGCAGCCTGCTGGGCGTTGTGTGGGCTTCTGAGCTGGAGGCATTGCTGTTTATGTTGTTCAGAACCCTCTTGCTGTCATGTCCCCTGTGAGAAATCTCTCTGAATAGGGTTGCAAGAAGTATTTCTCTTTCCAGTGGAAATTGGTATGTGTCTTAAATCACGACCAGTCATATGAGTTATTTAATTATTTCTTTTTCATTTTTTAACCTTGGTTGCCTGTAAACTCAGCCCAATTTTTTACATTAAATTGCAGCCATAATGGTAAAAAAAAAAAAAAAAAGCTCTGATGTATCACTTATGATTGTACTTTGCAAATACTAATTCCTTTAAAACATAAATCCTTTATGAGGAAAATTAAGCTTATTTATTCATTTAACAAATGAAGAAACAAGGGATGCAGAGTTTCAGTAATTACTCCAGGGACATAAACTAGTAAGTGGTAGAGTTGGAAAATCTAGCTTCATAGCTGGAGCTCTTAATCTTAATATTTTACTGCTTTACAGTTATAATAAATCTTGTAGCTGGTAAATTTTTTTCTTTCATACCTTTTATACCTTCGTTTCCCAAGAATCTTCTCCCACCATTGCTATGTGGAAAGACTCAACATTTATTGATGGCAGATGCTGTTACAAGCCAAGGGAAGCATCATTGTGGGAATGGGATTGATCAGAAGTGACTTTACAGTGAAAGTCTATTAGGGCTGGGCATGGTGGCTCATTCCTGTAATCCCAGTGCTTTGGGAGGCTGAGGCAGGAGGATCACTTGAGCCCAGAGGGTTGAGGCTGCAGTGAGCTATGATCATGCCACTGCACTCTAGCCTGGGCGACAGAACAAGATCCTGTCTTAAAAAAAAAAAAAAAGTTTATCAGTGGTCAACAAACTGAAGACCAAGCTCACTTTTTTTGAAAATAGAGTTTTATTGAAACAAATCCATGCCTGTTTATTTACTTATTATGTATGGCTGCTTTCTCCCTACAGCAGCAGAGTGGAGTAGTTGCAACAGAGACAGTATGGCCCATAAAACTGAAACATTTGCTCTTTGGTCCTTTACAGAAAAAGTTTAACAACCTCTGATCTACGTGATAAAAAGTGACTGTCTACTAGGAGTGAGAACTCCTTGAAGGCAGAGATCTTGCTTGTTTTATTTATCTCTAGGAACATCTAGGAACTGGGTATGCGGCACATGTTCAATAGAATAGTTTTTGATAGTTGAACTCTGAGCAATTTTGATGAGCTGATTAACTGGGTATGGTTAATTATATAGACTAGAGCTTGGAGTAAGTATAGCTGAGAAATAAAGGAAAGATGAGTGAAAAATACATCAAGGGAAAGGGATATGAAGTGTCTGAGGTCTTAGGACATTGACTGCAGTTGGGCAGGGTTGGCACGGCATGGTTCCAAGTGACATGGTTTGTAGTGCAGTCTATGAAACGAGTGCCCTCTGGAGCTGTGCAGTTTGCAACCTTGAGCAATCTTGTGAGCCCGTACATAGGTGGCAATGTTGTTAGGGAAAGGAGAGGGACTAGTGGAAATATAAATGTCACTGATGTTGTGAAAGGCAAGGACGGGGAGCTAGTAAAGGATTCTAAGATAGGAACATGATCAGATCTTTGCCACTGGGTAGAGGTGTGAAGGGTAGATGATTAGAGAGAAGAGAGACTAAAGACAGGGAGATTTGGATTTAGGAGGCTAATATAGGAGTCACAGTGAGAGTCCACGATGGTCTGAGCAAATTCAGTGAAAGGGGTGAAGAAAGAAGAGACTCAGGTGGTTCCAGAGTTAATGCAGACAGTACTTGACTAGTTGGTTGTGAAAGACAAAGGCGAGGAGGACCTAGAATGCTCCCACCTCCATATATATTCAAACTTACCATACACGAAGTCATTGTAGCACCATAAAGAGAAAATAAAGGGAAACGAGATCAGGCCTAGGCCCTCTACTACCATGAAACAAAGTATTTTCATTTGTGAGTGTTTGAGTTATTTTATTGCTACGTAACAAATTGCCCCAGACTTCGTGGCTTAAAACAACAATTTTATTCTTTCTCATGATTCTGTGGCTCAGGAATTTAGACAGGACACAGTGGGGAATCTTGTCTCTGCGCCCCACAATGTCAGTTGGGCTGGAACAGGCAGTATGACTTCTTCACATATGCATCTGGTTCTGTGACCAGGCACTGGCGCCTGCAGCCCTGTTTACTTGGGTGTGGTTTATCTAAATGGACCCACTGAGGAGGGGAATAAAGGAAGCAAAGAGCCACTTGTCTGGCTCTGCTGGGGGCCTTCCAAGTTTTAAAGCTGTCTCTCATGCAGTCTCCTGCCTGAACCTGCCCCCGGGATGGAGCCATTGAATGTGTTTTTTTTCAAATGGGGAGACTGAGCCCCAGATGCAGCGACTAGGCCTTGCTCAGAGTGAGTGTCTGTTGGGGCTGGATCTTGAACAACAGCCTCCTGACCCTGGTCACATGTGTTAATCCCACATATTGACCGTAGGCTAACTCGAAGGGCTGGGGGCTGGCTGGCTGGGGTCACATGGACTCATATGTCCTCGACATTGCCTGGCTTCCTTGATTCTCCTTTATATAGTCTCAGGTTGTCCCCTTTCTATACGTGGCCTCTCTACATGGTCTTTAGAGCAGCATAGCCAGACTTTTTCCATGGCAGTTCAGGATCTCTCAAGAGCACAAAAGTGGGAACTACCAGACTTTCTTCAAACTTAGCCTGGAATCGCATGACCTGGAATTCCATCCAAGTCATAGGCCTCATCCAGATTGAAGGGCATGGACTATTAAGACCTACCTTTGGATGTGAGGAGCATCATGTGTCTGCTGGGAGGGGAGAAAGTGGAGCCATCTTTGGAGACCAGCTACCACTGTGAGGCAATAGATCTTTGAGAAGGCTAATCAGATACTTTAAGTTTTAATTCTAACTTGATCAAGTTCAGTTGGCTTAGTTCTCTACTGAGGATGCCTCATTGTATTTTGCTGCTGTAACTTCAGAATGAAAAAGCTCCATAAATATTGTGTTTGCATGTTCTGTTAGATTCATGTTAGGGCATTGATCTTAGTTTGTCCACAGTTCTGCATTTAAAGAACTCACAACTGTCAGGAATAAAATGAAAGTTCCTAATGAAGCAGTATGTTTTGTTTTATTCAAATATGAGAATTTCAAAACATCTAACCATTTTCCATTTGCTTTTAAGAAAATCAGCTTTTAAGATTATACATGAAATAAATTTAATGGGCAATCACTCTAATTTATTAACTTTGGTATGTTTTAACTTTCTTCTGTATGGAATTTTATTTTCAATTTCTATTTATAGCCTCAAATGTATGTATCTGTTGGTGTAATCCACCTCAATTTTTTAAATTAGGGGTTATACTAATAAGTAAAAATAGGTTGCAGTTGCTAATAGAATTGGTGTTGTAATGAGCTGAACTGTACTATTTTTCTTATAAATGGAGTAGCCACATTATCAATAGAATAAAATTGGATTAGGAATATAGTCAAGTTTGCATTGTGGGTGTCTTATACTATATCAAATCCTAGATTTAAATTTCTTGTGACTACCACTTTTTCAACTTAAGTGACTTTTTTTTGGTTGAAGTTATCACTGACTCTATTTATTCAGCTCCCTCAGAGCGGAAGAGAGAAAGCAAAAATCCCTATCTCCACCATTCCCAGCCGGAGATGTATTCCAGACAGCAAGCAGGCTCAGAGTGGGAGAACTGCTCCATTAAACAAGTGGTTTAGTTCAACATTTTGAAGGATTATGAATTCCTAGACCATCAGTCATACTTACATTCAAATATAAGTATCCAAACACATCTAAGTCCAAATATAGTACAACCATTTTATGATGTTGGTGTTGGGAGACAGGATTTATGTCTGCCCTAAAGACACATTGTCTGCTGTCAAGTTTCATGGTTTTGAACTGAAGTATGGTAATATCTTTATTAATAAAGACAATGTATTCCAGAGGCAGGGTTTCATTTTGTGTGTGTGTGTGTGTGTGTGTGTGTGTGTGTGTGTGTGTGTGTGGTTTTTTTTTTTTTTTTTTGGTTTCTTCTTCTTCCTTTTCCGGTTCTGTTTCTCCTTCTTTGTTGCCATCTTTTCCTTTTCTTCTTTTTCTTCATCATCATTGTTTCATCTTCTTTTTGTAAGTAATTTCATAAGCTGTGCTGCAAATAAAATAGGGAGGATAGGAATATCAAATGAGAGTTAAAACCTTAAGAAAAGTAAACAAGGTCTAAGTAAAATACAAAATTTTTACCTGGGAACATTGGGGTGTTCAAAAAGCAAAACAGGGTTAAGGTTTTTGTTAGGGGAAGGAAGGAGAAAGCCTGAGGGAAGCAGGAGGAGAGAGCTGGGAGAAGGTTCTGGAGTGAAAGTCTTGCCAGCCAGTGGACCTAGGCTGGACAGAGCAGATGCTGGGTTTTGAAAGAGATTGATGACAACCCCTTCACTCCCGGCAGCATTGGGACCAGGCGACCTGTGGCCTTAATCAGCCTCTTTTAGGGGACAGAGAGCTTATGGAGGAGAGTCAGGACATAAAAGAAAGACACTTGGATGCCAGAAAAGATTCGTATGAAAACATTTAGAGGAATGCAGTGGAAAAGCAGGTTAATCCATTGTCTGGTATGCACCTGTGTATATGGTACTATGTAAAGTTTGATGCATCCTGCTTCTTGTAACTAATGGTTTATTGTGTATCATTTCCCCTGTTCATTCAGTGCTAATTTGTAAGATTGTGTAATCAGACCCTAATAGGTTTGGGCCTTTGATGAATAACTTTTAAAGGACCTTCTTATTTTTAAATGCTTTTATTTTTGCCATTGAAATTATGGCTTATATCTTCTTCCATAGCCAGACCATCCATCTTTAGAAAAATTCATATTATAAATTAGTTATAGTAGGACAGATTTTAGAAATGTATAAATACTGAAACTGAGGCCCAGAGAAGGTCCAGGAACAAGTGCTCAAGGTGCTTATTTTCCTCTCCGGTTCGTAGGTGTGGAAGCTGAGTCACGTGGTAGCGAGAGCTGACCTAAGAGGCGCGTTGTTGGGTAATAGATTGGGCCTCTTTGTGTTCACACCCTCAAGAGGTGGACTGGTATCTGCAAGTTCTCTGCTATACTTGAAATAACCAAACCTTATCAATCCTGTGGGCATGGGTGTTTTCTTTCTCTCATTTATTTGATCTTAGGCAGTGTGATTACTCTCTCAGCGGTCAGCCCTGAAGGGGTGATACTGTAGCAGAGTTTTAGATCCTCAGTACTACCCTGCTCTCAGTGGGAACCTCCACATTAGAAAGGATTGGGTGGGATGGGACTTTTTGAGGGAGGTAGTTGTCAATGAGGGTATCAGTCAGGTGGTTGGAAAAAGAGAAATAGTCTTCTCCGGGAATCGGAAGCATGACTCCTCCCCGCAACCCTCCACCACACACATACTCACACTTCTAATTGGCAGTCAAAGAGTCAAATGACCTGGGATCAACTAAGGCAGTTCTGGGTCTGTGATTAAGCTTGGTTTCTTGTTGTGTAACTTGCTGGCTCAGTTATCCAAACTATACATTAAGAGTTTATGTAATAAACATGCTAAAGAAAGAAAAAAATTCTTAAATTCTTGTGTTTTCCTCCATATCATCTCACCTAGTAATACTGTAAAACATCTGCCTACTCCAAGTGACAACTATGTTATGAGCATTAGCTGCGTTTGAATAGGACCCAATGCTTCATTTTCAGAATGAACACCCTGTCTTGGGCTTGTTGATATTATTATCTTTTTTTCCAATGATTCTAGGCAGAACTGCCATTTGGAATATCTTTCTCTCCCTTTCTGATGGGGTTAATGTCTGAGGAGATGTAGGCAAATGCTTTTCAGTGAAGGACTTGATGTGCAGCCTTTAAGTAGACAAATAGTTTTTTAATCTTTCATGGACTGCTGGTGCTTCACACCCCAGAGTTGAGGCCACTGACCTCAAGTTTGCAAATTTTATATCCCATTACCACCCTGTGAGCTCTGTGCTCCCCAGGGTCACATAGTCGGTGTTTTAGCTGGAATCTGAGAAAGTGCCTGAACATTTCCTGAAGAGTTGGCTAGGAATGTTTGGCAGTTTGGTCATAAAAACCCAGAGCTAGTGGCTGGGGTATATGTTATAATTACCTCACACTATTTCCTATTTGAGCCTGGCTGTGGGTAGTGGGGTATACTGGTATTGATTGTGGGACCATATTTTAAAGGACCAAGGAGTCATTTTCAATGATCACTAATAACCTTTGGCCACACTTTCAGGGAGGTTTGGAAGTGTGGAAATAGACATGCTTTGGGTCAAACCCTGGCTCCACCACCTTCTAGGAGGAAACCTCAGACGAGTGATTTGACCTCTCTGGGCCTCAGTTTCTTCACTTGTAAATGCGATTAAATTACTCATCTTTCTGTGTTGTCCTAAGATTTAATGGGATGGTACATTTCAAGTTCTTAGTACTATGCCTGACATGTTTAGCTATGATGATGAGAATGATTATAATGCTGTTACAGATAAGGAAAATGAGGCAGAGAGTCATCCAAAGAGGCTGTTTTTTATGGCTAAAGCAAAAATCTAGATAATCATACCTATCTGGATACCACAGTCTCCACTTTCTCATCATAGAAATGATTATATTAAGAAACAGGAGGCAAACCTGAATTTTAAAATGTTCAAAAGTGTAATTTTAATGGACTTACTATATCTGTGGAGATCTGGTTATACTTAAAGGCAGTTTGGGGATAAGTTTTTATTTTTAAATTTTCTCTTTCCCTAAATTGTGTTGTCTTCATTGGGAAACAAACTTACTAAATATTATTCCTTATTAATATGCACCCCCTCAACTCTTCCAAAAAAGTTTGCATTTTTTAACTGGCAGATCTGTCAAATAGGCCTTGCCTCTTTCCTGATTAGCACATTTTTTAAAAAGATACTTTGTGAAAAGAATTTAAATTTTAGTAAATGGAAAGACTGGGTTGAAAACCATTCTCTTTGGCAGCAGTGCAGAGATACCCTGGGAGTTAGAATTGTTTCATGGCAAGGTGGTGCGCTATTCTTGAAATGTGCTTTAATTGCCTCTGTTGGAGTAAGGATTTGGTTATAATTGGGTAGCCCAGATGACCACCTACAATTCTTAGCCACACTGCCTTTCAACACATAATCTCAGAGGTAAAGAGATAAGCCCTCTTTTCCAGATTGCTCATGTCAGATCTCGCGGAGAACTCCAGCACTGCCCCAGTCACACGCCCTTCACTGTCGCCAAAGAAATAGGACACTCCAGCTGGTCAGGACTGAGCCATGTGTTAGTCCTGCCTGAACCATGTGGAATGGGCTTAGGAAACGAAGAGTTTGGTTAGCAGAGAAGGGGAAGGGATACTGGATGGGCAAACACAACACATCTGCACTCACAGGGAGAAAGCTCCCTTTTCCATAGCGTCAGTATTCCCTCCACCCACTCTGTTATCACTGTCCTCTCTAGGTGCTTTGTGGGCAGGCCTTGCTTGCGTGATTGGGGACAGGCTGACTCAGATTGGCAGCCCCTGAGAAGAGCCACTTTCTAGTTGAGCGTTCCCTTCCTTTGGCTTCATGCCATGCAGCAACATAATGCTCATTTACTACAAAGAGATTCTTATTTGTTCTTCTTCTTCTGTGTCCTCTTTCTCTTGAGAAATTGAAAATCTTTTTATTTTTAAATTTTCTCTTAATGATTTCCATTTTGATTTTAATGAGAGTTGACTTTCGGAGAGGTCTTAAACTATTGAACATCCGTGAGAGTGGAACAAAACATACATTATCTTAATTTAGGCATAGCTTTCGTAGAGTTCCTATACGCTGCACCCTACATGCCAGCTCTGGTTAACTGATTGGCAGTAAACTCTAAGAAGTTGCGGTTGCTTCATATTCATTCACAGCCTATAAAAATAAGAGTAGAGTGTTTTAAATAAGGAACGATTTGAACAGATAATAGTTACTTTTCTATTTGCCATTGAAAATGTTCAAATTACTTAATGTCTCTCATCCCCGTGGGGTAAATCACACCATCACCAACAGAAAGTTTGTAAAAAAGTAAGAATATAAAATCAAACAAATGAATACCAGGTACTTTCTTTTCTTTTCTTTTCTTTTTTTTTTTTTTTTTTTGAGATGGAGTCTCACTCTGTCATCCAGGCTGGAGTGCAGTGGCACAATCTCGGCTCACTGCAAATACCGGGTATTTTCTGTGCTCTACCGACTTCCTGGGAAAAAAATAAACCTCAAATAAAATAAACTTTTCCTTTTAAAGTTTTGAAAACCTTTCAGGTATTTTACAAAGATAGGCAAACCACTTTTTCTCCTTTTGCTTGTAAGCAGTTCTAACTTAATCCAGACATTATTGAACTTTGACAGAAGACAGCAGGGTCTAATTTGACTGCAGACTGACTCATCTGCTCATTTGCATTTGGGACCTTCCTTGAAAATAGGTTGTTTGACACACATTCTCACACATTGAAAGGTCAGAAGACATACCAGGATTCTTTGCTAAATGATTTCCTCCCTCCATTTCATATTTCCCATGTCCATAAGAATTCTTCCACTTATGCACAGAAAAACCCAAATTTAACCTTTTTATGGACCTGATACACAAAAACCCCTTCCCCCAAAACACATCTTTTGTTAACTGATGGGTTTATGTTTGTCATAAAGAAAGATAAAATGTCTTTATGAAAATGAATCATGTCAAAAAGGACCTGTGATGCCCAAGGGGATCCATCCCCTGGACCGACATGTTAATTGTTTGCACAGGTGTAGTGAAGTCATTTGTTCTTGGATTCTTCATCTAGTGAACTGTAACCTTATTTAGTAGCTGGATACTTAGTAGGAACACTTTGGTTAGTTCTTGCCACTGATTTAACATGGTACACATGTTGGGATTGGACTGTTGTCTCTTAATGGGGGTCCCCTCCCTCTCAGGAATGTTGAGCTGCGTAACAGATAAAGGTGGTTCTTCAAGTGAACGAAAACAGAAAACAAAAGTGTGGCATGATGGCATGTAGGAGACTGTGGATATCAGGATGGACTAGGCCAGGTGCTGCTGCAAATTTGTGTTTTTTAAAAAGAATTTTATTTAACACAGATGTGGATAATTTCAAAACTAGCAAGAAGGATACAATGATGATCCAGCTTCAGCATTTATCAATTAATGGTCAATCTTGTTTTATCTACTTCTTCTCTCCCTCATTGCATTTATTTTGAAGTAAATCCTTGAAAAATCATTTTACTTTTAAATATTTCAATGTGTGTCCTAAAAGATAAGGGCCCTTTAAGAAACATAAACACAATAACATTATTCTGTTTACCATTAACACTAATTTTCTAATATTATCAAATATTCAGTGAATATTTAAAATTTCCTAATTGAGTCATAAATTTTATTTGTTTTTTTGCAGTTTATTCAAATCAGGATCCAAAAAAGTCCATATTTTGCAATTGGTTGATCTGTCTTAAATATTTTTGAATATGTAGATTGTCCCCCTGTCAGTTTTTCCTTGTAATTTATGTATTGAAGAAATTGGTTCCTGTCCTCTACACCAGTGCTTCTTAAGATGCCAGTCCACAAACTCCTGTTACTGGTCCATGATGAGATGAGAAGCCAGGGTGTAAATCCAAAATATGTCACTAAGCACACTATTTAGTTCAGCTGATATTTTATTTCTAGGGAGACTTTCTCGATGAAGGAAGCAGTGAGATGGTTTAGATTCTAGCTTAAACTCCTTATCTCAATATAGACTAGTAACGTCTAGTTTGTAGAACAGCACTGGCCAGTCCTTGGACCACACATGGCTTTCACCACTGGAGAGTTTCTTGCAGTCCAGTGATGACTGCATTCCAGTGGTATGGTCCTACCATGTTTCTCAGTCCCCTGTATTTGTTGTGAATTGCTAGTTAGAGCTAGATGCTTGATTCAACTCAATTAACTTTTTTTTCAAGAAGACTTTATAAGTGGTATGTGTCCTTCCATTAGGAGGGACATCATTACTACTAGTCTCTCTTTTTGTGTTATTAGCATTCATTGATAATCGTTTTCTAGATCTATTAGGGTGGCAGAATGGGGATATTCAAATTCTGTCATTTCCTATTGACTTACTAATGCTGTAAAGTTTTACTCCTAGTTTTGAACTTAGGCTCAATGCTTCACAGCCAGTAATGTTTGCAATATGCTGGGTCTGATTTTTCTTATCTGCGACTTTGTTGTAGAAAAATTATTTAATATCTAACAGTAAGGATAGGCTATTATGAGCTATGAAATTGTGGAAAATTCACACAGAAGGAGCCTGGCATTTGAAAGGGAAGAAAATAATTCTGCAAAGGTCCATTTATCCCATGATCTTTTGTGAGTGTCAAGGTGGAAGCACTCAATGTGTTTTTATTTTAAAGTAAGGGATTTCAGGCAAGAACCTTATGAAAAGTTGGTAAGATTTTGGACTATGAGGGTAATAAAGAAGATATCTGCAGAGATTTTAATATTCAGAAGTGAATTTTTGTACCTTCATTTCGGCATTGCTCTCTCAGGAATGCTCTTTTTTTTTTTTTTCTTCAAGAAATTGGAACAAGTACAACCTTAGTGATTCAAATGAAAGATTCTGAAAATTACTGGTACACCCAGTCCCCTTTGGGGAAAGGAAGGTAGGGACAAGAGCTGCCCCAGGAGCACCTCCCCGACTGTTTGTAGGGGATGATACGTGCGCATGTGCATGTGTGCCAGGCACATCACCCGTGTGTTTCATGTCAGTGAAACATGTCCGTCATTCTCTAAGGCCTCATGTATTCTTACTTGATAGAAAACTCCTGGGTGAAATGACAGGCTTTTGGAACTGCTTTTTCGTCAGTGGGTGCTGCTACAGAGATTTGGAAGCCCTTTAGGTATGCGAGGTGGATGTATTTCTGTCTGTTTTGACATCATCATCACCACTTCAGAAGTTGTCATGTTGAAACTTTGTGCTGGCATTTAGCACCTGCTCTGCTTAATTATAGCTTGAAACACAAATACTGTGACATCTTCCCTGGAGCTGGAAGGGTGCTGAGAGGACAGTGCTGGCATCACTCACACTGAGAGGGAAATCTTTCGGGTTGGATTTCAGGGAAGAGCTGTGCTGGCCATTGGAATGAGGACAGTCACCACTTTCTCTGTGTAATGGACAATATCCCAGCAGCCTCTGAATTAAGTCACAGAGACGTGAAATTGGAGGGTTTTTTTTAGAAGATCATCTGGATCACCCAGGCCTTCGAGCAGCTCATTGTCTTCCTAAGCCGGGTCAGACAGTTGCCTGCGTGTCCTGATGGTTTTGCTTTGAGCTACTTTTCAAAAGACAAGCCACACCCATGTTGAAGTGTGTGTACTAACACATTCCAATGCCAGCTCTGAGTAGGTTTTGAATTATCCACATGTTGAATCTTTCTTGTGCTCTCTACACATCCACTCCCTCAAACGTTGAGCATGTTAAGAGCTGACTAATGTTTTTACCGGAGGGTGCAGGACAGAATACTCATTCTCTGTTGGGAAATGCAGAAACTATTTCAGAAACAGAAGTGCCAATCTATAGGAGTGAATGTTCCTAAAATGTGTTCTCTTTACATTGTTTTCCTTTGCTAATACACTTCCAAAACACTGTCTTATTTATTTATTTTGCAAACCTAGTAAAAAAATCAGAGCACAAAAAATGATGTACAAATTAGTTTATACAAAAAAGAGAATACATTCTCTTTGGAGTATTTATGGAAACATCTTTCTAATCTCTAATCTAAAAATCTTTAACACTAACCTTGGAATGTTATTAATAAAGTCTTTTGGTTTTTAATTAGGGATTTATGACGTTTCCATTGTGTAGCCTTTGAAAAATTACTTCACTTCTCACATTTTCAGTTTCCTCATCTGAGAATGAGCACACCAATACATTTTCTTGATAGGGTTTGGGGGAAGAGTAAATTTTATAAATTAAAGCTCTCTAATAGTTGCTAATTATTATTTTTATTCCACTGAATGACTTCATGTGGACTAAAGTACTGATTTGGTTAAATTCCCTTAAATTTAAATTAGACTATTTTTATTAAAAGTTTTCCACATATCTAAATGTTTAAAAAATAAATGCTTACAACTTTGTTTCAATTTCAAAATTAAAAAAAAAACTTAAGTTTTTGACTGCTAATATTGTGAAGTGTTAATTTCAATGAAATAATCTCAGCAAACTGCATGCTTTTACCTAACTTCCTCTGACTTTATAGAAACTTAAAATCTGTTAGTGATTTATTTATTTATTTTTGTTCCTGAGCAACAATATTGTCCCTGTTTTGATGGGAGGGCTAGATAGAGAAATGTTTTAAAGATCCATGGCCTGTTGACTGCTATGAAATATGGTTTGAGCTACAAGATCTCTGAAGCTTTTGTAGCTATAAATGTTTCTAAATGATGCAACTGAAACATGGAAGAATTTCACTCTCGTACTCCATGTATTCCACTTATGGGTAATTGTTGTTATGTGTTAGATTTTTTCCTTTTAATTTTCTAAAATTTAAAAAAGTAGATGAAATGATACTGATTTCTTACTAGTAATTATACTTTTCATTTTTTTTTTTTTTTTGAGACAGGGTCTTGCTCTGTCACCCAGGCTGGAGTGCAGTGGCGTGATTGCGGCTCACTCTAGCCTCAACCTCCTGGGCTCAAGTGATCCTCCCACTCAGCCTTCCAAGTAGCTGGGAAGCTACAGGTGCATGCCACCATCTTGGCTAATTTAAAAATTTTTTTGAAGATATAGATTCTCGCTATGTTGCCCAGGCTGGATCTTTTTTTAAAAGTTTCTTATAAACATATCCACCTTTTTAAATAAATTAAATACTCACTACTCTGATAGACTTCTCATTAACTTATGTTGTCTTAGTGGTAAATGAAACTCTAAACTCTCATTTACCACTTAAGATTCAAGTATTGTGTTAGGTGCTGGGATTGTAAAGATAAATCTGAACTTGCTATATTTAAGGAACTTGCATACACACACAAAAAAAACGCTGGTAATTTCCAGTTTTAGGAGAGGTGAAATTCTTGAATAATTTTGGTATGAGACTAAAGTCACCAAATAGGATTCAAAACGGACTTGCTTCCTTGCTTCACGTGTAAGCCACTCGTGCTAGAAATAGCTCACTGAAGTCTATCTGTGAGCCAGTCCAGGATACTGATTTTATGTTATAGTTGCTAATGGGGCGGGATCTTCTGGCCTTTAAAATAAATCAGGTGCATCGAGGATGAGAACTCTCCAGGTTTTAAGTCTCTGATTCATGGACCTGTGGATGTCCTGTATTGGCCCTGATGGTCTCATGCAGGGGGTCCAGAAGGGTGTCAAGCCTGGGCTGGGACGGCTCTGACTCTGGCTGCCCTCTCAGGACTGTGTGGAGTTGCCTGAGTTTAAGGTGTTCATTTCTCACAGATCACTGGGCAGCTTACTAAGCTGAGACATGGTGGGTTTGAGTGGCCAAGTTTTCCTCTGGTTGCCTGCCGTGGAATGTGTTTTCCCATAGAAACAACATTTTAAGTTGTGGTCAGGTTCCCAGACCAGCCCACAATAGCCTATTCAGCTGATAATGCAGCTGAGAGACTGCTATTTGACTGGTCTGGAGACCAAACCACCACCTATTAACATTGTTTCTATTGGACAGGCCATTCCAAGTTCTAAATACTAATATAGAAATGAAATTTTGGAGCTCTACCTGTTTGTCAATTGGGGGCTGACAGCATTCGGAACTCAAGTATCAAATCACCCTGCACTCTAGGTTCCTGAAAGACCTCATTCTTTCTTTCTCCTAAGTCTGACCCCATTGGCTGATTTTCCTGTCTCTTCCTGGGGCTGCCAGTACATTCAGAAGATATTATCTCCCTGGACAGAGCTCTTGGTTTGAGAATTTCTGGGAAGTGGCAAGAATCATGGTTTTAGTCCCCAGTTCCTTCTGTGGGTGGTAAAGGAATTCCACAAGCTCCACCCCCGGCTCCGCCTCTGGCCGGCCTCTCTCTGTGCAGGCTCAGAATCCCCTCACCACTTGTTTTGTGTTTTCAATCATTTCTATGATTTCGTTCACCCTTTGGAAAAGTACAGTGTGGCTTCAACTTGAATAAATGGAATGAATATCCCAGTCAAAGAAAAGCTCTTGATAGACCCTGAGCTCACTGGTGAAGTCCAGGGGTTTCAGAGTGCTGGGAAGCAGTTCTTTACACAGGCAACATGTTCTCATCGTGTCATTGGCCATATCCTCTCAGATGCTCCAGAAGCAAACATTTGAGATAAGCTGGATTTTCTGTTTGGAAGCAATGCTTCCTCATCCTTAGATGGTCAAATAGTTGAAACTTCATGAAGAAATTCACCTCTTCCCATGTATGGGAGCAACTTTTACCCAACCAACCAGACATGTGACGCCAGTAGGCCAGATACAGATGCCCTCCCTTGGAGAAGTGATCCAGTACACACTAGGACAGCAAGTTATTCAAATCATTGCCTTCAGAACTTTGAGGAGTCCATTCTGGTGGTGTAATTTTCTAAGCAGACAAGCAGACTTAGTGTTCTTAGTGCTGCTTAATCCAGAGTTCCAGAAGCATGAAGTGAAGAGTGCTGACTTGCTGCACACATGATGTACTTTAAACATCTGTGCCTCTGGTCTTCATGGTTCAATTGTCTAGTTTCCTGTAGAGTGCATCCCATGGCTTTTTGAGCTTCAAATTCTTTTTTTTTAAATATATACACTCCACCTATAAAAGATTCCAATAGGATTTAAATTGGCTGTCAGTCTAAAAATGATGTCCCAGATCCGAGGAACTGCCTTTTCAGCTTTCTATTTCCTAATTTTCTTAGGCTGTGCGTGTGTGTGTGTGTGTGTGTGTGTGTGTTTGTGTCTTTGTGTGTGTGTATGTGAGAGAGAGAATGTGTGTGTTGGGGAGGAGGGTGCATGTGTACATGCCCTTGAAGGGGGACGACATTTTTGGACCATAAGTTCTTGGGCTATTGCTTTTGATCAACACAAAATCTCCATGAAAAGTTGAGGGTACACAGTGAATGAAACTGTTGATGCAACACCTTTGTGCTGCTTGTGCTGTGAGTTACTCCACTCAGCAGTGGGAAAAGCCTTCATCCAAGCAGCACATCCAAAGAGACCTATCAAGGTCACTCTATGAATTTTGTCATGATTGTCTGTAGGAATTGGCCGCATGAGGCTGGCTCCATCTATGGCCTTGATCAGTTGCAGCAATCTGCCATAATAAAATGCATGCCAACTTGTGAGCTGAAAACCTTCACTTAGTTGCTTGTGGGATTTTTTTTCTTCTTTTGCCAAAGAAATAAATAGAATCAAATGTTTACATATGTGTGTTATTTGTCTACATTGATTTTGTATTTTCTCAAAGGAAAATATTGATTTCTGAGTTATAAACATGGGTAACTTCACTGATCAGAATAAGTTAATGACAGGCATGTCAGTGAAATAATCAAGGCACAAAACCACCATACATTTCTGTTTAACTGCCTATGTAGCCTTTCAAAGACGTGTTAAATAGTCTTCTTTTAAATAGATAAATTTATAAGAAATAATTCTATCGCACAGATTTTAATGTCGGTGGCATATTCCATCTGGCTTACTTTTGGCACTGAGGAGATGATATTAATCTTTGCTAATTGTACTTCGTACTCACTATTGCCTTTAGTCAATATTATCTTGTGTGCTTCTAAATAGACTCCAGGATAGTCTAGGCATAATAGACATTGTTTCTGTGCCTGAAGAACAATTTATTACTCTGGGAGTAAAGGGGGTGGTGGGTTGGGCTTCAGGGATGAGATCTAGACATATAATTGTTTTAAATATATAACTACAGTATAGCCTATGTAGGTTTTTGAAGATATGTCTGGAATTGTGTTTGTAGTGTGAAAGATGGATGGATTCATCAGGGAACACTAAGGGAGATGGAACTACATATTGAAATGGAAAGATGGAAGAGCTGATATAAAAATGGAGGAAGTGTCTGGTTTTAGTGTGTGTCAGAGATAGCAGTGCGTGCATGAGTGAGGGCTGAGACGGTGAAGAAGAGGAGCTGAGTAGGAGGGTGGAAGTTGAAGGTATAGGTAAAGATAAGAGTTGACAGGTAGATTAGGCCTACCTGGTAGATATCTGAACCTAATAATGAGATGTTTAACATTATAGAGAGTGAAGGTCCATCTTTGGGCTGTAGGGGAATAGAAATAAGCACGGTGAATATGAAAAGATACTTACCCATATTGTCCTAATGGAGTAGAGAGAAACTAGGAAGCCAGGAAAAAAGAACATGATATTGGTCCAACAATGAAATCACCAGGATTTGGACAAGGGATTTGCTAATGGAGTTGGAGAATTTAAGGGGAATTTCATCAGTGGGATGAAATAAAACTAGTGACTCCCCTTAGCAACCGGGAAACATCAAGTCATAGCTCAGATAGTCCTCTTCTGAGCTTACCATGCATGCTGTGGCTAAAGGCCTTTGTTCTGGCCTCCCTGAGTTCCCCAGGCAGACCTTGATGTTAGTGCTTTGTCTGTTGTGTAGATAATCTTTGTGTATGTGCCTGTGTTCCTAGACTGTAAGATCCTCAAGAGCAAAGACTGTGTGTCTTAGTCACTTTTTAAATATAGCTGTTTTATTTATAATTGCATTGGGACAGGATTATTATTATTTTACCTTAAAATAAACTTTTCACTTTAGAACGGTTTTAGAGTCACAGAAAAATTGAGAGAGTTGCCATATACTCTGGACACTTTACTCTGTTGTTAGCATCTCATACTAGCGTGGTATATTTTTTGTAATTAATGAACCAATTTTTTTCTTTTTTTTTTTTTTGAGACAGAGTCTCGCTCTGTCACCCAGGCTGAAGTGCAGTGGCACAATCTCGGCTCACTGCAAGCTCCGCCTCCCAGGTTCACACCATTCTCCTGCCTCAGCCTCCCGAGTAGCTGGGACTACAGGCGCCCGCCACCACGCCCGGCTAATTTTTTTTTTTTTTTTGTATTTTTAGTAGAGACGGGGTTTCACTGTGTTAGGCAGGATGGTCTCGATCTCCTGACCTTGTGATCCGCCTGCCTCAGCCTCCGAAAGTACTGGGATTACAGGCGTGAGCCATCGTGCCCAACCAATGAACCAATATTGATATGTAGTTAGTGATTAAAGTCTATTCCTTATTCAAATGTTCTGAGTTTTTACTTAATGTCCTTTTTATGTTCAGAATCCCATCTAGGATACCACACTGCATTTAGTAGTCATGTTTTCTTAGACTTGACTTAGCTGTCACAGTTCTCAGACTTTCCTTGTTTTAATGACCTTGACAGTTTTTAGAAGGGCTGGTCAGATATTTTGTAGAATGGCCCTTAGTGGAATTATTTGATGTTTTTGTCATGATTACATTGAAATTATGGGTTTTTGGGAAAAAGACCACAGAGGTAAAGTTCCATTTTTATCACATAATATTAAGGGTTTATAGTATCAACATGATTTTCCATTGTTGCTGTAACCCTTCATTGCCTGGCTGAGATAGGATTTGTCAGGATTTTCCACTTCCTCCCCCTCCCTTTATACTGTACTCTTTGGAAGACAGTCAGTATGTGTAGCTCACATGTAAGGAGTGGGGAGTTATGCTTCATCTTTTTGAAGGCAGAGCATCTACAAAATTATTTGAAAGTCGGAAGCACAAGAGATTTGTCTTTTCTCTCCCATTTATTTCTTCAATCATTTATTTATCAGTATGGACTTATGGATATTTATTTTTTACTTGGTATTGTAATCCAATGCTGCTTTTGTTATTTTGTTGCTCCAAAAGGGTTCTAGCTTTGGCCATTTACACTTCCTTCATTTGGCTTCTGTGTCCCTTGCCATGCTCCCCTCAGTGTGGATGTTTGTTTAGCACTTCCTTATACTTTCTGTCACTGCAAGATGCTACAGATTCAGCTTGTCTATTTCCTGCCCAGCCCTAGAATCATCTCCCAGGAGCCCTGATTCCTTTTATTGAATAATAGTATTAGCAACCAAGATCTAGGCATTAGGTGTGCTCTTCTTGGTCAGTTTTATTTCTTATCTAACACAGTGCCTAGCACATAATAGGCTCTCATTAAATATTGCTGAACAGCCAGCAGTAATGGAATGTTGAGTAACTGATGGTACAAATGACTCAATAAAATATTATGTATCTATCAAAAATGATCATTAGATTTATACAATAACATAAGTGAAAAAGTAACAAAAAATGAAGATTGTAATAACACTCATGCAAAACAAGCAGAGACTCGTGCAAAAAATGCTAACATGGGGAGCTAGATTTGAATTTTGGCTCCCCAGTTTATTAACATATGAATTTAGATGGATTAATCTCTATGGCCCAGCTTCCTCACATTAATTATAATGCAACAGTAATGATAAAAGTAATAACTTATTTCATAGAAGTATTGTGGGGAGGTAAATGAGTGCTGTGACTGAAATAGGATAAGCACTCAATAGATATGATTAATATAGTGATTATTGTGAGGCTGATGGAACTATGGTGTTTTGTCTTTGTTTCCCAAACCCTCAATGATGTGTAACATTACATACATCGTCATCTCTTCATCTCTCTTCCCAGTCTTCTGTAAGGAATATCTGGAGCTGGATCATTCCAGCCATGATAGTCTCACTCTCCCTTCCTAAGAATTCCCATAGTGCTTCCTATTTGAAATGATTGCTCAGCAATGTTTTTATGTTGTCTGGGGTTCATCACTACCCTTTGTACATACATGCTCCTCCAGTCCCCCGACCATGGCTCTCAGGAAAGGGGCAGCTTGAGTCCCTCTCATGAGCCCTTCAGCGCACAACCAAATGTATCTCAATAGGTTAATTTAATTTTTAAAACATGTTGATTTGGCATTCATATAGGTCGAAGCATGTAGAGTATCCAGACTTCAATAAATGTTAGTTCTTCTCCTGTTTTTTTTTTTTTAACTTTTATTTTAGGTTCAGGGGTACATGTGCAGGTTTGTTATACAGGTAAACTCGTGTCATGATTGTTTGAGGTACAAATTATTTCAGTTTGTTTCTTAATCATATTTTATTTCCATAGTCACAAAAAAACAAGAAACTTAAAAAAAACCTTTGGGTTGGTAAAAAAAAAAAATTGTTGAACAGCTTTGTGCTTGTGGGCAAGGTGAATAGTCCTGATGTATCCGGTTGTGGACCTGGCAGTGAACTTACTGGCTACACAGGAAGAGGAGCTATTGATCTTGGATAAATTGAGTTTGAGATGGTAACAAAACATTTAATTCTAAATGCCCTGAAAACAGGAACTGAAGAGAGAAGAAAAGAGACAGAGTGGAAGAAAGGCAGATAGGAAAGGGGAGATGAGGAAGGGAGGGAGAGAAGGAGGGAGAGAGAAACAGATGGACCATGGCTTGGGAGGAAAACGTAATAGAGTCACCAATCTACTGGTGATGGAGAAGGCAAGAAGGGGATAAAGCTCTTGAAAACCAGAATAAATCTATTATTCATTCTGTTCCTTTTCAGATTACTTTCATCTAAAAAATAAAAAAAAATCCCAAACTGCACAAAGTAAGTTAGAGTGGTTGGCTGGCTTGCATCCTCAAAGGAGGAAGCCAGAATTGCCCGTGTCCCAAGCAGTGTCAACTCAGACAATCCAGAAAAGAGTCTTTGGGTCTACAGCAGTGGTCTCCAACCTTTTCGGTATCAGGGACTGGTTTCGTGGAACATAACTTTTCCACGGACCAAGGGTGCTGGGGGATGGGGGGATGGTTTCAGGATGATTCAAGCTCATTACATTTATTGTGCACTTTATTTCTATTATTATTACATTGTAATATATTATGAGATAATTATACAACTCACCGTAATGTAGAATCAGTGGGAGCCTTGAGCTTGTTTTCCTGCGACTAGAGGATCCCATCTGGTGGTGATAGGAGACAGTGACAGATCATCAGTCATTAGATTCTCATAAGGAGTGGGCAACCTAGATCCCTCCCACACGCAGTTCACAATCAGGTTTGTGCTTCTATGAGAATCTAATGCTGTCCCTGATCTGACAGGAGGTGGAGTTCAGGTGGTAATGAGAGTGATGGGAGCAGCTGTAAATACAGAGGAAGCTTCACTTGCTTGCCTGCCACTTACCCCCTGCTGTGTGGCCCAGTTCCTAACAGGACATGGACCGTTACTGGTCTGTGGCCCAGGGGTTGGGGACCCCAGTCTAGAGAGTCAAGCTGAAGCTTAGGGAGGTCATGGAAGCTGTTCTCATTACCAGGGTTTGAAGTTTTGTTACCCAGGTTGCATTGTGACTGGCAGATGGACTGTAACAGTCACATGAGGTATTCACATCACTACTGGGAGACTTGACCTCTGACTTCAGTGAAGAGGGCCAGAATAAAGGCACTAAAATAAAGAGGGGGAATATTTGAAAGGTTCGTTAGAATAGTATGGGCCCCTTCATCAGACAGTACTCATGATGTTTTTTCTTTTTTTATCTTGATAAGAAAATTGTCAAAGAGCAAATAAAATCATGATGTGTAGTTCACAATACAGGCAGCTCATTTATGTATTGTAATTGTTTCATGATCTATCACATTTTTTATAGTGGAAGTTATTTTAACCTTGGAACAGTAGGATGTTAAGATATTAACATGGGACACATTACATGGGAAGTTGGGTGTCCTTTGTTGTGTGAGGGCATGTACCTTTTGATCCCCTCCAGATTTATACTTAAGGGGCTAAATCATAGTTTTTTTCCTTAAAGGTTAAAAAAAAAAGCAGTTAATGGAGCAGGGTCAGTCTCATTAGCCCTTACCTAGTACTTGTTCTCCTTGCCCAAGAGTTTAATCACTAACAAATATGTTGAGAAACTAACATATATGAAATAAGAGCCTCCTGACCTTGTTTTTATTACCTTAACCTTTTCTGAAAAGGAGTTTGCACTTTGCATAGGAAACAGAAAGGCTATCTTGCTGTAAGAGGCCAAATTGCAGAAGTGGGCTTTGGCTAAGGAATGTGGACACACTGCAGACATCTTGCACAGAGGCCAAGTCTTGCAATGATGTGGTCAGACGTGGTAGAGGCCAGCTGTTTGCTCCGTTGAGAGAGGCTTTTGCCAGTCCACAGGCTCTCTGAGGGCTATGTTTAACTGAATCCAAGTATCAAACCTGCTGAGACTCACTCATCCCCCAGGGTGTTTGGAGTTGGGTTCTTACAGAGCACAATATTGAAAGTAACTGGTAAGAGAAGTTACAGATAAAGACTTAGCTATTTTAAAAAAATGTAACATACAGTGGTGAAGTGGAATATAAATGTATTTTCCCTCTTTCCCCTATAAACTATTGGAATACAGGTAAAAACAGTTTATGCTGGCTGGGCACGGTGGCTCACACCTTTAATCCCAGCACTTTGGGAGGCAGAGGCGGGCGGATCACGAGGTCAGGAGTTCGAGACCAGCCTGGCCAATATGGTGAAACCCCGTCTCTACTAAAAATACAAAAATTAGCTGGGTGTAGTGGTGTGTGCCTGTAGCCCCAGCTACTCAGGAGGCTGAGGCAGAAAAATCTATCGAACCCGGGAGGCGGAGGTTGAGGTGAGCCGAGATCGCACTGTTGCACTCCAGCCTGGGCGACAGAGCGAGACTCCATCTCAAAAAAAACAAAAAAGCAAAAAAAAACCCCCAAAACAGTTTATGCTGTGCTTTATCCTTGGTCTATTGATGGACATTCTGTGATTTGTGTTACTTATGTCACCATGAATACTACTGGATGAAATATCATCTTGTCCTCTAAGTACACTTTTGACTTAACATAAGGTTAGGAGAGCGTACTCTAGAATCAGGAGGCTTCTTGAGTTCAAATCTCCATTAGACACGTCTAAGCTATGTGACCTTGGCCAGGTTGTTTGACCTTCTTAAGCCATAGTTTTTTTTTTAGTGTTAAACATTATAACAATAAAAATTACCTCAAAGAGTTGTTATTAGGATGAAATAAAATAATATATCTTTAGCACTTAGCAAAAAGTTATTTCCCCTTTGAATTTTAATTTTTTAAAATTTGTTGAATGTTATTGCTACTTGCACAGAGCTTTAAATCCGACTTTGTGTGTGTGTGTTGGAGTGATGGGGGTTGATGGGGATGGCTCATGAAGTGAAAAGAGAAAGAGGTATGGATGCTATACTTTCATTGACCCGAAAGAGTAACTTTATTAAAGATTTACCTTCCTTGTACAAGCATTTTGTATTGAAACCTTATAACTAAATCTTTTATTATGGAAATAATCCAGCATGTCTCATTTAGAGTTTACATATTTTGGTTCTTTCCAGCTTCAATAAGACATTCATTTATTTCCAGAATTAGAGCTGTTTTTTTTCTGTGTATAAGTAAAACAAATGTCATGCAGCTTGTTTGAACGAGTTCTAATAGTTTGCAGTTTCTCAAGACCAAAAGCAGCAGAGGAGAAATCTTACATGTTTCAAATACTTTGCGTTGAGCCATACCACATAGCATTTAGAATGATTTAAGAATGAATGGCAACACAATTAAAACAATCATTGTCATTTGAAGGTATTGGTTGAAACAGCTGAAATTAAATAACATGTTACTTGTTAATGATAAAGTTTTAAAACTCATAGAAAGTCAGAGGATGCAAATAAAATAAGTCCAACCCAAAATTATAAAGAACCTTAAGAAATACAGTGAAATGAAAATGTGATGCACTAATGAAAGGGAATGGTGAATGAATAAAACAAGAAGTATTCTGTTTCAAAGATAAGACGTTCATACTTCGAAAGTCTAGTTATTGCTTTAAGTGAAAGACGATGGAAATAGAAGAGCGTATATTTTAAAATGAACAGTTGTGGATGAATATTAGATAAGAAAGCAAGAGAACTCTCTCTCTGCTTCCCCGGGTTCTCATCTCTTAAGGTAACTAGGTTGAAACATTTCTGTTTTTTGTTCTTCTCATGTAACACCATCTACCATGTTTGTACCTCTGTATCTAGATTTAAACAGTACCCACTGGTTTCTTGCTTTGAAAGATGGGGACTTAGCTCACTAAAGTATCTGTACCCTCTTTCTCTCTTCTTCTTCACAACTTTAAAATATAGTTTTAGTATAACTTTTATGTATTGGTTATTTTAAAACACAGTGTAATATATATAAGACTCTGTTTCTAGGATCAGCTGCTTTATTGACTGCCACACCTTTCCTCCCAAATTGTTTCCCGAGTTATGTCATCTGTCCCATTACTTTTACTCTTGTGAAGGTTTACAACATTTACATTTTCTTTTGTAACTATAGTAAATTGTAAAATCTTCCATGTTTTGGCTGTAGATTGATTCTAAACATTAAAAAAAGAATGTTTATATTACCATGCTTTTTCAAATTCCTTGGAAAATCTTTAGAATATTTTGCTTTGTAGGACTGAAATTGTTATTCTGGATCCTTTGTTTCTGAGCTTCTTCATCTTGTGTATGTGTTATGACATACATATTTTTGTCAGACACTATGACTGTGACATATTATGTCAGACAATGTATGATTGTAGTAAAAAAAAAAAATAAAACCTTGTTATGTCAACCACAGGGCACCCTGCAAAGGCTCAGGAGTGCTCTGACACTATTCCAGGATTTGGTAGGGATTGGACTATCTCCAGCGGAGCTGTTCTAATGGGCTGTTGCTGGAGAAGGTTTGAGGTGGTTGACTTTGGCCTGGATTGTCATTTCAAATTGAGAGAACTTTTATAATAAAAGTTTGGAAGGTTTGTGCGTTCCCCTCTACCCCAGCTGTCTACCCTCACTTCCTCTCTCATTTTCCTTTCCGAGAATTTGAATTTCCCCAGGAACTTCTGGACACTCTGAAGTTTCAGGCATTACTTTGTCATGGAGGGACAAAGGGTTGAGAGCCTTTGACTTAAAATTCTCCATAACATCTTTCTTCCTTTATTCCTTGTGTTTCCACTGGCTGAGTAACCTGGGTCAGAAGATGATTCCATCAGGATGATAATGCTGCATTGCATTTTCATCATCTTTTTCATATATGAAGCTTTCATGTCCATTATTTGACATATATACACACAAGGGAGACATTTCATTGTGCCATTGTACACAGAAATATACTGAGCTCACACAGGCTCTAACATCATGCACATATTTCACCTCTATCCAATCATTTCCTCTCTATCCTTAGAGAAGGCCTGGGCTGCTGGGTATGGAGTTAGGGCCCTTTCCTTGGCTCCTCCAGCTTTCTTCCTAAATCCCTTTCTGACCTCAGCATCTGTCAGTGTGAAGCATGTGTGGTGCCCTGCAGGGTGTTCCAGATTTTCTGGAGCAACAAAAGGGGTAAAGGACATAGCAAAGACCTTATGTTGGTTCCCAAACCTGCATGATGTTGAAGTAGTGAGTTCAGAGGAAATGTGGGAGGACTCTGTACTGTTTCACGTGGTCTACATATACAAAGAGAATGTGGGAGTGCACCCTAACTGAAAATACATTTTAGCTATACAGTTGTTTTTAAAGGTTTATGCTTTTGGGTTTACAGTGTTTATACCAGTAAGCTTTGGAATTGCTCCTAGTTTGTGAAATTGATTGCAAAACATTTGACCTTCCTTATTAGCCCCTGATCGCTAGCAGCTAGCATCAATGCTTAGGCCCTCAGGATACGGCAAAGTAAAACTAATGGTTGCTTCTAGGTCTCTGTGTATTATAGTCTCTGTCCTAGTTTCCAGTGTAGAAGTCATTGGATCCTTACTTAGTTGCTCCCTGAAATTGTTAAATGTGGATCATCTGGATTCTGAATGGAGTTTCTACTCCAAGACATGTGATGAACTGTCTGTAAACAAGAAACCCAGAGTGACACTGATTTTATTTTCTTGTAACTGCTGTTATCAAGTGTGTTTCCAAACTTTTTGTTTTTGGAGACAGAGTCTCACTCTGTCGCCCAGGCTGGAGTGCAGTGGTGCGATGTCAGCTCACTGCAGCCTCTGCCTCCCAGATTCAAGCGATTCTCGTGCCTCAGCCCCCCAAGTAGCTGGGACTACAGGTGCGTGCCACCATGCCAAGCTAATTTTTGTATTTTTGGTAGAGATGGGGTTTCACCATGTTGGCCAGGCTGGTCTTGAATTCATTACCTCAAGTGACCTGCCCACCTCGGCTTCCCAAAGTGCTGGGATTACAGGCGTGAGCCACCGCGCCTGGCCTGTTTCCAAACTTTTGCTAAAGAAATATTTACATGTTTTGGCCTTTATTTTTTTCTGACTCATGTCAGAGTTTGCGTTCCTGTAATTTTAGTGAAAGGGAGAATATGTAAAATTATAGAGGTGAGATGGGCCGTAGGAAAATATATATATATATATGGCTTCAAAGTGTAGAAATGTGAAGTCTTATGTGCATTAGATTTTATTACAAACTTTCTTAACCATATTGGTAAGAAATTTATTGTTTAAGTTTATTGTCTAATTTAAGACTTGTATGGCTTCATGAATTGTGACAGAATGTGCTACATTTTGTATCTCTGGTTTTTATTTCCCTGATGGGCCATATGCATAGGTGATATTAAGGGATGTCCCTGTTGATATCACTATGTTAGTGTCCCAAGCTACCAACCCAGCATTGAGTCTCATGAGTTTGCTTTATCTGTCTGCCAGGATTCATCTTGCTTTTATAACTCAGGAATTTTTTTTCCTTTTATTTGGCCATCTCTTCCTCTTCTTCTTTTTTTTAAAGTATGGAATTCTTCTGTTTTTGTTTTAGACCCAATGTCTGTGGATCACGTTATAATGCTTACTGTTGCCCTGGATGGAAAACCTTACCTGGCGGAAATCAGTGTATTGTCCGTAAGTAAATAGAAAACTTGTCATTCTGCATGTCCTTCTTTTGTTGTGTTGGTTGCATGGGGAGCCTTAGAATGTGGCCTTTTGTAACTGTACTATTAATCTGTTGATAGTACAGCCTTCCAGCTTTAAGACTTTTCTACCTTTCCAGTTTGGGAAATACATCAACTTGGTCAAACCCTGTCAAAGTTTAGTCACGGGGATACTTTGCTTGAGGTTGTGTCATTTACATATGTTGTGCCTGGCTACACAGACTATCTAATTACTTTGATGGGAGTTTGAATGAAAGGGTATTATTGCTGCTTTTCTTATTGTAATTTCTAACTTTGTTGGCCACTCACGGGCCTTACCAAACCCTGTACATTGAATTTGGGTGATTGAGGGACCAAGAGCAGACCTGACTCTTAGACAGAGGGGAAAGGAAGGAGATAGATCACCAGACGAAGATCAGTGGAAAGACTAAGAAAGATCTCAAATGATAACAGAGGTTCCTCTATTGATTTCTGCTGGCAAGGCAAACTTCCAGATTTCCCCAATATCCCACAAATGTTGAGTGACAAATCGCATGCCAGACAAGGTGTTCTTTAATGGAGACACCAAAGTCAAATTTAGTCATGATGCCTGCCCTTCATGAGCTTTTACAGTTGTTGTACCTATGAAATAATGTCCAGTTTTCAGAAAACTCCAGTAGTATAATGGGGAAATTTAGAGCTGAAGGGACATTAAGAATCACTTAGTTCACCTTCTCACTTGGCTGACAGTGGTCAATGGAGTATTCAATAGACTATATTGGCCAATATTTGCTTCATGACCTGAAAAAGTTTAACTGTTTCTCAATTCTTGATTTTGACCAGAAAGCATCTCCTTTATTTGGCACATTATGGTCTAAGACCAAAATTGGATCACTAAAAGAGAAATATAATGGTATTTGGATTTTTCTCAATGAACTTTATAATAGAACCCTTTCTTAGCCTTCTGTAGAGTTCTCTGAGAAATGATGTCTCCAGATATTTAAATAAATGTTTACTGGATCTTTGACAGTTTGTTTCTTAGTCGTTTCCAGTTTCCATCCTAAACTCTTTGGATGTTTGAATGCACTTTCTATCAAGTGTACTCTTTTAGCCTTGCATATCATGTTTGCACTTGCAAGATTGTGCAGGAGCTTGAGGAAAAGATCATGCCTGTCATGACGAAAAGTAGTGACCAAGTGCTAGTCTGCCGATAAATATAAATCATATGCCATTTAAACTTACTGTTGTGACCACTAGCAGAGCATTTGGTACCAGCATGATATTAGTCTCTGGGTGGTATGCAAATGTTAGTATTTCTCTAAAGGATGAATGGCTTCCTGACTGTAGAATCAGTACTCTAGCAGTAGATTCCAGCATTCTTCTCTCAGACTGTTGATGGAATTCAGAACAGGATAAAAATTAAACATTAAACATTTACAATAGGCTGGACGCGGTGGTTTACGCCTGTAATCCCAGCACTTTGAGAGGCCGAGGCAGGCGGATCACAAGGTCAGGAGATTGAGACTGTCCTGGCTAACACAGTGAAACCCTGTCTCTACTAAAAATACAAAAAATTAGCTGGGCATGGTGGCACATGCCTGTAGTCCCAGCTACTCGGGAGGCTGAGGCAGGAGAATGGCATGAACCTGGGAGACGGAGCTTGCAGTGAGCAGAGATTGCGCCACTGCACTCCAGCCTGGGTGACAGAGCGAGACTCCATCTCAAAAAACAAAGCAAAACAAAATAAATTTACAATAAAATTGGCTCCCAAGAGTAATAATGTAATTTTTATATCATTAAATCTTAGAGTTAATATAATAATATATTTCTTGTGATCATATAAATATGTTTAGATGCAGGATTTAATTTGTTTGTTTGGTTTTCTCTTCATAGCCTGTCCTGGGCTTCTGATGGATTGAGTGCTGTGGACTAAGCAAAGAGAGGTTGAGAACCACCGTGACTGGATAAAGGAGTTGTGGATTTTAAAGCCAGAGTTTATTTAGTTCAATAGACTTGTTTTGAAAATGAGTACACCTGAGGCTTAAGGTCATATAAGTCATGATAGCAAAGTTTGTGAGGGACCTGAGAACCCAGGTTTCCTCATTTGAGGATTGGTCCCCTATAACAAATCGTGTTCCAAATCCATGTGCTAACAGACCTCTGGTTTATTCACAGCCATTTGCCGGCATTCCTGTGGGGATGGATTTTGTTCGAGGCCAAATATGTGCACTTGCCCATCTGGTCAGATAGCTCCTTCCTGTGGCTCCAGATCCAGTAAGTCTAACATGTCATTATATATAATATTATTTTATGTGGTTATACCCCATTTTCTCCTAAATTTGATTTTGGCTTTCCTCTTTCCTGCAATACATTTTTTCACTAGAACATCTGCCTTCTCTGTTCTGCCCAAAATACTTGGAAAGGCTTTCCTTCATCTGGCCTCTCATTTCCCTTCTTTACTCTTTATAGGAAAATTACCTATGGGGCATAGTTACTATGAATAGTATAAAGCTTATGGCCTTTTATGTAGGTATCGCCTTATTCATCTTTGTATCTCCAGTGTAAACACCATAAAAGGTGCTCAATGAAATGGTTGTTTAATGGACATTTTTGGCTCAAGAAATCTAGGCATGCTTCCTTGTGGTACTGAAATATGAATCTGATTAAAAACTTATTTAAGACTCAAGACCCCTGCTTTACAAGAAGAAAATGTAAGAAGTCATTATGGAAGTTTCTGGGGGTGATTTATAATGAAGCATAAACATATTTTTCCTTTCAGAATGTTGCCACTTTCTGTGATGCCAGATGAATATCCACAGTTCATTCTTCAGAACCTTTTCTTGCTTGTTCTGTTGTTTTTCTTTTGGGGGTTTGGGCAAGTGAGTCATAATTGGTTGTTTAAAAAGCTGAAGTTCTTGTTTGTATAAACAGCCCCTCAAAACTTTGACCGTCCCCATGGCAAAAAACGTAGGTCCCTTTTCCGTTTCTTTTTGTCCTGTAAGAAAATGCACCCCCCTTATTGTGTGTCCTATTTTGACAAAGTTTTAAAGAAAAACATTGTGGAATAAGTGCATTCTCTTTTGTTTACTGCAAGTAGAGACTTCACTGTGTCAAGGCTCATTACCTGTTAAGAGTCTGAACATTTGAGTGTGTCTCTCACAAGCCAATTAACAGGTTAGGGCAAATTGTCCTGTGTAGCACTCCTGGTGCCCTCTTGCCTCCCTTGGCTTCATGGATGAACACGGGGGACTCTTCCTGAGAGCTTTGTATACTTTTCTGGCCAGAGAGCATGCCAGGTCTGCATGCAGGGCAAGCTGGAAGTGCTGGGGGTTAGTGGACCTGGAAGCAGACTTTTAACCAACAACAGATGGAGAGTGGTTGGATAAGTGCCTCAGCTTCCTTGCCTCTCAGTTTGGATAACCATGAGGTTCACTCTGCACTGTCTCCTGAAGTTCCCCAGTGGGACCGAGCCCTCGCTGTTCACAGTGATAATAGATTTGATAATGTACTTTATTAGCTTCCTTCTCTTTTTGTCTCACTTTCCCACTCTCCTATGAGTGTTTCCTAGAATTACTTTCAGAACAAACTACTTCCATTTAAATTATTGTCTCAGAATCTGCTTCTGGTGGAGCCCACACAGTAACAGCCACCTTTTACTAAATACAGCCAGTTACAATTGGGATAGAAATTGCCCTATGGGCTGGGACTCTTGCTTATTGCACTGAATGTGTAGCATAGTTTTCCTTGATCTCAGCTTGGTGTCAGACATGCATCTTCCGAGTAATAGCAGGTTCATTCTACGTAGCAAGAGCCCCTGAACTGGAGGAATAGAACGAGGCAGAGAAGCCAGCTGGCAGCACATCTGGGAACATGCGGGACATCTCCGTCTCTATAAGGGTGACTTCCAGGCTGCCGCTGAAGCATAAGCATCTCAGGGTTGGAAAAGAAGTGCAGTTATAAAGTTGGGAATAGACCCCATCTCTCAGATTGGTCCCTGAACCAACTAACAACATTGCACTCCTCTGGGGGAAGAAATATAGCCAGATGGCAAAACTGGGTATTAAGTTGGGAAGGTCTTCAATGATAATGTGAACTGATAATGACTTCTCTATCGAGTAGAAATCATGAGATGTGGAGACAGGATGTTAACAAGACCAGAGGGAAAAGCCATGGTCCTGGTAGAATCCAAGTTAACTGTGGGGTGTGACGAGTATAGTAGTAAGGTCCTGGGGCCAGATTTAGTCTAGAGACTAAAATCCAAGACTGTGGGTGGTGCTTTCTGAGGAAGTCTGAGTCATATCTATGGTACCTGGACGTTAGACAAAGTCCCCAAGTAGCTTGTGGATGAGAGTAGTGTAAGGAGGAGGTTCTGGTTTCATCAGGATCTTTGGGGTTACTTGAAATCTTTAAAATTGTTGGCTTTGATTCTCTCTGCACTAATATTGTCTAAATGGCTTGCAAAATTAAAGATGGCAAAATATTTTAAATTAAGGATAGCTGGGGATGATCAGAATTCATTTCTCATCTTTTGGAGTGATGTTCTAGGGAACAGCTGTGCCATTCCACAGAACATCCTGATCACTTTGCTAACTTTCCTGCTAATAGAAGGACAATTCTACTCAGTGAAATGTTTGCATTCACTACATGTGGTTCTACTAAAAAGGATCAATTTAGATCACTGAACGAATTTTTCCTCTGAAAAATTTTATACTTTTTATATGATAGGGATCAAGGAGGTCTAGGCAAGTCGTGGGACCTCAGAGAGGCTTAGTTTTCCCACTTGAATATGAACAGAATGGAAGAAGTGTTGTTCTTTCAGGTGGTTTTTGACTTGAGTGTCCTGTGACTCTGAGAATAGAAAATGATCTCTTAGTGACCTGAATGAGAGATTGCATTTCCAGAAGGTTCAAAGTACCAGCCAGTGATTCTCTTGGACAACAGGAAGTTGTGGCTTCCCTTGGTGCTGGTGGAACTCTCGACACTCGTCATTCAGCACCAGGGCAAAAAGAATGATTGGCTAGACAGCGTCAAAACAGTAGTTTTTCTAGACTTTAATTCCAGCCCTCTTTAGGACTGTTCTTTGCTATGTCAGTCTCTGAGGGTACAGATGGATTTTGAGCAATCCTAATTGTCATAAAGACCTATCATGGTTTACTGATGTATGAATTTACTCATTGTTCTAATATGTGTATACACACATTCAAATATATATTAGCTTGTAACACTGGGATTAATAAACTCTATAACTTTACATATATATTTGTCAGTTTGGGCTTCTATAACAAAATACTGTAGACTGGGTCATTTATAAACAATAAAAATGTATTTTTTTACAGTTCTAGAGGCTGGGAAGTCCAAGATCAAGAGGCCAGCAGATTACATGTCTGGTGAAGGCCTTCTCCTCCTAGATGGTGCTTTCTGTGTGTCCTCACATGGCAGAAGGGACAAACAGGTCTCCCAGGCCTTTTTTTTTTATAAGGATACTAATCCTTTCATGAGGGCTCTGCCTGCATAACTTAATCACCTCCCCAAAGGCCCCACTGCTCCATACTCTCCCATTAGGGACTAAGTTTCAACATATGAATTTTGTGGGGACACAAACATTTAGACAATAATATATATATATATATATATGTATATGTATGTGTATATATATAATTGTCTAATTATATATATAATTATATATGATACATGATAAAAGTTGTTTCCTATAGTTTATATTTTGTAATTTTGTATTTTCTATTTTGTAATTCCTACAGTTTATATTTTGTAATTTTGAAATCTTCTCATTCTGTTTTACTCTTTACACTTTAAGAATGCTAAAAATTAAACTTCATATTCTGAGATAATTGTAGATTTACAAACAGTTGCCTTAGTCTGTTTTCTGCTGCTATAACAGTATACCACAGACTGGATAACTTATAAACAACAAAAGTTTATTTGGCTCGTGGTTCTGGAGGCTGGGAAGTCCAGAGCATGGCACCAATGTCTATAGAGGGCCATCCCATGGTGGAAGGCATCACATGGGGAGCAAGTATGAGAGACAGACAGAAAATGGGGCTGAACTCCCGAGATGACCAACCCACTCCTGAGATAATGGCATAAATCCATTTATGAGGGCAAAGCCCTCATGACCTTATCACGTCTTAAAGGTTCCACCTCTTAATACCATCACAATGATAATTAAATTTCAACATGAGTTTTGGAAGGAACATTCCAACCATGGCAGTTGTAAGAAATCAGAAATATCCTGGGTATTCTTTATTTAGTTTTCCCCATTGTGACATCTTGCAAGACTATAGTACAAGAGCAGAACCAGGATATCACAAAATCAATACAGTTAAGATGCAGAACATTTCCATCACCACAAAGAGCGCTGATGTTACCCTTTTATTGTCATTTTCTTCCCGACATAATTCTCTCTTTAATTCTGACAACCACTAATCTGTTCTACATTTCTATAATTTTTTCATTTCACAAATGTTATATAAATGGAATCACAGAATATGTAACCTTTTGGAAGTGGCTTTTTTCACTCATCAGAATTCTCTGGAGAGTCATCTAGGTTGTTGCAGTATGAACAGCTTGTTATCTTTTATTGCTGAGTAGTAGTACATGCTATGGATGTACCACAAGTTTGTTTGGCCATTCACCTATTGAAGGGCATCTGAGTTGTCATCAGTTTTTTTTTCTTTATTATTTGAACTAAGCTGCTATGAACATTTGTGTACAAGTTTGTGGTGTGAACACAAATCTTATGTTCTCTGGGATAAATACACAGAAATGCAATTTCTAAGTTGTATGATAGTTTCATGTTTAGCATTTTAAGAACTGTCAAACTGTTTTTGGAGTCGCCGTATGTACCATTTTGCATTCTCACCAGCAGTGTATGAATGACCCAGTTTCTCTGCATCCTTACCAGCTTTTGGTGTTGTCTTTATTTTTTATTTTAGCTATTCTGATTGCTGTGTAGTCATCTCTTACTGTGGTTTCAATTTGCATTTCCCTATTGGATAGTGATGTCAAACATCTTTTTATGTGCTTATTGCCACCTGTATATCTTTTTCAGTGAAAGGTCTCTTTATATCTTTTGTCCAGATTCTTATTTTTCATTAAAATAATTTTTTTAGACGGGGTCTTACTCTGTCACCCAGGTTGGAGTACAGTGGTGCGATCTCAGCTCACTGCAACCTCCGTCTCCCAGGCTCAAGTTATCCTCCCACCTCAGCCTCTTGAGTAGCTGGGACTACAGGGGCACACCACCATGCCCCACTAAGTTTTTTGTATTTTTGGTAGAGACAGGGTTTTGCCATGCTGCCCAGGCTGGTCTTGAACTCCTGAGCTCAAGCAATCTGCATGCCTTGGGCTCCCAAAGTGTTGGGATTACAGGCATGAGCCACTGTGCCTGGCCTCTTTTGCCCAGATGCTAATTGAATTGTTTGTTATTTCATTGTTGAGTTTTGAGAATTCTTTGTATACTCTAAATACTAGCTGTTTATCAGATATGTTATTTGCAGGCATTTTATCACACTCTGTAGCTTGCTTTTTAATATTTTTAATGGGATCTTTCATAGAGCAAATGTTTTCAAATTTGAGTAAGTCTAACTTATCAGTTTTCCCTTTACTGGATCATGCTTTCATTGTCAAGTCTAGGAATGCTTTGTCTACTCCTAGATTCTGAAGATTTTCTCCAACTTTTTTCTGATGGTTTCATAGTTTTATTTTTATTTACTTATTCTTTGAGACAGGGTCTTGCTCTGCCACCCAGATGGGTAGGCAGATCTTCCCCACTTTATCCTTTTTTTGTTTTAGCTATTCTAGTTCTTTTCTGTAAAAACTGTAGATTAATCTTGTCTATATTTACAAAACCTTTTAGGATTTTGATAGGAATTGCATCAAACCTGTATATCAATTTGGGGCCCTTTACACTTTTCAAACCCCTTATAGTTTGATCACATTTTCTCATTTAATTTACTTCAATTCAATGAGAGTGTCAGCAGGACCAGTCGCAGACAAAACCTCTCGGACACCGGTTTTAGGAAGGGGCTTTAATCAGCTGGGAGCAAGAGTTTGGGGCATTTGTACTCCCAATGCAAATCTGAGCTCTAAGGGTGTAAGAAGGCCAGCAGAACAATTCTAGACCAGTGTGTTAGCAAGTTTGAGGGAGTATGGTGCAACCATCCTGAAAGTGTGGGGACATTCAGAGGAAGGGAAGGTGGTGCTTTAGCCAGTCTGGAAGAAGTCCTCCTTGAAAAAGCTTTTCAGGGAAGTGTGGGATTTATATGGACTGGGAGGAGAAGCATGCATGGAATCTACTCAGACTTGTCCTTAGAAATGGTTGAACTCTTTGCTTTCTACTCCACCCTTTATGGAAGCACCTTTATCACTACTGTCATTTAACTTGTCCTTCTCTACAGCTTTTCCAGCTTGGCTAGATTTTGTTTGTTTATTTGTTTGTTTGAGAATTTTAGTGAAGTTTCTCTTCCAAGCTGTGTGTCTTTAGGCATCCCCAGACATCTGTTCACTTAAGGGAAATGCCATTGCTGTTATCCCTCTAAATGAAAATTGTTTTTATCCTGCAGTGACTCTGATTGTCCCTGTGGACTCTTGTCTCAGGTGTAGAGTCCAGAAGTTAGTCTAGCTGTTTAATTTGTCTGTCTGTGCTTTTCCTAGTACCTAAATTAAAATCACATGTTCGTCATACAAATGCTTATGTGCAAATTGCTCCCAGTGTTCTTCCTGCCAGTTGTGCCTGCCAAGATGATGGCAGGTCTTTAGAATCATTCCAAACCTAATGCATCCCAAAGAAAATCATTACCTGAGGTATTGAGATCCAGGTGCCAGCCCTGCCTCTCTCTCATTCCCATAGCGTGCTCACATTGTTCTTTTCTGATGAATCATTTAAGAACTAATCTGTGCTGGGCTGTAATCTAAAGAAAATTTCTTCTGCTCTTTCTGGCCAATGCTGCCAAATGAAAGACGTTCAGTAAGTCACTGTTGAATGACTGAAATGACTGACTGACATCTGATATGAACACAAAATTAATTTGGGATCTTTTATGGATATGGGGAGATGGCAACATTTTCTGTTAGCTCTGGGTTATTGAGCCTTACATGAAACCCTTTACGGCTGTCTGCTCGTCTTCAAGGGCAGGTCCTCACTGGGACCCTAGGACACTCAGGGTTCACTGCATATGGCTGGATCTGTGCACTTTGATTCCCCTAGTGTTTTCAATTTCTAGTAAAATCTTAACACAGATTGAGTTTAGGAATATCTTCTGACTTGGGGTACTTAGTGCATCCAGTAAAGAATACAGCATCATTATGGGTGTAGGAGGAACCCCTAGGTTTCAGTTGGCTTTTTTAAGAGACGTAGAACTTGGTCTCCTAATTATGATACATCTAGAATTCTTGTTCAAATCAGTATAAATTTAGAATATGCATCAATGGCAGGACTGAATCCAAAATAAAACCAATTTCGGTATATATTCTCTGTAAACTATTTCCTGCGTGTACAGTGAAACTACGTATCTAGTTCTTTCACTTCCCCACAGAAATCCTGAGCGACTGCTCCCACCTTTATCGGAATGCTTTATTCCCCACTAAAGATCTAAGACTCACAACGAATACAGTTTCCCATGGTTAACACGGTGGCAAAGCAAGTGATTCAGAGCCTATTACCTGTGCTGAGCCTGCCTCCTCCTGGCTTCCCCCAAGGATTCATGCATATGGTTCCTTGATGTCTTCTTGTTTCACAAGTCTGAATGAGTGCTTTTATTTTTTAAAGAAAGAATATTTTATGCTGGAAAAGGTTTGCCTGAAAGACAGGGTAAAAAATATATATCAGGGAGATTTTTTATTATATTGCATTTAATTGTAAACTTACCATTCTTGCCAGAAAGAAGAATTCATTCTGATTTTCAACTTGAACAAATAATGTAAAGTCACTAAACTACTGTTAGCTTTTTTATCTCAAAGTAGTTAAATGGCTTTGTTGCTCATGTGGGAATGGAAATTAGCTCTTGGCATGAACTGCTTTAATTGAAATCAGTTTGAAGGCTGAGTTCCTATGCTGCTTGACAGATGACATCATTTCCTGTGCTTTTCCCAATCCTCACTGTTTTTCTAAGATAGGATGAAGCTAAGTTTAACTTCAAATTTAAAGCAACTATACACCTTTTCATGACCTACTTAGAATATTATTCAAAGTTTTCACTAAATCATTTTTTTTCTTTGTATACGTATAGACAGATTTTTAGTTAAAAAAGCATCTTGGCTGAGATGTTTTAACGGAATCATAAGAGCCTAAAATAACTGCAATCAGTTTCCGGGGTTGCTTGATTTCATTACTCCAACAAAGGAGTTATTTCTGCATTCATACATGGGGAAACAAAGATAAAAATATTTTTAATAGCAACCTACTTAGTAGGGCTGTATAAGTGCCTCGGACACAATGGACAACTTCTAAGTCTCAGTTTGGTCTTTGGGCATGGCTTTTGATGTCATCATCAGGCAGCATGAGTTAAGTAAATAAAAATTAATTTAGCACAGTTTTATACAGCACTTACATATAAAGCAAGGTGCTACTCTAGGCACTTAAGAGGTATTGCATAATTAATGCTCTCCCACTCCCCACTCTGAAGAAGTTTTTAAACAAATGAGATGGGGCAAAATAAGTAAAAATAGGCTGGATTATATAATATATGCTTCAAAAGAGAAATATGAAGTAATTGGAAAGGAGAGAGGGCTCACATTTGGTTTGGGAGATATCAGAAAAGATTAGCGGAAGGAAGCAATATTTGAAATGGGTTTTGGAGATAGATAGGATTTCAGGTTTGGGGGAGAACTGTGTGTGTGTTGTGTTGGGGTTTAGGAGTTAGGGGCAAGGAGACAAAGAGGCAGGTAAGAGAGAGGGTTCTACAGAGGGACTAGGACAAGGAAAGTGCCGGGTGTTTTGCATGGCACATAGTAGGCACTCAGAAATGTTCATTGAGTGAATGAATGACTGATAAGTAGATCAGGGGATGGAGTCATAGGACATAGTGGGCATGTGCCAAGGAGCCTCGAAAGATACCTGGGGCCATGCTGAGGGGACCGTGAATGTGGAGAGATGGAGGTGGCTCTAGTTCAGTAGAAACAGGCCTTTGATGGTGTTTCAGTGTGTGGCATGTTGTTGAAAAGGCATTTAACTTTCAACTCAACCTAACTTCTTTGTGCTGTAAAAGGAAGGGTATAGAAGATAGTGGGTTCTGCACTTTCCTTCCCTGTTGGCAGGCTGAGATTTGTGTAGCTCCTTATAAAAATTGTCCCTTTCTCCTGAAGTCAAGTAGCCACTTTTCAATACCGTGGCTGAGGATTCCTAACAAGGGGTAATGGACAGGGTGGCTGTTGGGAGGAATCTTCTATTTGCTCTGAAGAGAAGATTTGGCCCCTGTGCTTCAGGAAGAGTGAGCATAAACAGCAGATTTCTGCTTTTGTGTAGAAAGAAGATATTCTCTTCTCCTTAGCTAAAATTATCGAACCTTCTTCTCTGAGAATTTACTTCCACAACTTGGAGGACCAGACAGAATAAGCCAAACCTCCAAAGCCCAATCCTGGCCTCCATGTGTAGGCAGGTATCAACAAGGATTAGTGGTTAATTCAATCAAGCTTTGGACTAGGAAATAGCCTAGGATTTTGAAAGTGCTATTAGCATTCCTAAATTACTGACCTAGAGATAGCCTGAACACTGGAGAAATGAGAGCACTTGCCTGCGCTGTTGTCATTGCTCACTATGAGCCCGTGGCTGTCTTTTACTCCAGCTTCTCTGAGTGTCTCATTGTCTGGGGTCTAAGGCTGTCAGCCCATGGTCTTTCTACCCTGGGCCCCGAAATGAACACTTCTGTAGGTGAAAATGAGGATCTTATTTAGTTTGAGGTTACAGTTTAAACAAGCAGCTCTTTCTCAGGCAAATCCAGCTGTCCCTGTCGTCAGGCAGTGTTGTTATTAAATGTCTTTGTAGGTATTTTCTTTTTTCTCTATTCTGCCTCTAAAATTTCTTTTAACAAAATTCTTTGGAATTTGCTACTCTTAACTGTTCCCCTGTGCCATCTACCTGGGATTCTAAATCTTTTCACGGGAAAATTATTGCCATCATAATCTTGTCTCATATGGTTACTCAAGGCAATACTTTCTTGTTGGTATAAATTACAGAAATGACATTGAGTTGTAATTTCTGTTAAATTAAAGAAGTCATTTAGCACTATTAAAGTGAATGCCAGAGAAACAATTGCATTGCATGGTAAATGATTTTTTTTTCTTTCTTTCGCTCGCTCTGTCACTCAGGCTGGAGTACAGTGGTGCGATCTCCGCTCACTACAACCTCTGCCCCCCCAGGTTCAAGCGATTCTCTTGCCTCAGCCTCCGGAGTGGCTGGGATTACAGGCATGCGCCATTACGCCTGGCTAATTTTTGTATTTTTAGTAGGGACGGGGTTCCACCATGTTGGCCAGGCTGGTCTCAAACTCCTGACCTCAGGTGATCCGCCTACCTTGGCCTCCCAAAGTGTTGGGATTACAGGCATGAGCCACTGCGCCTAGCCGGTAAATGATTTTACACACACAAATAATATGTTTAGCATTCTCAATTAGGTCATTATCAGGTAAAAATAGATGAATCCTGATAAGCTATTTGATTTTCTCTTCAAATAACTACAAATCAACTCCTGTGAGCTGTTGCAATCTATGCATTTAAGTTGCAAAAGTGAATTCTTCTTCTTTTTTTTCAAGTACAACACTGCAATATTCGCTGTATGAATGGAGGTAGCTGCAGTGACGATCACTGTCTATGCCAGAAAGGATACATAGGGACTCACTGTGGACAACGTAAGTACACTGTAGTTATAAGTATTCTAGATGTTAACCTGTTTGTAGACAAGTAGAATAAAGAGATAAGTGCTGATGGATTTTCTTCGATTACCTGGGACACAGCATGTTTACAAGTGTCCAGTGACCTTTACAGATGAACAAATCACTTACTCAAAAAACTTAACACCAAATTTCCAATTGGAACCTTGATTGGTTACAGGTTGTTTGATTCATTTTCCTCTCATTTACCTTCACCACCTTGCTTGCCTGATCTCCTTGATTTCTAGTCACCACCAAAGGAGCAGAATTCTTGTTCATTCCAGACACATACCTTCCACCCACTTGCTGAACTTCAACACTTGGATTTTCAGGAAGCATCTCAAATAAAGTATTTCAAAACTCAGCCTCATCATTCTCTCTAAACATGTCCTTTATCTTGATTGGTGGTATCTGCATCCCTCTCATTTCCTAATCTAGATTCTGCTACCGAAGTACTTATCACATGGTGTTCAGTTTGAAGGTTCATTTGCACACACCATTTATTGTATCTACTTTCTACCAGTCCCTGTGCTTTGCAGAAGACGAACATTCTTTTTAAAAACCTTGTTTTTTTTTTTTGTTACTTTAAGATGAGCATATATACCCTACAGAAAATTTGGAAAAGTTTAAAAATACAAAAAGTAAAATTATTCGTGATTTCATCATTCCAGATAGTATCTTCTAGACTTGTAATGCATATTTGGTACATGAGTTCTTACTGTATATATAGTTTTTGTACCACTTTTTCACTTAATACTTTATTCAAAGTATGCTCATTACACATTTTAAAATACATTTTAATGGTTGCCTAGTACTCTATTACCTGGATGTTTGACTGTTTATTTAATGAATCCTCAATGGTGGGCGTTATTCAGGGCGTTTCTAATTTTTGCTTTTGTGTATATATTTATTAGGATTAATAATGTTATTATAAATAAACAAAAATGTAGAGAATGCCCTAGTGACCATCTGTGTTAGTCTGTTTTCATGCTGCTGATAAAGACATACCCAAGACTGGCCAATTTATAAAAGAAAGAGGTTTATTGGACTTACAGTTCCACATGGCTGGGGAGGCTTCATAATCATGGTGGAAGGCAGGGAGCAACAAGTCACGTCTTACATGGATGGCAGCAGGCAGAAAGAGCTTGTGCAGGAAAACTCCCCCTTATGATAACCATCAGATCTTGTGAGACTTACTGTTATGGGAACAGCATGGGAAAGAGACCTGCCCCCATGATTCAATTACTTCCCACCTCCCACAACATATGAGAATTCAAGATGAGATTTGGGTGGTGACACAGCCAAACTGTATCACCATCCACACACTGCAGTGGGAGAAGAATATTGGTTGAGTTTTGTGTAGCCCAGCCTGGAGAGAGGAGAGGCAGCCTCCGCAGTGTGGGTGATCCTTGGGCTGAGTCTTGAGGGATGGGTAGGAGCTTACCTGTCAGGTGATGGGGAATGGACCTTTTTGGGCAGATGGTAGAGCATGACCAAAGCACCAGCACAAGACACAGCAAGGGATGTGGGACATAGCAAGTGCTTTGGTGTTGCTAGAGCTTAAATGCAGAGGAGAGTGAGGGGAAAGGAAGTAAGGTCAGATAGGATGTCATGGGCCAGGTTTTGATGCCTTTATACATACTATGTTTTCTTCCAAAGTAGGGCTAGGAAAGAAGAGTGAGACCACAACAATAAACAACACTAACAACATCAATAACCTACATCTTTTCAGTTACTCTGTGCTTACTGTGTGCTAGGCACATTTTAGAACTCTATGTGTGTTAACTCATTTAATATGACAACAACTCTTTGTATTAGAGGACATAAATGTTACCCTCTGGCAGATGAGGGAACTGGAACACAGGGACCTCAGTAGTTCCTCTAAGGGTATATAGATGGTAATCGGCAGAGTTGGGGTTGGAACCCAAGCAGTCTGACTCCATAGCCCATGTGTTTACTCTTGTGAAATACCAACCTTATTACCCTTCACTTACGAAGGTTTACAGTGAGAAAGATCACAGTGTGGAAGCGCAACTGGAGGAGGACAAAACAGGAGCAGGAAGACAAGTCCTAACTAAGGCTATGGCTGTGGAGATGGCGAGATGGGGCTGGATCCCAAGGCATTCCAGGAGAATCAGGAGGGGCTGCTGGGCATCTCTTCTGCTCCCCTTGGTGCTCCCTGAGGGAGTTTAGCCCAATGCCCAACACACAAGTGCTTAATTAACACTGGCAGAATTAGAAAACTTTTCCTAAACTTCAGCTTCCTCATCTGTAATCTGGGAGGGTTGGCTTAGGCAAGCTCAAAATTTCTTTTCTGTTTAGAAGCTCTTCATTCTCCCTGACTATAAATCAAGAGGCAAAGAAGACAATTAATTTACATAAACCTCTCTGGTTATATGATGAGTAATGGCCTCCTGCCATAATTTTTGGTTAAAAAGGGTTGTGTCAGTTCAGGTCCTCTTATGCCAAGAAAATATCAAGACAGAATTAGACATAAAAGAGAATTTATTGGGGAAAAGACCCGTGAAGAATAAAGGAAAGAGGAAGCAGAAGTAGGAGGGAATGGTCTTCAGACCATGATGCCTGTCTGATCCTGTGCAAGGAGGGAGGGAAGGAAGGACAATTGCATAGAAGGAACTTCAGCCTGTAGTGCAGCTCCAAAAAGCCATAGCCAGGTTGATGGAGAACCCAGGGCAAAAAGTGCCCATCAAAGAGTTCCATGATGGGTGGAAATAGCCAGGCTTTAGTATCCTAATGCTGTGTTTAGTCATTGGCTGTGAGCCTGCCCTTGACATGAACATTGCAGCAGATCTGAAGGTACAGCAGCTGGAAGTGGTCTGCCAGCTAAACTTGCAGGAGATTCTCTTGAGGGAAAGTATGAGTGGCTCAACTTCATGGCTGCTATAGGGTAATGTATGGAAAAATGTATAGAAAATATATAAGGAGCAAGGAATTTGAATGGAGGTTTTGGGGGAGCCTCATGGAGCAGTAAGATTTCAGCTGGGCTTTGAAGAGTGGGTGGAACTGACATATTTGGCAGAGAAGAGCCTGCCACGCATGACGAAGATGCCTAGAAAGAGCCCATGCATGCACGAGTTACAGGAACTTGTACAAAGAGGAGTTGTTCAGCACATGAACTTTCAATTCTTATTTTAATGTCATTTCTAACAAGCAAAATATCCTGCCCTGAAGCATCTCTAGATTTACTGCACCAATAGTTTCCGTAAGTTCTGTTATAACTCTCAATTGGATTTTCATTATGGTACTTAAATTACTGAAGATCATTAGTAGTATTTTGTTGTTTGCAGTTAATTGTGCAATTGAACTTGCTACATTTCTGTAATGGTGACATCAGAGGGGCTGATATTTCCCCTCATGGGAGCCCTGTTGCAATTAAACGTAAATCATAAGCAAAAGAGTCTTTGCTAACACACAGTTCCCATTCAGTGACATCTCTTAGAAACCACTGTTTTCGAGGTTAAACTGAAAGCATTGCTCAGATGCTTCACGGAATGAGACCATCAGCATTAACATAGATACAAACTCATCTATTCCAGGCAGCTTTACCTAAGAGTGGACTGAGGAATATCTGAGTATGTGTAACTGTAGAGTGACCGTCCAAAACAAACACCAGGGTGACTTTAGACATTTTATTGTTGTCCTTCCAGAGGACCACAAGTGTTACTTCATTAGCATTTATTTTCAGGTAAAGCGTCTCAGCTCTCTCCTTATTTTACAGCTGTTTGTGAAAGTGGCTGTCTCAATGGAGGAAGGTGTGTGGCCCCAAATCGATGTGCATGCACTTACGGATTTACTGGACCCCAGTGTGAAAGAGGTAATGGTTTTTAAAATCATTTACGTAAAGACATGCTGGTACCTAAAGCTGTTACTAATTTGCACAGACATTGGGTCTGCATGGCTACTTCCTGAATGTTGCTGAGCTTTGAGGGGATTTCTCATTTGTCATTGGGAAGGTCCCTAGGATGACAAGACAGCGGCCCTGAATCTATGCATGATATTCGGCAATGTTTGTCAGTCCAAGTTTACCTAAATTCAGTTATTTGCTAATTTGGTGGTACTCAGTTATGAGTGTATACATAATTACCAGTTGGCATCAGGATAAAAAGGGGAGAACTTTCTTCTGTAAGGGTAAGGATTAAGCTCTTTATTATGCCAGTGAATTAAGTGGTCTTGAACAAAACATATGTATGGAAAGGGAGAATTTCAGTATGAAAAGCACACCTAAAGATCTGTTGGACCTGTTGGGGGCTGTAGAGGTGTACAAGCTCAGCATTCAACACTCACCATAGATATATTGAGTGTCTGCTGAGAAGCTACTTTGTGTAGATGGTTTATTCAGTACTCATCGCAGCCTGCTAGAGTGTGTAGAATTATCCTTAATTTTGCATATGAGAAGATGAAGGCACAAAGAGGTCCAGGGATGTCCCCAAGGCCACATACATAAGAAACCTTTAATTTGAATGTGTGTTTTGTCTCTTCAAGTCTAATGTTTACTGCTGCTCTTAATTAAAAGAAACATTCTACCTGATTTGCCTACCTAAAAATACAAGTATGATATTGAGATATGTGTGGATATGCAATATTCTTAAGTTTTTTTCCCTGAACTTTGGTCTTACTAATAATCTTGTCTCTACATTTATAGATTTTTTTCTCATCATCCCTAGTTTTATAATGAAAGTTTAGAAGTTTTATGTTACACAAAACTGTAATTGAAAATTTGCATGAACTTTTAAACTGCAGTAATCACTTTTAGCCAAAGTTGTATAGACATCTTATTCTAAGATGGAAAGTAAAGATTCAGTAGCAGATGTTGAATATGTCATTTAAAACATGTAATAGAGGAAAACAAAGAGCAGAGAGTGGTTTGTGAGAAATTATTTTCTGTCTGTGTTTATAATTTATCTAAATTCAGTTATTTGCTAATAATGCAGTAATACCTATTTGAGCAAGAAATTCCAGGTCGATTACTTTGATTACTAGGTAAATTACATTGTATCTCTATTAATGGGACCACTGCATGGTATTGATGTGTAATGCATAATAGACCTTTACATTGCATGTTGATATCCTTTAGGAGTCCCTCCTTAAACTGCTTCTCTTTACAACTTGCACAGATGTGTTTTTATTCGCTAATAATTATAATGGTCCAGAGTACTAAAAACTATTTCTTCTAGGCAATATCATTCTGTGGCCTTATTACTTAATCAGGGAAGTTGTAGGAGATTAAAATTGTTAATGTGTAGCTTGAGGAGTGGTGTGTGAAAATAATTTCTCAGATGATAATGCTGGGCATAATTTGTTTTAGAAAAATCACTAATAAGATGAAGTTACAGGGCATTTTACCTGTAACATTTTACCTGTAACCATTTTAACAAAGTGGTTAAAGATTTGCTGCAAAGACTATTGATGCTCATAGTTGATATTGATGATAACACAGTCTAAAATAAAGGGCATGATATTGAACCATTCCACAGTGATTTCTTCAAAGATTTGATCTTTGTCCAAGATTAAGAAATGTCCTGAATGGGTTAAATTACTAAGCTACTAATCAAAACTGGCATGTTACTCAGAGGTTTCTCCAAGTTTGGGGGTGTCTTCAACTGCTCCCCTTCAGGAAAAAGGGCTATCCTGAAATCTGCACTAAGGTGTAAATATCTGTTGACTCCATAGAATTTTCCCAGTGGTGATTTTCAAAATCAAATTCATCCCCAAGTGGCAGATTTTCAGGCATTTGTGGTAGTGGAGACTGGAGAGCAGAAGGCAGGCTTGCCCGTTAGTAGCAGAAGGGTAGTGCCATCTACCCACTGCCTGTTTTACCCACGGGTACAGTCCCAGACCTTCAATGGGAGAAGAAAAACATGGGTGTCATTTCCCACACCACATGGGAGAGAGGAGTCTTTTTGATTCCAGAATTCTATTTCCATTTGTAGAGTCTTCACTGTTTGCTGCTCTTATGAAAGTCACCTGCTTACCTCTTTGAAGAATTAGAGGCAGTAGATTCTCTTACTTAGATGTATGTTCGTGATTTCAAGAGTGATGAATAAAAATCTGATACCGAGTCAGGACAGATCCATCCTGAAGTGTGGGGAAGTATTCAGGGTGACTTCCGATGGTGGGTTGGTATACTTATTGTGGTGCTTATTACTGGATAAGTACCTAGGTTGGTTGTATTCTGTTTTAACTGGGATGTGATGTTTATTTTTTAAAGTGCAGATCCGGGAGGCCTTTACTACTTTCCTTTCTCCCTTCATCTACATTTTCCCTTAGTACTCTCTCCACATCTCTTTTTATAGCATTTACTGCATTGCATCAAAACAGCAAGTTTCCAATCTCCCTCACTAGAGCATAAGTTTTCAGGAGCAACTATAGTTTCTTCATCTTCTTAATTCTAGCCTTACTGTGTGATGCACAGTACACGACCCATAGATGATGAACTGGATTCATTTAATAGCATCAAAAAATCTGGAGATATAATGATCGGATATGAACAAGTATCTCCTGGAAATAATTGCTGTTTGCCAACAGTCCTGGATATTGATTTCATTGGTTTCATGCTAAACAGAGCTGATTACAATGTTGATATCTAATTGAATTTGGTCCCATCTTTCAGAAGAATGATCTTTCAGGTCCACAAGACTGTCATTTTTCAGTTAACAGGGATGCAAAAAGGAGGAATGTTTTGATCAAAACTAAGTGGCAATAAAAACAAAAGCAAAAACCTCTTATCATGATATAATACACATGTAAGGGAACATTTAGAATGTCAGTTACAAGTACTTCTCAGGATAAAGATCTATGTCCCTGGGAGACCTTGGAACTTTTATACATTAATAACTACCTCAGAGACCCACTATGAGTGTGAAATACGCCTTTGGGGGTCATACTGGCAGGATTTGTATCACATTAAGCCAATAAGTCAATCTTAATCATCCATGAACATAGTATTTTGGTTTTGTGATGGAGAGAAGCAGCAGATCTCATGCTTGAATTATGAATCATAATAGTCATATAACAGTGTAATAAGATTATAAAGCAATTAGTCTTACTTGCAGCTTTTTGTCATTAAGATAAGTTTGTTTAAAAACATTCTTGGCTGGCCAGCCTCATCCCCAGTGGGCAGGTAGCAATGATATATTTTACCATTGCCACTACCATTGTTTCTCTACACCCAGAGGATAAAAAATAGAGACCTGTGGCTTATTTGGCCTGTGATGTCTACTTTTTAAAAGCTGAATAGGAATACCTTTAAATACATCTTCTAGTTTGTCATAGTCCCCACCACTACCTATTGTCACATCTTGCTCAAGTTCATTCATTTAGCTTAGGTATTAGCCCTTGTGAGCATTCAAGTTTGCCACCTCCTGCTGCTTTCTCTGTCAAAGATTGTGTCTTTATTTTTTTTAACCACAAGTTTCTTTAATTTTTCTTCCTGTCACTTTTTTTTGGTAAGTTCACATTTGTGGTTTTCTTGTTGCCTCCTACTCCGACCCTTTGCCTTCTCTTTGCTTGGGCCTTGAGCAACTAGTAGAACTTAATCACTTCTTAGCTCAGTGGTACAGTATGTTAGCATTTGTTATCAGATTATTGAAGTGAGGTCAGTGCCTGTTTTGGCAATGACAATACAAGCTAGTCGTATATTGCCATAGTTACTGCTAACAAAAAAACTGTGTGGAATCCCTTTCTCTTGCCATCTTGCCTCAGAATGCACATTTAAAATCTTGTTAAATGCCTTTGTATTAAACACAGTGAATCATATGAGTGGATGAGACTTTTCAGGGTCATGTCAAAAGAGAAAAGAATGATGGAGATAGACCTGAACTTGGAGATGGGGGTGGGGTGTGATGATGAATAGGCTTAGGGAAGAAGAGAAACAAAGAGATACAGCAAGAGAACCAGGAGAGCATTGAACCAAACAAACAAAAAGGAGTTCAAGAAATAACTTGGCAATTGTTAGACTCATCGAAGGTCTGAGAATGAGAATCATAAAGCGGCCATTGGACGTAAGAACAGCTGACATGTACTGAGTACTTGCAGTGTGCCAGGGGGTGTGCTAAGCACTTCACTTTGATGATTTGCAACAACCTTATGAGAAAAGTCCTGTAATAAGTCCCATCTTATGGAGGAATAAGCAGAGGCAAAGAGAGATCAAGTGCCTTGTCCAAGAAGGGACAGCTTATAAGTGGTAAAATAGAGGCCTGAACCTAGACATTCTGGCTCCTAAGCCTGTGCACATAGCCACTGTGTAGTACTTGGACTTCACTGGAAAGGGGCCACTCGTAACTCTAAAGACCTCACTGGAAAGGGGCCACTCATAACTCTAAAGACCTCACTGGAAAGGGGCCACTCGTAACTCTGAAGACCTCACTGGAAAGGGGCCACTCATAACTCTAAAGACTTTTCTGAGGAACGGTAAGAAGAAACCTAGAACTATGAATCTTAGAATGGAAGTCAAGATGAAAAGGCAAAAGAAAGGATTCTTGCATATTCTTGGATGTTTCAAATGTAGGGTTTTGGAATATTCCTCTATTTGATTGATTTCAACGTACGAATCTGCTCTTGGAAAGAGAGAGATTCCTGTGTGTTTACAGGACATATAAATGTGCTCCAAAGGACTGAACTAACATGCCTGGAAGTAGACATATGGAATGAATATTGTCATTTAGTGCAGTTATCATGGAAAGTTATATCATTTTCTTGTAATATTACAACAGCTCAAAATGTGTTTGGAACTCTTTTTTGGAGGTGCCTTTACAGAATCAGCAATACATTCAAATCAGTGTGTGATTTTTTTTTTTCCCTTTTGAGGAGGCATTTGAGTTTTCAGAAACAGCCTACAGTAATTTACTGTTAATTCTAGTGACTACAGTGGGTAATCACACATTTTAGCTGTTTGGGATCAAAAGCAGACTTAGATTTAAAAAATACTAAAAATAATTTTCTCATGTGGTTCATAAAGCACATGGAATTGGTTTAATGTTTTAATGTCAAACTTTATGTGAGCCAGAGGATGAAGCCTTTTGGAAGCATAAATGCAAATAGCAAGAAGTTTTCTCTCATTTCTCCATCTGAAGCTGCTCATCATGTATCCTCAGAATATTAGCATGCACGTGGACTCTTCTAAATCCTGGTGCATTTGTTCTGTGTTAAATTCCTACCCAAGTCTAAACTGTGAAGACAATACTTGGATTTCTGCCAACTTAAGAAAGTCTGTTGGCTGTTATGCTGGCTATCAGTAGATAAAGTATAGGGGAAAGCATTGTTGAACTGATAGCCTTAAGGAAAAGGAACAATTGGGGCCAAAGTGGAGTAGAATAAAAATGAGAGGATTGAAATAATCCTTAGTTCATTAGAGAAGCAGAACAGTTGAAAGTGAACTAGCTCTTCATGCAGGTACTTGCTTCCTAGGAAATTACAGTCTTAATGAAGCTGAAAAGGTTTTTGTATTTGTTAGCACAACAATGAAACAGAATAGAACAAACAACAGCTAGGTTGATTGTAATTCCACCTCCTTCTTATATGTGCAGTTGACGTTTGAGAAACTTGTCCTCACACCTTGTTTCTCTGATGATGTAAAAATGATTTTGCACAGATATCTTTCTAATGATTTTATTGAATGACTTTCAAAAATACTACATTAAGCAGTTGATAAACACATATTATATAAATCCAAAAAGGCAGCATCTATACTGTGTCTAGTGAATGGAAAGGACTAACATGTAATTATCCAAATATATAATAATCAGATAGTCCATTTTGGAAACACCTGCTTCGAAAAAGAAAGTAAAAACTTTACCTTATCTCAAGACCTGTTTAGAGAGCTTCATGGAATCAGGAGCTGATTTTCCTGTGCTTTTTTTCTCCTGGTGTTTTTCAGGAAGGTATTAATAAAATACAGATTCATTATTATTTTTTCTCTATGTAGAAGTAAGTTTTACAGAGCTGCATTTCTGACACGAATTTTACATAATTTTAAATTGTAGGTGGCTATCACTAAAGTTCCCAAGGTAATGCCACAGGCTAACTCCCATTCTCCATGTGCCTTTGGAAGGCAGAGCTCTGTGAACTATGTATATTTTCTTCTTTCCAAAAGCAAAAGGCAGTAAACTGTCATTACTAAACTACACTGAAGGCCTCTATGAACCTCTCTTTTGGTATTTAGTTTCAATGGAAAGTAACAATGTGGCAGGGCGTGGTGGCTCACGCCTGTAATCCCAGCACTTTGGGAGGCCGGGGCAGGCGAATCACGAGGTCAGGAGATCGAGACCATCCTGGCTCTACTGTGAAACCCTGTCTCTACTACAAATAGAAAAACAAAATTAGCCGGGCGTGGTGGTGGGCACCTATAGTCCCAGTTACTCGGGAGGCTGAAGCGGGAGAATGGCGTGAACCCAGGAGGTGGAGCTTGCAGTGAGCCGAGATCACGCCACTGCACTCCAGCCTGGGCGACAGAGCGAGACGCCATCTCAAAAAAAAAAAAAAAAAAAAAAGAAAGTAACAATGTGTAGATAGCAGGGGCACAATGCCCTAAATGTTACTGTGCGTCTACAGTGGTATTGCAACATTTGTGGCAGCTGGTGGATCACTGAATAAACTAGATTTTCCTAGAATAGTTCCAGGAATTGCATCTTTTGACACACACACTCGTTTTTTTGTGGCTGGGTAACTGTATACACTGAGGGCACACATGCTCCTCTGTCTCGCAGGCTGCACATATGTGGTATGAACAAGCAGTGGGGATGGGATGCAACCAGAAAGAAGCTTGATTTTTGTCTCCCACTCACTGTCCCTCTCGGCCCACTTTGTAGGCTACTTCTTCTCCTGCTGGTAGATGAAATCATCTGGTCTGTTTTGGACTTTCTCCCCTATAGTTCCTTTAATGGGGGCAGAGGCATCTGTGTTCTGACTGTTGCTGACATTTTCTTCCTCAGTCGCTGGGCATCCAGTGGTACTTCCAGCCTCTTGAGTTCTCTTTGCTGCTCCAAGGAGCCATCTGGGAAAGGAGCTAGGCTCAGTCCACATCAGCTTTCTTTTTGGCGGCCCCTAGCTTGTTGGCAGAAAACATTCATGCATTTTTTCTGCCACGATAAATTGCTGGAGTGCAAACTATTGACACGTTAGCAAATGCTCATTGGAACCATTGTCCAAGCATCTGGCCAGACAGTTTCCAGGCATTTGACAGTCCCTAGTCCACAGTGTCCTCCAGACTTCTGGGGATAGGTATCATGCAATCTGAGGAGTCTCCCTGAAGCCTCTCTCATGACTTGGCATCATAATGTGGCCCTTCACCAGTTTCCCAGGAAGGGCTAGTAACAGCCCAGCTCTCTCCAGAGTAACCCGCTTCCCATCACTTGCTACTTTGGACATTTGAATACTCTTGATATGCATAAAGGTTTAAGAGGTCATCATCACCCACTTTGCAAATTATGCATCAAAATATCACACTTGACTTAGAATGTGGCATCTGTTCCCTTGGTGGTTCAATTGAAATTTTGATTCTAACATTCTCTTGTGTTATCAAAGCTAATCATTTAGTACAACTGTTAAATTTAGTGTCATGGTTTCATCTTCAAAAACAGTTTTTTTAACTTCATTTTTTTTTAGCTCTTATGAACTTATTAAAAAGATAAAACTAATTTTTATATGTCGTTAGCCCCACATTTAATATTTGAACCACTTTTCGATCTTAGATGTTCAAACAGTAGAACAGTACTGAACAATAGAAATATAATGTGAGCCACATATATAATTTTAACTTTTCTTGTAGCCACATGAAAAAGTAAAAGGAAACAGGTGAAATTAATTTTAATAATATATTTTATTTAACCCAATATATCTGAAAGTTTTATGTCAATAGATACTCAGTATTAAAAATTATCTATGAGATATATTGTATTCTCTTTTCCATTCTAAGTCGTTGAAATCCAATGCATATATTATACCACATCTCAGTTTGGACCAGCTAATATCCACATGTGGCTATCATCTTGGACAGCACAACTCTAGAACTTCCAGTAATACATATCCAAACTTTACCCAAAGTATCTACTAGATTTCCAGTTTTCTTTCTTTTCCTTCCTTCTGCTGCTTCTCCAGCTCTTCAGAAAGCAGCATCTTAGAAAATCAAAGAGAGGCTGCATTGATATTTGAAAAGTAAACCATTAAAAAAAAGAACTGGGGCCTCAGAGCTGAGCCTAATTTCTCAGGTTCTCTGTCTTAGTAGAAGTTTGATCAAATATAAGTGATAAAGCTCAATCTCATGTTATATCATGTCAATTAGATATAACAACTACAGCATATATTTAATAAAGCCTTGGCACTAAGCTAGGCATGATGATAGAATCATGAGAGGAGTGTATGGCTCTTGTCATGAGGGCCTTAAAATAATTTTTGGAAAGACAGACATGCATACTATATTGGAAACAGTTAAGTAACCAAGCAGGGCCAGGATTTAGCTAGGCAGAGGAGATAAAGGAAAGTACTACAGGTAAAGGGAAGAGTTAGTACAGATTTAGAGGCTTGTATTGACCTGGGGAAAAGGGAGGACCCTGCTGTGTCAGCTTTCATGGTACTGGAGCCCTTCTGTGGGAGAAGAGGCAAAGGCACAACGTCAACTCACATAACTCCAAAGAAGGGAGGGCCTATTGCAAGCTTCTCCACGATGCCCTTCCATTCTATTGAACTGTGCTTCTGTACAATTTCTGTCTGAAGCAGGATATTGGGATTAAAAAATGCCCCTTTGTATGTATAAATTAGTGGGAAGACTGGTCTATTTCTGAAACTGTTTTCACTTTCTTATAGACGGCATTCAGGAAATCCTTACCAATTTTATATGCCCAACTGAGAGTACTTCAGAACACTTAATGTTTATGTTCCCAGTAGTTATGGTCTCTAGAGAGTCTATGCTGTTTTTGGTTTATGAACATATGTTGGACAAATACATGGGGCTTCATGGTCCCGACGATGTGCCAAAGTACTTTTTGTAGAACATCAGTCCCATGAGGGGTTCCATGAAATTAAGTTGCCATGGATATAATATCATTTTTGGAAACTCCATCCCATGTCTTCTTGGGGAGGCATCGGGTTTGTTAGCTCTTGGGAGTCCTGCAGGAAGGAAACTGTTTTTACTTAGTTTAACTCACATCTCCAAGCCCATGAATTTTAGAATTTCTTCTTTCCAATTTGTTTTCCCTTAACACCTTTAATGTCTTCATCTTGGAGATCTGGATTCTTATTATTTTGACAGTCATTTTGAAAGTCACTTGACATCTGCATGACAACATTTTCATATTCTAGATAGATGTTTTGAATCCATGTATGATCCTCATTTTAAAGATAAATATTTGCCTAAATGTCTAGAGGTTTTTGGAGGAAGATCTTCATTATTTAATCATTCACCTTTTGGGTTCCTAAGAGGATTCATTTGACCATAAATTTAAACACAGCATGAGACACTCATCCTTTGGGGTTTGGTTCTCAAATACTTTAAAGAATCATATAGGAGAGCTGGACTATCCCATTAAATACCGATAACTTCCTAGTTTTTAATGGCTTGATGTGGTCAGTGTGCATGCCATCCTGGTTCTGGTTCTTATCAGCCACTGGGGGTACTACTTCTAGAACTAGGAGTATGAGATATTCTTAGAGCTAGAGCTCCCTTTTCTATACTGGTTAGATCCTTTTCTTTCAAGGTCAAGTTTAAGTCTCATTCTCTCCCCAGTCACTTCCTGACTGTAGGAGGCCAGCCCCCAAACCCCCACCCCAACCAGCCCCATCAGTTTCTATGCAACTTTGCTGACATGGCCACCTCTGGCCTCCCGGACCCCACCCACATTTCAGTTGCTCAGTGAATCTATTAAATTTTTGGTTTTTGCCATTCACTTTAAGGATTACATCAGACATTTTAGCATTTTTATTCCTCCAATGAATTCTTGTTTTTCTTGCATTTTATTACATTTTAAACTGATTAACTGACCCAGTGCTTGTCTCTGGGGATATGTACTCATGATTTTTAAATATTTACTAAGAGGTAAAGAATGAGCATATTCACCTTGTCAAAAAACTTTTTTTCCATGTGCATTTATTGATTTTTGTGTTGAAATACTTCTATCAGCATAAAACCATCTAGAATTCTGTTTCATGGCTTCAGGAAGCCTTATCAGCAAATTGCAATATTTAAGTTTCCTTAAAAATATTTTCTTTACTAAGTGAAACATAAATCATCTATTAATTTTAAAATATGAAATAATTATATAGGTATTATTTCAGTATTTTCTTTAAAAAGTCAATTTGGTTTATGAGTCCCATCATCTGGGAATTACACAATTGGCTAATCTGCTTTTGGGACTACTAAAATAGAGGTTTATGTATAGTCTTTCAGTCAGACTATGGTACTCCCCATAGGTCAAAGACTAGAAATTAGATCTGATACTTCTTCCTATTTCACTACCAAGCTTAGAGCTGTGAAGAGAGTAGGTATCTATTAAATATTTGTTGATTTACATAATTTAACTGTGGGCTCTTGAAGTCGATGAGAGGGAGTGTTTAAATGTTAAATACATCTGTTTAATCCAACATTCTAAGAAAAGACATTCTGGACAACAATATTTATAAATCTATGTGTATGTTATATGGAAATATTAGTGTAGTTATTTATAACTGAAATATTGTAGGAAGTGAACGCATGAAAAAAAATGTTCTCCAACTTTCCTGCCATATTCCCTCGGTGATAATCTTTTGTCTCTGAACTGTTTGAGAAGAGCTTTATAAGTAAACAATAGATTGGGATATTTGTTTTCTCAGGAAATAAAGAATGTTCTAATGGTTGAGTTTATAAGATAGATCCATTTCTATCTCTGTCCTTAGAGAGCCCTTATCTTGTTGCCTGCCCTCTCCTAGGAGGCATTGTTGACCTTTACCATTGTAGGCACTGAACCACGCTGAAAGAGAAGCCTTACAGGATGGAGGCAACTTTTATCCAAATTGAAAATGTTTTTATAAACATACATTAGCTCTTCATGAACCATTTGTTTCCTGAAGTCCCAATGGAAATGATCATATTCTGTTAGGGATTCCAATGATATATTCTTTAAACTAAGACTCGTGAACGTTAAAAGGCAAAAGCGAAGCCAGAAGTAAATTTTGACTCATTCTTTATATAATCATTTGAAAACTTCACTTGAAAACTGGAGAAAATTTTGGAACTTTCTTGTTCTACTATGGAGAAGATAAAAGCAGAAGCATCCACAGTATCTTAATGATATAAAACTGGCTTTGGAAAGAAGTATGTAATAGAATTCAGATTGTCCTTGGAGGAAAACAACCCTAAATCACCATCGAAAATTCTTTATTTATTTATTTTTTCAGACGGCATAATTTGGAGTGGGATTGGGCTATTTCTTTTCAGACCTTATTTAGGCCTCATTTCTTTCTACAGTGTTCTCCACATTGCCAAGCAGAATAAGCTATCACAAAACTAAACAAAAGGCAGTGCCTAGAAGGCATCCCATCCCTTGACGGAGCCAACTGGGAGTGTACCCAGGACTTTCCTGTTCTCATGGCTCCTGGGGTTGTTATTCTTTACTTTTTATGAATGAGACAAAATGATAGTGAAATTATTTTCAGAACTAAATCATATCTCAAAGGAGTCTTCATTCCAACTTGTCAGTATCACATGACAATCATTTTAATGTTTTCATTTAAAATATCTAATTAGGAGGAGTTGTGTTTTTCTAATTGCCTAGCCATTCCTAGAAAACTGATCACGAACTCACGCTCTGAGGATAAATCTTGCTACTTGCTGGATTGGTGGCCTTGAGCAAGTTACTGCATGTCTCTCAGGCACAGTTTCCTAATCTATACAATGAGGGTAATTATAGTATTTATCTAGTAAGATTGTCAGGAAGATTAAGTGAGATCATCCACAAAGTACTTAGCACAGGATCTGGCACATAATACATGTATAAGAAATGTTAACTATTTTAAATTCACATGAAAATGAGGGTAATCTTGGTTGACAAGTATCATTTCATTAACAGTATCATGAAATGTTCACATATCCCTGAAATTACACCTAAACTTAAAGGCCTCATTTTGACCATTTTTTCCACTTAGAAGTTTTGTTATTTTACTTGAACAGCGTATTTTTTGGATCCCCTATTCAGATGAAACCCAACATTCTTGAGCTGGATATAGAAAGGTCAACATCAAGAAAGAAGCACATCAACCGTGTGCTTTTCTTTAGTACACATTCAACTGTTGCAGTTGTAATGAAGGCTAAAACTACAATAGTGCAAATAGTAATAAAGAAAGAGAAAATGAAGGGGTAAGGGGAAAACTATTTCCATAAAATGTAATGGTGACTGTGTCTGGGAAGCATTTGTTCTCCCAATAGCTAACCAAAAATTCCTGAAAGATTTGCTTACTTTTACTGACATACAGGTACAGAAGGGAAAATGAACTTGTCTATTCAGAAAAGGCCAATAACGAAATATAAGAGGTACTTAGCTATTTTAGAAATGCGGCATTCTAAAATCAATGAGAGGTAATAGACACTTACCCATCAGTAAAATAAACTGAACATCTCTGTAAAGTATACAGTTTCCAGGTGGCTGTAAGACCTTAAGTCTACAAATACGGCCTGGTCAGGTTGGATGGGAGTGGGGGATGCTTTTACTCATGGAACCATGTGCCATTCTTCTTTTGTTGCAAAGGACTAAAAGTGTTAGTCCCAGAGGACTAAAGTTAGAAAAATCAAAACATTTGGTTATTTTAAACCCACAAATTTCAAGCTGCCCTTGTTAGTGTTCAGTTTTGTTAAGTCTATCCATAAAAAGGTGTGATGTTATGCTGAAAAGAAATTGTTCTAAGACGAAGAGAGGAGGTGTGAGTTTATCTATCATGCATGAGTATTTCTCAGGCACTATGCTAATGACTGGAGATGTATAATAATGAATGAAACACACGCATCCCGCCTTCTGGAGTCACATTCCTGTGGAGAGATGGAAGCAGTGCTTAGAAGGGCATGTGTAGGAAGGCTGGCCACACATTGAGAGGTGTGCAGTGGTGCTGTGACTCCCACGCTGGGAATAGGAGCTCTGTACATTTTTCTATAGCACATTAGAAGTTTGATGGCTCCGGCTGACCATGAGACTCTTCCCAGAGGAGCCTCTGGAATACCAACTTTGTTAAGATGAGAGAGCTCTTCTTATAGGTTTCCAATGCCCTTCAAAGTCAGAGGGATCTTGAGTCTTTTGCTGCTTAGATTGCTTTTCCTCTAATCCTTGTGCTCCCACAGGGACTCTGATCCCTAGCTTTCCCCCAGAAACGTTAATGAACTGGAACTCAAGTGTCCAAAAAAATGCAAGTACACCACAAAAATGGTTTGTTTAGGCGTCAAACATTTTGAGATAATGCATACTTTTGAATGGATGCCTGCAGTCTTGTCCCTGGGGAACGCCTTTGGATGTCATGCAATCCTGGCTTCAGTAAATCATTTGCTGTTTGGACAAGTCGTGGCCACCACGTCAGTCACTAGATACATTTGTAATGGTTTACGTGAACAATAACAACAACCACCTAGCAACACACTGTTTGGTCATGTCATTTTTTTCTAATACCACATGTGGTTTTGTGGGCTTTAGAAGAATAAATTCTTACTGCATCTAAAAGGTCTTGAAAATTAAACAGCAAATATTGTTGGAGGCCTACTGTGCACAATAGGTGAAATCACACTGCATGTTGTAAGAATGAAACATGGGTCTTTGCTAGTTTATTAGTAATTTTATACTCCACACGGGAGAGACTATTTCTGTTCTGTTCAACATTTTAGGTCTAATGCCTGACACGCAGTAGCCCAGCAAGTATTTGTTGACTGGAAAAATGAACAAATGAGTAGTTTTCAGGCATAGTTTATTTCTTGAATTTCCTGTAATTCAAAAAAGAAATGACTGATCTACCATCTGTACTTTTTAGCCGATAGTTTTTTCCCTCGACTTTTTAAAACCATGAACACAACAGTGTCAGGTAGAGCCAAGTGTATTCTGTGAAGTGTTAATACCTCAGAGATGCCACATTTATGTCATCCCTTCCATTTATGCAGCACTTATGAACATATACCACCTTAGTCAGTCCTTGGGGCAACCCTTCATATTTTATAGCAAAGAGTGAGATTGAAGGGGAACCTCTGTGACTCGGAATTCTAAGGCAGGTGTCTAGGAATGAGACTTATGTCTTCTCAGTCAGCCCAGACTATGGGGCATCTATATTCTCCAACATGTATTTGCTTGCTTTTAGAGCTCACTGTGGTCGCTAGCATTACCTTTTGTTATTATTAACTATCTTTTAATTTTAGCTCTATCTTTGTTCTTTCCTCTCATTTTTCACACCTTTTTGATTTTCAGTCAGACTGCTGACACTTTGCTATTTCTGTTCTCTGTGTCTCTTAGACACTATGTCCATTTTTAAAATTTCAAATTTGAGGGAACTAGGCAATATTTAGAATTAATTTTGTCAAGGAGAGCTTGTCTTTAATTGTAAGTGGATATTATGTGGTGAAAACACTTGGCTTAGCTGAAATTGAGCTGTGCATAGAATCAGAAGACAATCTGGTCCTGAAGGAGTCTGAGAACACACAGGCATGGATAATCCGGATGTGTGAATGAATGAACTGCTGCTGTGTCACGCTGCCCGGGACATCCTTCTGTTGGAATTTCTGTGAAAGTAGACCAGGCATATTGCATATTGGAGTGTGTATTCCAGGAAGAGTTGAGAATTGGTTTTCTTTTATGACCTCTTTGTTTTCTTGCTGCACGTATCAGGAGATTTGCAGTTTCTGTCATATAAAAACTACTGGAAATTTAGAATTATCTCCTCTGAGAGCATGAGCCCCTTGAGAACAGGGAGTTTTGACTGTCTAATTACAGTGGCTAGAAAATGTCTAACACAGAGTAGATGGTCAATACATATTTGTTGAATTAAAGAATGGATCTGGCATATATACAGCTGATCACTTTTTGCAATAGGACATGGGTTGATGGTGTAGTGCATGATTTGTTGGTGCATTGCTGTGATGATGTTCTGAGCTCACCCAGCCTCAGTTACTCAATGACAGCAAGTTCAAGTCATGTCAGAGTTGGTGTTTGGCTCTTGTCTGCCCCACTATACAAGTGCATGCAGTTTTAGTCTCTGTTTTGGTGGGTAGTTTCCTACCCCTCTGGCTCGCTATACTTGATTATGAAATTATAATTGGCTTTCGTTTATCTCTTTAGGATAGAATAGTAACTGTAGCTAATCTGTGGCTGAAAATAGGGAGATAAGAATGAAAATAATTAAAATGGATCACTCTGGGTAGCCTGAAGTGACATGGATTAATGTACTATCAGTTTTTTCCCCCTGAGAAACATTTGGTCACAAGGAAGTTTGGCTTTCAGAAGAAATTCAGATTTGGGTGTGTGGCTTTTGGCATAGTCTAGCATCACTGGAATGGCCTAAAGTAGATGTTTCTTTTTTTCCCATGCCTTCCTGTGGGTGCTCAGAACAACCCGGTCTTTTGACTGTAGGGTTATCTGCCATTCGTAGACTGAGCATTATCTTGCCAAGTCATATGGAGAAGCCAGTTACCGAGTGCACTTGGAGCAGAAGATAATACTTGGCTGAAGCATCCTAGAAAGCCTAAAAAGCTTATGTCAGAGGGATATAACGTAGAGTTTCTAAGGAGAGGTGGAGAAAGAGACTGATTGATCGATTGCTTGATCTCCAAAGGGCAGGGGCTCTACCACGTGTTTCATAGTGCTAGGAAATGGCAAACTTTAAAAAGGTGTTCTTCAGTTGCCCCAAGAAATACAAATGTCACGCTTGTCTGACTGTCAGGGATGAATGGTCCTAGTGCATGCATGATGACTGTATATTCTTCTTTGATAGCGCCATGGTGTGGGTAGGTATGAGGATCTGTTGGCTTAGAAGCAATTGGAAAAACTGGACAAGGAAGGAAAAGAAAATGAAACTAAGAGGCTGGATTGAGAAATACCAAGAAGGGTGGAAATTTCAAGCTTTTTTTAACTTCAGTAACTGTAAGAGAGAAAGAAAGAGAATGAAACAGAAATGTCTGACTGTGTCCCTTCAATTTCAAAACATATTTTGTAGCTCTCCACTGACTCTGGTTTATTCATTATTTATTTAATAGACTCCTTTGTTAACTTCAGGAAGTTAATACTAGTGGCAATTCTTTTAGTCGTATTGGGTTGCTAAAAAGCTGTGGACCCTACCACATACCACAGTTTAGATTAATTGAATCTAAGTGTGCATGAGTTTGATTAAATAGGGATTTATTATTAAGAGCCCTTCTTAGGACATATGAGCTTGGAAGAGCCTGATTTATAACTTAGTAGCTTTTTCACTTTGTGAAGGGATGGGACATAAAGTGTTCTTTTCCAGAGTGATGTGGACTGAGATAAGATTTATAGATTAGTGAAAGAAGTCCACGTCTCAGTCAAAAGATTTCCAGAAATGTTCTCCTCATTATTCTTCAGAGACCTGAGCTATTCCAGATGTCCATAGGTTTCAGAAAGGTAGCTTCTGGGGAGTTGAGACTTTCTAAAAGATGAAAATGTCAACCTTCTTCCTTCCCTGCTTTTTTGAGATGGTAGTAGAGCTATATATTCAACTGTATGTAGATGAAATTGTAATATAAGAAGAAAAATAATGGCCATTATTAAAATTCAGCAGTAGGCCAAACAGGAATTATATAACTGTTTTGCTTCATAGATAGAATTGTTCCTAAATTCAGCTGATATGGAATTTTTAAGAATTTATTTTTTGGGGGGTCAAGAAATGTTCTGTTGTAAGCATGCAAGGAAAAACTTCTTATTCTCTGCTCTAATTGCTACATCCAGATATTTGTTATGACATACAAGCAAGATTCAGTGCTCGTGGTGAAATCTCTGTGCCTCAAATTGCATTTGCCCTGCCTGCCCTCCTTTCAAAGCTGTGCTTACCACTTTGGTATAAGGTCACTGAAAGTGTCTGCGAGCTTTAACAAGTTGGAGATGCATTTCTTTTTTTTTTTTTTTCCCCTTTTTTATTTTTATTTTTATTATTATACTTTAAGTTTTAGGGTACATGTGCACATTGTGCAGGTTAGTTACATACGTATACATGTGCCATGCTGGTGTGCTGCACCCACTAACTCGTCATCTAGCATTAGGTATATCTCCCAATGCTATCCCTCCCCCCTCCCCCCACCCCACAACAGTCCCCAGAGTGTGATGTTCCCCTTCCTGTGTCCATGTGATCTCATTGTTCAATTCCCACCTATGAGTGAGAATATGCGGTGTTTGGTTTTTTGTTCTTGCGATAGTTTACTGAGAATGATGGTTTCCAATTTCATCCATGTCCCTACAAAGGACATGAATGCATCATTTTTTATGGCTGCATAGTATTCCATGGTGTATATGTGCCACATTTTCTTAATTCAGTCTATCATTGTTGGACATTTGCCATTGTGGAAGTCAATGTGGCGATTCCTCAGGGATCTAGAACTAGAAGTACCATTTGACCCAGCCATCCCATTACTGGGTATATACCCAAAAGACTTGGAGATGCATTTCTACAGCTGACATTTTTCACTTAAAAATAAATTATAGGATGCGCTTTGGAGAGCACACGCCTAGGAGTGGAACATTAACAAAGGATACGTCAAACCACAGACACTTCTAGTGGATCCAGTTCACAGTATTGCCACACAGCCTGAAAAAATAACATTAGTACCAGCAAAACTATCATCCCTAACATTCAGTCATTATCCCTGTGGACAGGCTTGGGAACAGCCATGTGGATGTAGCTGCTTTGTGCTTCTTCCCATGCAGATTTGATTTTTCTTTCCACTTTCTCCCTTTTAATGAATGAACTAAAAATGAATTTGAACTACTTGCCAACCTTAGAAGGTTTGATTTTAAAATATATTTTCTTCTCAAATACACGAACCAGTAGCATCACTTTCAATTCCCTACTCCCATTCTCTGTCCAAAAATACATATGCCAATCTTCAATTTTTTTTTTGTAGATTGCATGTAAACGATGGTTGGTTTGTATAAAGATAAATATTACTTTAGTAACAAGCACATAGTAACAGCTTAATTTCTTTTTGAATTGTTAGGCTGCACAAATCAATCATGTGGTGCCAGCTGAAGACTGCTTTTACAACAAGACATATGTTACAAATATATTAATCTTAGCGGCATATGGCACCTGAGACCTTGTAGGAAGGCGTTGCAAAAAGGACGATCATGCCCTATTAGCTGGCTCACTTCCTAACTTACATTAATTCGTGCATTATGGAACGTCACCAACACATGAAACAAAAAGTAGAAATGGCACTGCTGAGTAATCACAAGCCATTGACTAAAGAAACTTCAGGGAAGGCGGGGCAATGAGCATTCTTTGAACCACTTAATTCAAGAAATAACAGGCTTTGTTTATTTAAGAGGCCAGTCTGTCTGTTTTCTGATTGCATTCTTATTGTGAAAATGCCAGAGCATATTACAATGGATAAAATGAGAGGAAAAAAAGGGCGATTTAAGTAGGCCAGGAAAGAGTGGTGGTAGATGTTTGAATGCCCCCCCTTGGAATTAATCAGTGGTTTATAAACCTGAAATACTTTTTAATTTTGAGAACTGAGTTTCTGACTCAAATTATACAAGAGAAAATGTTACTTGGCTTGAGAAAGGAAAAACTTTGGTTCATGTAAATATGTACCCTCATGCCTTTATCATGGGGGAATTGTAATTAGGGATTCAGAATCTTGAGAACACTATTGTGACCTAGTTATTTCTGTACAGCAAGTGCTCACAGGAGGTACTGGCTAGACCTGAAAATAATGAATTAAGAGATTCCAGCTGGGATGTGATGAAAGCATTTTTGGGAATCTCTGTATCTTGGCTGGACCACATGGGTTATAACTTGGAGAGACCTAAACGAGTAGTAGTATATGACAGATTTATAGTCCAATTGATGTTGGGCATCAGAAAAAAAGGCTGAGGTTAAAAAAAATGACCTGAGAATTATGAGTTCTAAAAGAATTGCTATTGGAAGGGATGCTAATGCAGGAAAGCATGAATTCCTTATATGAGGGCAATAAAAATAATAAAATTTGGTGCTGAGGCATTGAATGGGAAACACAGTAGCTTATTTTTCACAGAGACCCCTCCTCCAAGATCCCTTATCTACCTTCTCTGCTGTACAGTTCTCCACAACACATCCTCCATCTAACATATAGTATATTTTCTGTCTGACCTAGTTCTTCCATGACATTATTAAACTCCATGAGGGCAGACATTTTGTTTGCCACTGCTCCCACCATCCCCCACACTTTGTTGTATCCTTAGCTACAAGAGTGGTGTGTGACACTTAGTAGGCTCTTGATAAAAATTGTTGAATGAATGAATGAATGAACGAGTGCATCAATGGTGTCATTTTTAAGCCAGAAATTCATTTTAGTCCCTCTCTTCCCTGCATCTATCTCTCCCTCCCTCCCACCTTCCCTTCATTCCTCCAGCAGGCACTGGATGTGCTAAGGCACAAAGACCAATAAAACAAGGTTCCTGCCCTCCAGCTTATGGTCTGTTGGGATCAACCCATGGGTAAATGAAGGAGTCCAGTACAGAGTGATAATGCTATATTAGACATGTGCACAAAGGGAGATCAGAGTAGAGGGGGAAAAAAACATTTAATCAGGCTGAGAGGTCAAGGACAATTTTTTTCCAGAGAATTAAGGATTGGAAAATTAAGGATTTGTAGAGCCTAAAAGAATATGTAAGAGTTGATGAAAAATGAAATGACTTGCAAGAAAGGATACGACCTGGAAGAAGAAGACAACGTTGTCAGGGAAACGGCAGGTAGTTCACCATGAAGGGAGGGAGATGATGGGAGCAGATGGAGTTTGGAGGTAAGTTAAATGGAGAGTCATTTCAAAATCATTGGTTTTCCAAGGTGTTTTGTTGTGTTCATTGAGAGTCAACAATACTGAGACTTCATAATACTTCAGACAAGTAGGTGAGACCACTCCATGTGAGTTTTGGTCCTCTTGCTCTTCTGTTTCCCAGTTTACTATGTGCCCCTTCCCAGCTTGATATGTCAGGCTAAGAAGTAAGTGGACTTTCTGTTTCTATTCTTTTACTTAGGATAATGCTTTCCAGTTCTAACCATGATGCTGCAAAAAACATGATTTTATTCTTTTTTATGGCAGAGTAGTATTCCATGGTGTGTGTGTGTGTGTGTGTGTGTGTGTGTGTGTGTGTGTGTATCTCACATTTTCTTTATCCAGCCCTCCATTGATGAATCCTTATGTTGATTCTATATCTTTGCTTTGGGAATAGTGCTGTGATAAAAATATGAGTACAGGCGTCTTTTTAATATAATGATTTCTCTTCCTTTGGGTAGATATTGTTGGATTAGTTCTTTGAGAAATGTCCATACTGTTTTCCGCAGAGGTTGGACAGAGCCAAATATTACATGTTTTCACTTATAAGTGTGAGCTAAACAGTGGGTACACTTGGACAGAGAGAGTGGAATGATGGACATTGGAGACTACCAAAGGTGAGAAGGTAGGAGGAGGGTGAAAGTTGAAAAATTACCTATTGGGTACAATGCTCACAATTCAGATAATGGGTACAGTAAAAGCCAGAGTTTGCCATTATGCAATATGTGCATGTAAGAAACCTGCGCTTGTACCCCCTAAATACATACATACATACATACATACATACATACATACATACATACATATGTAAATACATAAAGAATTGAGCGGAGCTCTAAAGCTGGTTTACCATTTCCTTGCCAGAGCATTATTTGGAGTGTGGAGACTTTAACATTTAATACGAGTTGCAAGACTCTAAAGTCCATGCTAGAGCAATTGCTCTTTCATCCTCATTTTGTTATCTGTGATTGTGGGCAGGGGCCATCTCTGAAAGAATACTCCTGTCTTTCATGGTATTTACTTGAGTTTATACTTCGTGTCACACGTGAACTATTTCCCGTCTCTAATCTGCAAATGTTCCCTTCTGGAACCCGTTTTTATGTTTAACCTATAGGAATGCCTAACTGTTGAGTAAAATGGTGCTTTTGTGTTATTTTCATCTAACATAACCTCAGAATTTTAGTAGATTTTAGTATTAATATCTTTATATGTGATGCAGTCATCATCAATATTTGTTCTTTTAAATTAACATTCAAAATTAAATGAACAAAACAACAGTGATATTCATAAAATTGGATGCTATTTTGTGTCAGGCTTGAGTTTCCAAATGGAAGCCTCCTGATTGTCCTGATCTGATGTCACATGGAAGCCACTGCATACTCTTGATCTTTTCTATGTTTCTAATCATTTTATTAACATTTCTTGGAATCTTTTCTAGCTTATTGCATTTATATTGGCTGGTTTTATAGTGATAAGAAGATTGAGAGCTGTTTAGGATATAGATGTTATCTGTACGTGGTGCCTGTACAAAGTAGGTGCTTAATATGTTTTTTTTTTTTTGAATGGGCAAGTAAGAGTTATATTTTTAAAACATGCATTGGATCATTAACCACTTCCTACTGCCTTTAGGAAAAAGTCCAGACTCCTTTGCCAGAGCCACCAGGCCATTTACAACCTGGAAGCAGCAGACCTTTTCAGCCTTATCTCTTGCTGTCACAAACAACAATCCACAATCTACAGTATATGTTTGCAGTGCCATGCTTCATCCATGCTGCTCCTTCCATTTGACATTCTTACTGATTTGTCAGATGAGAAAGCTTCCATTAGCCATTCACAGAAGAATCACTTCTCTATTTCCAAAACATTGTTTGTACTTCCAGGATAATCACACTGGTTCATTTCACTGTCTATACTTATCTCCCCATCTAGGTTGTACACTCAAGACAGAGGCTCTGTCTTACTTACATTTGTATCTTTAGGGTCTAATATTGTACCACTGACCATTGCAAGGACTCAGGAATGTGCTCTGAATTAATTAACAAGGTAATTAGGCCAGTGCCACAGCCTGAGTATCACACAGCTTCATGGTCTCTGCTCCACACCATGAGAACAGGACCCGTGCGGTCGGGACAAGGCTAAAGAGGCCTAACCCTCAGCCAGGGCTCTGCAAGGCTGCACCAAGGCTGGGTTTAATCTGGGACCCCTCATTCATCCACAGTCAGTAGAGGAGTGACCATCACTGGCTTCTAAAAATCCATGGCGTCCTGGCCTGTCTGCACAGCCTACCCTCATCAGAGAAGAGTTCTTTGATGGTACTGCCCAGGGTCTCTTGATAGCAGAGGTTTTCCTGGGGGAGCAGGCTCAGTCAAAGCCTCAGTCTGGTTCTGATGGTTCCTTTAATTGTTTGCCAAGAATCTGGTTAAAGGGAACATGACAGACTTCAAGGGACTGATGAGAATCCAAGATCTCCTTGCTGGCCACAAATCATTAATTGAGAGCTATGCCTTAGGAGGGTAATATATATTTTCTTTCTTATGACCATGATTTTACATGTGCTGAAGCTTATTTAGTCTTTAACTCTCCATTCACTTAGCCTTGTAAGACCTGTTTTGGAATAATCTTAATTATTATTGTTATTTTAAAATTTAGCCATTGTCCTTTTTTATTTTTATAACACTATAAGCCATATTGTTTAATTTACAATTTATTATATTCTGTTGTGATATGAGATCATAGTGATGGTTAGTACAACAATGTGATAGCTATCACTTTATGCACCATTTTAAGATTAATGGGCATCATGATATGAGTTATAGATATGAAGTTCCAATGTATAATTTGAGCTGTGTTGTGTATTCTGGGCCATAATCATCACATAACTCAGCATATGTATATATAAATATATGGAAAAACACAAACTTGCAAAAACAATTTGAGACAATCCCAAAAGATAGATCTCAAAGAAAGATTTCTTTCTTAGTTGAAACGCTTTCTTAGCCTCCTGTTTTCGGATAATGCTCAAACTCCTTAGTGGACCAGACAAAGCCTCCCATGAGCTGGTCTTTCCCACCTCGCTGGCTCATCCCCAGCAGGTGCCCTTCATTTATCTGCAGAACCATGCCCACATCCTCCCATTGTTCCCCCTTTTCACACTTAACAGATGTTCGCAACTAGTCTACTTGTCTCTGTTTGGAGCCCTTCGCCTCTTGTTTTTTAAAAAAATTTAAATGCAAAACAGTGCAGTGACTAATAAGACAACCATATTTAAACTGTCTACCTGGTATTAACAAATGTCAACATTTCATGAATTTTAAATGAACGAACCAGAGCATCTCAGATAAAGCTTATGTCCCTCTTTTTCTCCCTAGTTCCTTTGCCATTCCTCTCTCCAGAGGTGACTGCCATCATGAATTTGTGCTAGAGTTTTTAATCTTGTCAATTTACTATGTGTATGATTTCGTGGCCATTTGTAACTGTGTAGATTTTACTTGTACACTTTCTCTCCAAGATTTTTTTAAAAATGCCGTTTTAGACAATCCCCAGTACTGATCCTTGGGGGCTCTTTGCTTCCTATTCTTTGAGGGGTCTTTGTTTTTTTTTTTAACAAACTAATTAAATTGTTGCTTATTTCTTAAAAATTTTTTTACTGTTTCTGGTCTGGAGCTTCTTCAGTGATTTTGTGACAGTCTTGGAAAATCTAATTTTAATTCTCCCCTTTATTGAAAACTTGGTTGGCCTTTTCTTTTTCTGACCTCCTCTTGCCCCTACAAAGGTAGAGATTTAATAATACATGATTTCTTTTTACAGAAAGCACATTACTTATTTATTAGCTTGGTAGTTTCAGCATTGAGAATCCTTCATTTATAATGTTCAGAATTTTTCTCAAAGACCTTTTAACATTTCGATCCTTTACTTAAGAAATCCTGATATCAAAGTAATCCATATTCATAATAGATAATGTGAAAAGTATTTTTTTTAATTTAGAAAAGTGCAGAGAAATTGGAGAAAATACTCATAGGTCCCTGAGTGACTGCTATTAATGTTTAATATGCTCATTTAAGAAAGTTTGGGAAGTAGCGAAGAAACTACCTACCATACTAATATAATCACAGTTAATATTTGCCTGACTATATTTCCTTCTAGTTTCTATTTTTCTTTACATAGTAAATTTCTTTGCAATCACAACATAAATTCAGTTTGTATTATATGTTTTCCACACATACACATTTTAAAATACTATATAACCCTGTGTTTTCATTTTTTAAGCATTTGGGCTCTACCCTTAGCTTTAATTTTTTTCTGTTATTTCGTTATGTGTAACATCTTTGAACACAGAGTGTTTTTTGTATTTAGAATGGAGTGAAATTGTTGGAGGATGGCTACAGGCACTTTAAAGCCCTTACTACCTATTATGAATGTGGTCACGTGTGCACCTGCATGTCTAAGTTTTGGTTTCACCTCATTCTTGCCATCATAGGGATTTTTTAAATAATAAAAAAGAAAGAAAAATCCTTGCTTATTCCCAACAATAGACATTTACTCTTTATTGAAATAGGTTCTTAAATCTTTTTTTAATCTTCTTTACTTTAAATATTTTTGCAGGTATTTAAATTTGTATTAGTGTACATATATTTTTATTTTCATTTTACATGTGGTCCTTTTCCTCGTGATTTATCTATGGCTTTTAAGATTAGAAAGTCTTTGTGCTTTCAAAGATTCAATAAATATTTTTATTCATGTTCTTCCAGTTTTTTGTGGTTCGATTTTTAAATATATTTGATGCTTTAATCTAATTTGGATTTGTTGTAGGCCTAAGACAGATCTACCAGGGTGCCATTGTTCTGCTATACCTAGTTTAAACCAGTGATAAATGCTATCAGTGGTGGATGGATGAATTCCAAGATTCATTTCACATTTTGTACCTGACTCTTTGTAGGAGTGTTATTTAAATCAGGCTGATGGGTGTTGCTAAAATGTTGGACCAGCCTTGGACTTCTCATACCCATGCTGACCTGTGGCTCAGTGGGAATCTAGCATTTGTCCCTGAACGTGCATTGCCCTTGGTTTCTGAATAGCCTCCAGCTAGTTTATACTAGATCTTTGGCCTTTCTCTGGGGCTTGTGAACTCTGCTTTCCAGCAAACAATGTACCCTCACTATTAGTCAACAGACCATTTTCCTTAGGCCCTGGAAGGCCTATAACACAAGCTCCTTCATCCACAGGCAGAATCCCTTCCAATCACCTTTCCTCTTGGATCTGCCCACCCATCCCCTGCAGCCTGGCCAGCAGATGCCAGTTTGCCTGGGCTGGTCAGCACATTCACACCAGCTCTCTCTCCTTAGCTGACTGAAAGGCTTTCTTTTTTAGCTCCATGACTGCAGAATAAATAAGAGCAATAACATTGCTCTTTTGTTTTAAATAAATGAGTATGGGGCAAGTGATTCAATCAATAACTGAGCAAGAATTGACTTTTCCAGTTTAAATGTAGTGAGCACCCTATCACCTAGAGTGTTCAACAGATTCAGGAAAACATTTTAAGAAATGTTAGATAGGGGAGTCATGAATTTCATGAGGATGACTGTCTCCATAATCTTCTCACCCTAAGGTTCTGAAGTTACGTGAGTATCTCATTTCACACCTCCCTTTTTTTTTTTTCAAAGTTTTCCCAACATTTACAGTAGCAGAGGCACAAAACAAATTTTTTGCATGTGTATTTATGTATGTGTATACATCCTTTTATTGATCTCTTCATGAAAAGGTAAGGAATGTGATATAGATTTATGTAAAGAATCTTATTTGCTAGAACGTGATGTTAATGAGGTCATAACCGCAGGTTTGATCCTTAGATAAGCCAACTGTGTTAAGTCCTAGGATTAGTTTGGAAAAAATGGCTTCTAAAAAACAGGAAAAATATGATTGGAAAACAGGTTTAGTATCTGCCCCAGGTGGTTAGATATATAAAGCTTACTTATCCAGTGAGTGTAAGAAACCAAAACCAAAACAAACAGAAAGAGTATTAAGTCCATACAGTTGAGATAGAAGTAGAATATCTGACCACAGACTTGTAGGTTGTATTAGTTGACAACGTGTGCATCTTTTTAGGTAAATATAAGAATTGGTTTGTGAATTGATTTTTTTTTTCAAAAAAGCATCATGGAGGTGTAATTTACATACCATAAAATTCACCCATCTTAAGTGTATAATTCAATTCAATTTAATTCAAATTTTAGTAAATTTAGAGTTATGCAACCATTACCACAATCTAGTTTCAGAACATTTCGGTCATCCCCCAAAAGATTTCTTACACCTGTTGGCAAAAAATCCTTGCTCTCTCCCAGAGCCCTGGGCAACCACTAATACACTTTCTGTCTCTATAGATATGCCTTTTCTGGACCTTTCAAATAAATAGAATCTTATAACACATATTATTTTATATTTGGCTTTTTTCACTTGGCATAATGTTGTAGCATGTAGTTTATTCCTTTTTATTGTGGAGTAATATTCCATTGTAAGGATATATCATATTTTGTTCATACATTCACCAGCTGATGGACATTTTGATTGTTTCCAGTATGGGGCTATTATGAATAATATTGCTATTAACATTCACATACAAGTCTTTGTCTGACCATATGTATTTCTTCTCTTGGGTGGATATTTAGGTGTAGAATTGCTGGATTATATGCCAAGTTTATATTTAACTTTTTAAGAAACTGCCTAATTATTTTCCAAGGTAGCTGTACCATTTTACATTCCCATTAAACAATGAGTGAGGGTTCTAGTTTCTCCATATTCTCACAACTATTTTACTGTCTTTCTTTTTCATTATAACCATTCTAGTGGATGTGAAATGATGTCCTGTGGTTTTCATTTTTATTTTCCTAATGATTAGTGGTGTTGAACATCTTTTCATGTGCCTATTCATGTATCTTCTTTGGTAACATGTTTACTCTAATGTCTTGCCGGCTTTTAAAATTGGGTTATCTTCTTATTGAGTTGTAAGAGTTCCTTGTAGTTTTTAATGCAAGTTCTTTATCAGATATTGGAAATATTTTCTTCCAGCCTGTGACTTGTCTTTTTAATTTTCGTAATGGCGCCTTTTGAAGTATAAACATTTTTAATTTTGATGATGTCTAAATTATCAGTCTTTTTCTTTTATGAATTGTGCTTCTGATATTTTATCTAAGAACTCTTTGCCTACCCAAGATCTTAAAATTTTTCTCATGTTTTCTTCTAGAAGTTGCATAGTTTTAGCTCTTATATTTAAGTCTGTGATCCATTTTGAATTAATTTTTGTATATGGTGTGAGGTGAGGGTCAACTGTTTTGCATGTACATATCCATATCCAATGTTACTAGTACTATTTGTTGAAAAGACCATCTTTTCTCATTGAATTTCCTTGACACTTTTGCTGAAAATCAGTTAGCCGTAACCAGAAGGGTTTATTTCTGGCCTTTCTATTCTGTTTCATTGATCTAATCTCTGTTCTTACTCTAGTACCATAGTCTCTTGATTACTGTTGCTTTGTAGTAAGTTTTGAAGTCCTCCAACTTTATTCTTCTTCTTCTAAATTGTTTTGGCTACTCTGGGTCCTTTGCATTTCCATATAAATTTTACCTTCAACTTGTCAGTTTCCACAAAACATTGCATTGAGATTTTGATAAAGATTACCTTTAATCTACAGGTCAATTTGTGAAGAAATGTTAACAGTATTGATTTTTCCATTCTGTGAACATGGAATGCCTCTCCACTTATTTAAAGATTTTTCGACTTATCTTGGCAATGTTTTGTTCAGTGCACAAATTATGCACTTTTGTCATTAGATTTATTACTATAAATCTTATTCCTTTTGATGTAATTGTGAATTGAATTGCTTTGTAATTTAATTTTCTGATTGTTCATTGTTAGTATATAAAACTATGACTGCTCTTTGTATACTGATGTTGTATTCTGTGACTTTTCTGGACTTTTTTTTTTTTTTTTTGGTAGATTCCTTAGGATTTTCTTATACAGGATTATATTGTCTTGGAATAAAGATAGTCTTTCTTTCTTTCTTTCTTTCTTTCTTTCTTTCTTCTTTCTTTCTTTCTTTCTTTCTTTCTTTCTTTCTTTCTTTCTTTCTTTCTTATCTGTATACTTTAATTTCTTTTCTTTGCATCATTGCACTGGTTAGAACCCCAAGAACAATGTTCAATAGAAGTAACAAGAACTGATATCCTTATCTTGCTCCTGATATTAGAAAGAAAGCATTTGTTATTTCGCCATTATGTATCATGTTAGCTGTAGGTTTTTCGTAGGTACCCTTCAACAGGTTGAGGTAGTTTCTTTCTGTTTATGTTTTGTTGAGAGTTTTATCATGAATAGACATTGGATTTCGTCAAATGCTTGGTCTATATCTATTGAGATGATCATGTGGTTTTTGTCTGTTATTCTATTAATATGGTGTATTACATTAATTGATTTTCAGATGTTAAACTGACCTTGCATTCCTAGGACAAATTCCATTTGGTCATGGTGAATACTTCTTTTTATATATTGTTGGATTTGGTGTGATAGTTCTGTGTTGAGGGTTTTTCTGTCTCTGTTCATTGGGAATATTGGTCTGTAGTTTTCTTTTCATGTCTTCGTCTGGCTTTGGTATCAGGGTAATCCTGGCTCACAGAAAAGTTGAGAAGTGAGCCAATTTATTTTTTTTAAACTGGTCTCAGTTAGGGGGAAGGAAGGATGGTACACAACAGTGTTTCTCTATCTATGATGAAATTTCATTTAAAAATCATTTCTTATCTTGTGAATTGATACTTTAAAAATATAATAAAACTGAATTACTAGAAAAGTCATACAAAAATATACAAATAAAAGCCCCACTGATGAATTATATTCAGCCTATATTAAATTACTCCATGAAATTGATAAAAACGTTCCTAAAGGTTTACTCTTAATTTCTGTGTTTACCTCATCACAGACTGGACACAAAACAGTTCTCACAAATCTGTGAACCAGCTTTTAGTCTGGTGTAAAGCACTGGTGTAAACCCATGCTTCTCAAACTTTAATGTTCATAGAAATCACCTGGGGATCCTGTTCAAGAGCAGATTCCGATTTGGCAGGTTGGGGGCAGGGCCTGAGTCTCTGCATTTCCATCAAACTCCCGGGTGATGGTGATGCGGCTGCTGCTGGGCCACAGGTCACACTTTGAGTGCCAAGGCTATGAAAAACAATGCAGACAGCAACGTAAATGTGATTTTTAAATAACCCTGTCATAAATTGCTTTGGGACATATTTTGGATTTTCCAAGATTGTTGGATTGTTACTCAGCTGTCAGGATTCTCTAGATATCAGTTGTTTTTCTTGGCCTGTGACCTTTCTGGGTCTCCAGCTGTTCCTCTATAAATCCAAGGGGTTGAACTAGAAGATCTCTGAAGTCCTTTCCAGATCTCACAGTCTATGATTTTAAGCATCCATGTCAAAGGAGAATTATGGTTTCATTTGCATTTTCTTTTTGTATAAACCTAATAAAACATGAACCCAAAGTTTTATGCTACAACAGTTCTTAACATAATGTTAAAAAGTAACAGTAAACATGCTTTACTAAATTTTGGATGATTCAGGAAGATTAGTGTCAACATTCAAAGGTTTTTCCATGTTGAAGTCTTGAAGAGAAAGGGTGGGGGTCTTGTTTAACTTTATAGTTGGAAATCCAATTAAAAAAATAACTGGCTTGCTTAAAGTGTGGAGACACAAGTAAAATAGGTGTTTATATTATGAAATTCAAGTTGACACAAAATAGCTGAAAGGCTTCAATTTCAGCCAAGTTGAAATGATGTCATTGTCCTTTATATTTCATTTTATTTACTGAGATACTTGAAACTTTTTCCCCTGTTGCTTAAAAGCAAATGAAAAGGGTGGTAAATCTGTGGTGGAAATGTGTTGTCAAAACCTCCAGGGGCTGTATCCTCAGCCTTCAGCACATATTAGTGTGATTCTGCTATTCTTACTACAGATGATTACAGCAAACTCTGCAATGAAGGGTGGAGGCATTTGGTCAGCCTCCAAAGAAAGTGACTAATATTTGACCTAATGTACAGAGTACATGAATAACATATTCTTAGGGTAAGAAAAAAATTCTGGTTTACAGGGTGTGTAAGAGTTCATATTTCTTTTTCAATTCTTCCAAAAGATTTAAAATACTCAGCTGCTCTATTAAATTTTTAATTCCTCAGGCTCAAATGCAAATCATGCATTAGATGCCATTATTCAATTCAATTTAAGAACAGACTCTTGCCCCAGGAATTTATTAAAATAGTTTAGAATCTTGAAGATAAAGAGTATCAGTTTTGTGAGTTTGTAGTACCCTCATTCTTCAAAACAGCTTTTTCGTTTTATACACTGTTGAGTAATGGTTTCCCTGGGTACAGACATTTGAAGTCTACAAAATATATAGGAGTTTTTATTTGCTGAGATTAGTGGAAAGTTAGCATTTTCTTTTTCTTTTTTTTTTTTTATCACATTGAACATCATTTAAATAATATACTTACTGTATTTCTGTTATTTTTGGCACAATATTTTACTTGGTGGGTTTCCTTTTATTCATTTAGTAATAATGGGGTCAGCTTGGCAGGCCTTTTGTTTTTAATTAACTAACACATGATTGTGTTATGTGTTAAGATATGTTCATTAATGTTAGGAAAAACACAGATGAAAATGTTTACAGTGGTTCACTCTGGGTGGTGGGATTATAGTTGAATTTCATTTTCTGATTTCTAATTTTTTGTGTCTTTTGAATGTTCTACAAAGGCCACATAATTTTTTTGAATTAGAAAAGACCACAAGTATAAAATTAATAAAAGCTTAGAATTTCTAGCTTTATTTCTCTCTGGAGAAAGGGAACTTTTCATGTATCTATTTAATATGTATGATGCACTTACTATACACCATGCACTTTGCTGGGTCTGGGGAGGAATAGGGGAGGTGAGAGACAGCTGTTTCCCTTAAGCTCAGTTCTAGATCTTTATCTGACCAAGGTATGGTGGGTGGGGAGCAATAAATGATATCCCCCAATGAATTATTACCATCGTAAAGTGGTAATCATTTTATGCTTCTCGCCTGGAATTTAAAGAGGATGAATTGAGATTCTATATGTAAGGCACTTGGTCTAATACTTGGTACATAGGAAAGTAATCATGATTACTGTGCTTTGCACATTCATGGTGATGAACTCATTACCTCTGGAGTTAGGCCGGTCTGTTTAGATAGCCTGGGGGAAAGGTGAGACCAGATACCCAGGTGACATTCATCTCTGAGATACCTCCCCCATTTCTGCAGTTATTCTTCCACGTGGCATCCTTTTAAATACCAACCACTAAAAGTTTGGTTTATTAACTTAATTCCTTCCAAGCCAAGTTTCTGTTGGGACCTTTCTCTGAGAATGCAGTTCTAGTTTTATCATGAAGGATAGTGAGAAACTAGGATTTATTATGTAGTTGTGCAACTATAAATATTTATTTCATCGATATGTGAGGGCCACCTGGGATTTTTGCTTTTTAATTAATTAAATTAATTTTATATTAATAGACAATAAGCATTTGAGAAGGCAAAGATATACCTAGACAAAAAAAAAAAGTCCTGAATCACTGAAAGCAGTTTAGACAGAGACATTGAGTCCAGAAACTTCAACTTAATTCTCCCCAAAGTGTCTTTTCTGTGACCCCACAACAAAGCACACACAAAACCGCATTGGCTTTGTATCACAGAAATGCTTTCCTGTCCCAGCAGTTGATTCTAATAAGTTTGTTTTATTGATCTGGTTGCAAGGGGTGCTGTCCAACAAATAATCCTATACAATAAAAAGCCTTCTCAAGTGACTGTTGAATAGTCAGGGTGGTGTTGGTGTCTGTGTGATGATGAAGGTGATGGGTGAGCAAAGTTCAGCTAATCACAGGGTTATTGTTCTATGGTGAGGCAGCCACAGCGTCACTCTTGAGCTTTCTGCATGCCTGCCTCCCATACCAAACATTACAGCCTTCCCCTAAAACTTCCAGACCACCCACTGGAACAATATAGTATATAAAAGGATCCAGATGCTTGGAAAGAGAAAGGGTGAAGTGCAGAGCATGCGTGATACCTGCTCGTTGGCCCTTCTAGATTTTGAGCACTGTTTTTACATAGCTGGCTCACTAAAGAGATCAAACTTCATCTCCAAGTCTCATTTTCAGAGCATTTTTTGAAATATATCAAGATTAAAATGTATCACAAAAAATCTGCATTTTTAAAATTGTTCTGGATTCAGGGGTGACTGTGCCTCTACGGCTCTGCACCTTTCTTCAGTATTCCCCAGAAAACAGGGGGAAACAAATCGTTGTAGGATGTGCACACACGTGGAGCTCTAAAGCTAGACAGGATGTGGGGAATAGAGGAGAGAGTAGAGAGTGTCAAATAACAGAGTGATACCCACGAGGAAAGAGTACCAAATACATGGGGAGCGCCCGTTTGCAGAATGGCACAGGAGAGTTGGCTAAATACACATAACTTACACTTGAAGGCTTAATTGCTTGGAAATTTTTAAAATATTTTGTTTTATAAATGTATATATTTGGAACTTAGGCTACTTGGTAGCTTTGCAGTGGTTCACCTGGTGAAATATGGCTTCTCAATCTGTTTGTTCAAAACAGATTTAATAGATAGGGTTTTTTTCCCTCCTCCCTGCCTGCTCCCTGCAGGACAGCTGATTTACAAGAGGCAATCTCCTTCATATGATACTCATTAATTAATTTATTTACCTAACCCCTTCATTTTCTCTCACCTTCCTCTCCAGTGTTGCTTCCTTAGTTTCTCTTTATCACATTACCATTAAAAATATTTACCTAAAAGTCTCTTTCTCTCTCTCAAGTTAGCTTCAGAAAAGGAGAGCTGGCCGCCTGTTTTCACCCATATCTTCAGTGCCTAGAATAGTGTCTGGCAGACAGTAGGTACTCAATGAATATTGATGATAAAACTTAGTTCATGAAGAAGTTCTAGACAGGACTATGAGTAAAACATCTTGGTTCATTTGATTGTTCATCTGTTCATTCATTCACTGTCTCTCATGTATCTATTGAAGACATAGTCTGTGCTAAGGACTGTAGTACTAGGTACTGGGCATATAATCCTCCTCTAAAGGACTTTACAAATAGATAAAAACATCTTCTTTTGGTACAATCTCTTCATTTAAATAAAAGACTAATGAAAATTAGATTTAGAATGTTTCATTACAAATTTTAGAGTCCTCCAAACTATTGATTAAAACAATACATAAATGTTTCCCTTCCAGTTTAAATTAAATCAGAAAGCTTGTGTGGGCTGTTCTCCTTGCCTGGTTTAGACTGGAAGACCCCAGCTGTAGGGAAGATGCTTTCCTCAAACCATGGGCAGGCAGAGCTTTCCTGCCAGCGAGCAAGTTGGCATGCTGGTGTTTGAGTGGCAGTCCATTAGTTGGCATCACCACCTAGTGCAATCTCTAAAAAATAGCAATCTTTGTCCTTGAAAATGAAAATACTTTGGTTTTAAAAATATGTTTCTGTTTTTAATGAATCCAAGACTTGAGTTAATTTAAAGGCACTCACATTTCCCTTTGCTGATGGCGACACCTAAAACGTTCATGCCCATGCACAAAAGGGTATTCCATTTGGAGTTCTCTTACATTGACTCAATTCCCTATTTGTAATACACAACATGGCCACCATTGGGCAACAAAATAACTTTATTAAAGCAAAGAAAAACTGTGGGTTACTGTGTTACATGCTCTTTCAGAATTGTAAAGTTTCCCTGAAGTAGATATATCACAGTAATCCATGGCCTCTTTGTGGCCTACGGTCTGCCAAAATTACTGAAGATGTCCCAGCATCACAGCACGGACCTGTGGAGAGGAACTTTATAGCATTCTGGCCCAATCTCTGCTTTTTGTAGAGGGTTCTGAGGAGTTTCGGTGAACTGAGCTTACTAACCAGGGGTCACAGAGCTAATTGATGGGAGTCCAGGCTTGATTCCATTCTTCTAACATCCAGTCCAGTGTTGCCCAAAATGTGATCTACTGACAACTTACGTCATGATTGGCAGGGTTACTCAGCAAAAATGATTCCTGGCCCCCAGCAGAATCAAAATTATTGAGGGTTCAGTCCAGGGATTTGCGTTTCAATAAGTTCCTCAGTGGTTCTTATGGACACTAAAATTTGGGCTTTTTACCAATAAGCCTTAAGACCCCATTTCCAGGGAAAGCTATGTGCTAAATAGTTCTTCCAGAATGCTTGCCCAAGAGAATGACTTGCCTTCATATTTGCTCTGCTGTGTATATTGACAGTATAAACCATTTCAAGATGAGCTTTAAGGATGAGTAAAAACATACGCTAAATTAGGAGCTGAAATCTTTAATTTAGAGATACTTTTTCCATAGTCTGAGAGTAGGAAAATTTTCATCTGAAGGTTGTTTATTCAGTGGATGAATCAAAAATTGTTGATAAAGTCTAAAAAAGGTAAATATGATTCTTTAAAATTTTGAATTGAGTGTAATGGAGCTTGAATTGATATTTAGTATGTTCTATTTACTTGTGTTTTCATAAAAACCTTGCTGGATGAATATTCAGGGTGCCAATAAATTTGTTACCTGTTTGGCCATAGGAACTGGGCAGAGGGAAGTTATGGGAAGACTTTTCAGTGAATATTTTCTATGCTTCTTGATTTTTGAACCCTTTGAATATATTGCCTATTCACAAATTTTTAAATAATATAAATGTTTAAAGCATTAACATTCATTGTAGGGCCTTAGTAGGTGATTGCTCTGACTCTGCCCAGGCTACAAAAACACATACTCTAGAATCTAGGTGTCCCTGTAGCAGAAGGTAATGAACATTTCCAAAGGGCAGAGCCAGGAAGGGAAAGACTGCACATTCAGCTAGTTTTAAGGAAATCACTAATTGGCTTGAAAAGACAAGTCATTTTGTTTTAGCACTTATACTCATTATTTTAAAGCCCCTCCCTGACAGACCACTCATCACTGGGGTTTTGGGTGACCTTGGGCAAATCACTCAACCCTCTTGAGACTTTGTTTTCTAGTCTGTAATAATACTGATGAAAACTCCCTGTATTTCAGTTGGCTGACGATTTCTGAATACATTACTTAGTTTTCACAACAACTCTGGGGGTTGGGTAGTATGGCATGATCCCTATTGTTCAGATGAGGAAATTATGACCCAGAGAGGTTATATGGTTTAGAGAGGGTCACACAGGGGTGGGACATCTAACTTCCAGTACTGGGCTCTTTCCACTGTGGCATGCAGGGGACGTGGATTAGGCAATTTCCAGGGCCTCTTCTGGCATCCAAGTCCTTGAGTATATGAGCTATTTGGGGCTCCGTCAACATTTGTTGAAGTCTTTTGGAAAAATCCAAAGGAAATTGAAGCCATGGGTTTGCAATTTTAGAAGCTCGCATTGTAATTAGAGTATCAAAATGTGCTCATACGAAGACAACCGAGGAATACTTACAAAGCCAACACATACCAAGTTATGCAAATTACAAATATACCAGATCTCATATCACATAGCACAAACTCTGCACCTAACTACCAAGGGGATGGGGAATCCCAAACCTCAGAGAATAACATTTGACTCTCTCATCCTCTCCTAAATGATACTAGCAACTGCTCTTTGAGCACCCAGTAAGGCAAGCATTTGTTACGTATTATCACATTTAATCCTTACCACATCCTCTGAGGCAGGTATTATTATCCCAATTTTATAGGATAAGGAAACAAGACTTAGAGATTAAGTGATTTGAATAAGGCTTGTAGGTGGTAAAGCCCATCACCAACCAGGGTCCTTATTATTATTGTTATTTTTATTGCTATCTCCTACAGGAAAGTTAGGATCCTTTATTGATTTAAGGTGTGTGCGCTTTGTCTCATGCCTGGCTCGTCTTCTTGTCTAAGAGTACACGTAGCGTGGTTTCAGATAAGGGTATGTTGAAGAGAAAACTTAACGTACCTCTGCCAATACCCAGGGTGAGCCTGATTTCATGCAGTAGCAATTTGAGTCGCCTTTAGTGGGCCCATGAGTAAAGGAGGCCCATGAATTCTGCCTTCTTGCCTCAAAACTCTTTATTATGTGAGCCTGGCTTCTCCTGTGTAGCATCTGTTACTTCGTTTTGCCTTCCACATGTACTAAGTAGAAATAGACAAACTTAACTCTTGCAGATAATAGATGACTGAAAACAGATGATGGGCACACAAAACAGGCTTTGTCTCCATAGGATTTTGTTGGTAAAATACTTCGTCTTTCACTTCAATATATTTTGTTCATTGTTTTGCTGCTGCTTAGATATGAAAACTTTCCTCTATCGTCCTAATCTTCTGATATGCCATCATCTCTTTCAACCTCTTTTCCGATGCCAGAGTGAATCCAGTCTGCCCTTGAATACTGTAGAAACCTCTTGGCAGTTGTTAACAAGCCTTAGCATTTACTCAGTCATTCTGGGAAGAGAGGGGAATTTACACTGTTTCCTTAGTTCACATAGACACAGGCGAGGTAAGTAGCCTGGCTGGGTTGGCAGAGGTTCTTGAGGATTGTAAAAACTGTGCTTTGCTCCGGACCCTGGCTCCTCACAGAGGTCTGCCTGCTTGTCCTTGGTCTGTGTCCTCCGCAGGCCTTTTACTTGAGTCAGACTCCTCTAATGAGAGAGTTCTTGGGTTTCAGTCTGGGGGAATCCAGCCTCCACCCGCCAGACTTCCTGGAGAGCTCTCTGCTGATGCTGAAAGTGCCTGGAGCCTTGAGGATTGGATCAAGCTCCCTTTCGAAGGGGTCTCAAAATTCTTTAGACATAATATATTTGTGGCTACAATTTGTTAAGAAAGGAAACAGGCTGTACTAGCCAATAAATTGTCAAAGGAGCACATACCTAAGATAGAGAGAATGGTTTGCAGCACACAACGCTCTCACTCCCTTTTCTAGTGCTCTGTATTCAGTATTTACACTAACTTTTAGTAGCAGCTGATTTCTAAGAAGACTTCTGGCTTCTGCTCTTTGCATTGACCAAAACTCTTGGGGCATGTGTTGAGTGAGGGAATACCTTTTTATTCACCTGCTTCCTAGTCTGAACTTTCAGATAATCGGCACTTCTTGTTCCCAGTGTGAATCCAAAGAGCTGAAACAGCTTTCTTTGTGGGAAATCAGGTAAGTGGGATTTCTCTACAGGGATGCAGATGCAGATCTGAATGCATGTACAGTGCTCCATAGCTCACTGACTAAGCTTTAACCAGCAAGTCAGAGCTATACAGCACCTATAGGTACTCCCACGATACTTCAAAAATTTTCATGGAATTATAAACATTGATTGTCAGAAAAACAGACCTAGTTATCTCATTTTGCAGGCTTTGCGTCTTTGAACACATTTGATATCCATTCCTACTAAATTTTCTCTCTGAATCTGATCTGTCTGCTATTCATATATTTCTGTTGTTTTATTAGTATGTGCTGTAGCCAGATATTTTGCTAATTTGTGTGCTTTTTCTTTGCTTTTTCATAATTCTGCCTAACTTCTTAGGTATAGAATTTCCAAAGCTAGTTGTTAGTGTGCCAAAACAGCCAAAACAGCTTTAACAAAAAAAACTATGCTTTGCTTGACTGGGCTGTAAGATGACTTAGATAATTTATGCTTCCCTTCACCATACTTGGGGGAGTACCTGTTTAGAAAGGGTTTTATATCCTGGCTTGGAATAGGTCTAATAATTTAAACCCTCTCTCCTGGAATTACCAAGGTCTAAAACTAAACCTTATGCTAATAATGTTGAAGTTGAAATGGTTTTCAAAATGATACCCAAGTGTTTATAATTTTTTATGTGCTGAACTGTTTTGTTTAGATAAACTGGAAGAAGATATTCTGGGATAGGAAATGGCTGAAGGAAACAAAGGTGTGTGCAGAGAAATACATGAAATGTGTTGTAGGATCAAAGATTTAACAGTTTATATGGAACAAGGAGACCTCAAATAGGGAGAGGGGAAATGGAGTTGGATGGTAACTTGGCCTGGCTGAGAGGACTTGGAGTGCTGATTATTATTTATGCCTAGCTTGTTTAAGAGTTTTTAAAAAATAGGAAACCACATGTGAATGGGAGTGGGGGAACCACTCTAACTTTTAACTTAGCCACATAGGAGAAGCCTACTTATTCAGACCTCAAGCCTTAGTCCTGGCAAATTCATCTCCTGGTGATGGCTTAATTATATTTCAGGCATAGTATTCAAGGTGAGTGTTAAGTTTTTATTTTTAAGTGAGAATCTTGCAAATGCAAGCATATCAACTGATAGCCAGTGTCTTAGGGCCCCTGCACAAACAGCTAAGTATGCTCAGAGAGCCCTACTGTGGAAAAGATGCCCTAGAGGAACACCCAGTCATCCTTTCCTTTAACCTTCATCTCATCGTTTTCTCTTCCCTTCCCCAACCTGGACCTATCTTGCCCAGCCTTCTCAATGAATACTTGGCATGAACTTCATTCACTCAACTTTGTCGCTGACACGCCCGTTGTACTGACAGAATCCTGGCTTGAATGGCGCTTGCTCAGCTGTGCTTTAGACAGACCCTTCTGGCTGACCTGGTTTAAACCTGGCTTTCTTGACGCCATCCTCAGCGTGTTCCAAGGTGAAAAAGGACTCTGCTGCCCCTTCTGTTGCTCCTCTGCAGGGGAAACCAGTTGCCACTTGGCACCAGGATGTATCAGGCCGGCATCCAGAGTAGTAACATGATTTAGTGAAAATAGTACTAGACCAGGAGGAAACTTGAGTCCTAGTGCTGGTTTGCTTTTCAGTGGCTGTGTGACCTTGGGCAAATCATTGCACCACCCCAATCTCAGTTTTTTTCATCTATGAAGTGACGAGCTGTTCTCTAAAAACCTTTCTGATCCTCAAAGTCAGGAATTCACATAGGTTACCAAATTCTTGAATGAATAGAGATTTGGGTTCTAAGTGCTTTTCTTTTCATCTACTGCACTGCCTTTTTACACAAAACAGGGGCCATCTCTATATTGTTTTGTAGTGTGCACTCAACTCCCCTCTCAATCTTGGGTTCAGGTACCAAAAAGACCTTCCTTCACCTGCACAGTTCACTACAAAGAAGGGCATTCGAAAAGTCTGTAAGTGGGCCAGGTGATTCAGGATGTTTCGCGTTACTTTAAGAAGCTTTTTCTTGAATTAAATCACTCTATTTTTAGCAACTCACTGGGTGATGCTTTTAAAAATATCACTGATAAAAAATATGTGCTTGAGACAATTACAGGTATTTCACATATAATATTTCACCCAAATCTTAACAACCTTAAATTCTCTCCGCTTGACACGTGAGGGGATTGAGGCTTACTGAGATTAAACAATGACACAGGGCTAAGAATGGGCAGGGTTGGAATTTAGGTCAGAACTTTCTGTGTCCACAGCCTGAATTCAACTCTGGCACTATGTTCACTATGAGGAGTAGCTGCCATTGCTGTAAGAATACCTGGCGTTTTGTGCAGGAGATCTCAGGGAACCCTTTTTGTTAGGTTTCAAAGAAAATGATTTCTAACTGCATTTCAGATGCCTGGAATTTATGCTGTGCCAAGCACTTTTCCACTTAATTCTAAATCCGTGGGTATTTCAAGGGGAATTTAACCCATGTGGTTCTGATTCACTTGTACTTAACTCATCAAAAAGGATTGTTTTGTAAACCTTAGCCTCTTCTTATGAATGCTTTCGAGCTCATATTTGGCTGGCATTGGCTGGATTTCGAATCTGCCATGGTTGAAGCTTGGTTCTTAAATCCTTCTTTCCAACAACTATTTTGTGGTAGTTTCATCCTGGGAGTGGATGGAAATTGAAGGTGAGTCATGAAGGCTCTTCCAAAACTTTACCAGGATTCCAGTGGTATAGACAGTCACTAACCTTTGAGGTTCGTGAGGTTTGTTGCACTCACCTACAGCCTTACCCCATTAAGTAGTTGAATTGTGCATGGATGTGATCTATGAGGGTAAAAAATTAAAATCATAGATGTTGCATTTTCCCCTGGGATGGTGTAGAGAAAAATTGTCTTTGAGATAAAAGGTATTTGTGGAGGTTAGGTATATTACTACTTTGGAAAGGCCTTTTAGCATAGAGTCTTCTATTTGGGAGACATTAGAGTTATAGAGCTAGTGGAAAGTTTCTTTCAGAAACCCCCATTAGAAATGTAGAAGGCAAAAGCCTATTTATTATCTTTGCATTTAGATGAGTTGGGTACATTCAGTTCTGATAACCTGCTGAGTTGGAGAATTAATTAACTTGTCTAATTAACTTCACATGAGCTCATCTAAGGAATGTGTGTAGTTGTGTGGCCCAGGGGAAGCAAGAGCAATTTTTATACCTAGTTAACAGTTTGGTTTAAGAAAGATATATTGAGTGTCTTCTATTCCAGGAAGTTGGGGATAGAAGATAAGAGTTCAGAGATAAACAAGACTCTCTCCTCCTAAGGAACCTACCATTTGGTAGGTTATAACCTATATGCTTCTCTTTGGACCATGGCCAAATGGTATGACTGGCAAATAGTCAATGTACAGCAATACACCATAGGAGCTCAGAAGATGAAGATGTTCATTTTGATATATGAAGCTGGACAGGCTTTTCCCAAAATGCAGTGTTTAAGTTTGGTCTTGAAGGATAAGAAGGCTTTTAAAGGCAGGGTCAAGGGCGAGACAACCAGACATGTTCTTGGGTAATACAGACAATGCCAAATAGTCTCCACAGATTTCTGCTCTGTTTATAGACGTGGAGTGGGGTGACTCTGCGGAGGTGAATCAGAGCGTTAGAAGCTCATGCTGGGCGAAAGGGGGTTGTGCACAGTCCTCGATAATGAGCAGCTGGGATTAACATGACAGTTTTTAACCGAGCACAGATTTTCAGGGCTGGGACAGTTTAGCCTTGGATCAAGAAGAAAACACAGGAAAGGGACAAGGAAGGGAACAAGATGTGAAGGAACAGTATGTGAGATTTACACATCATCACTGCATGCCATGTTTAAATAGAACATACTGCATAACATCTTAACATGCCCTTACATTTCTATAGTGTACAAATAATGGCTTATTCTGTCTCACGTTGAAGAAACCAATTAAATGATGCATGTTGGGTATAAAGGTTTTTTCTATTGAAAATATCATTGTCATAGAATAGAAAGAGTTACAATCAGACAGAAAATTAAATATCTTAAATATTTCTCTTGTATAGTGTTTACAAACACCCTATTATCATCCCTATTTATAATTAAGAAAACTGTGGATCAGAAAGTAAATAATTTGCCCATGGTCACATAGGTATATAAGACACTTCCATTTCAGTTTGCAGATATAATGTGTATGTGTGTATGTAGCTTACCTTTTCTATTTGTCATACTTTTTCAATTCACTATATGACACATTTACAGAGTATATGTCATGTATGTGTTAGTTACAAACCTATTTTAAAAATGAATACTGCCCAACCTAAGCAGTAAAATATGACTGATACCCATTTAGGATTCCCCGTACCATCTCTTTCCTGCTTCTCCACAGGGAGGTAACCTCTATCATAGATTTTATTACATATATTTTTTTAGCTGACACCAACATTGCTTCTGTGTTACCATGGTTTACAGTGAATATATTTACAAAAACAAAATTGGGATAATTTTCATTTCTTGCAAACAACACTCCAACACTGCACTGAAGGCTTTGTTAGCTCAAGATTTAGGAGTATGAGAACAAGGTCCTGAAACTGATTTGAACGTTGCTTCAATCTCGACTGCTGTGATTTAATCCTGGGGAGCAAGAGGGCAAAAATGAGGCCAAAGGGGAGGCATGAAGTAACCAACAGGGCCTGATCTGGGATTTGAAAGATGTAGATTGTCGTTCCATCTGCCACTAATTTGTTCTGTGACATTGAGAAAATAACTTTGCCGCTCTGTGTTTTGATTTACCCTTGTGTACATTGTACCGTCATTTTGAGGAAGGCAAAGTAGTGGGGAAAGCACAGCTTTTAGAATCAGAAACACCAAAAGCTGAATTCTCATTCTGCCACTTACTGTTTGTAGAACCTTGGGCAAATTTCTTAACTTTACTTTGAGCCTCAGTTTCCTTCTTTATAAAATGAAGCAAAAGTCTTCCTCAGAGAATTGTTGTGAGAATTAAGTGAGACAGCATGTCTCCCTTGTAGCCAGCACCATGCTCCATAAATGCTCATTTTCTTTTTCTTCTTCTATAAGTTTCCTTCCAATTCTAAAATAGGAGATTCCAGTGCTCATCTTATACATAAACGACTGAAGCACAACCAGCTCATAATTATGGAATTTCCTGTATTAAAGGGCTCAACATTTCTCTCAAATCAGACTTGTCATTAGAAGACTTTCCAAGGTCTGGATGAATCTTTTGAAATTAACAATAACATCTGGAAAAAAAAAATGGCTCATCTCACACTCACAGAGTAGAGAGAAAGGAGTGAGAAGTATTATATAAGTTCATTTACTACCCTTGATTCTCCCGTTCCCTGAGCCAAAACAATAGACTATAAAGCTGCGACTTCATTTTTATTGTTTCATAAGCCATCTGCATTTGCATAAAGTGTCAGTACCGTTACCCTATTTAAAGGTTGAATGTCACTGTGAATGCAATACTTACCTTTTACTGTCTCCCGGGAACCTACCTAGGCATTTACATAGTTCTTTGCTTTCTTTTCAATCCATTCTTATTGACGTATTGTTTGAAATTGGCCACTGTTTGGGAATAACTCCAAAATTCCATTATTTCCATGTGTCCACTCTGTTTATATTTTTATGATTGTTATGGTAAGCAATCAAATATGTAACATTTGGGAACTGAGGGGAGGGGATGGTGGTCTTTACTTTCAATTGACGGTAGTATATAGGGCATATCACATTCAAAATATCTCAATTATTTAAAAAATAGAATAGAGAAAGAGGGTCATCTAACAGAGATATTAGTGAGCTTATTTAAAAAATAGAACGTATCTTACAAGTGAGAACTGGCAGTAATCTTATGATGGTAATGATGCATATGACCATTTATTTGATTTAATTGGAAAAATATGTGTACATCAGAGAACAGTGGATTAACGGAGATGATCAGAGTTGAGTCATGTCTCAACATTAGATATCTTACTAGGTTTCGAGGAAGAAAAATTAAGTTGATTTGGGGAATATGAGCTTAGGAAGGAATATCTGGAATTCTCATTTGCATTTGGGTAAAATTTGGTTATGCACTTGACCTACTTTGCTCAATCTCTTTGCTCTTAATTTTTAAAATACAAGCTACATAAAAATTCCAGAAATGTAGTATCTTATGCTTGGATTATTCACTCATATATATGTCAAATGACAACATAATTTGTGGACTTGGTGTCTCAGTTAGAAATGAGTTTGGATGCAAATGATGCAAAACCCAACCACAGTGACTTAAACAAATAGGGGTTAATTTTTCTTATGTCAGGAATGAATTTGGAGGTATATGGTAGCTGGTGGTGATTCCACTGCTCAAAAATGTCATCAGGCCAGCCAGTGGCTCACGCCTGTAATCCCTGCACTTTGGGAGGCTGAGGTGGGAGGATCGCTTGAGCCCAGGACTTCAAGACCAGCCTGGGCAACATAGGGAGACCCCATCTCTACAAAAAATAAAAAAATAGGCAGGCATGGTGACATGTGCCTGTAGTCTCAGCTATTTGGGAGGCTGAGGTGGGAGGATTGCTTGAGCCCAGGAGGTTGAGGATATAGTGAGCTGTGATCCCACCACTGAACTCTAGCTAGGGCGACACAATGAGATTCTGTCTCAAAAAAAAAAAAAAGAAAAAAAAAGTCATTGAAACTGAGGTTCTTCTTTCTTTGTGCTTTATAAAACCACAATGAGATACCATCTAACACCTATTAAAGCTGCTATTAAAAAGTCAAAAAATAACAGATGCTGCAGAGGTTGTGGAGAAAAAGGAACACTTATACACTGTTGTTGGAAGTGTAATTAGTTCAACCATTGTGGAAGACAGTGTGGTGATTCCTCAAAGACCTAATTACAGAAATACCATTTGACCCAGCAATACCACTACCGGGTATATACCCAAAGGAACATAAATCATTATATTATAAAGACACATGCATGTGTATGCTCATTGCAGCACTATTCACAATAGCAAAGAAATGAAATCCACCTAACTGTCCATCAATGAGACCGGAAAAAGAAAATGTGGTACATATACACCATGGAATACTATACAGCCATAAAAGGGAACTTTGCAAGGACATGGATAGAGCTAGAGGCCACTATACTTAGCAAACTAACACAGCAACAGAAACCAAATACTACATATTCTTACTTATAAGTGGGAACTAAATGATGAGAACAGATGGACGCATAGAGGAGAATAGCACACACTGGGCCTTTTGGAGGGCGGAGGGTGGGAGAAGGGAGAGGATTAGGGAAAACAACTAATGGGAACTAGGCTTAATACTTGGGTGATGAAATAATCTGCACAACGAACCCCCTTGACACAAGTTTACCTATGTAACAAACCTGCGCTTGTACCCCTGAACTTAAACTAAAAGTTAAAAAAAAAAAAAAAAGAACAAGGTCTTCATGAATCCAGGCTTGGACTTGATCTGCATGTCACCTTTATCTTTGCTCTATATTGCAAATTCAACTGTTGTTTTTAACAAAAGGCCAGGCAAGGGAGTAGAGATAACTTAGAACAAATCTCTTAGCTCTTCAGAATGGATTAAAAGGTGTGTCTTGCAGATTGTGGGTCATTGACGTCATTTGTTTCTAAGAATAGCGGGATGTATTGGTTATGTGTACCCATGGTATGTGTGGGAGGAGAGGAAAAATAGAAGGACCAGGGACTATGGTAGGTATTTTGTATACTTATTTACTACTCATACAACCCCAGGAAGCAGAGAAAACTGACTCAAAGGGTAACTTTATTCACTGCCACATTGATAATCAGCATTCCAGAATTCAAATCAAGCATGATAGATTCACGGAATTATAAGTAGTTAATTACATCTTGAGCAAAGGGAATGAATAGTTCAAAAGATTAAGGATTTAGACTAACTTAAAGATATGTCATTTTGCATCCTCCATTCATTCATTCATTCATTCATTCATTCATAAATACTTGAGTGCTTATTATGGGCCCATGGGGATATTCTAGGCCATGGAGATGCAAAGTTTAAAGAGACAAAATATGTATCCTTAAGGCTCACAATCTGATGAAAGACAATCATATAAGTGAGAGTTTACCATGGAGTTTGGTTAGTGCCACAGAGGAGGGAAGGAGTAAGTCGTCAGGGGAGACTTCCAAGTGGAGGAATTTGGTGGAAAAATAGGGAGAGGAAAGGCATTCCAGGTAGAGGAGATGGCATTTGCAAAGACGTGTGGAAGAGAAACAGCACCGTGAGTTGAGGAACTGCAGTTCACTCAGTGTCAATGGAGGGGGAAGGCATTTAGGGAAGAGGCCAGAGAGGAAGCCAAGTAGGGAGCATTTCACAGAGCGTTTTAGGGTCTAACTGAAGTTAGGTTCACTCCAGCAGGGCAAAGGGAAATGAGGGTCTACACTAAAGCAGTAGCAATTGAATTTCAGAGGAGGGGCAATAAAGAAGCTGTTGAGGTGGTAAATTTGACAAAGTTTGCGGGTGATTAGGTGGGGGTGTGAGGGATACTCTGTAATCCCCGCTGCCCTGAGTCTGTGGCCCTGTGATGTGGGCTGTGGTGATGCCCTTTCCCAAAATAAGAAGTGTGGGAGGAGCAAGTCTAATGGCAAAACAAGCTTCTATCAGACATCTTTCTACACGCTCTGCCCTTCCTGCACTATGGAAACAACCTTCTCTTCCTAACCTAGCTGAAGCCATCCTGGCTCAGGCCAGCTGAAAGGCCACGAGGGCGTCTGAATGGTTCATGATTTGACCACTTGAATGCCATCAGAGAGTGATGTGTCTAACTCGAGACGAACAGCAAATTAGTTGCTGAGCTGAGACTGGCGTGCAGGCCTCCTCACTTTTAGGCTTATTGTCTTTAGGTTCTAGCCCTGCACTGTGTTCTGCCTAAATGGGCAAGGTAACATTATCCACAAATGCCTGCTGCCGTTTGGGGAAAACTAACCAGGACGGTATGTGTTACTAAAAGTTAGCTATCAATTTATAGAGGGCAGTGATGACTTTCATGCAGGTTTATGTTTCTATGTGGCTCCCTTTGGAATTACAAGTAAAGGAAGGGGAGAACTGGAGTCGTTTTTTTGTCTGTGCTTGTGTCACTAACTAGGAGAGTTTTTTTTTTTCTTTTCTTTGAGAATGAACATATAAAACTCTAGTAAATCAGAGTAAGTTATCTAAGTAATGCCAAATTCTTATTAGTTACTTCTTTTTAAATAGTGCAGGGGATTATTACCTTTTCTGAGCCATGGACACTTTTAAGAATTTGATGAAAGAACACGTTCTTCTTCCAAAAAGGAATAAATGAAGGCACTGTATTGAGTCCAAGTGCATTGGTTGCAAGTAATGGAACTAGCTTAAGCAGAAGAGGGGATTTACTGTAAGGAAATCCCAGGTTATAAGAAACCCAAGGGCAGGTACTATAGCAGGGCTTTACCCAGGGCTGGAAGCAAAAACCAAATGCTCTCTCCAACTCTTTCTGGAGCCAGCTGGTCTCTATCCCTGCCCCATGCAGGTGGACTGCTCTGTGCATCATGTACATGCCGCCTCCCTGCTCCCAAGGTAAGTCACCTGAGGTCTAGCCAGCTGCAGAGGTGAACACCAGTGCTCGTCAATCCCAATTCCAGATTTCTGGAAGAGAATATGTGATTGCTCACTTAATTGTGTTCAGATTCATCGAACTTGCAGATGTGATTTATGTATAGTTTCAGGGCACCTTTAGACCTACCAAGTCCCAATTGTGGTCTTCAAGTTAAGAACCCATAACTAGAGAAATCTGAATGCCCATAGACCAGCAGCACTAACTTTTAGCCGTACAACTACTGCAGAAATTTGAAAATACATTTGAATAGAAAGCATTTGCATGAGCATAGTTCCTAAGAACACTTGCTTTGTGCAGGAGTTGTGAATTTTAAATATTAGTAGTGAAATCCCAGGATGGCGAATATGATGTATTTTAAATTATAACACTTTCCAAGGTCATTGATATTCTATTCCTAACTTTTACCCTTAAAGGTTTGGAAAATTCCATTTTAATTATTGTTAACATGCTTCATAAATATCCAAGGGAATAAAACATAGACCTGTTAATACATCCAGAGAGCTAAAATCTGGCTCAAGTTGTTTTTTCTTCCACAGTTGGAGAAAATTGTGGTGTTTGGCTTCCCTCTTGGGGCATTTTAAACCACTTTTAATGCTGTCTCTTATTATTTTCTAACCATATACACTTTCCGAACGTATCTAACTAGCTGCCTTAGATGAAACCCCAGTGTCTGGCCAAGCTGATGTAAATCTCTAGTAAGTGGTAAGAGGGAACAGAGTAACACAGTGCCCTGTCAGTGTTCAGACAGTACATGATTTAGTAGTTGTAGGACTTATAGTCTCAGGAGCAACTTTAAATCTTTTTTCTAGTTCTATAGAATGGAAGTTTCTAAGGCATATACTATTCTGCCACTGGCTCCACTGGGCAACACTTAGCTAGAACTAGAGTGGCCTATCTGCCCATGGGATAGTATTAAGATTTAACTCTTCACATCATGTGTACCTGGGGTGTCTGGGAAATAACTATTAATTCCAAAGAGCAGGATGAATATTTGCATAATTGCTAGTCTGTGCCATAAAACAGTTGTCACTCACCAGTGGCCCAGAATATCGAAATCTGTATGTTTCCAGTGGAGCTGCCAAGAGACCCCATGTGATTGTCCCATTAGTGATGTGTTCTCACTCCACTTAGCAGGTCTGAAAAATGGACGACCATAAAATAACAGTGAAAACTCAGTTCTAGGGTCTGCTGCCTTAGTTGTTGGTGTCTAAGAATATGGATCATCTGTTGTATTTGATATCTGAGCACGTACTGATTTTTGTCAGGAATCTTCTCTTGTTGATGAATTAAATCTACATAATCGGGTTTTGGTGCTGCTGCCTCTCCCACCCCCTCAGCTCCCATGCCTGTCTTTTGCACGGTTCACTCACGTGTTCTGAGTAATGCTTGTACTTTCTTCCAACTTGTCTTTCTTCAGCTGAGTTCAGTGCCAGACTCTGAGCTGGAAACAGTCTCAGGAATTTTTCATTCATCAGACATTTTCTTCCAAAGAAAAGTTCTGAGAAGAGGAGGGCCACCTTGATAGTATGTTAGCATGCTTCTGTGACTGTGTGTGTGTGTGTGTGTGTGTGTGTGTGTGTGTGTGTGTGTGTGTGTGTGTGAAAGAGAGAAGATATACAAACAACCTATATACCACATATCTATTAGCACATGGATATTTGATAAAAAGCCAATTCTAGAAATAACATTTGCCAACCAATGTATCAAAACCATCTCCCTGCCGTTTATCTGTCTTGATATTACAGAAAGTTCATATTTATAGAAGGCATTTCTCAGCTGTGGTTAATAATGGCTGAACTTTTGTCCCTGCTTTAAGTTTTCCACCAGATCTCTCAGAATTGATGCTATCATGGAATGTGAATGTGGTGTGTCTCCATTTCCTGTAGAATGAACTCAGGGCTGGCAGCTAAAGCTAGTGGTCTTGGATTCCCATGCCCTGTCATTTACGAAAGGGGCAGTGGAGTTCCTCTGGAGGAAATCCCACCCACCACGCCAGGATTCCATCACATATTGTTGGTCTGGGCCGTGGGTACTTCATACTTGGTTTTCTGTGAAAATTCACCAAGTGTGTTTGAAGTAAGAATCTCAACCCTAATGTTTATACATAAATGTCTGAATATGATAGGAGTAAATGCTTGCTCACAAAAAGGAAGGGAAGGAAAAGAAATTTATAAAAAAGCAAAAACACACAAGTCAGGGTATAATTACATTATACACAGGTTTTGTTTTTGTTCATTTTGATAGCATTAAGATTTACAGATAATATGATTTTATTTAGGGACAGCCTCACTAATTCAAGTTACCTGTTCTACACCAGGTACCTTATTGTGAGAATGGGAAGAACTTGTTAACGGATTATTAGTATTTACAGCCTAATCTTCCCTAGTTTCCCCGTTTCAGCAAATGACCATTTATTCAGTGATGGAAGCCAGAAGCCCGGGAGCCTTCCGGTTTCCCTCACGCTTCCCATCTGATCCATCCACACGTGCTGTTGGTTCTTTGGCCCAAGGACGTCCCCTACCTGCTGGCCTTCCACCCTTTCTATGCCACCACTCTCGCCAACTTTCACCTCAAATCCTTCAGTAGCCTCCCTGAAACCCTTTCCATTTCAACTCCTGAGCCCTTAAAGGAGCACACTTCTCAAATAACAGTGGCTTTTATTTTCAGTGGCTTTTTATTGAGCTTTGAGCCAGATCCAGACTCCTCATCATATCCCGAGATGTCCTGCATAATCCAGCCCCTGCCAAAGGATCCAACCTCATGGCATGCCCCTTCCCCTTTGCACTCAAAGCTCTGGTCACAGCGGCTTTCTTTTAATCCTAGAGAAGCCAGGCTATCTGCCAGCCCAGAGCCACTGTTCTTGCTGTCTCCCATACTTAGAAAGCGCTTAGATGTTGCACAGCTGGCTTGTGCTCATCCTTTAGGCCTCAGTTTAAATGTCACCTCCTCAAAGAAGTCTTTTCTGATAACTTTTACCAAGGCAGGTGTACCCAATTATTCTCTATGACAGCAGCATGCTTGTTTCATTTGTAACTAAATTACAACCTCAAATCTAAAACTATTTTAATGTGTTGATCTATTTATTCACTACCTCCTCCACAAGATTGCAAACTCCATGTGAACAGAGGTTTTATGTTGTGCTATTCACTGATACAGGGTTGTGGCTCAATAAGTATTTGTCGAATGCATTAAGGAAACCCATGATTCTGTTTTACAGTTGTAAAATGTAGGCCTTTACAACTGTAAAGCATTGAAGTCAAAGTGTTTAATTTAATTTTAGGTTGTGGAATTTCTTTCTTTCTTTCTTTCTTTTTTGATACAGGGTGTCACTCTGTTGCCCAGGCTTGAGAGCAGTGGTGTGATCGCGGCTCACTACGGCAAGCGATCCTCACACCTCAGCCTCTTGAGTAGCTGGGAGTACAGGCGCCTACCATCACACCCAGCTACATTTTTGTGTATTTTTTGTAAAGATGGGGTTTTGCTGTGTTGCCTAAGCTGGTCTTGAACTCCTGGGCTGAAGCGATCCACCTGCCTCGTCCTCCCAAAGTGCTGGGGGTATAGGCATGAGCCACTGTGCCAGCTAGAATTTTCTTTTTATTGTGTTAAAGTATACATAAGATAAAATTTACCATTTTAACCACTTCTTTGTGTACAGTTTGGTGGCATTAAGTACATTCACATTGTTGTGCACCTTGTCACCCCCATCCATCTCCAGAACCTTTTCATGTTCCCAAACTAAAACTCTCCATTCCTCCCTCCCCTAAATCCCTGGCAACCATCATTGCACTGCTGTCTATGAATTTGACTGCTCTGGGTACCTCATATTAGTGCACTGCAATCGATTGATATTTTATATCAATTTATTTTTATTGCCTCTTTACCAACATATGCCTTCACCCTCCACGTACACAATATTCAGTGTTAAAATTGGCTTGCTACTGAAAATCTCATTTCTAATAATTATTTAATGATAAAACATTCTATTAGGATTCTTCATGAACTTAATTCATCTTTTGTGGAACTTATTTTTGGAAAATAAACAATATTACAAGGTACTTTTATGATATACAGGTTAATTTAAGAATATGTTGCCCCTGACAATTTTTATATTTAATCATAAGACCCTTTCCTCTTGGGCTACTAATCTTGTTTTTGGATTGGAGAGAATATTTTATGCTTCATGGCTTTGAAAAAATATAAAAGAACAAATAAATTGTTATACAATATTATTGTTTTTGTCTTGCTGTTTAATAGCTGATGCTCTGTGGTCAAACTTCAGTGTTTGGTTTAACGTGGCATTTCATACAAGCTGTTTTAAAAGGGAATGAATCAGAGCCAACTGGTTCTTTAAAGTGGAATTTGCAGACCATTAAGAATGAAAGTATTCTGTATGATTTTATTATCTTGATGGTAAATATGTCACCCAAACTATGATTTGACTTTACCGATTCTCCCAGTCTTTTTTTTTCTAGTAAAAGTAGAGATAACTTTACAGGAAGATGAAAGTCAGTAATGACTTGTAGGATTTATAGTGAAGGAACAAATAATATCAGGTAAATGATTATTTCAAAATGAGATATTCTTTTACTCTGAACAAGATTTCTAACTGTTTTCTTCATCATGGAACAGAATAAAATGTGGTAACAATTTGCTGCAGTTGAATTGCTGCCACACATAATTGGGTCCCACAGAACTATGGCCTGGATTTTGGTGAATTGCTTAGTCTGCATGTTAGATTAAAAGGTGTACAACAAATCACCTTGTTTCTGCAGTTTTGAATGACATTTACATTTAAGTCATAGTGGTAATACTTTTCATTTATGGAATAAAGAAAATAAAATCAGGGAAAATACTAATGTAGAAATGGTTTTGTTTTTTTCCTATATGGTTTATTTCTAAAGTGCTTTTTAAAAACATTTAGTTACAATTAAGCCATACCTCAGAAGCAGTTTGTTAAAGGTAAACATTTTGCATAATACAGTTTGGTAAATTTTGCCAAAAGGTTGTATTCTTTTAATAACACTGTATAGACCATGTTAAATAGGTAATCTTGTGTGCAGTATTTTATATAAATGCATGGATTGGAAAGTATATTCAAACCTTATTGTGTCATTTTAAAAATGCCATGTAGCTTAAATAAGATGGGAGAAGCAACATTGCATAGTAAAAGTAGGCCTGAAAGGAATTTCTTTCCCCTGAAATTTTATTATAAAAAATTTCAAACTTAAAGTTGAAGGAATAATATAAAGTATACACATATACTTTCCACTTATATTGAATAATTGTTCCCACTTTTATACACATAATAGCTCTCTATGTGTATGTACACATATGTATGTATATATGTGTATATAGAATATGTAAAATATATATTAAAATATGTATTTATTATTTATTTACATTGCTGAATTATTTGAAAGTTAAGTTGCATACATCATGAGACGTCACCTCTAAGCACTAAGGACATTCTTGTATGTAACCACAATACCGTTATCACACCTAGAAAAACAACAATTCTGCAGTGTCATGTAGTATGTAGTCCACATAAGATTTCTGAAATTGTCTCTTTTAGAAACAGTATCCAGTTGAGTTTTGATTATTATGATTTTTAATCTAAAATAATCTCTGTACTTCTTTTGGTGAAGAGAAAGTAATTTGCTTTTGGAAAAGTTCTAGACAATTGCCTTAGAAAATATCACATGTTCTGAGTTTTCTGGTTGTTTCCTTGTGGTGTAATTTACCTTGTTCCTCTATCCCTATATTCCCTTTCAGCTAGAAGTTTGGTGTGGAAGTTTGATTAGATTAAGCCTTGACACTTTTTGACAAGAAACTTCATAGATAATGTGCACTACTTTATATTTTATAAAATCAGGAGTCCCGGAAGAATTTCAGACGATCTCCGTGATAGTGCAATTCTGGAATGAATCAAGAGTTGACTTTTGGTGTTACTGATGCTAAATAGGCCTTGTATTTGGGCCCCAATTGGAGAATGCCCCTGGAATTCCACTCAGATACAAGCTGCAGCAGTGGGTAGGGGTTGGATGTGAGAGTTCCTGACAGCGGCATGAGATCATGTATATCAGTGTGCTTTGTAAAACTAGAAGGAAAGAGACTGGAAATGGGAATTCTACTAACTATTAGGACACTGCAGTAGTGGATGATCAACCTTCCTAAATTTTGACTTTGTTGTTTGCTTTGATGAGCTGGTAGTTAGTATAATTAACTATAATATAATTAGTAAAGAACATAATAAAGTGCCTCATAATCAGTGCAGCACTGTGGAAATGAATAGTATTTTGCCATGATTAGGATGTCAGTCCTAGTTGAGAAATACTGGGTTATGTCGAGTGGCAGTGATGCCAGTTTATGGGCTGGCTTATGTTCCTAAAGTTAGACTTTCAGATAAGTAGTTGTTATCTTGCAGAGATCTCCAATTAATCATGGCACACGAGTACTCTTCATTAAAGGAAAAGAGAAAGAAGGAAAAAAAATACACACACACACACACACACACACACACACACACACACACACACACACATCTTAGAGTCCTAGAGGGCAGAAATAATCTTGGGGAGCTTTTGCAAGACGTATATGCCTGGGCCCCATGCCACATCTACTGAATCGGGTTCCATGGGGAAAACTGGGGGAGGACAGGGTGGGACCCAGGCATCAGCATTTTACAAAAGCTCCCCCAAGTGATTCTATTATGTCCTAAGGTTAAGAATGATTGCAGTAAGAAGAAGTAACAGCAGTTAGGAGGCTGATTATGATAATGGAACTTCTTAACTTTAATTTTCCTTAGACTAAAAGTTCTCTGAACTCCTTCCTCAGAAAGTTGTATTGAAATTCCACACATTAGGAGCCTAATGTTCCCCAGGCCAACCTACCTGGGAGAAATAAGTGTGCTGTGACCCTCTATGTCATGGATAAATTGATATCTCATTCTTTTGTTTGTCATTTTTATGAAAAGAAGGATTTAAAATAATTGGAGCCTAGTGCCCAAAATTATATCCTTGTGCCTTCCCTGCAGTTTGTGGTTTAGTGACTGGGCAGGAGGGACGAGAATTCATTGTACCACAGAATATTCTTTCCCTGTAAACGATGCATTTGCTTCGGGGTGAAGTCTGATTACAAATGAAAGTGAAATAATGCTGTAGACCACAGCATTCTGAGCTGCAGAGCTGGGCATGAGCTGAGGATCAGAGGCTGCAGACACATGTTGGTCAGAGCCCAAGCCTTGAGGCCAAATCTAACGGGACTGGAGAGCAATCCTTGAGCTAACCACTCAGAATGGGAACATGGAGATGCAGAATTTCCCATGAACCAGCCACACTGGAGTAAGCCAGTTAAAAACAATTAGAGTCGCACTTTAATTTTGGAAAGACTTGGCCTGTTGCCCTAGTTCATGAAGGTCTTATAAGGAAGTGATTGTAGAGCAATTTGCAAATAGAAAGCATTTCTAATACTATATTTTAGTTGCATTAGGAATAATGATTTACACTGAAGCCAGGAATGAGTCAGACGTTACACAAGCTTTGAGTTAAGCACACTCCCTGTCTAATGCTGAGACTATCTGAAAAAAAAAAAAAAAAGAGTATGTAAATTTAGCTTAATATCATGTAAGTGCTATGGGAATAATTGTAAATAATTGGATTATTAGTAAGGAATTGGGAGTGTGGGCAGATTTCTTTCTGCGGTTGGAGTATTGGACTAAAAACAGCATAACCTTGGCAATCTAAATGAAGTACAGGACGAAAAGCACATGCCGCCAAATCGGAATGACATTTGAAAACCATGTTAATACAGCATTTACCTTCCAAGACATTTTTAGATCCAATTTTATTTCATCCAGATTATGCCTCTCCCTCTACAATCAGCAATTTTTGTTTAAAATATGGATCTACAAATACATTTATATCCACTTGCTAATCTGTACTGTCAAATAAGCCAGTTTGAATTTGTTTCCAAAATAACTTTGTCTATAGTGATAAATATCTAGCACAGAAATGTACTAAGTCCATAGTTTCTATTCTACATAAAGTATTCGCCAAATATATAGTATACTTAATAAATTGGATCCCTGTGGACTGTTGGGATGCCTAATATAGATTGTCAGAATTAACAACTACCATCTCGATTCTATGTATTTCATATTGAAATAAGAATAATACGTTATTGACCCTGGAAAAGTCTTAAGGGGTTTTTTTTTTTAATGAAGATCTTCCAATGAGAAATTCACATGTGAAGTTATGAATCAGTGGCAGACAGAACTGAATCAGATTTGTATTAGCATTTTGTAGAGTGTCTGGATTTTGCTGGTGTCACTCACAAAACACCATATTTGTATCTATCCTGAACCTTGGCAATCCTCATATATAAGATAATTCCATAGAGTATCTTGGCAAGAGGAGGTGGAAAAACAAATCCCAACAGTGTTGAAGAGAGGATTATAAATTAAAATTCATGTTGCGTTATGCTTTTTAAAAAGGATTGAATATGGCAAGCTAACCTGAATCTGTTTGATTAAAGCATTTGCACTTGTCTCAGTAAATTAACAGAAAGAAACAAGCCTAAATTCTCTTTCTTGTTACCTAACATGGAGAGTTTTATTTATTTTTTAAATAAAAGATTACACTGCTGTGATCTTTCTAGTCTCAGATGTAGGATATATATAGTCATAAAAATCTTGATGACTGTTTTTATCCTGAAAAGGATTCATTGTAATGTACACTGAATGCTATGTGTAATAATGAAGAATTAGAGGCAATTTAAATGATAGACAGTAAGAAAATTACTGAACACATTCTGTTATAACTTGATGGAAAATTATGCAGCAATTAAAATCATATTGTAGAATAGCATTTATTACATGGGAAAAAGCTTTGGCAATGTTAAGTGAAGAAAATCCAGCAGGATTCAAAAGTATATTTTTAGTATAATCCTTATTTTATGATTAAAAAAATAAAACACACACATGCATACACACAAAATCTTACGTACGATAATATAATCAATACGTTATCAAGGGTTTCTTTAGGTGTAATTACATTTGTTTATATGCTACTGCCTTTTCTCAATTGTCTAAAGTAATTACTTAATTTTGAATTAAAATACATAATAAAATATTGAAATAGAAAGGAAAGACCAAACAGCAAAGATGTATTTATTAAATCCCTATAGGTATTTGTTTGGGAGAATTGAGCCAAAAAAATAAAGATGACTTTGGTATTTCACTTTGTCCACATAGTTCCTGCATTTTAAAGAGATTTTGTTCCAAATTACTGCAGTGCTGAGTGACTTTTTCTTCATCGAAAGAACGAAATGAGGGCTGAGATTTATTCAACAGCTCAGTATTTAATACTTGTTTATATTTTTGTTTGAATTCAGTATCTGTGGAAGAAGATAGCAGGTTTTGAATAAATCTGGCATACAATGTAAAATATTAAACTATACCTACAGCTTGACTATATAAAACTAAAAAAACAGTAGAGTAAGAAATGCATAAACAAAGTAAAAAAAAAAAGACAAATGATAAACAGAGAAAGTGTCAGGAGACAGGGCTGGAAAGGTGGGTGGGGCTATATCATGCAGAGAAGAGGGACACAGAGGTCTTAGGCTTGTCTTTTGGCATGGTGAGTCTGGTTGCATGTAGATATCACTCACACAATTTTTGACCTGTTTGCATATCACCTGTACTAGTATTTAATATTTTTAAAAAATTGAATTAAAAGGTTTTTCAATTCATCATCCTCATAGCAGACATAACTGTGAAATCATGAGTCTGATATATTTATGCTGTTTCATAATACACATTAAAATTAATATGTGACTACTAAAATCTAAAATTATCTTGCATCCTGTGAGTGGGACATAACACTGGCATGGAGGGAGGGAGCTGGGGAACTGGGGACTCGGCATTTGGACCATCCTGTCTGTCTCTCCAGTGCTGCCATAGCTTGGATATGGTAGTCTTCTTTACATATATGACTGGCATGGAGTTTTGTTTTTGGAATTCTTCAGAAGGTTGATCTTACAGCATGGGCATCAGAGCAGTGCTGTTTCTGCAACACCATTGAACAGAGGTGGTTCATTGCAGATAGCAGAGGAGAGGGAGGAAGAGCACGTAGTGATGGGGAGCAGATGGAGTTGAAATTCCAAGGGAGGGGTTGGAGTGGAGATGCAAGAAAAAGAAAGCAAGAGAGAACACACAGGATAGAGGGATGCCAGCAGATAAGATTCAGCTATTGCCAAAACATTGTTACGATCCAGAATGTTGACTCTTGCTGGTACTGTAATGAAAAGTTGTCCTTTTTTCCTTAGTAAATAGCATGTCTGCGATGTCCTATGAGCTACTTAAAGAAAGAAGAAAATAATGAAAGCATCCCAGTAGTTTCATTAGCACAGCCAGTGATTTTCATAAAACTGTTGCGTTCACAGGTGAAAGGAACTTACTGGGGTCATTGAGTCCATTTTTAGACTCACAGGGATCACTGCACCTAAACACTTCTGAAAATGACCTGGAAGCATGCAAATGTTGGTTTGTGGATAGAAGCCCATGAGTCTTACCCCAGCCCAGCCTCCCTTGTCTGTCAAGGTCATTGTAGAACCACGGAAATGGATATTATGGCCCTGATTTCTCTCACAAGGGGACAACCTGGGTTTGGTCCTCTGTGCTCACTACGTCTTTATCTTTCTTATTTGTTGTTGGCTCTCTCTCTGTAGGAAAAAAAAAAAAGAGGCAGATCTTATAGCTGGTGGTAGACTGCTCTGATTGGAAATTCTCTTGTGGACTTAGCTTATCCCTGTTTTGCTTTAAGATGGTCCTTTTGCCTAGGGGTTACAATGATTTCAGACCAGTGTCCTCACTCTTTATATTAAAACCTAATGTGTTTTGCATGGACAAAATTTTAAATTCTTGTTTGTTGGTTTGCTTGTTTTGTATTTGAAATAAGATGACCCCAACTCAAAAGAAACAGATAACCATTTCTTTTATTGAAGGAACTCCCAGGAAGAAGGTGCCATGACTTGCCTCACTGCAAGCTTCAAAATTCTTTGCTTTCTCAGCCCTAAATAACAATAGACTGGAAGCTCTGTGAGGTCAGGGATTTGGCCTCTTTTAGTCACTGAAGCATCTGTATCAGGCATAGGAGCTGATTCAGTGTAGGCACTGATATATTTTCTTAAGTAATGAGTGGATAATAATATTACCATGTTACATTTGTATAGCAATTCACAGTTGTAAAGAGTTTTCCATTAGCTCGCCTGATCCTCACAATGCCGTTTTCAAAGTGGGTAACAACTGATGTTTTCATCCCTATTTTGTAGGTTAGGAAATCGGGTTCAGAAGTAGAATGGTCTATCCAAGGCCTTACACAGGGACAGTGATGCATGATTCTGTCCCTGAAATTCATTTCTCAATTTGGAGTCAAGCAAGATGGAGCACAGCTGTTCCTCTGCATGATGGTTCCTGCTTTTCTGGATTTTCATCAGATTTTTATTCTTTATTTTCAGATTACAGGACAGGCCCATGTTTTACTGTGATCAGCAACCAGATGTGCCAGGGACAACTCAGCGGGATTGTCTGCACAAAAACGCTCTGCTGTGCCACAGTCGGCCGAGCCTGGGGCCACCCCTGTGAGATGTGTCCTGCCCAGCCTCACCCCTGCCGCCGTGGCTTCATTCCAAATATCCGCACGGGAGCTTGTCAAGGTAAACCCGGGCTGATGGAATTATTAATGGATTAATCTTATTTGCTCTGGAGAGCCATTCTCCAATGAAGTTGAAGAGAATGGAAAAGTAGTGTCAGCTACATAACTTCACAATTTCGCTGACTGCATGATATCCAACTAAGGCATTAGGAACGTGGCTCTCGAGAGAGCAGCTGAAGTCTTACTGAATGTTTTCTTGCCAACCATTCCCCCTTTCTGACCCCAGAGGTGTTTGTATGTACCTCTGACTCCAGGGGTGGTGTGATTCTGTTTACAGCGATGCAGTGCATTATGGCAGTGCTGTGTAGAAACACAAAGCAAGGTTTGTGAACAAGGTAGTTTATGTTTTTCTTAATTTTTTTTCTTCATTTGAAACTGTTGAGTTCCTCTCTCATGGGTTGTGCTTAATTGACCTGAAGAAAATTGTTTCTCTCGACATTTTGCATGCTACATTTTGCATTTTTTTACAAGTCCAAAATAAATTAGGATTTGTTTCACAGTTTTAAATATCCCCAGATGTCGCCTGCTAGCTGCTTCTCCTGCCTCCCGTAGAAGCCCTTACTCTGTTTTTGGCTTTTACTCCTGTTCTTCCAGCTGTACAAATTCTTTTATTGTCTGGATGTCTGGCAGGAAACAGGAGGAAGTGAACAGAGGCAGCTCCACACTAAACTGATGGGATTGAAAACTCTCAGCCTGTATCTGTTTCCTTTAGACAGCCTCAGGACTTTTTATAGCAAGTTGCAATATTTTCAGAAACTTCAGGATATGCTTTTCTGAGGCAAATAGATAATACTTTGGCGTTGTTTTGTATGTTAATTCTAAGGGTAATGTGCAATAAAACAGAACTTGAGCTTAGTCACACAGTTTTGTGGGTCTCCATTACATTCCACTTCAATAAATTCCACTTCTGATATTGTCATTCCTGGCCTTCAGCTCCCATGTACAACATACAGCTCCTTTGGATGCCCTTAAATGTATCCCTCTGAATGTCAGGAGAAGAAATAAGTCACCTTGAAACTCTAAAATTATCAAGGGATGGATTGTAGTATTTTACAAAAGTTTAGTTGTTTTTTGGTGCCTTCTTATTTTTCCCGTTTTTAGAAAATCCCAGTGAGTTTTGAAGAATTTGTTCATCTTGGGATTACAAAGTTAGCTAATACCCATGAACTTGTTGACAGTGACCAGAGAGCTAGACTTTTAACTGCCTCAGCTGCCCATCAGTGACCCATTGTCAGAGGTTAGGGTGCTAATGGAATTGGGGGGGTGGGGATAATGAACTGCCTTCTCTTTAGCTTTGCTATTCGTTTCATAAATCTGGATCTTTCCAGCATTTGCTTCCTGTTTCTTTCTAACTCTGCTATTCAACATCCAAGAAAAAAAATGTTTTTTATAAGAAAAGTTTTGAAAACCCATTGAATCACAATGGCAGTTATATTGCTATTTTGAGAGTGAAATTCTTCATGTTTGGTTGTTGTTGTTGTTGTTGTTGTTGTTTTTTCTAAGAGATTCTGCCACCAGGTTGTGGCTCTTGCTCCTTGCTGGTGTTTCCAGTCCTTGGGTCAGATGTGAGGGGCTGTGGGCAAATGGGTTCATAAAGGAGCTTATTCTGTCTTCAGACCTGGAGTATACAGCCAGTGGAGAATTGCCTTGTCTATATTTTCTGTTGGCCAGAAATCATGATCAACAAGACAGCTAGTTCTGCCTATATGTAAAAATCTTGATTTTCAAAAACATTTTAAAAAATACATTCAACACATCAAGAGAATGGAAAATTCTGGTCTAAGACAAAACTGAAATTGGCTAGAAAACATAATTTAATGATTTTCCACATATAATCATGTATCTGTGGGTTAAGATATTTCATTTAAAACAGTAAGTGATACTTTTATAATAAACTAAATTGTTGTTTCTTTAATATCCCTTTTACTGCATGCTGACTTTTCTCAAGAACACAGGTTGAGATCTTATAAACAGCAATCACTTTTTTCTTTACTCAATGAAGAGTGAAACTAAAGAGCACATTAAGCTTCCAGGTTTCAAAAAGAATACATTAGACTGTTTGCTTGGGGATTCTTTATTAAATCAGACTTTTCTGTTATGAACAAAGAGATGGAGAGAATGTACATGTACTTTATAATCTTTATAACAAAAGTAGTGAGCCTGAAATGATTAATTTTGCTCCTGGAAGGTTAATATTTGGGCTTACACATAAGAACCCAAGTTAGTCCTTAGGTGCTGGTTATACAACAGTGAAGAAAATGGACAAAGTCCCTGCTTTCTGGAAGCTTATATTGAAGACATTTTGAAGACATTCAATTTATTAAATAAAACAAACAGGCATGTATTAGGTCAGTGGGTGGTTAGTCCTGTGGAAAAAAATAAACAGGGAAGGAAGGATGATTAGAGCCAGCAGCCAGGTGTTGCTGTTGGACTGTCAAGGGAAGGGCTCGTGGCTAAAGTGGCATTGGAGCACAGACCTGGAGGATGAGACATCGTGGGCCATGCAGCTCTCTGGAGGAAGACTATTCCGGGCAGAGGGGCAGCCTTACAGAGCTCTGTGGCAGGTGCATCCTTGGCATATTTGAGGAATCCAGTGTGGTGGGAGAGATAGGAGGGTGGAAAATGGGTAAAAGATCAGAGAAGTCATGTCGAACTCCCCAGGACATAGTACACACTTGCACGTTGAGCTGGGGAAAGACATGATCTCACTGACATTTACAAAAGTGGCTTCTGGTGGCCACTGTGCCAGCAAGGTAAGTCTGCAGCTGAAACTACACACTCACTCACCTAACAATCTCTCTCACTTCTTGGCCTAATTTTCTGAGTTGTTTAATTTTTACTGTGCAAGGCACTTCTCCAGAATGTGAAGTGAACATTTCCACTTCATTTGCGCAAAAACATTAGCTGTCTCGTGTAGTCTGAGTGACCTTCAATAAATTCCGTTTTAACTAAATCACTCAGTACAACTCTTAAAGGTAGTTTCATTGTAGAAATGTATTGCATTTTGATTTGCAAGATTTTTTGAATAACTCTGATTATTACTACCAATCTGGAGATAAAAATGAGGCCGTGAATAATGGCCTTTTAAACGTATCTTTATACTTTGCTGCATATGTGCTAAAACCCGCAAAAGTTAATGCACTCTCCTCTACATTAGGAAACATGGAAGGTGGGAAAACAAAAAATACTTGTGACTTCTTATGGAACATTATTAATCAAACGATGTATTTTACATAATGCAATTGTGAGAAACAGTTTCTCTAATCATATTCCAAATATTGTGATGGACAAATAACTCACCGATATAAATATGGTAACATAATTGTGGACAAATTATCACATTTTATTCTGCAATGAATTTCATATGAGTTTTTTTTTTTTCTCTCTGTCTTCTGTAATCTGACAGATGTGGATGAATGCCAGGCCATCCCCGGGCTCTGTCAGGGAGGAAATTGCATTAATACTGTTGGGTCTTTTGAGTGCAAATGCCCTGCTGGACACAAACTTAATGAAGTGTCACAAAAATGTGAAGGTAAGAAATCTTATGCTTTGCAGTTGGGGGGTGTAGTGGGGGCAGGCAAAACTCAACATTAGAAACAAGCTTGTTTGCAAATTATTCCTAAATCCTTCTGTCTTTGTCATCCCTGTGAATGTGTAAATATAATATTTTTAACAGTAATAATATGCCTTTGTGCTATTGGACCAGAAAAACCCTGTAGCTTTTTCCACTTTTATAGACCCAAAACAAGAGGTCCATCTGAATCAAATTAAATATTAAAAACATGAAATATTTTTGAACCAACATTTGGTTTAAAATGTTCAACACACATGTTTTTGCATAGTTCTAGAGACATGAATTTAAATTTGGTCATTAGATATCATTCAGAATAATATATCTTCCGAAGTTTTTCTAGTTAAAAGGTATGTTTGATTTTGTGTGTGGGGAGGCAGATTGATCTATTAACCCTTATATTTATGCTCCTAGTACATGCTCATGATTTTCTTTTCTGGGGGATGGTAATTGCCTATCAAATGAAAAGCTTTTAATGTTAGTCAAACAGAAAAGTAATTTGAGATAATTTTTATATTTACATTTAGTTTATAGATTGAACTTCTACAAATATATATACAGAGGATGTGTTTATAGTCACCACTACTGCTACTGCTCTTTGCCGAAATGAGGCCTGACTTCCAATTACAGTCATAATTTCTTCGTGAGAGGGGAGCATCTAGAAAATATGTAGGCAGCATTGGACTCTCTTTTCTTTGATGAGTGCATGTAACTTATATATAGTAATGTCCAACAATAGTGTAACAGCATTCTCAGGGCTACATCTCTCATCAAGATCAGAAGAGAAAACTTTTTCCTTCATCCTCAACTCACCCCACCTTGAGGTTTCACTTAGATGGATGCATTTTTATTGAAAACAGATGCTGTTATATTTATGCCCCTAGACTCTAACAGTGAGTACATTCTAAGTTATTTGTCTGGGCTGGATAATTAACCTTGTCAGTTGCCACTGTATATCAGATGAGCAAAAGACAGCTTTAAATTTAAGGTGCAATTCATAAGTTACATGTAAGACATTTAATATCTACTTGCCCTGAAACTGAATAATCTAACTCTGATAGAACTATCTTTATGAGTTGGAATTGTTTTTAGGTTATAAATCATCATTGAATTTATAATTGATACTGCATTCTTGAACATGTTATACATAGTTATTCGGGGTAGTTGTGAAAAAATAGTTCTTTCTAAAGACTTCTTAAAAAAACATTTTAAGTTTCAAAGAACAATAAAGTTGACTCTTGATAGGCCAATGTATTTTAGAAGTTGTACTGTAGATCTAAATTTGAAGCAGAGAATGTTGGCACTGAAAGGGGCAAAGAACTCAGCTATTTCCACACTCTACATTATATATTAAGGAATGGTGTCTTGGGTGTATTAAGTACCCTGTCTGAGGCCATTCAGACAAGACTGCTCAAATTTACCTCTTTAACTCACACTCTGGTGCTTGCTGAGCCATATTACATTGTCCTCTTTCCTAGATGAAAGTTATTATTCTGGAATAGATTTTCGGGCCATATACACACACACACACACATACACATATATATATACACACACACACACATATACACACACACATATCTTTATATAGACACACATATATCTATATACACACACACATATATATATGACATTAACTTAACAAGCCATTAAAGTTTATCACATGCAAAACCTACATCAACGATAGGTTGTGTTTTATCTTTTAGGCTTTCTCAGTTTAATATATTCAGCTTCAGAATATATAATCAGCTTCAAGATTGAGGGGAGTATAGTCCTTATGACTTGTCCAGTCTGTGTTTTGTTTTCTGAAATTATGATGGCTTCCAGCCTGAGTAGAATTGATTTTGTCTCTTGCTTTTCATTCAGACAAGTCAATTAACAGGAATGGTCTATGGATGTGGACTAGACAGAAGATTCTAATTTAATGCTCAGACTGAAAGAAAAATCATTCGAATCTTTTTATTGATGCTAAGAAACCTATTATGGTGGTGTATCCAGTGGACCAAAAACTCAGTCTATTACTTAATCCTTTTCCACACACAAAAATTTTCCAGCTACATGTGAAAGTCAGCAGCAAGATAAAAACAGACTATTTTGGCTAGATTTTTTTTTCCTTTGCCATCTACTATTACATTAATTTAGATAATGGTTTTTTCCTTCTTTTCCTTCTAGTATCAATGCAAAATTGATACTAGAGGAGAATGTCCTGTTAGTGCTATACATTCTCTGGCCTGGAGACTGGTGTGAACAGGGTTGACCTGTCTTACTCTGGTAAGAAAGTAATCAGGAAGTACCCTGAGAGCTCTTGGCAAGCCGGGTTCACTTTTTCGACGTCCTTGCTCTTTTCCGGTTACAGTGTCTCACTGTGGAAATGGCATAACTCTGGGCATCGGCTGGTGTCTAGATGGCCAATAGAGGGAACCCAGGAAGTCTGGCCCGTAATCACTGAATATGTTCCCTAGAAAGATGATGAGTATAACCATGGGGTTCTGTGCCCTTGTGAAAATGTCCTGGTACCTTTGCCATTGCTTTGAGTGGCTTTTTAAAGGTAGCTTCCTTTAGACTTGGAGGGGAAGGAATTGAGTACTTTTCATAGAATTTTTTCAAGAAAAACCAATTCCATCAAATTGGCTTTAGCAAATTCACAAGATGCTAACCCTCACGCTCTCAGATCTGAGAATGCCATTATTCGAGTTGCTTTCCATGAGATCTTCCTCTTGCAGAATTCTCACTTCCTTCCTAAAATGTCCCTCTTTCCAAAAACTAAAAAAAAAAGAAATGTTACGGAAAAGTGTTTTATAAATACATATAATTGGAGGACATTTTGAAATGTAAATTAACAAGTTGAAGGGATTTAAATAACAATTATTAAATTTTCATACATTTAAGAAGGAAAAGATTGAGATTTATAGCTGTGATTTGAGAAAAAAGGAAAGAGTTCATGCCCACCTTCTTTGTTGATCTTTCCAATGACTGTAGAGTACGCATGCTGAAAGAACACATGAACATTTTTCTTTGGAAACCAAGTCCATATTTGCATAGGTTACTATGGGAGGAAATTAAGAAATAAAAAGCGTAATTAAGGGATTAAGTTTTATTTCTGGAAGAAGTCCGTTGGATTCCTAATTAACCACTAATATTTTGGGATTTAGATTATCGCCAGCCCAGCCTTTAGCAATTATAATAGCACTGCATGATGCACAGGACCTTTTTAAAAGTGTAGCTTTTAAATCCATGCACTCCATAATATGTGAGCCAAAAACCTCAGGACTTCCCCTTTCCAAAATAATAGCATATTTATCTCATGGCTACTTACTGTTAGGGGCTCTTATCCTCTCAGGAGCTAAGGAGAATTCCCGGGGCGGCTTAACCCACTACCATAGATGGGGCTCCATCCTCTTTCAGCTGTTTGCAGGCCCTAGACTTTCACTGTTCAAGGTAACTGGCTCTCTCTATACAATTAGTTGAAAAAAAAAAAAATCTCTGCGGTGAAGGTCAAAGAGCCCTGGAAATAAGGCAGGCCTGGCTCCCGTCCTTGATGCCCCGTGGTCAAGTCCCTAATGCTTTGTGTGATCTTAGATAAGTCAATTACCATCTCTGAGTTACTTCAGCTTTCAAATGAGGGGGTTGAACAAGATGCTATGTGGGGGTTCTTTCCAGTTCCAGAATTCAGACTCCATTTTCAAGTTGTGATCGGGCGGCGGATGCAGCATGAATAAGAATTCAGACTCCATTTTCAAGTTGTGATCAGGCGGCGGATGCAGCATGGATAAGAATTCAGACTCCATTTTCAAGTTGTGATCAGGCGGCGGATGCAGCATGGATAAGAATTCAGACTCCATTTTCAAGTTGTGATGAGGCGGCGGATGCAGCATGGATAAGAATTCAGACTCCATTTTCAAGTTGTGATGCGGCGGATGCAGCATGGATAAGAATTCAGACTCCATTTTCAAGTTGTGATCGGGCGGCGGATGCAGCATGGATAAGAATTCAGACTCCATTTTCAAGTTGTGATCGGGCGGCGGATGCAGCATGGATAAGAATTCAGACTCCATTTTCAAGTTGTGATCGGGCGGCGGATGCAGCATGGATAAGAATTCAGACTCCATTTTCAAGTTGTGATCGGGCGGCGGATGCAGCATGGATAAGAATTCAGACTCCATTTTCAAGTTGTGATCGGGCGGCGGATGCAGCATGGATAAAAGCTGGCGTACGTGATGTGACTATAAAATAGTATGGCTGACGTTTTTGTCAACATGAAGAGTCAGCTTGTTTAGTTTTTAGTGATACATTTTACACTGGGTTGAGTTTGTACAATCAAAGTTAAGCTCACAGGCTCAGTGGCATTCATGATCATTAGTGTGTCACATGTTACTTTTAAACAGCTGCCACAGTTTTTAGTTTTTTTCTCTCATTGTATTAGTATCTAGGCAGTCAGGATCAGGTTAACTGTCAGGATCAGGTTTCTCTTGTCAAGTCCACAATCTTGGATGGAGCTTCTAGATAGCCAAGTAATAGATGGTGATGCCTGTCCCAGAACAGACACCAAGCTCCATCCATCTGCCCTCCACACTCTTTCCTCCCATTCTGCCAGAGGAGCCCTAGGATGAAGGGGCTTAGGCATGGGAAGAATGCTCTGGGAGAACAGATGAGACTGAAGGATGGGAAGGAGCAGAAACAAAGGACAGGTGGCGAATAAGGAAGGAAGAGATCTGCCATTTGTGACTCTTCTTAAGGTCACAGCAAGAAGCCAGTGGGGTCATGGACAGCTACCATGGGACAGCTACTCCCCAGCAGCTCTGCCTCCTTTTCTGCCTCAAGGAAGCAGGGAGAAATGTCCAGAGCACGGAAATAGCTCTTCCCAGCCAAGCACCACTCCCCAGCAAGCGTCCCCACCTGGTTTGCTTTCATGGCTGGCATTTGACACAGCCTGATTTATAGAAACTGAGAAAGTGACCGTTCTCAAATTCCCTCTTAACTTGGGATGCCTCAAATTCAATTAAAAGGAGATGAACACAGAGTGGGAAGAACTTGGAGAAATAATAAATTCATATGAATGAGTTTCAGAGTGTGAGTCAATCCTATTCAAACACCTTATTCTGGCCTTTGCTGTCGGGAACTTTCCACCACAGCCTGGTAATAGATAGAACTCTTGCTTTTATTTGTTACGAAGCCATGCCACTGAGAAACAAGGTGGTTTAGGAAAGGGGAAAGGCACTAGACACCTGAAGGCAAAAGGGTGTGTCACTGAGAAGGGGACATATTAAGGGGAATTTGAAGTCGTTTAAGCTCTTTCAAATGTAACAATTTGGCCTAGTCCCATTTTATCTTAATCTATGTGAACTCAGGGAGGTGTGCACTATGACATATTTCCTGACCTGCTGGCTTTCAAAGGCATGTACCTAGGTGGAAACTCCCCACACCCACCCTAAAAACCCCTGCCAGTTGGAGACTTGGGTTTAGCCTCACTTTATAAATGATGGGCCTCTTTGCTCTTATTTCAGGTTTGATTCATGTCAGTTTTCTGAAGGCCTCAGTGTAATGCAAGAGGCGTACCTGGGCACCAGAGGTATAGAATCAGGCCCACAGTCCTACCTGCATTATAAGGATTAGATGATTGGGTACACATAAAGCATTTTGACTATGTCTAGCACTCAGCACATGCAAACTCTCATCATTATTGTTCTTGTTATTGTTATCTTCAATAAAGGGCCCAAATCTCACTCAGCCAGCATGGAAAAGATGTTTCCCCCATTCTGCCAATGTTAATTCTATTGTTTAAACAAATTTTTCTGACATGGGCTGTCATTTAAACCTTTTAGATATTGATGTACGCTAAGTGGCCTTAATAAGAATGGTAGCTGTCATTTATATTAATGGGTTGAGAAAAAATATTTAATACCACATTGTCTCCTCATGCGATCTTTGGCAGGTGTTGTAGGACTCAGATACTAACTTTTAGGGACACTTTGAAAAAGGTACATTCTTCTTAATTACAATTATAGCTTCCTCTATCCTTAAATGAAGCTTTGAATCCTGTAGGCTCTTTGACATACTTGCTTTTTGTTTGTGTTAAGTAGAAGTGTGGCTGCCTTGAGATATTACGTGGGTAACCCTAGGCTCTGTCTGCCCTTGGCAGTTTCTCTACCTGACCCTTTCACAGACTCTAATGAAATTTCTATCTGTCAGAATAGAATATGCACCTTTACCGTTACATAATTTTGCAATGACAGTGCTGTTTATGTTAGCATTGACTCTAATATAAGCAGTGAAATATTGTTTGGTTTAGCCTCTAGCCTAGCATGGAAGAATGGTGATTTTGGTTTTAAAAAGGTTAAACTGCATGTAAACACTGTCATTGCTGCCTTTTTTACTAACAAGGTGAACTTGAGTCAGAAGATACTTGAATCTGGTTCACTTAGAACTCTATTTTGTCTTATAAATGAAGAGAGTACTTAGCCTGTAGAATAAATGTTCTTATTGGGGGTTGTAAGCCTTTCCCAGTTTTAACGGTGTCAGCCTGGCCATTGTAATACTCCCAGGAGGCCTGGCTCAAATGTCTCCTTTCCCAAGGTCAGTGCAGAAAGCTCTGCTGGTCTCAGAGAGGAGGCCATGCAGATTCCCTGTGCCCTGAGTTTACTTCTAGCCTAAGAAGGAAGCTGTCATTTTTTTCTCTTCTTCTGCTGGTGCCGTATCTGTTGACATTTGTCAGTGTGTGGGTCAGGCTATTGAAAACCTCTCCTTGAAGGAAATGGCCATATTTGTCCTAAGGGAATTTTACTGCTTCCTTGATGGGAACCAGTGGTGTCAAGCCCTGAGGGCTAACCCCAGCTTTGGCCTCCATAGCATTCAGGATGTTTATTAGAGGATGTCCTTGGGATCAACACCTGCAGAAGAGAAGAGGAAGAGGCAAGAGCGTGCAGAGAAGGCAAGCTGGGGTGCAGCCCATCAACAGCCTCCACTGGCCCCAGAAGGAATTGGGGAATCGGAGGGGCCTTCAGTGTTGTCTCCCATTGGGGCAGGATGCACCAGACTTTGATCCTCCTTCACAATTGCTTATTGGGTGTCGGGTGCCTGGGAAGGGTGTGACCTCGGGCGAGGTGGCTCTCTGCGACTCAGGCAATCTTAGAAGGGGCTGAGAGCCAAAGACCGTGTGTTGACAGTATTCCCAGCCTCCTGGGCAGCAAGTCCCTCTTTGAAGGGGACGTTGGTTAGGGCACCCAGTGTCCATCACAGTTCATTCACCAACCACAGAAGACCATCATAATGGTAGTTTGGGTGCCACTGAGAACACCAAGTTGGCCAAGTTGGGATCAGCACTCAGACCACAAGATCTCTTCTGTAGGATTCCAGTATCCGCGTTGTGGAAAATAGATTGAAAAGCAGCGCAAGAAGTGATACAGAATATAAAATAATTAGTAGGAGAGTTTAACTTAATGCAAAACATGGAAACAAAAGGAAAACAAAATTTTAAAATAAATGACATTTGTAACATTAACATGCTATAGTTACTTGGTGAAACAACAGTACACAGGTTTAGATTTTAAAGGGGGGTGATTTCATTTTGCCCTAATCTGTTGAATTTGGTAAATCTTTTGGGTAAGTCTGTGTTGAAAGAAGCAGCATCTACCTTTGAATTGACTGTTCTCCATGCGGTTTTTACTTTTTAATGATGGCTGTTTCCAGGGACATGATTTGACTAGTGTTAACATCTGAGTCCTTCTACTGACGAATGGTTTTATATTGTGTTCTACAAATGCTGAGATTCTTTTTTTTATATTCCAGATATTGATGAATGCAGCACCATTCCTGGAATCTGTGAAGGGGGTGAATGTACAAACACAGTCAGCAGTTACTTTTGCAAATGTCCCCCTGGTTTTTACACCTCTCCAGATGGTACCAGATGCATAGGTAGGTTTAATGACAAACAGCATGCATGGTTTGTGTAAGTCAGTTCCATAACAAACAACTTTCTAAACAAGCTTGTTAAGGAGCACATATAATTTATCAACTGAGGTAAAATGTACATTTTTGGAAAAATGTTAAACAGTTGACTGCCCTCTTAAAGAACAGAGGCACCTTGTGGTCATTTTGGAGACGTTTTGCCTCCCATAAAAGAGGGATGATCCAGGAGACCTTACAGGTATCTTCAGTCTATTAATTAATGTTGCAGTCGTGCAGCATTAAACCTTGAAGCCATCCCAGGTGTCTCTCTCTTTTTACCCCCACCTTCAGTCATTCCCCAGAACCTATGTTAATTTGGCCTGAATTTTTTCAATAATCTCTTAATTGGTCTCCCTGCTTCTTGGCTTCTCTACAATCCATCTTGTCAGATTTATCTTCCTAAAATAGTGCTTCGATTAAATAACACTCTTGCTCAAACCCTCGGTAGTTTTCCATTAGGACTTAGAAATTAGTGGTTTTCAGTCTGTGTCCAGTGGATCCTTCAAGTGTTTCAAAGCCCTCCAGGGCTGCAGGGATTGCGGAGGGCACAGAGAAAAGGGAGAGAGCTGAGTGGAAAGGGCTCTTGTCCCCCCACACTCCCACACACATTCTAGGCATAGCAATTTCACTTTATCTGCTGTGAGTGTTAGACTTCCATGTCAGGTATCAATTAAATCAGGGGTTCTATTGTTTAAAAAATAGATTTGGCTGGGCGCAGTAGCTCACACCTCTAATCCCAGCACTTTGGGAGGCCGAGGCGGGCAGTTTGCTTCAGTCAGGTCAGGAGTTCAAGACCAGCCTGGCCAACATGGTGAAACCCTGTCTCTACTAAAAATACAAAAATTTGCCAGGCGTCGTGGCGGGTGCCTGTAATCCCAGCTACTCAGGAGGCTGAAGCAGGAGAATCACTGGAAGCCAGGACGTGGAGGTTCCAGTGAGCTGAGATCACGCCACTGCACTCCAGCCTGGGCGATAGAACGAGACTTCATCTGAAAAAAAAAAAAAATAGATTTGACAGCTGCTGGATTTAATAATTGTTAAGACTTCTTTAAAAGTGCAGTGTTCTAGATTAAAATTCAAGTTCCAAAGTGCACAGTCTGATATTTAAGGATTTTAAGAGAGCTTCAAACTACATGAGGATTAAGACATATTTACATATCAGATGGTTCACATTTTAAAAGTTACTTTCTTTTTATCAAATGTATCCATACTAACTTTTTACAAAGGAGGAATGGAAGGGAACTAAGATTCATGGATCACAGGGTATGAGGTGTTTTATGTAAATTATCTGACTTGATGTTCATTTCACAGCAGTATTGTAGATGGGAAGCAGCTGAGATTGAGAGAGGTTAGATAAATAATGGCCCAATAGTTTAAGTGGGTAGTGAGAGAGGGATCTGGGATTCCACCGTGACCTGAGTGCACAGCCCAGATTTCCCTCATTTTGCCTTCTACCCCTCAACTCTGGATGCAGTTCACTCTTTCTTGCCAGATCCCTAGGCAAGCCCCGTTTCTTCTTTGCAACTCTGTTGTGCCCATAATTAGACACTTGTCATACAAAATGATCCAAGTGACCTTTCTGCCTTCTGGTGCTCCTATTTCCCTCCATGGTAAGCAACAGAGACCCCCAAAATTATCCGTAGTGATGAGAAAATACAAATAGCCCCTGACAGTATAAACAAATCCAAGGCTTGTTCGTAAGACAGTTGTTTGGAATGAGTAGGTCTCACCAATAGAAAACCTCCTATGTAGATAGTGGTATGCAGTATCTTCCGTGCACATTTCTTCTAACCGTAAAATTCCAACTGTCACCTGCTGCCACCACATTCTGAGACTCTCAGACCTCCCAGCCCCGAGCTCCCTTTGTGTTCTAAGCTCTTTTAGTATTATTTTATTTCTTGTTCTGTGATCTTCCTGTGGCATTTGTAATATTGCCTGTAGGGTTGTCTTTTTATATTGTTGTGTTCTCTCTCTTCGACTCCTAGGAGTCATAAAGATGTCCTTTCCCTAGTTTGAGCCTCACAACTCCTAACTCCTGGTTGTACACAACCATGTTCGTGACAGGTTAGGAGAAGCCTGTTGACAGGCTAGACGACCTGCAAACGCCTATTTAATCCATAATATATTTGCTTTGATATAATGTGATTTCTGGGTCCTGAGAATAAGGGCCAAGTGATTCAAAAGGGGAGAAAAGAGTGAGATTTCCTCCTCCTCTTCGCCAGATGTCTTGGCCAGGGCAGATTTAAAATGGAAGGTGTTTGTGGTTCCTTCTGTGTCCCTTTATGTCCCCTTAGCTTGAGTCCTGAAGGTCTTCAAGTTATTCTACAGCCACCCCTTACCCTCTGTACAAAGTGACATACCACCACAACGGTTCCCCCCCCCCCCCAGCCACCCTTGGTGTGGCACTGCTGCCTAACGAAGTGAAAAACTTCAGGCTGCTGTGTCCTGGAGGTCATTTACTCCAAATGGTTTCCAATTTTCAGTTTTTTCTTCCTTTACTTATTAGCCTGTAGGTTTTCATTAAAATTATAAGTTATATAAATGTGTATTTTTAACAAAGGTGCTTCTTCAGCAAAAAAATAAATTAGAAAAATTATTATTATATGTGCAGGTGCCATCTGTAAATCAGGGACTGCCAGTAACCCAAACTTGATTTGTAATTTTTTTTACCCCCAACATTCACCATTTTGATCAAGAGTTTGTGATCCATTGATTTAACATATAAGTCAGCCAGATGGGCAATAACATGGTATCATAGTTGATTTGCAAAATAATAGACATTAGCCCATTAAGCTTTTGTCATTGGCAACTGTAGGCCCTAGTTTTGCTCTGAAAGATAGCCCATGCTGAAAATTATATGTACAAATTCCATAATTTGGTCAAGTGTTTACACTGGGTTTTGACCACCGAATTCATTTGAAGCTGGGATATAAGCCAGTTTTGAATATCTCTTCCCATTCTGAACAGTCTTTGGTTTCCATGCCCCAAATATTTACTAATTCCCAAGTATATAAAGTATTAGTGGTTTTAAGGCATTACAAATTAGAATGTAGGAAGTTCAATTTCTCTGCCCTCTTGACGGGGGAGGTACCACCTGAGGCTTCACAGAGAGCATACTTGTCTATACTCCCTCTCCAGCCGTTTATCCTGGACCAGGCTGGAATAAAACTTGTTCTGCCTCTTTGGTGAAACTATTAGTCTGACCAGAGGTACAGGAACTGGAACCACAAAAAAATTCTGGAAAGCACATTTATACTGGCTAGTGGTTTTAAGTACTTTTCGGAAATAATCTTGTATCCTTTAAAACTGACCCATAATTTTCTTTTATGGTTTGTCTAGGTTGGTTTTAGTCTTCTTCACTTGATGTTAATAATTTAAATGTTTCTAAATTAGCCTTGTTTTTATTTTATTTCATTTTATTAATTTATTGAAACCTCAAGACATGAGGGCTTTGTGTTCTTAAGAATGATGTAGATGATAACAATTACAGGTATGACCCTCTTTGAGAAAACTTGAAATTTAATATTCAGACTTACAGGAAACCCAGGGATGGATTTTTGGCTATGAAAGATCTTTGCTTTACAAAAGGATTTAACCCTTATATTCCTTTAAATCAGTGGTCCCCAACCTTTTTGGCACAAGGGACTAGTTTTGTGGAAGACAATTTTTCCATGGACTGGGAGAAGAGGATGGTTTCAGGATGATTCAAGTACATTACATTTATTGTGCACTTTATTATACACAATAAAGTGTATTATATTAAATTAATTAAATTAATACACAATATTAATTTATTATACACAATAAAGTGTATTAAATTAATTAATACAAGTTAATATTACATATTAAATTGTAATATGTAATGAAGTAATTATACAACTCACCATAATGTAGATCAATGGAAGCCCTGAGCTTGTTTTCCTGCAATTAGATGGTCCCATCTGAGGGTGATGGGAGACATTGGCAGATCATCAGGCATTAGATTCTCATTGGGAACACACAACCTAGAACCCTCGCATGCGCAGTTCACAATAGGGTTCACCATCCTATGAGAATCTAGTGCTGCCACTGATCTGACAGAGGCAGGGCTCAGGCAGTAATGCCAGCAATGGGGAGTGGCTATAAATACAGATGAAGCTTCACTCATTCACCTGCCGCTCACCCCCTGCTGTACAGCCCAGTTCCTAACACGCCACAGACCAGAACTGGGGATTGGGGCCCCTGGGGGTTAGAGACCCCTGCTTTAAATAACAAGCATATTGACGATATTATTTGCTTTTCAAAATTTAATTTTATATGATCTCTGTAGAGATATAGTTTACTTGAAGAGAGGTACACCCTCAGCACATGTCAGGCAGTAAAAGTGTTTTGCATTTTGCTTACCTGCCTTCACTGTTTCGTGGTAATATCTCAAAGGCATATGGAGAAGTTAGGTTTTCCTATGCCACAAACTCTTTCCGTAACCCAGAGCTGCGCTGCAGTGTGTCGGATGTCATGACAATTAGACATGATGTAACCCAATAAAAGTGATATAGAAATGCGTCTTACCATGTTGCTTTGAGAAGACACTTTCTGCCAAAAACAACAACAAAATCCTTCTAGAGCTATTGTATCCTATAGGACTAAGAACTTGGAATCAAGGGCCATTTTGAAGTTATAAATAACTAGTACCTTATAAAATCTGTTAGGGCCCTAAGACAAAAGGAAATCTTGATTAATAAGCATTGGATCTAAATGCAAAGTGACTCATTCTTCAAAAATAACAACAACAACAACAAAAACTTATGTCTGACTCTCACAGTTGCAGACTGGAAAATAAGAAAGATCTTTTAGAAATGTAGACTAAATGTTGTTTTAAAATAGATTTACATATTTTCCTAAAATGGCTCGAATTAAGCAGTTTGAAACCAGGGACAACCCAGTCTCTCTTCAGCATAGAGACATGTCTTTATAAATAATAAACTGTCACTGCTAGTGATTTTCTTAGTCTCTCTTTTCCTATGGCACACATGGTTTTAATCACTCGTTCCCACCTTGGGTATGGAATGTGGGACTTCAGCCAAGTGCACTAGCACACAGGGGCAAAAGGTGTGAGACCAGGGATTTCTGACTGAGCACTGTTCCTGTGCAGCGCTCGCAGCTTCCCTTCCGGGGGGCAGAGGTGTGAGTTAATCCTGCCGTAGCCCCAGTGTGAAGTATGGAGCTGCTCGGGCAGGGGAGTGTTGTTACAAGTATTATCTCAGCGATGTGTGTGTGTGTATGTGTTTCTTTGTCCTCAGATGTTCGCCCAGGATACTGTTACACAGCTCTGACAAACGGGCGCTGCTCTAACCAGCTGCCACAGTCCATAACCAAAATGCAGTGCTGCTGTGATGCCGGCCGATGCTGGTCTCCAGGGGTCACTGTCGCCCCTGAGATGTGTCCCATCAGAGCAACCGGTAAGAGCCCTTCCAGTTATCTGCAGAATATCCCATCCCAGCCCTCACAAGCCCAGTGGCAATGTGCATGATGCAGATGTAATGGAAACTTGGGTAAATGAGTAGTCTCCAGGAAATATAAGAGATGACGTCCAGGGAAATTTCCCTAGAAAATGCACAGGAAAAAAAAAGGGGTCTGTACAAAGAGTACTGTTTTCAGGTACTGCTTTTTACTTAGCTGGCTTATTACTACTAAACAGAAACCTTTTGGGGAAGTACTTATTCTCATTTTAGTACTTAATGGCTCTCATGGAGTACTCAAAAGCTCAGTAGAGTAAAACTCAGCTTTCAGAATTTTTCAGGTAAGTTGTTCAGGAGACACATTTCCTTTTTCCTAACATTGGACTCTTTCCTTCCTGCTAAGTCCTGCTTGTTTTTTTTTTCCTTCACAGTATCTCTTTTATCTGTCCATTTTTTTGTTTCTATTAGAAGCGTATTTTCTCTAGTCTGGACTGTTCCAGTAGTCTCCTAACTAGTCTCTGAAATCCACCATTGCCATGTACCTTTCCCAAAGTATGAGTCAGTGAAGTTCAGTTTAAAAAATTGTGTCTAGGGGAGAAAAAGGAGACACCTTTTGACTAATTGAGCCTATTTCAAAACACCATGTTGTACACAATGAATGCATACAATTTTTATTCATTAGTTTAAAAATACATAACTAAACAAATACATAAATACAGCACACTTTCGTTAGTCGAGAAAGATGTCCAAAAATATTTCCCCAGGATGAACTCAGGCAATATTTAGTGGCCAATTCACTCCATTTCTTGCAAAGAACATTTGCTACTTAGCACAGTATTTAGAGTCCCAAATCTAATCCCAGTTCATCTTTTTAATTCTTGTTCTTTATAGTAGTTTAAATTATATGATTGAGTTTTCATTGCACCCAATCCGAGCATTTCTGAATTCAAGTTGGCTTTTTTTTCTAAAACTTCTTGCCAGTTCAGGCTCTTTCTCCCTACTCCTGCCATCCTTGCCTGTTATATATCCTCTTTTCTTGTTAAGGATCTGCTCAAACATGACCTAATCCATGAATATCCCGAGGTACCTGCAGCTGGAAGTGCTCCCTTCTTCCTTGTGCTCCTGTGGTTCTGGCTGGTACTATCACTATGGCATGAGTGCCATATGTGTGTTCACATCTTGCTCTTTTACTGGTTGATCAATCTCATTAGGAAATCTCATTCATTATTGTAGTCTCATATTTCTCATGCTTTTTACACTTCCATAGTATTTAGCAAAATCTTGCTTATAGGAGGCATTCAAATACAGAGAGCAACTTATTAGGCAACATCTTTCCCACCAATTGAGCATATTTCAAAACATCACGTTGTGCACAATGAATATATACAATTTTTACTTGTCAATTAAAATACTAATACATAAATAAACAAATACATAGATGAAGTTTACCTTCCTGAGTCCAGTAGGGGACCATTTAGTAGATCACTGTTTAGAAGCACATGACTTCCTACTAAGACATGGCTTAGGTACCAGGAGAATGGCTTTTAAAATGCATATGTTAACTTAGGAATCAGCAGCTTTGATGTGGATTCCTTCCTGTGTTGAGGCTTTGAATAGAGAAGAGGACTAGAGCAGGTTTAGGTGCCTGCAGGAAGACCTACTTTGGGACAGTTGGAGCAGAAGACCAGGTTCCTGTGTGTGGCTTTACAGGGAGCTGTCCTCCCAGGTATACCACTGAGAGATGCACAGCCCTCAGAGGCCTTGGGCAAAACAGATTTATAGAGCAAAATAACTTGCAGGTAGGTTTTTGTTTGTCCAAATGTTCCAGTACTGGTGCTACAGAGATCTGGGCTCTTACAGAGAGTGATGCAGGAAGGATTTTAGATTGGCCAGCTTTTCACTCTTTAAAAAATAAATCAGCATCATCTTGGGTTAAGTGGAGATAGGAAAGATGGACATCAGCTTAACAAAATTAGCCCCACGTTGCTGATCCTGAATGTAAAGGGGCAATGAGAAGATTACTAAATCTGTAAAAAATAGGAAGAAATATCAGATTCAGTCTGATACAGTTTCCTAGAGAGGTTAAGATGAATTTAATGGCATTCTTAAAGTAAAATACCCACCTAATTAGCAGAAATGCTGATAAGCTATTAAATTTCTTTTATATAAATTCAAAAAGTCTTAAAAAGAAAGGCCGAATTGGTACCTACAAATGCTTGGAAGCAAAGTGAGTTCCTTAATGTAACTGTCATTTAATAAAATTAACACATAGTTAATGAATTCCTGTTATGTGCAATTTGCAGGGCAAGGCTGAGAGTGGGAACTAGTCATGAGTTAGAGATGATCCCTGACTTCACAGACTACACAGTCTTAGTGGTGGGAATTTGGTGAGAGCAGGTTCCCAGGGAATGGTGGATATGGCACGTACAGATGATAAATCTATAGGAAGAATCACTGTTGGTTGACAAACAGGATTGAGACATCTTGAGTCAGGGAAGCATGAACAACATAGAATTCCTTTACAAATACATTCAAGTACGTCAGTATCTCTGTAATTTGAAATTCCAGTGAAATCGTAATTAAAATGCTGTAAGAGAATTATCTGAAAACATAAACTTGACCTGAGATGGAAATGTCAAATATGAATGAAGAAATTTTAGAAATGGACCAGAAAGTACCAACAGTACTTTCCTATTTAACCTCATGTAAATTGGCAGAATGTCCCGTGAGGTTGAAATATGAATGCATTTCAGTAAGACCTATTACTGTCTGAAAATAAGTTAAATTTTAGTCTGTAAGGAAAAGAAAAATATTAGTCTAATTTCTATTAATGGCTGAAACTAGCATAGAAGGTATCCATGAGAAAATCACTGTACAACTGTGAAAATAAAATTACCAAAATCCTAGCAAAAGAGGAAAAAAATGAAATTTAAAAGTCACATAGGTTACTTATAGAAGGGAACTATGAAAAAACATGGCTATTTGTAGGCAACATGAAAATAAATAAAATAAATACATCCTTGGAAACCTGGATACTGCTTAAAAACACCTTTTTGGAAGCCCAGAACAAATGTGTGGAAACCTAAAGATGATTTATTTGATAAAGACCTGACACTGTGAAAAATAGTAATCATCCTAAAAATGTAGAATCATAGGGAAGCAGATGATGAAGTCAGGATGTCCTCATTCAGAGGGTCACTATGCAGCATTCATACCCGACCCACACCCCTTGGTGTTTCTCCTCCCTTATGGGCCACTTCTCCATTGATATTGCTTTCTTTTACGAATCAGTATTCTTCAGGGTTCTGTCTTTGCACTCCCTTCTCTTCCCCTTCCACACCACTCTTACATGAGCTCATCCATCCCCATGGCTTTGAGTATCACCTCTCTGTACTGATGACTCTGAAACTCACGTCTAGCCTTGATTCGTCTAAGCTTCACACTGTCTTTTACAACTGCGAAGTGATAGCTCCACTTGGATGTCTGATATCTCAAAACTCCTATGTTCAAAATGGAACTTGGTTTCTACCCACCAAATCTGCTATCACCATGATTTTTCCCGTCCAGGCAAGGGCACCAACATTCACCCAATTGCTCAACCAGAAAACTAGGAGTCATTCTTGACTTCTTGTGTCCTGAGCTCTGACACTTACTACTTCACTGAGCACTATACATTTATCTCAAAAATCTACTTCACTGAACACTACACATTTATCTCTAAAATGTGCTTCAGATTTGTCCACTTCTGTCCGATTCAATCACTGACTCCCCCATCCGGACATCATCATCTCCCCCTTGGTCTTCTGCAACAGCCTTGCCTCCCCGCAGTAATGTTCTTCATATGTTGTAATTGTAAGCATGATCTTCTGAAAATGGTCATCTGATCATGTCCCACCCCCGTTGAAGACATCCAGTGGTTTTGCACTGCGCATAAAATAAAATTCAAATTTTTTAATGTATTCTGTAGAGCCCTGTGGAATCCACAGGTGGGACTGGATGGAGAAAGTAGTACTTTTATGTTTTCCATGAGGTGAATTTTGATACAGATAAAGACTCTGAGGTTTTGGGAGGAACATGGTTTTGGATTTGAATTATTGTTCCAGAGTGGTTGCTGCTGCAGGTATTAAAAATGGGAATCCAGTCAGTTGGTTCTTTTTCTTTTCTCCAGTTGACCTGTGAATTTTGAGGATCAATTTTATTCAAAAATATCTTTAAAAAAATAAGGATGACTTCTGTGGGCCTATGATCATAAGCTACAGCTCAGCTGTTGTGTTTTGTTTTGTTGTGTTTTTCTAGAGGATTTCAACAAGCTGTGCTCTGTTCCTATGGTAATTCCTGGGAGACCAGAATATCCTCCCCCACCCCTTGGCCCCATTCCTCCAGTTCTCCCTGTTCCTCCTGGCTTTCCTCCTGGACCTCAAATTCCGGTCCCTCGACCACCAGTGGAATATCTGTATCCATCTCGGGAGCCACCAAGTAAGAATTCAAAAATCATCTAGTTATTTTTCTTGCATTGTTCAAGTTAACATTTTTTTATTATTTATTTATGCTACTTTAGTCATTAAATAAGTTTGTAAATTGTTATATTAATTTTTGGTTTACATAATGTTATCTATATCTATATCATATGTATGTCTCAATTTTCCTATTGCATAGAGAAAAACGGGAGGCTTCCTATTCTCCAGAGATTAATGTCCTTTTGTTATTGGTGTTTTCAGGCAACTATGGGAGAGTTATGGGCGATAGTTAAATCTGATTCACAGAAAGGATTAATAGAGGAGGTATAATATTAGACTTTAGGTTACAGAGCTTGCAAGGCAGTTTTATAAGTAGTTCAATACCAATATCTCTCTGCCTTTGTTATTTCTGCAAACTAGAGGTTTGAGAGTGAGGTGGTGAAGAGGGCAGAGAAAAGCAGGCTGCAGCTGGGTTGTGAGCTCCCCAGTGCTCACAGTGCAATGTGATCTCTGTTGGCAGGGTGGAAATATGCTCTGTTGTCACCAGACGACCTTTGCCCAAAGAGTATCCTCTTTCCTTTCTGATTCAACATCTTGTTCATTATTGTCAGATTAAGTACTGATGAAAGATACCATAGTTAAAATAATTTTAATGGGGCTTAATGTTCTTCTAGGGGTGCTGCCAGTAAACGTTACTGATTACTGCCAGTTGGTCCGCTATCTCTGTCAAAATGGACGCTGCATTCCAACTCCTGGGAGTTACCGGTGTGAGTGCAACAAAGGGTTCCAGCTGGACCTCCGTGGGGAGTGTATTGGTACGTGATCCATCCTAGGTTGGCACCAAGGGTCTGTTGTAATTCTGTTCCTTGACTCTACTGGTTTTCTATTGCTGCTGTAACAACTTACCCCAAACTTGGTGGCTTAATACAATACAAATTTAAATTATCTTTCAGCTCTGTAGGTTAGTAGTCCAACAGAAGTCTTACTGGGCTAACATCCAGGTGTTGGGAGGGCTGTCTTCCTTTTGGTGGCTCTTGGGAGGAATCCATCTCTTTGCCTTTTTCAGCTACTAGCAGCTGCCTGTGTCCTTAGCTCATGACCCCTTCCTCCATTTTCAAAGCCAGCAGTGTTGCATCTTCAAATCTCTTTGTCTCTCTCTGGCTCTCTCTTGCAATTCCCTCTTCCACATTTAAGGATATTTGTGACTGCATTTGGCCACCTGTATAATCCAGGAGACTCTCCATCTCAAGATCACTGATTAGCTACCTTAATTCCATCTACAACTTTAATTCTCCTTTGCTAGCTAAACATATCCATAGGTTCTGGGAATTAAGACATGAGCATATTTGGGAGGTCATTATTCTGCCTATTAAAGTTACTTTTAACTTTCATTGTAAAAGATACTCAAATCATTTCTGGTAACTCCAATTTAAGACACCCTACCAAAAGCCCTACCATTAAAAGAAAGCGTTAAAAATATCCCCAAATTATGGAATTTTGCACATTATACTAGTCTAAATGTGTAGCTTACCAACTCTCTTAGACTAGTTATTTTAAATGGAAGAAAGAAAGTTTAAATTGCTGATGAGGCATTTAAGCTGGTGAAGGGAGGAAATGTAATGAAAGAATAATCAATTTTTGGATTGGATAAGAACACTCAGCTCCTATCAACTTGTTTTTAAAATAAGTTCACCTCTTAGTTCTGTTATGAATTCTACTTTTATAATTATAAATTTATGATTTGTCAGAAATGATGAGTTCTTACTTTCCCAAACTATTTAATTTCCTGATGATATGAACACCCCTTCTAGAGGTCATCCAGAGCTGAGTAGAAGTGGGAACATCTAACTCAGGGTTGCGGAATGTGAGGTCAAATCTGTATCTGGCACTAAGAAGCATGTGGACAAGTGGGTTATCTTTGCTAAATTTTAGCTTCCTCTTGTTTACAAGTAGGGTCATATAAACCAGTTTATCTCTAAATGTACTGATAATTCTAAGTGACTGTAAAACTAGTGTGAGCCTGTGTATTGAACACATCTGGGGATGGGGGAGACTCTGTGGTGATTGAGAACTGCCCTTTAAACAACAGTTGCTTCATGTTTTGTTCTAACATTTTAGTGGAACTCAGCAGGGAATGCTTGGATATGGTTAGACCTTCTTTTTATTGGAAAAAAACAGAGCTTCAAGAGATACTCGGAATCCTATCCAGAAGCCACTTCTGAAATGTTAGTCTGTTTGGTCCTCTTAGATCAGACTCAAGGAAGAAAAAATGTTTATTAGATCAGATTGTTGAGTTGCTACATGTTTGGAATTTTTCTCTGCAAAATGACACATGAAAATAATACACTTTAACTGCTCAACCAGTCTTCAAATGGCTAATGACATATTGTAGTGGAAAGAAAAAAGATCCTTTTATTATGTTATTTATTTCTCAAAAGGAAAATGTTTTATATGTATAAAAGGAACCCAGAAAGTCTTAGAATTATGAGGTATTGCTATGTAATTTTGCACTAAAATACATTGTGCTTTGCAGATGTTGATGAATGTGAGAAAAACCCCTGTGCTGGTGGTGAGTGTATTAACAACCAGGGTTCGTACACCTGTCAGTGCCGAGCTGGATATCAGAGCACACTCACGCGGACAGAATGCCGAGGTATGGTCCTGGCTCCTGACGTGGAATGTGGGACATATATGCTAACTGGGGGTTGGCTTCAAAGGAGTTCCATGGAGTTTAAATAACCCATGCCGGAAGAGACTAATACAGTCCCGTGGCTTTTTTGAACTTAGTTCCACCTATTGTCATTCTGAAAGACAGTGTCATAAAATCTGGCAAGCATTGAAGTTATTTTATAAGATGCGTCTATGCCTGAAGGAAAATCTTATTTTCAGTATTGTTGTCTCGTCACTATTATTGCCTCTTAAGTTTTCATCTGAGAAGTAGAGAGTGGAATTGTCCTTTATGACACAGCAACTGAGGAAAATTTCAGTTGAAATTATGTGCAATTAATTTCTTAATGGAAAGTTCTAAAAGATAGGGATGTCACTCTAAGCCCTTGCTGCTTTTTAGTGTGGTCAGCAACAGCATCTCCTAGAGCTGCTTGGAAAGGCAGAATCTCAGGTTCCACCACAGACATACTATTGCAGAATCTATATTTTAACAAGATCCCCCAGCAATCTGTATGTACATTGAAGTTTGAGAAGCACTGCTATAAATGTCCCCTCATAAAAAATTTCCCATCAGGTTTATTAACTAATTTATTAAGCCACCCAATATGCCTTTTATTAAATGACTCTTATGTACTGAGTTTCTAAAACAGAAATAAATAAGATACAATGATCACTGTCAGGGAGCCCAAACATCTATCTCCATCTCTATCTCTAAATTAAGCACAAAATGAACTGTATCATTAATTCAGTAAAGACAGAAAAAAAAAACAGGCAAATACTCTGTTAAAGTTAAATAAAAGGGCCCATCAATGATAGACTGGATAAAGAAAATGTAGTACATGTACACCATGGAATATTATGCAGCCATAAAAAAGAATGAGATCATGTCCGTTGCAGGGACATGGATGGAGCCGGAGGTCATTATAATTAGTAAACTAACATAGGAACAGAAAACCAAATACTGCATGTTCTCACTTTTAAGTGGGAGCTAAATGGTGACACATGGACACATAGAAGGGACCAACACACACCGGGGCCTATTGGAGGGTGGAGGGTTGGAGGAGGGAGAGGATCAGGAAAAATAACCAATGGGTAGTAGGCTTAATACCTGGGTAATGAAATAATCTGTACAACAAACCCCCATGACAGAAGTTTACCTATTTAACAAACCTGCACATGTATCCCTAAACTTAAAAGTTTTTTAAAAGTTAAGTAAAAGATAGCGAGGTTTATATCACTTTAGAAAATTGGTAGCCATTGACAAGAGTTAATCTTATTTGCCTCTTTTAGCAAAAGCTCTTCATGAGTTGAAGACATATAGAAGTTTTAATTTTTATCAGTGAACTGGCTTCAAAATTTATGAATTTTGTTCTCACGTAGAGATTTCTTGCCACCAGTGTATTTTAGTGCACTACATATAAATGACCATTTTAAGCAGAAAAAAACTGGAGCAAGGACTTTGAACTCACTAACATTTCTATTAATTAGTTATAAATATGGATAGGTTGAACACGTAACTGAGTTGAGAACCTTCTTAATATTATGACTATTGTTTAATATAATTAACATGTACAAATAGCATACTAGGCATTTTGCAATAACAGAAAATAAAATGAAATCAATGTCCAGAGACTGCACTGTTAAATAAGCAAAGAGAGGTGGTTATTGAGAGCACTCAGCTGGGGCAAGGACCAGCCAGTATAAACTCATGTATGTGGTTGTTATCAATCTGAGACTTAGTATTGGAGACTGAGGATGACCTGAATACTTAAAGCACTGCCTTCTTTAAGAGCTAGCACTAAGGTTATCCTGAAAATAAGAAGTTGAGAACGTGCTCACATTATTTTGCTGATGAAAGTTGCCACAGAATGGTCCAAAAGGCTGTGCACATAACTGGGAAGTAAGTGAGGGGCCGAGTAGAAGGGGATAGAAGGATGGGCAGAAACACAGTAGAGGAGAACTTTGAATGACAAGCTTTAAATTTGTCTTATAGGGCAATGGGGAACCCCATGACATTCTGAAATTGAGGAAGAGAGAAAAATATGAACTTTTTATCCTGTTTATTTTAACCTTGGGCCTCAAAAAATTATGGGATCCTTAAAAAAAAAAAGTCTGCTCAAGAATATGTGGTTTTTACCATTTTTTTTTGAGTGTGGAGCAAGTCTGATTTTTAGCAAGGATTAAGAAATAAACGAGAGAGAAAAAGATCGTAGGTTGTTGGCACAAAGATCAGACAGAAGAAAAGCCCAGACTGCCTCAGCTCGTCCAATGACTTGTGTGGAAACCACTGCAGGATCTGCCCAGAAAGAAAGTGCATCTGAGGGCCAACCACAAGACACCACACAGACACAGGGTAAACAGTCAGAGTAACTGACATGCCATGAACGCACGTGCTCATTGTTCAGGGGATATTTAGGGCACTTATACTCAGACAAATGTGACCTCAACTCTGCATAGATAGGAATGCTCGCATCCAACTCCACATAGTTTCTTGGTCCCTGTCTTCTGGGAATAAGCCCTGGAAGTGATTGTGTGCCTGTGTAGACAAAGAGGTTTGTGTTCATCCTCTTTGATGTTTATCCAGGTTTGTAGCTTCTAGAAACTGAGAGAAACAGATAATCCAGGGAACCATGCTATCCACTTTGGGTAGATTGTTAATATTTAAGGGAGAAATCAGATACAGGTTGTTTCAGTTATTGTTATTTTAACACTTCCGTGTCAAGCTCTGTTGTGTACCTTGGCATAATATTAACCACAATAGAAAAAAAGGAAAAATACCCTCATAGAATCAATATTTTATTTGGTTGGTAGAATACTCATAAAGTTGTTTTTTAAAAGACTAAGAATCTATCAGCAGTAACCCTGCACGTAAACCAGAATTGGTATAAGGAAGATGGACATTTTAGAGATGTGATTGACGGTTTTCAGGCAGAATTAAGGTGATTGTTTAAAAAAATAGCATATGTTGTATTGTTCTGAGATAGCTATAAAATATGTCTTTTAAAATTATATGTTTAAAGATGCCAGCCAAATTTCAGTATAAATAGTGATTTATACTGGTTAAATAGATGTGCTTGGAAAATGGTGAAGAAGAATCTATTTTGTTTACAGACTTCGGATTTAAGGAGTCTTATTAGAAATTAGAGTTACATCTAATGCCATTATACAGGTTTTTTATCATGTCTTTTCAACTCTGATAACCCTAAATATCACATTATTTGATAACCAATTTATGTTGGAGAATATTATTAAGTAATTAAAACCAAAAGCCAAGATCATGAGTTTGCAAATGGAGGGAGGGGGAAATAAAATAATTTTAACTCCCCTAAATAAAGCTATTTCTTCTTTTTAAACTTTGATTTTAGACATTGATGAGTGTTTACAGAATGGCCGGATCTGCAATAATGGACGCTGCATCAACACAGATGGCAGTTTTCATTGCGTGTGTAATGCGGGCTTTCATGTTACACGAGATGGGAAGAACTGTGAAGGTAATAATAGTATACTAATGTTAGTCCTCTCCTTCCATTGCAGTTTCAATATCAGGGGTCTTTAACAAGACCAAATAATGAGTGAAATGTCAAAGTATCAAATATGTTTTATATATTTTATCTCAAAAGGAAGCCTAATTTTCCATGATATTCATTTCTTAATTTACATTTGTGTGAATCAAATAACATTTTAATATGCTAGGAGAGCTTGCCATTTAAAGATCCCTGGTGTGATGAAACTTCTGTGGCACAATTTCATACTTTCTAATTTTTTACAATCAGAATTTGTACATTTTTTAAAAATAGGACACACCTAAGTCTGTGTATTATCTAGCCGTTTATAATCTTTTTGTTTAAAGTGTCTGCCTAGTAATAAAATGCTACTAATCAGTATCTGAAATATATATCTAAAATAGATATAATGTAAAAATACATGTTATGTATATTTTCTATATATGTAATATGTGTATATATATTATGTATATATGTATTTCTGAATATGTAATAGATAATATTCATAAAATACATATTTAAATATAAATAATATATATCTAAAATATAAATAATATATATTTAAAATACATTATATATGTCTAATATATATATTATATATATCTAAAATATGTATATATAATAAATCACTTTGGTCTTTCTAAAGCCTGTAAGTGAAAACACTGTGTCTAAAAGAGCAAGTGCCTCCCAAGACAGCTTTAATATCAAATAAAATAACATAGTGATGAATTTAAAGAACCATCCCCAATGTTTAAGGGATCTTAAAGGTTCACTGCCACAGCTATAATCCATAGTTGAGCCATGTATTCTAAAAGTCCACTTTTTACCTGCCCCTATTTAAAATTGCTTCAAACTACAAGTTATCTTCTGGTTTTCATCTTTAAAAGAATTAGGATGTAGCCTAAATACATTTCAAATTCCACTAATCTTAGTTTTGACTTATGTTCATATTCAGAGCATTAGAAGTAATATGAATCTGTGAAATAAATATACCCACTAGGCTATTAGCACATTTTTCAGTTTGTAAACTATTATTCCTAAAAAGGATCCTGATAACTTCTATGGAGTCAAATTTTATAAATAGATATACCTATACATCTAGCCCTAGAGTTTGCATGCACATGCCAAAACTCAAGAACTTGAGATATGTATTTCATATGTCCCATCTTCTCCTTCCTTAGATGATCTTATTTGGATGAAAGTTAGCCTTAGGCTGTAATAACAAAAAGAAAGAAATACGAAGAAACAGAATTATTTTCATCCAGATTGGTTTCCTTCGTAAGCTTACTCTTCTGGTCATAAGAAAATGTATGTTTTGTATTTTCAGATATGGATGAATGCAGCATAAGGAACATGTGCCTTAATGGAATGTGTATCAATGAAGATGGCAGTTTTAAATGTATTTGCAAACCTGGATTCCAGCTGGCATCAGATGGACGTTATTGCAAAGGTTCGTGCTATAAAACCCTAGATCATGTTCTTCACGTGCCTTTTCTCCTCCTTATGTTGTTTAGAGGTACTACCTTTCTTTACTGATTCTCCCCACTTAAAGTACCTTGAATTTTGGTTTGGGAAACCTGACTGAAACTCCTTCTTAAATCCAGCCATCCAAAGAGCTACAGTTTATGCCCAGAAGACTATTGTTATTTCAGAAAGGGTATTTGAGGTCTTCTCAAAGGAGTCAAAAGCTATGTAGCAAATAAATAATCCAAACTGCCTATTGGTCTTCCAACAGATGTGGGCATTGTTCTCAAGAAGCTGAGTTCTACCTCTTCTTTCCAGTTAGGGAATAATGGTGGTTAGGCTTCTTGGTGGCTGTTATTTGCCACCTCTTACATCTTTACCTGGACAGAATAGTGTAGACTGTTATTTGCAATGATCTCTTCCTCATAATTTCCTCTAGGCATCTTAAGACACAGAAATTTTTTTTAAGGATAATTTATTTCGGCTTTATCAAGTTACATAAGCAAGAAGGGAAACAGGATTAAGCAGAATAAATAAACAACCAAGAACCATTTTTTTAGTTTGGTAAACCATTTTGAAATAATCTCATTGCCCCAGGTATCGAAGCAAAAATGAGGATTTTTATTTTTGCTGTTGAGAATTGGGGTCCTAAGAAAAGTTACTGGAGACAAATTTGTGCTTAGTGTCTCCTGTCTTATGTAGGGATCAGTGATTACTGCACTTGGTCCAGGATCTGAGTTGGAACCAGACTTCTTAAAGAACCTCATACTCAAAGCAGGTCCAGAAAATCTGCTAAAATGCTGCACTTAGAGCTTCTGGGCATAGTTTCAGATGCAGAAGTGTAGAGGGTCAAGCTATTCAAGGTAGAGGAAAGCAGAATAAAGTCCTATGGTGCCTCTTCTCTGTGTGCCCCTAGTGGACAGCTTTGGTAAACGTGTTATGGAAGAAAGCCTTGTATTAAGTCCTTGGCAAGATGTGCATTTTCTCCAGGCTTAAAAGAACTTCAAGCCCTTGGTTGTTTACCTACATTCTCTATGACCTTCACATCAATGGCTCTTAATATTGTGCAAACCTGTCTTCCCAGCAAGAGAAAACAGTTGGGTGTTTCAAATTTGAAGGAGGAAGGTGGTTTCTGTACTTTTGAGCCCTGTGCTAGGAGGAACTTATATGAGAAGACAGGATTAACACATAGAAATATTCTACAGTGTAAAATAGCATAAAACAAAGTGCCAAATTGTGCAAATTTAGCACTGTACAAGTAAAAAAGAAAAGGGAAGAGAATGATTGCTGGAATATTTGGAATTAGGCTTCCAAAAAAAAATAATAGAAAGAGATATGAAAGCCCCTTTGTGAGCAGACCTAGGAGAATACATAATCTTCTTGATGATACACAGAGCACACTAAGATTCACTCTTCATGCCTCTAGGCTCCTGCTGACCCAGGCCACAGCGTCCCAACATTAAGTATGGCCAATAGATAATGCTGTGACCTCATAGATGAAACCAGGTTTGGCAACCATTGGCAACCAGTGAAATAGTATCCTATCAATAAATTGGTTGTTCTATTAATTTGAAAGTGCTGATGATATGGATGGTTTGTTCTGACTTTAGCATTCTGGCTTAAGGATCTGAGAGAGAGAGAGAGAGAGCTCCACAGCTCTGTATTATTATCAATGTCTTATTTTTTTCTAGCTTATAGAGCATAGAGTACACACACTGTAATAAGACTAAAGGATGAAAAAAGAAATTAATCCCATGTATACTGGATTTCTTCCTTTTTATAATTTTTGTCTTTATGCCATAGGGTAAGATTTTCTCCTAGCCCTGAGCACTTAGTTCTGAGCCCACAAAGATGTGACTGTTCAAAGCTGAATCATCAATGCTAATTCAGTCTCCACAGTTAACTCATCTGATCAACAACATGGCTTCTCTGTTCACTCTCTGAAAGTTGAAGCCACTAACTTTGACCAAGGTTACCTCCCTTTGGATCTACCTTACATCTCCGTTCTTATTAAAAACCCTTTGTGTTACCTTTCAGGTTGTAGTCTCCACGTTTTGCTGTGTGTCACAATTTGAATAAAAAGTTGACCAGAATAACTAACCAATTTGAGTTCCTGTATTTAAATATAACTGCTGTTTCAAATACAATCTGTACACAGAACCTTGGACCACCCGAATATATTTTGTGCCAAACAACACAAGCTAAGTAAAACACGAAGGTGTTTTACTCTCAATTTGCCTTTTTAAGGTCAGGAGAAAGTTAATAGTCCCATACACTAGTTGTATATTATAAAAGGAGTTGTTATAAAATCATTTGCTTTTTTCTTTTTCTTTTTTTTTCTAAGACACAGTCTCACTCTGTCTCCCAGGCTGGATGGAGTGCAGTGGCACAATCTCAGCTCACTGCAACCTCTGCTTCCTGGGTTCAAGTAATTCTTGCGCCTCAGCCTCCCAAGTTGCTGGGATTATAGCCGCATGCCATCATGCCCAGCTGATTTTTGTATTTTTAGTAGAGATGGAGTTTCCCCATGTTGGCCAGGCTGATCTTGAACTCCTGGCCTCAAGTGATCTGCCCACCTTAGCCTCCCAAAGTGCTGGGATCACAAGTGTGAGCCACTGCACCTGGCCTAAAATCATTTACTTCTAAGTGTTGTATGTTTTCCAAACCACAATTTTGGTGCCTTTTGTACTTCCCCATATTAAGGGGGGAAAAAACCCTCTGCTATTATTAATATGTGTCCGATAAAGTCTTTTACCAGACCTCCTTAAGTATACACATAAAATACCATAAAGTGTTTGTAAAGTTTAAGAAAGATTTTTCTTTGCTGGGTTCCAACTGCATACAGTGCTGTTATTGGCCAAGAATGGTCATGAAAATAATCTATATTCATTTTCTGTTCTTTTTCTGTGGTGTTCCATCAAGGCTTTAGTTGTATATCCTTTAATTTTAGGCGAATTTTCCCAGAGAGCCAAGACATGGGTGATACTAGAAGTGATGCCAGTCTGGGTGATGAATACCAAAAGGAAAGTCTTCCTGTAGTTTACTATTACCCTAGATTTCTGAGAGCCCTGGAAGAGCTACCCTGGTTATACATTTCACAAAACCCTTTGTCTTTTAGCAGCCATTGTTCTCCTTCCTCTGATTCTGTTTTTGCCTTTGTGATTATTTTGGATACAAAAATCTCTTGGGAGAATATATTAAAGTTACTTTTTATGGAAAATAAGTTCCAACAGTTGATTTCTCTTGATTTTGTTACTGTTCTTTCAAAGGAAAATGAGAATGCCATTTGAGCTTTTGTTGCTGATGCTGCATATTATTTCCTATCTTCCCCATTTTCAAGGGTTAAAACATAATTGTCAACATGTTATAATTTTAGATAAATGTCACTTCATTTTTAATAAGTGCCTTTCTCTGCCACAGACATTAACGAGTGTGAAACCCCTGGGATCTGCATGAATGGGCGTTGCGTCAACACTGATGGCTCCTACAGATGTGAATGCTTCCCTGGACTGGCTGTGGGTCTGGATGGCCGTGTGTGTGTTGGTAAGAAAACATCATGGCTAACCTTATGAGAGAGGTTCAGCCTCTGTCACTCAATAAAGCCCAATGGTAACAAACGCTCTCTACTGTAGCAGATAAGATATAAAGAATATTTGCAGAGCAACAAACCAACAGGGTCAGTTCTCTTTTTGTGTAAATTGAACATTAATTTGAGGATTAGAAAGATGAGCTAAGTGAAAAGCAAGGGAATCCCCACCTATCCTTCCCCCTTTTCTTCCCTAATCCCGTAGCTGTCTTCAGTTTTCTCCAGGCCTCCTTTGTTGATATTGGTCATTGAAATTGATGTGCATATGCTATTATCTCATGATGAACATTTTAATAGAGAATTGATGTCCATGGGCAGTATAGAATGCAAAGGAGAATATGGATAATCCAGAAACCTGTATGATAGTAGTTTTATGAGGCTTTATAAAAAGTATGAGACTTGTTGAAAAATTGATACCAATTTTATCCAGATTATTTTTAAGAAAGGTACTCAGTAAGCCATTTGAATTGGAAAAGGATAGGGCATAGCAGGAGACTGTCTTCCTGGTGGTAAAGATAACACAGCTTAGTTGACCAACATCTACATATTTATATAACGAACCTTTTACAGATTAAACTTTCTCCTTTTTGGAAAGTATACCTAATTCAGACATTCAGTAATTGCGTGTTTATTTTGGGATAGGCCGCATTTCTAATAAAGGTCTTATTTAGCAGGATGTGAGATTCAACATTCATCCATCATTAATTCAACATTTATTAAGTGCCTGCTCTGCACAGGCCCGAGAAAGACAAAATAAGTGAGATATAATTCCAGCATTGAAGGGCCTCACATTTTAGTAAACCATGATACTCCCTAGAAAACTGAAGCAATCTGGCCATTGGTTTCCAGTGCTTAGAAGCTGAACGTGTTTTGTTTTTCTGTTTTTGTTTATTTTTTCTTCAAATGGAGCCCCGATATCAGAGGCATTCCCTGTGAGTTACACCAGGGATGATGGATAAATAAAGCCCTCTTCAACTTTGACTTGGGGGGTTCTCATCTGTTTGAAGTGACAGTGTGATGACAGATGCTTCTTCCTGTTTAGACACACACATGCGGAGCACATGCTATGGTGGATACAAGAGAGGCCAGTGTATCAAACCTTTGTTTGGTGCTGTCACTAAATCTGAATGCTGTTGCGCCAGCACTGAGTATGCATTTGGGGAACCTTGCCAGCCGTGTCCTGCACAGAATTCAGGTATGTGGTATCATGGAGATGCCCTCGTACTGCCAGCCTTCTGCCACCATTGAGGTCTTTGCATTTGTGGAATTCACAGGGAAGATGACATTTTGCTCTCCAGGTACGCCATGTGCCTTCTTGGGGTCTTGGCAGAGGCCAGCCAGTGTCTAGTCACAGGTACTTATCTAAGCCTCATAATTATTTGGAATAGGCATTGCATTTGTGCCTCTCGTATAAACTCTCCTACCTCAATAATACTCAAGCTGTTTGCAATACATGCACCTTGCCTTGTTTTCTAAAGTTGTTTCATGATGTTTGCATTTTGCAGAAACTATTATAAAAGCAGACTTTTACACAGCGTAAAAGTAAATAACTGTCATATTACTTGACTATTTCCACTAGCTTTCCAAAAGGCCATTTGTAAATTTTGTTTACATCCCACGTATTGATTTTGGTGTGGTTTTCTTTTTCTTTCTTCTTCTTCTTCTTCTTTTTTTTTTTTTTTTTTGAGATGGAGTCTCGCCCTGTTGCCCAGGCTGGAGTGCAGTGGCGCGATCTCAGCTCACTGCCACCTCCGCCTCCCGGGTTCAAGTGATTCTCTGCCTCAAACTCCTGAGTAGCTGGGATTACACGTGTGCGCCACCACGCCCGGCTAATTTTTGTATTTTTAGTAGAGACGAGGTTTCACCATATTGGCCAGGCTGGTCTTGAACTCCTGACCTCGTGATCCACCTGCCTCGGCCTCCCAAAGTGCTGGGATTACAGGTGTGAGCCACCGCGCCCGGACCGGTGTGGTTTTCTTTAATGATTTGATTTAACCTGAGAGAAAAAACTATTTTTCTCCAGTTGAAGTGACATGGCCTAATGAAAAGAGAACTGGATAGCGAGTCAGAATTCTCTTCCTCCATCAACAGGCAGCCAAATTACTTAATCAGGGGATTTAGTTATTTGTGTATTTTGCTTATTTCTGAATTTTCCTCACCTACTTTTCAAAAGGATTTGAGGTGGCTTATATTAATAAACATAATTATAAAATAGAATAATGCAGACAAGCTATCCTTAGACACTTCATCTACAAAATGAGTTGCCTTAGATAATCCAAAAGGTCCTGTCCAGTTGTAAATTATTTCTATTTATAAAACAAGAATAGATTACTGAAATTAAAACAATGTTCTGCCAGTATTTAAACACAATTTTAAGGTAGCTTGGCAGTGGACCTCTAATGTCCTAAAATAAAGTTAGACCTAATATTGAAAATATGTAGCTCTGGTTGGTTGTTTTTACATATAGGATTTAGTCAGTTTATTTCTGCCCTAAAGGAAACAAATTAAAGAGTAAATCATAATTTTAAAAGATTTGTTATTTTAAAAATGATAGTATTTGAAAGTAACAGTTGGAAATTAAAATACACTATGAAAAGTTAGAGAAAGTTAAATGGAAGACTTTAAAAGAAATGGGGGGCCAGGCATGGTGCCTCACACCTGTAATCCCAGCACTATGGGAGGCCAAGGCAGGTGTATCACTTGAGGTTAGGAGTTCAAGACCAGCTTGGCTGACATGGTGAAATCTCATCTCTACTAAAAATACAAACGAACAAACAAACAAACAAAAAGTCATGCGTGGTGGTGCGCGCCTATAACCCCAGCTACTCGGGAGGCTGAGGCAGGAGAATCACTTGAATCCAGGAGGTGGAGGTTTCAGTGAGCCAAGATAGCACCACTGTTCTCCAGCGTGGGTGACAGAGCGAGACTCTGTCTCAATAAAGAAAGAAAAAGGAAATGAGGGATGCCTATTTAAAGAAAAAAACTGCTCTGGCTAATGACTTCACCCGGTGAATAATATAGAAATTATCATTTTATGTATGATCACCAATCAGTTCAATATGTGTTTATAATACTTTTATTATATACAAATACCATTCTGTTGAAGACATTTGCCTATAACTTTATAGTTGTATATTATTAATATCATCCTTTTGTGTGTTACTTTAACTTTTCAAAGTACTTTACTTACCTACTTTGAATTTGCAATACAGACAAGTATCATGAAAGCTGGCACACAAGAGTACAGGTGACTTGTTCACATGTTGAATGATTGGAAGAGCCAAGATTTAGAATCCAGGAACCTTGGTGCATATAGTTATTTGCCTTTGTATTTTCCTCTGGACCAAGTGCACTTCCAAAGAATTCTTAAAATCCACAGGGAAATTATGTGGGTTTATAAAAAGGTGACCAAAAGACCAGATTTCTTTAAGCAGTTGTCTTAGTCCAGTTTTTGTTGCAGTAACAGAAAACCACAGATTGAGTAATTTATAAAGAAAATGCATTAATTTCTCCCAGTTCTGGAGCCTGGGAAGTCCAATATCAAGGTGCCAGCATCTGTGGGGGGCCTTCTTGCCAAGTCACTTCACAGCTGAAAGTGGAAGGGCAACAGAGCATGCAGGAGTGAGAGAAAGCTAGAGAGGACTGAATGTGCTTTTATAACAAAGTCACTCTCATGATAACTAACTCACTCCCATAATAATGACATTAATCCATTCATGAGGGTAGAGCCTTCACGACCTAATCACCTCTTATTAGGCCTCACCTCCCAGCATTACTATTGAATTGGGGATGAAGTTTCCAGCACATGAACTTTGGAGGACACATTCAAACCAAAGCAACAGTAAAGCTTAAAGAGAGTTAAATGTAAGGCCCGGTTCCACTAACTTTTGTCTTATATTTGAATGAATTTACCCAAAAAAGGGTCCACACATGGAAGTAGTTTCATTCATTTGGTTTCTCCACCTCTTTGGTCATGAACCATCCGAATGTAGGATATCCCTCATTTCAAGAATGGGGGGTAGGCTGTTTAAAGTACTGAAAATATTCAAAAGGAATGTCTTCAGTCAGTTGAGGGAGAGACTCCAAATATACAAAATCTGAAGTTCATCTTTGTGGTCTGCAAGTCAGGCAAGCTACATATGAAGCTGTTTCTCACTGGTTGCTGGAGCTGATTCACATTGTTCAGCAAGCCCTCTTGTGTCCTCAGCCTTCTGACAATGACATTTCACAGACATGGATCAGTTAAACCCACGGGAGTGTAATTGGTCAGTTAAACCCACAGGAGGGTAATTCGGGGGGATTTTCTCATGGATCCCTCATGTCACTGTCTCCATGGCACTACGCGGAGTTAGCTCATCAACACCTACCCCTCACTATGTGTTTATAATACTTTTATTTACTTATTTTTTTATTCAGGGCCTGAGCTGTGCACAGTACACGTTCAATCATTAAACATGTAATGTTAATTCTGTACAGCCACCAGGTGAAATGGGAGTTGTCATTCCAAATTTATGGGAGAAGAAACTAACAGAGGAAAAGGGCTGCTTCCAAAACTCCCAGCAATTAGCGTTGTCATCGGTATTAAAACCCATGCTTATTTGAACTCACTACAAAAAATGGTCTAGTACCAGATCCTGCCTAAATGGAAAACAATGGTGACAATAATTTGCTTCCATTTAGGCCAAACATCAGCAAAATTGTCATTATCTCTAAAAGTCCTTTTTATAAAACTGGTATGATTTTGGTTTTCTTGTTTTATTACTTACAGTATTTCATGCATATTTTAGCTTTTTGCTGATACAGCAGAATAAAAAAGATGAATTTCTTTTTGTTCCCACACCTGGCTTTCAAACACACCTTCCCATCTGTTGTTTTTTTGACCCCTTCTAAGATGGTTTGAAAATTAAATCATCACTGCTTTCTCAAATTCACATTTGTTAGAAGACATGATAATCTTTGGTTGTATAACTCATTTACCTCCAATGTCATCAGGATGCAATTCTCTGGCATGCAGGGGATAGGAACTATTTGCTTCAGCAGTGAGGTGCAGTCAGCCTCTACAATAAGCCCCAGCCCTGATATCCAGTTCTCCTTCCACTTAAGCACAGATGATTTACATATGACCATGAGACTGTGTTTGCCAGAAACCATTGGCAACTTAAGGGGACACTAGTTTCCTTTCCTTGGATAGTGTGATTCCAGTTAGTTCTACATTTTCATCATTCACTCTTATGTTAAGTATTGTTGGAATTGTATATAAAACATGGTATTAATTTTAAGAAATAGAAATTTGATTCTATCTCAAATTTGGGGACATATTCTTTATACTTCAGTTTTTTCAATATGATCTCACAGTTTTAACATTAAGCAATACTTTCTCTATGGATATACCATAGAGAATGAATCCAGTATCCTGATACATATTAACTTTAAAAATACACTTAAATGCAAGAGTAGGTATTCTGTTGTTGCTCTTGTGAGAGGAGGCTAGAGAATTTGCAGAGAGAAATGAGGAAATGTTAAGAACCAATTGTACTGAAAAAACAGCTAGCACTGAGAAACAAAATTATCCCCAAGATGGTGGGAGAAAGTTTTATTAACAGTTAAGAAACCACATTTTAACAGGCACATTTCACCGTAAGTGTAAAGTGTTCCCTGGTGAACAAAATCAAGTTATAGGAAAAACACCTTTTCCGAAAGGGCTTTGCACAAGGAATTGCTATAACTTGCCTGTATCCTTAAAAGTTGTTTTCCTTGATGATGTGTAGCCTTTAAAATGGGAGCCTGGTGTAAAGGTGACTCCCTGGGGAGATACCTCCTTTTCCGTTACCACTTAAGTTTGGTTCTACTCACTTTGGAGGAAATGATGTGTGCAAAACCAAGGGCAGGATCTACCTGTTCTGCAAACAAGGGAATCATTTACTATCTGTTAATTTATTGCAGCGGAATATCAGGCACTCTGCAGCAGTGGGCCAGGAATGACGTCAGCAGGCAGTGGTAAGGATTCCTTTCAAAATTTACTACCTTCAGTATGTGCAGAGGCAGCATCAGGCTTTCTTGTGGGTTTCCAGTTGATCCCTTTACACTAGTCTGGCCTGACTCCCTCTCTGGCCATCACTGTGCCATGTATCTGGGATGCTCAGAAGCCTTCAGTGGCAGAGCAGCCGGGGCACTGTGGGCTCTAGGATTTCTGGGTGTGGCTGTGGGACTTGGCCACTGAGGGGGTCAGGTGCTCTCTCAGTGTGGTTGATGGGTGCTCGCAGATGATGTGTAATGACTTTTGTTGCTCATGCTTGAGAAGGGGCAGCCTGACTCTCTTGTGGATCTTCCACTATCAAGTACCACTCGGGATGATGGGCTAGTTGAACCATTCTCCATCTGCATTCTGAAGGATTCTGAACTGTTAAGTGCTCAGTATTATAAAATGGCAATAGAGAGCAGTGACAACAATTAACTGAGTTAAAAGAGAATGAAATATTTAGCTAGAGAAATATTGGTGCCATGCAAGGAATTAAAGTTAAAAAGGAGAATTGGAACAAGTATGACAATAGGTGACAAGAAAGAGGAAGGGATTATTTTATTAATATAAAGCTACATAGTTTGATTCAGGGAGATCTGAAAGAACATGGACTGGCTGAATTGATTGTCAGTTCATTCAGTATGATTAGTTTCATCATTGTGCGTGAATGAAAATGTGGAGGGGATATTTAGAGGAGGAAAGAGGAGAGGTAAGGAAACTTATAACGAATAAGGAGTTAATGGGGAATAAGTAAGTTGTGATAGGGACTTGGAAGAAAAAAAAAAAGTCAACCCTAATTTATAGAAGAGTCAGGCACCAGGATTTGAGACTATCCATTCACTGGTTGTCATTCTGCACCTGCCTTGACTATGAGATTCCCTCCTCAGTTGTGAGGGTACAGAAGAGGGAGGGCCCCACCTCAGGTGGGCAGAGCAACGGAGGCTTTTTCAGAGCATGTGGTGTTGGAGCTGGCTTTTGACCTGTAAATAGGCCTGCTCCAAGCATTCCTGACACAGAGTGAAGAGGGCATTATATGTTCATAGAAGAGTGTGAAGTCTGGGATAAGTAAACAAAGAATTTATATTTTAGTTTTATCTTGAGGATATTGTTGAACCTATGAAAGTTTGAACCATGAGAACGATATAATACCTTGTTTTTAGGATGGTAAGAATGGTTGCAGTGTAGAGTAGTGCAGGGTAGATGGAAGAAAGAGGGGCTGGTGGTAGGGAGACCAGTTGTCGGGACTTGGGATCTGCTGTCGATCCATTTTTCCATCTTGGTGCTTGGACTAGGAGAAGTCCAGGAGGTCTCCTTCAGCTTGATTAAGGATTGGTTATCTTGTAGTTCCAGCTGAGATGCAAAGTTCCTCTCAGGAACTTGTGGGAGAAAGATTGGACTCAGAATATCTTACAGTGAGAAAAAGAGACAGAGTGTTCTCTTTCCAGTGAAATCGATTTTTTTCCTCCTGTAGCTCCTAAGGTCATTACATTTATTGTAGTGTTATATTTTTAACAATTCATTCAGTATTTATTTTATAATCTTAATTGATTTTGACCTTTTTTGTGGTGCAGATATAAATGAATGTGCACTAGATCCTGATATTTGCCCAAATGGAATCTGTGAAAACCTTCGTGGGACCTATAAATGTATATGCAATTCAGGATATGAAGTGGATTCAACTGGGAAAAACTGCGTTGGTGAGAAGTTTTACCCATTTTCTGAAACATTGCCTGCATAATGCATTCCTTCTTTCATTGCTGGGAGAAAACTGCCTTTGAGTAGCTTAGAGGACTGGGCAAATGGACACTTTATACTTCGGATGTTAGCACAGCATATACATATCTTTAGTAACAAAAATTTACATCACTGAATCTTCACAGTTTATGAATAACGATGTATCAGATTCACTCCTTGAAATGATTTGCTCCTTAAAATAATGATGTATCAGATTTCACTCCTTCAAAGAGAAGCTCCTTAGATATAAGATGCAGAGATTCTGAGCCATTCTCATGTGACTACAAAGTCAACCTTGATTTTACTGAGAGAGAAGCAGCTCTTCTCCCAACCATTTATTAGACTTAATCAGAAAAAAACACAGCTTATTTTCAGGAATACCTGCTCTCTTAAAGTTGGGTTTTGCTTCAGACAGGCATATTATTCAGCTAAAAGCAAGCAGTTTTCCTGAGGTCCCTGAATCATGAAGCTAAATTCCCCATGACAATCATAAATGCTACAGATTACTTTGTACTTTATAATCATACCTGGAGACAATTTGAATTATTATAAGGAAGAAACACCCATTCTGGAACTAACACATTTCAAAGTTGGACCATACTTTCTAAATATTTATTTAGTTCCTTAAATCAATAAGGTTAATCCTTTTAATTCGACAAAATGAATTAAATTATATAAATTTAATTATATAATGTAACTCTATAAAGATTAATGATTTCCAGCAAATCTGTATTTTCTTCCTGCTAAAGAAATAAGTGAATTAAATAGCCTAGTGACTTTAGGCTTTGTAGATATTTAGTTTAGATACTTAGTTTAAAACCAGGTCAAGCCTCTGTTTTCCTAAAATGAGATAGTTTAGGTAAAAGCTAATGCTACAGGAGTTTTGCCTTTTTGCTTGAATTGATCACGTCGTTATGACTTTAAAGATCTAATGTAAAAGAGCAAAGTAGATACAGGCAAAGTTTGGGCCCTTTTTAAGTGTTTATTTTCATTGACTTTGCAGATATTAATGAATGTGTACTGAACAGTCTCCTTTGTGACAATGGACAATGTAGAAATACTCCTGGAAGTTTTGTCTGTACCTGCCCCAAGGGATTTATCTACAAACCTGATCTAAAAACATGTGAAGGTAAACCATATTTTTGTTCTTATACTGTGTACTTTGCTATCTTTTGGAATGCCATTAGAAAACCATAAGACTGAATTAGAGTCTCCTGTATTTTAGACAGTTATGCCAGTTTAGTTGAAATTCTGTGGTTCTACATGGCACTAGTATGTACTTTGTAAGCCACTTATGGTATTTACTTGTAATTGGCATTTTAATTGCCATCATTTAATAGATAAAGAAAATGTTATGTGTCTGCTATTTGAGCTATTCATTCAGAAATCACATACACATTTACTCCAGATTTTCTAAATAAAAAGATTCAGCCAAGTCCCGTATTCTATACTATAGAGATGTACTAGTCTATACTATAGAGTTATTATTTTGGCATTCCATCTAGTGTAGGAAAAACTATTTAGCCCAGCTTTACTGTGTGGGATTAAGGATATGTAGTAGCAATTGGGGTCAAAGTTGAAGTACTCTTTTAGGCCCAAGACTAGATTTTAGCAGTAATGTAGACCTGTTTTTGTTTCAGACATTGATGAATGCGAATCAAGTCCTTGCATTAATGGAGTCTGCAAGAACAGCCCAGGCTCTTTTATTTGTGAATGTTCTTCTGAAAGTACTTTGGATCCAACAAAAACCATCTGCATAGGTATTTATCTTTCTGAGAATGATTTTTCTATGTTTATCAATGTTGTTATACTTAATGTCAGCTTTTCCTGCAAAAGAATTTAAGTATGGATGAACAATATTAAAAACTTCATTATTCCTTGTTTCAAATGCTATTTTTGTCTATAATTCCAAGGTGTATGTTTGAATTTTTATATAGATTCTATTAAATATTATTCCCTCCTCTGCAGAAACCATCAAGGGCACTTGCTGGCAGACTGTCATTGATGGGCGATGTGAGATCAACATCAATGGAGCCACCTTAAAGTCCCAGTGCTGCTCCTCCCTCGGTGCTGCGTGGGGAAGCCCGTGCACCCTATGCCAAGTTGGTAAGAGAAACCCATGCTGTGGTTCCTATACCACTCCAATGGTCTTTGCATAAAAAGGGGAAGCCTAGTATTTCATTTATCTAGGCTCACATGAGAATTTTCAAAGATTTAATCCTGATGGCCCCGAACATATTGCTGAATGGGAAATAAGAAGTGTCAAATTTTATGTGATTTTGTTCATTTATTATTTTCTATCTTCACATTGTAATGTGGTTAGTTTGTGTTGCTTCCCTGGAGCACCAGTGCCTGCCAGCTCTCTTGGGAACCTTGTGGTTAGGGGTTCTGAGCTTTTTATAGGTACAGATTATCTTTCAAAAAGCTAATTGATGTAAAGAAACCGGTATTCATGACTAAACTTCATAAGGGTTTCTGGTGAACTTCTAAATCTGTTGGGAACTTGAGGTTTGAGAACCTTGCTCATGGTTTTGCTGATTTAATGTTTAAATATATAAATGTGTAAATTTATGTGAATGCTGGAGGCCATGAGATCTCCAAATTATAGACTTGAGTTTTCTATATTCAGGTTAAAGTAATTCTATAGTGTGATTCCTATTTTCAGGTGAACAGCAAGAGAGAAAGCTACCTTCAGTTTCCCTCTTAGCTATCACTTTAACATGATCTATAGGGCACGTCTGTGTCTTTTGGAGTATCTTAGTGGAATTGAGCTTTATTTGAGGAGACATTTCATTACTGTTCTTCCTCACCTATGCAATCGCAGAAACATTTTGTTATCTCATACTTATAGCAACACAATCTACTTCATGTTCCAGGTCATCTTTCATGTTTCTTACACTATGTCAGAACTGCAAAGTCTGGATATTGTTATCTCAAATTTGTTTTCTGTTTTGTTTTTCGCTTTTTATTACAGATCCCATATGTGGTAAAGGGTACTCAAGAATTAAAGGAACACAATGTGAAGGTATTTCTGATTACTTATAAACCATACATTTTTGTGTGCATAATGAATGTTTGTGTTAACTCGGACTGGATAAAGCTGTCATATAACTTCACAGGGAGAAATATGCAGCAGAGAAAAAAAATAATGAGAACTACAAAACGGAACAGCTGTTAATTTCACAAGCATATATATACTGTTGCTAGTGTCAGAACGCTATGTCCAAAGGACAGGGTGGGTGGCTGAAAATGTTTTAGGTTGATCGCAGTTTAGAGAGACTGCACTTTCAAAATGCTATCAGGAAGAGAAAAACAGGAAGTTTTTGATGAGTCTGTAAAATTTGCCTTTCTTTGGTTTGTCCTGGCATTTTTTATTTGTTTGTTTCACAGTCATGGGTGATTTAGAAGGACACATTCTGTTTTCTCTTTGTTGAAAGTCTGCATGGAGTTTCTTCAGTTTGCTGTGATTCTTTCTCCTGGAGTTTCAGATAGACATAGGTCATGGTGACTAACACAACCTGACATGACACAGCAGCTGAAAAATTTTAAAAACAGCAATTAGTCCCATATGTGGGATGAAATGAAGTTTTTTCCCTGTTAAAACAAAGAGGCACACTACAACCCCCACCCAAGGTCTTGCTTTCCAAATGATGACTGAATCCTTTGGCCTTTCTCTGGTCCAGACCCGCTGTTAATAACTTATCTGACCTCAGCAGCATATTTTGTTGTACAAGTGGCCAAAACAAAACAAAAAACCCAAAAAGGTAGATTCCACCCTCTCCCCATTGATCTCTCTTACAAGGAAAGATTCAGAATATTTTTTCAACATTCCTGTTGTGGAAAGTTATTTCTTCTAAATAGAGACACAGTGTGTATGAGTTTCTTAGCTAATGTTCCCCCCTCTTTTTTTTTTGGCATTGGCAAGTAAGTGCCTTTCTTTTGATTAACTTGGTGGTGAATACTTTTCCAAATTAAGTGCAGAGAACATATTGCTCTCCATTAGGCAAACTGGGAAGGACTGGTACATTTGAGAGAGATTGGATGAATGATGAATGAATGAACATGAGTATCTTTTAATTCCCCTCAACCCAAGCTGAGACCAAAGCATGGACAGAACAGCCTGAGACCATGGCTGAGTTAGAATTGATTGTACATTTTCTGGTGATTTATCAGAACTTCTTAAAAGAGACCCTTCACTGGCCCACATATTCCTTGGTGGGATATTTTTCTATGCTGAACTTCAAGCTGTTTCTTCTTTGCTAGTTTGAAAAACCAGGTTTTTGCTTCTCTACTCATTTCCAGACATCTGGTCTCATAAAGCAAATTATATTGCTGGGAACCTTACCTGAAATGTCCGCAGCTACCAGAGCTGTCTCCAAGAACTCACACCAGCTGCCTGTCTCTACAACTCAAAAGTTATTCCCTGAAACCAATGGAGAAACTCTTACATATTTAGTAATAGGTGGGCTCGTTCTGGTTGCTATTCAGGCACCCTAGAAATTCTACACAAACTACTTGTAGGCAAACTAGTTTTATGAACTTACCAGGTTCAAAATGGGGAATAATTATGACTCTATGAGTAGAATAAGGTAGAATGATATTATAAAGATATATTAACTTTATACTTTTTTTTTCTTTTTAGATATAGATGAATGTGAAGTGTTCCCAGGAGTGTGTAAAAATGGCCTGTGTGTTAACACTAGGGGGTCATTCAAGTGTCAGTGTCCCAGTGGAATGACTTTGGATGCCACAGGAAGGATCTGTCTTGGTAAATACTGAGCTCATTATTTTTCTAATAATAATTTATTAACGATTATTAAAAATGAAGTTAACAAGATATAGCTGAGCACTTAGCTTCAGGTACAGACACACACTCCAAAATTCAGCATGTCCGATAGGGTCCATGGCCACTCCTTTGACAGTCTTTCAAATAGTAAGCAGCAACTGTAGTTTCTGTTGATATGCAACTATTCCTTAAATCACTAGCATCACAGTTATTTTTCCAGAGCTCTTAAATCGGCCCCATATGCCGTGAACTATAAAATACAAGCTGAGTGGTGGAGAAAAGAACAATATTTGCACATATTTGGAAACTGTAGCCCATGTCTTCTAAGCATACCCTGACATTGGCCAGAAGGACAGGTCCTTGCAAAAACACCTGTGGAGATCAGGAGTGAAGATGCCACTCCCCTGAAAAGTGAACCTGAGAAAGCTCAGCCCAGGGTAGGTATCACTGCTAGTCATAGTGGGATATTCTGTGCCAACTGCTAGAGCCCAAATGGGATCCTCTAGCCAAATTGTCTCACCCCAACCCTAAGTCCTTAGAACTCTAAGTCCTAAGTCCCTATGGGCTCGTGATAGTGGCAAGTTTGAGATCGCACATCTCATGCATCTAAGGTCTGGCAGACTTATTCTGGTGTTACTACTATGGCTTCTGCCTGCCTAGAGTATATCCCTTGGATCACTGGTTTCTGAGTTCATGACTCTGGAAATGATGCTTACCTGTACTTTGCATCTGAAACCACATTACTTTGAAGTGTAGGCTCAGTGAAGACTATTGTAGGTAGTTAAAAAAGTGGGCCGGGTGCGATGGCTCACGCCTGTAATCCCAGCACTTCGGGAGGCCGAGGCAGGTGGATCACGAGGTCAGGAGATCGAGACCATCTTTGCTAACATGGTGAAACCCCGTTTCTACTAAAAATACAAAAAAAGTAGCCAGGCACGGTGGCGGGCACCTGTAATCCCAGCTACTCGGGAGGCTGAGGCAGGAGAATGGCATGAACCCGGGAGTTGGAGCTTGCAGTGAGCCGAGATAGTGCCACTGCAGTCCGGCCTAGGCAAAAGAGTGAGACTCCGTCTCTAAAAAAAAAAAAAGAAAAGAAAAAGAAAAAGAAAGTGGTATACAGTGAAGGATTTTGATCACTTACGAATTAGAATTAACAAACCTTTAAATATTGAACTTTATAGTTTATAGTGTAAATAAATAATATGGAATGGAACCGGGAATTCAAAGCCAAAAGTATTTTTGTAATTAAGGATGTCAGTTAATGCTATTCTGAGTCTTAGTTTATTTGTTTAGGAAGAATCAGTATTTAATGAGAATCTTCTTCTAGGTTCTTCAGTTGAAAGATGCTTCAGTGTTTAATTTAGGATTCACTTAAAAATAATTTATCTTAATATGGGCAGTCTGAATATAAAGCTGAATATAAAGACTTCAAAAACTTTCTAACGTTAGAGGAAACCCAGGGAGTTAGATATATTGTTAATGACCCCATTGTGAAGGAGAAAGAGAAGGAAGATACATCTTACATTTCAATTACACTTCATTATTTTCAGATGCATAATCTCAGTTGAGCTTCACAGAACCTTCTGAGAGATGAGTGCAACATCCTGTAACAGATGTGGAAATTCAGGTTTAGGATAATTTATTGAAGACAATCCACTGAGTTACAGAAGAGGACCAAAATCCAGCTCTTCTGACCTCTGCTCTGCTAGGCTTTCTGCTCTTCTTTATAATCCCATGAATTTGGGTTTGGGGCTAGAGGTATCCCACAAGTACCTTGAAGAATGTGCCCTTAAGCACGTGTTTAGGTGAAAGAAATATTTGAGAAGTAAAGTGAATGGCTTTTCTTTGCATTTTTCTCTTTAATCTCAAGTAAAGCAGTCCTCTTTCCAGAGTTCATCATTCCACCTTTCCAAAAATGAAGTGGGTCGGAGGAAAAGGTGATTGCACTAGGGCAGACACGCTCCAACAATAAAGAGTACAGTTGGCTTTTAGCTGTGGAGGACATGCCAAGACATCATGGCATGCACGCATCGGTGATAGGTATTTCTGTACAGGAGAAAAACATCTCCCGAAAGAACACTGTGGGATCTCTCAGAATACCATTCCTTATGTAGAATTATCAGATGTTGAAAGGGAACTTTTCAGAAGTAGGAGGTGCAAACATGGGCTGACAAAGAGAGTCTTTATTAGGCAAGGATACTTACCCCAGAGCCTGGGGTTTTTTTTGAGGAATAAAACTAATTCCAGTCAATAAGTATACAGCAAATTATTATGTGTGCAGTATTTTACCTAACAGAGTGTTGGCAGTTTGGGGCAGTGGAAGCCGTGTGGCTCTATTTAACCTCCCTTGATTCCCTCTGACAGATATCCGCCTGGAAACCTGCTTCCTGAGGTACGAGGACGAGGAGTGCACCCTGCCTATTGCTGGCCGCCACCGCATGGACGCCTGCTGCTGCTCCGTCGGGGCAGCCTGGGGTACTGAGGAATGCGAGGAGTGTCCCATGAGAAATACTCCTGAGTACGAGGAGCTGTGTCCGAGAGGACCCGGATTTGCCACAAAAGAAATTACAAATGGAAAGCCTTTCTTCAAAGGTACAATGTTACGTTTTCCATGGCCAATTGCCTCCCTTTTTAGACAAATAGGATGCATTTTCATGATCTCAGCACTCTACTTGATCATCCCAGCATGGACTTTTTGCTTTCTGAATTATATAATTATCTTTGTTTAGAAAAGTATGAACTTTTTGTTTTTAACTGTTTGGTCCAAGAAGTCCTGGGGGTTAAAATTGTTCTGTATGGAGAGATAGTTTCAGATAGTTTCTAGGTGGCCCTCTTAAATGTCAGTTACGTAAACTCAAAGGAACTTTAATTTTGCTTCCAAAAGCTATGGTAATTCATTGCTGAAGAAGGACTTGGTGTTCTGGAGATTTAATCTCCCAGTTCTGTCTTACATGTAGAAATTACTTGCGTATTTCTTGAGTGTTTGGTCTTGTTTTGGAAAAAGGCCCTGTAGTGGGAAACTCAGGTCACATGTTACATGTATGCAGTTTTCTAGTGTACAAGAAGCTCTTTAAATTATATTAATGAGATCTTGAGCTGGATGCGGTGGCTCATGCCTATAATCCCAGCACTTTGAGAGGCCAAGGTGGGCAGATTACTTGAGTCCAGGAGTTCAAGACCAGCCTGGGCAACATGGTGAAACCCTGTGTCTACAAAAAAAAAAAAAAAAAAAAAAAAAAAAATATCTAGGCATGGTGGTGCACACCTGTAATCCCAGCTACTCAGATGGCTGAGGCACAAGAATTGCTTGAATCTGGGAGGCAGAGGTTGCAGTGAGCCAAGCACACCACTGTACTCCAGCCTTGATGACAGAGCAGATCCTGTCTCAAAAAAAGAAAGAAAGACATCTTAAGGTATATACATTAAGAAAATATTTTTAAATTGTACAAATTATTTGCAAATAATTTAAATTATAAATTATATCTTTGAAATTTTTATATTTTTGGCATATCCAAAAAAGCACCAAACAGTATTAAGTGAATATCTCATTCTGCTACACAGTCAATTGATAGCTGTAGGATAATATATTCTAATAATGTTCTATGTGCTTTAAATATAGATACTAGTGGTTTAGAATATATTATCTATTCACTCAGCAAGTAGTGGTTAAATATTCACTATGTGTCAGGCAGTGTGCTGGGCCCTAGAAGTCTGAATAGACACATTATTTGCTTCTTTAACAATGCTTTATAAAATGTAGAAATTTGAAAGGCTAGAAATGTTTACAAAGTCATATATCTCATGGATCATCACACATTCTTGGAAATGTATACTGCCAAGACCTTAAATCAAGAACTTCCAACCTTCATGATTTAAAATGGTGGGCATTGAGACCTCCTGACTGCTTGCTCATAAACTTATTTTGCCCCACATTTTCTTATTCTTGAAGATATCAATGAGTGCAAGATGATACCCAGCCTCTGCACCCACGGCAAGTGCAGAAACACCATTGGCAGCTTTAAGTGCAGGTGTGACAGCGGCTTTGCTCTTGATTCTGAAGAAAGGAACTGCACAGGTCAGTTAATGAGCCTTAAGGGCCAGGAGAGGGGACGTCCTTTAAAACTCTTTATCTTTAACATATTGTCGCAAGAATTAAGGCTGTCCTGAGACTCATTTGCTGCCACTTGCTGTTTTTGTGCAGACATTGACGAATGCCGCATATCTCCTGACCTCTGTGGCAGAGGCCAGTGTGTGAACACCCCTGGGGACTTTGAATGCAAGTGTGACGAAGGCTATGAAAGTGGATTCATGATGATGAAGAACTGCATGGGTAAGTTTGGGATCATTTGATCAACACAGAAAGAGAAGGATTCCATGAAGCTTTGATGGCTCATAGCCTATGTTCCAGGTTCTTCCTGCTGCCCCAGTGCAACCAGTGAAGTTAGGAATCAGTCTGCAACAGAGGGAGACTGAGGTAGAAAGAATGAGGGAATTCATGCTGTGGGTTTGTGGGTGATGGCGGAGACCAGTTGTGGGCCCTTGAGAAGTGATTTTAACACCTGAAATGGATACCCAGGCGGAAGAGAGGACAATTGAGACAGAAGCTGTAGTAGAGGTCCCTTTACAAGATGTCTGTCCAACACTTCTAGAAAAGGTGATTGGTAAACTTGTTGCTTTAGGTCTGGTTTCCTAGAAACAAAGTTTGAAATGGAGATTCTTGCAAAAGTGGTATTTCTTACTGTGAGCAAATTCTCTCAGAAGGTACTTGTCAGGAAGTAAGGAGAGCAGGGTAGTGCAGGAGAAGAAAATAAACCAAGAGTTTGGCTGCATTTTGGTTTTAGTCTGATCCTGCAGGGAGATCTGGTGTATGAATAGCACCAGAGAGTTGTCCCACCTTGAGACAAGGAGGTCAAGATGGACACCCAGCAATGGGTGGGGGAGGAGTGCTTGGTCTGGTGGAGGAGATGAGGCCCCCACCTTTAACATGGTCATTTCCATTTTGCAGATATTGATGAGTGTCAGAGAGATCCTCTCCTATGCCGAGGTGGTGTTTGCCATAACACAGAGGGAAGTTACCGCTGTGAATGCCCGCCTGGCCATCAGCTGTCCCCCAACATCTCCGCGTGTATCGGTAAGGAGAAAGACTTTCACACCATTTACTTGTGGTCAGTTGTTTGAATGACATCATTGCCAAAGTTGGAAGCTTATGTTTGGGTGTTTGTTCTTCTTATTTTCCCGACAGACATCAATGAATGTGAGCTGAGTGCACACCTGTGCCCCAATGGCCGTTGCGTGAACCTCATAGGGAAGTATCAGTGTGCCTGCAACCCTGGCTACCATTCAACTCCCGATAGGCTATTTTGTGTTGGTAAGTTCTTTTTTATTTTATTTTATTTTATTTTATTTTACTTTATTTTATGTTATGTTATGTTATGTTATTTTATTTTATTTTATTTCATCTCTCCCTAAAACACTCTATGTACTCTGAGTTTTGTTTTCATCGCTACTTTTACTTATCTTTCTTGTTTCCCTGCAATATTCTTTTTATAGTGGCTCACGATCTTTGGATCTCATCTCCATTATCTGTTTAAAGAGCCAGTTAAGTGAAGGACATAGGATGTTTTAGCTCTAATAAGCATAATTTGACCCATGCCGTTTGGATAGGGAACAGTAGCAGCATGTGCTTTGTCTACACACATGCATACCAATGCACATTAACAAATGGTAACTAACCACCTGAAATAAACTAAACACGGTGAGTGCTGTGGAAAAGAGCAGAAAGCTGAGTTGAAATCACTGCCCTTATGTGGTTTAGATCAGCTAAAAGATTTCAAAAAAATAACTATTGGAAAGAAGACCATGGAATGTTCATATCTTACACTGCAATTGAGGCTATGCCTGGCTCTCCTTAAAGATGGGTTTTTGTGGGACAAGAATTTTGCTTTGTGGTCAGCCCTCTGTAGGTTTAGTCGTGCTGTGAAGAGTGGCACAGACAGTCCTGTGGCTTTATTGTGCCCCGAGTCAAAGTGAAACTTTGTAGAAACTGCCAGTTTTTGCCTGGTTTGGGGTGTACACCATGTGGAACTGCCAAGTCTCACATGGTTTCCACCCAAAACCATAAATCAGCCCAAAGTTTTCTGAAACATGGCCCAGGACAACTCAGAACTTCAACTCAGGTTATTGAAAAAGATTGGAACCTCAGCCAATCAAACTGAATTTCAAGTTTATAAGTGAATCTGTGGCCAAGAGAATTTCATCCACGTGCCTATTATCATAACTGAGATGTGTTCTCCTAGCACCCAATACTTCTCCTGCATTGCAAATGGCACATCATGCATGGTGCAATTAATTGTTCATCTGTCTCCTGGCCACAGTGTAATCATTTTGAAGTCAAAGATTGTGTCTGTCCCATTCACTATTAGAGTCTCATCTCTAGCATATAGTAGGTATGTCATTAACATTTGTTGAAGGAATCAGTGACTCAGTTGCCCTAGAATGCTTTTTCCCCTTTATTTGACGTATGCCTGGAAATGTTAAAAATGTGCCATGCTCATAAACACAGAGGGAGGTGTGTTAGCCCATTTTTGTGATACTGTAATAGAATACCTGAAACTGGGTGATTTATAATGAATAGAAATTATTAGTTCACAGTTCTGGAGGGTGGGAAATCCAATATCAAGAAGCCAGGATTTTGCATGGTCCTTCTTCCTACGTTATCCCATTGAAGAAAGCACGAGGGTGAAAGAGAGCAAGAGGGGGCTGAACTTGATCTTTTATAACAGCACCGATCCCACCATGAGGGTAGAGCCCTCATAGGATGATTACCTCTTTTAAAGGCCCTGCCTCTTAAATAGTGTTACAATGGCAGTTAAATTTCAACACGAGTATTGGAGGGGACAGACATCCAAACCATATCAGAAGGTGATATTATTTTCATTTCTTTTAGACATTGATGAATGCAGCATAATGAATGGTGGTTGTGAAACCTTCTGCACAAACTCTGAAGGCAGCTATGAATGTAGCTGTCAGCCGGGATTTGCACTAATGCCTGACCAGAGATCATGCACCGGTGAGTAGGTTCTAGCCTCATGTTGAATCTCTCAGTAGGTTCCTAAGTAAAGTAGTTTAGGGCCCAGGCTTTGGAGTCAAGCAGGCTTGAGTCCAAACCCTTGTTTGTCATATATTTTAACTGTATCCTTAATCAAGATACCTATTATTAGAATCCTCATCTATAAAATGAAGTTCAAATTGCCTGCATAAAATAGTATTTACAGAGCTTACCATAGTACCTGGCATATAATAAATGGAATATAAAATACATTTTCCTTCATTGACCAGACTTTTGAAGAGTTTGATGTTTTGGCCTAATTCAGTGCAACTCCAGGTTTATTCCTTGAACCATTGGCAACAGCATCACCTGAGAACTTGTTAAAAAAATGTAAAATCTCAGGCCCCATTCCAGATCTACCGTATCAGAAACTACTGAGGTAGATCCCAGGAATTTGTTTTCACAATCTCTCCAAATGATTTGGATGCATGCTAAAGTTTGAGAACCAGTGGTCTAATTTACACTTCCTTTTGTATCACCCTGGCTGCGAGAGCTGTGAGCCAGGTAGAGGTGAGAAACAAAGTGGGTAATAACATAGGCTTTGATTTTGGCTTGGCTTAAGAAGAGAATTTGGATTTAGGAACCAAAATTATTTTACTGACCTAGAAAAATGTCCCTTAAAAAATCTAGATATAAATTTGGCTACAAAAATTGTTGAAAATAAGGCCAGGCACGGTGGCTTACACTTGTAATCCCAGCACTGTGGGAGGCTGAGGCAGGCAGATCACCTGAGTTCAGGAGTTCAAGACCAGCCTGACCAACATGGTGAAACCCCATTTCTACTAAAAATACAAAATTAGTTGGGTGTGGTGGCACATGCCTGTAATCCCAGCTACTTGGGAGGCTGAGGCAGGAGAATCGCTTGAACCTGGGAGGCGGTGGTTGCAGTGAGCCAAGATCGCGCCATTGCACTCCAGCCTGGTGACAGAGTGAGACTCTGTCTCAAAAAAAAAAAAAAATTGTTGAAAGTAAATATTATTACTAAGAGCATCTAAGTAGGTATGGTTATTTCAAGTAATTCTTACCTTAAAATATTGCTAAAACAGTTGATAGAATTCAGGCATTTATAATTTGACAATAGGGAAAATAAGATTTATAATAATTTTTGAATGATAAATTAAATGAAAGAAAGATTTTAAATAAATAATAGACTTTTAAGCAGGTGTGGACGTTGCCCTTGAGCAGTATATTATAAATATTGAAAAATATTTTTTCCTTTTTTACCAAGGATAACCCAATGGGCTAGTTTATGCAAAGCTTCATTTGGATTTGAGAGTTAATAGTCTTATGCTAGTAGGCTAAGTTTATTTGACTGCGGTCAGTTAATGTTTTCTCACTGAACAGTGGAACCAATATCAACAACCTGTGGTTGTTGGTTTTATTCTTTGCAGACATCGATGAGTGTGAAGATAATCCCAATATCTGTGATGGTGGTCAGTGCACAAATATCCCTGGAGAGTACAGGTGCTTGTGTTATGATGGATTCATGGCATCTGAAGACATGAAGACTTGTGTAGGTAAGCAAAGAAGACAGAATTTTTCATCTTGTCTTGTTAGTCATAAGCACTGTTAAATTACATAAAGTTAGTTTGGGTCAGTGATAGAAAGATTCCATAGGAAAAGTAAGGATATTTAGAGGCACAATACTCATATTTTAACCAGCATTCCAAAGAGAGCTTTCTTGTGGCTATTAAATGGTACTCTTGTCAGATATGTTATGAGGACTGACTGGCCATTCGTCAGCTCCAGATGGACATTTCTTTTATGCCTATCCATTACTTTTGTCCACTTAACCCTCCTTCTGCTTTGACTATCATGTAGGCTTTTTAAATCCTTGACTAAAGGCAAACAAAATTTACTTCTGACAAGAATGCAGTAAACTTTAGAACTGATCTATTTGTTTTGTATAGTTTCTATTGTTATGCCTTCAAATTTGATAAACTTTTCTTCTACGATCTCTAATCTGCCTTTCCTCACATACAGTGTATTTTTCATCTCAGATGTTGTAGTTTTCACCTCTAAAAGTTCGACTTGGGTATTTTTTCATATATTCTGTGTCTCTGCATAAGTTCAATCATTCCTCTAGCTGTTTGAACACATGGAATACAGTTATAACAACTTTTAGTGTCTTTGTCTCCTAATTCTGTCATCTGCATTGGTTCTAGGTCATTTGAATAAATTGACTTTCTTCCTTATTTTAGGTCATATTTTCCTGCTTCATTGAGTGACTGGTAATTTTTGATTGGATACCAGATAGTGTAAATTGTGCCTTACTGAGTGCTAGATATTTTTGTATTCCTAGAAATATTTTTGAACTTTGTTCTGAAGTGTAAATTACTTGGAAACACATGGATCCCTTTCAAAGTCTTGCTTTTAAGCTTTTAAGCTACACTTAGTCTAGGGGTAATTTTGCTCTGTTAGTGAGGTAAGACCCTTCTGGATATTCTACCCAATTCCCTGTGAATTATGAGGCTTTCCAGTCAGGCTGGTGGGAACAGGCACAATCCCAGACCCCCTGTGAACTTTGAGGATTGTTCCCTCTCATTTTCTTGGGTAGTGCTTTCCCCAGCCTTGAGTAGTTTGTTTCCTTATATGAATGTGCTGGTCACTACTCATCTGAATACTTGCAGAAGACTCTTAGCAAATCTCTGGCATTGCTTTCTTCTGTGTAGCTCTCTCCTGTCCTTTACTCTGCCCTATGAACCCTAACTACCTCAGCCTTCCAGGATGCCCAGATTCATCTCCTCAACTCAAGGACAGTGCCTGGCTCCATCTGGTACCTCCTCCTTATGCCATGAAGTTAAAACTCTCCTATTCAGTAATCTCGGGCAATTGTAGGATTCACCTAGTTTTTCTTTCTCTCAGGGATCACTGTCTTTTGTTGCCTAATGTCCAATGTCTAGAAAACCACTTTTTAAGGTATCTATTGTCTATTTTTTTTGGTTGTTTCATCTGAGAATATAATTTTAATTCCTGTTATTCTATCTTGGCCAGAAGCAAGAGTCTGGTATTGATTATATTTACATTTTTATCACATTTATCTTCTGAAAGCCTTTACTGAAAATGTTTGAAGTCCTAGAATTAAAATGAATGTCATAAAAAATGAATAATTTTTAATTTGGAAAAGAAGTGAAGTCTTAAACTACTTACACTAAGACAACCAGTTCATCTATCCTTTCTTTCAAAATATGAAAACTAAATTGTTATCATCATGCAGACTGAATTAAACTTTTCATCCTGCAATAGAGTATGCTGTTCTAAAAAGTTTTCTAGACTGTCACATAAACGAGCTCTAAACTCAGCATGGAGCCCATCTGTTTATTTGATTAACTGGCCTGCTGCTTATGGGCCAGATGAAAGCCAGTCTGAATAATGAGCTTGCAATGTAAAGAATGAAGAGCAAATGTAAATTGGCCTCTAAAATTTAACATTGTTTTTCTGAGGGAAAGCATTTTACCTTTTCTAATGTATTTGTCATAGTTATTATGTCTCGAGGGGAAAGTACTCAATGATATCAAATAGCTACATATATTAATAGTATATATGTTTTACAGATGTCAATGAGTGTGACCTGAATCCAAATATCTGCCTAAGTGGGACCTGTGAAAACACGAAAGGCTCATTTATCTGCCACTGTGATATGGGCTACTCCGGCAAAAAAGGAAAAACTGGCTGTACAGGTGTGTTTGTTCAAGTAGAACAATAAAATATTAAGTAGTTAAGAGATTGGTATCATAATTATAGATTGATACATGTTTTAAAACTCATACATTTTAACTATATTATAAAACATTTTGCATAACATTTTTCATTAATTTAGCTTCCACTTCTTTGAAATTTGTCATCGTTTATATTGGATCCAAGTTGCAGGTTTTTTTCTTGACCTGTGGGGGGAAAAAGGTGTATTGAATAAATTAACACTGTAAATAGCACATTTTTATGAGGTTAAAAATCACATTTTCATATCAAATTAGTGAACATGCTAATTACCAAATATTCATGGCCCTTCACCGAAGCAAGCCTTTTCCAATAACCTCCTTTGCCAACACTTCATTTAAGGTTTATAACTGGAATTGCTCTTTAAAGGAAAACATCCTACAATTCATATATTTCATCAATTCTCACTAGTCTTCCAGTGCCTTAAATAGGAGTACTTTTGATGTATTAAGTCATATTAGTCCAAGGAAGTCTTTATTCATGGGACTTAGCAAATCTTATGAAGTGATAATGAAACCATTTGCAATGTTGTCTGTTACCAATAGCACATGAGAAAATGTTTTCACAATATTTGTAGGAGACTATCCTATTAAATGCCAAATGGAAGAAGTTACTCTGTGCTAATGACATTGTGTTTAGTTTATAAGTGTTTAGTTGGTATTTTCAAATATGAGGCAATGACATTAAGTCCATGGAATGATATAATAAAGTTTTACTCTAGTTACTTATATTAATTTGACAGATTATGGCATATAACATAATTTAAAACATAATGGAAACCATGGTGAGCTTGAATTAGGTAACTGAATAATTTCTTAATAAATAACAGTCTTTAATTCCAAAAACCAGTTTGGCAAGCTCTTATGACTTAAAACAAATATTAAAATATTTGCAGATTGGCAGTGGGGCAAATGTGCAGATCCTCCTCTTAATTATATCAACATATTTCAAGAAAACACCAAAATATATTTATTATTGTTTCAAACTGGCCAATAATGCTATTTCAAATTTATTGATATGTAGGATAAGGGCAATAATATTATTGTTGGTTCAAAAATAACAGATGCTAGCCAAATTATGAGAAGAAGCATGAAGCTGGAATGTTTTCATTTTCACTATGCTACTCCTTACATGAAGCCTGTCTAGGGGTCCATTCTGATAAATGGCACAGTGTTTAAACTCTCAACTCCTATACGGCCTCTCGGTACAAATGGTGCCTAGCTTTGTATGTCTATGGTTCAAGCTTTATTTTTAGCTTCCAGTATAAATATAGGACTTGGTAAGGGATGATGGTCTGGCAGTAGTGAAAAGAAAGGTAAGATAGTTCTGTATTATGTTTTAACTAATAGAGGATAATACTACTGTTTTGTTAAGCTGAGCACATTGAAATTCAACCCAGAGGCAGTGATGCTTATGAAAGAAGTTAATCTCATGGAACAACCTTCATTCCCCATAAGAAAGAGGTCTCTAGAATTCAATGCTCCAAATTCTAGCTAACTGGGTCATGTGCAGTGGCTGATTATTTTAGGCCTTACCCTGAAGAAAGCTTAAATTTTCATGTTATTTAATGTAGTTTTAGGTAAATGACATATAATGTATACAATGCTGTTGGCGCAGTGCTGGTCAATAAATAAAAGCTATTGTCAAATGAAACATAGACACAGTGTCTAGAGGCCATTTTAGTGAAAGCCATTGCTTCTAGTCTATATCTATTGTCCATTGTTTTGTTGTTTCATTTGAGAATTTAACAGTCTAGCAAAAATTTTATGCTACTGTTTACTGATTCATGCTTGAACTCAGTTTAAAGAAGGAAAATCTTACTCTTTATATTGAAAGGCTTGTTTTTCGTAGTTGAATTTGCACAGATACTAAGACCATGGTAACAGAGCTGTGCACTACAGTTGCATGAAGTGACACCAGCTTTACGTTAAGAACAGCAGCCTTTGAGTCAATCACATGAACATAGATTTGAAGTCAAAGAAACATTTGATCCTCTTCAAATCTTTTTCATAGATTTGAAGTCAAAGAAACACTTGAGCTCTTCCTCCAGTTTTGAAAATTACAGCCTAAAATGATTTTCCAATTTGCTAAAATCCAGCTAGCACTGTAGGAAGACTTGAGTTTTATGCCCCTTTGATACCAGAGTAACATGGCATGTGATATTCTCATCTGAAGGAGTAGTACCCTGAATTGTGTTCTTAGTAAATCCACTCATTCATGATCTTGAACAAATCACCAGGGTGCTCTGCAGTTACTCAAATGTTCTCCTTGGGTAAGTAACAGCCCTGACCTGTGGAAGGGCATCACATTTGATTGGAAATGGCTTAACCAAACAGTAAGTTTGGTATACTTGAAAACGTGTTTTTAAAAATCTGGGGCAAAATGTTTTTTGAATGCCATGTCACTAAGGCTCTTTTAGCTGCTTTTAGTTTAAAATTCGTGTCATTCACAACTTAGAACACCGTCAGGTTACCTTGGTGATGGCTTTGCTAATAATGTTCCAGGCAACTAATGTAAGTAGAGATAGGTATCTTGCCTAATTGGATAAGCAAGCAGACAAAAGGAATATGTCTACTTATTTATCTATTTATTTATTTAGATAGATTATTGTTTAATGAAAAGAATTATGAAAATATGTATGCTATTTTATAAGGAGAAATTTTGCTTCATGAGAACTAAGAAAAAGACCTCTGGGCTCCATTACAGTTTTGTCTAAATATTTCAGCTCCCTGTCATTACTGAGTATTTCCATTTTAACAAATAAACATGTTTTTTCCCCCAATCACTTTAGCAATGTTCAGAATCCACCCACTGACTTACATTCCCAGCCCACACAGATGCTAAGGGTTTCTTTTTACTCCGTAAGCTTTGTTCAGACCCTGGGTATTGCCAAGGGGGAATGTTCCATTTAATGGAGAGAGAACACATTTGCTTGAAACGCAGAACACAGCTCTTCTATCCTTGGCTTAAGTGGGCTGGATTACAATTTTTCTATGACCCAATGTAAGGCTTCTGCTGCTTGTTCTACATAATTAAGGCCCTGCTAGGTGTCATCTTTGATGGGTGGTCCTGGCTTTCACAAGCTAATTTTAAGACCCTACCTCCCATCATGTGCTTACTTAGTTAATGAATAAAGCAAGCATACCATTAAGTGGAATTAAATCAGACTTGTTTTCAGTTAAAATAGCGGGATTTCTGGGTAATTCCATATTGGAAACTAGCTGGTTTCTTTCATAAGAGAAATGTCTCTGGTGGATCTTGGTTCATAGGAGAGAATCATATATTTCAACCACCAACAGTCAGTGAGAATTTGTGTTCATTTCCTTCCAGTTTCTTATCACTGCTAATTTTCCTTCACTGGCTGTCGGCCTGTGAAAACTCCATGGGTGTTCAGTTAATAGTGTTGGCTCAAATTTGGATCCAAATTAAGAAATCCAAGTAGCCTTCACGTTTGGCCTCTCCATTCATGGTAACGCCCTCTTCCTCAATGCCTAATCAAGGAGTTTCTGCAGTGCACAGCTCTGCCAGGTTAGGATCCAGGAGACAGATGCCCAGATGGCAGAGAAGGCAGGTGTTTGTGTGGGTGATACAGCCTCTCCCTGCGTGACTGTAAGAGGAGGCCACAGCAGCCCCGGGCACAAGCCCATACTTGGATGACATACTTGCATGGGACATACCCAGAGCCTGTGAGCAGGGTCTGCTCACACCACACCCTTGCCCTTCAAGAGAGCCATGCAAGAGGACCTTTGAGTCTTTGTGACAAAGGTTTGGTGGGGTTAAGAAGGTTGCGGTGTCACTTTAAGTTTGAATTTCTTTGCTTTTCTTGGCTTATGCTATTCTTAATCTTAAACAGGAATTTTCTGTTTGCAGCGAACTTGTGCAGGAAAGAGAACATTTTTACAGAAAGAGATATTCTTGGCAAACATGTACTATGTTTCCTTCATGTTATTGAAGAGTGTTTCAATACAGCATTTTTGTTTGCTTGTTTTCCTTATGGCTCACTTTCCCCTTCTGTTTGCTTTTATGATGAATTACAGTCCAAGTCTGCCACAGAAACAATTAATGAATGATAGTTGGTGCATGCATGCACACACACCCACATGCAAAAACCTTTTATTTGGAGATGCTTTTATACTTTATGACCACTTGAAGTCTCTCCAATTGTTACATACTGAGAGTGTAAAACATTGAGATAATAACTTATACAAATAGTCACAAAATGGAGAATTGAATATTGGCTCCTGAGTTACTCTCTCCTATTACCCAAAAGCCCATGATACACAGCCTGTTGTAAATATAGTTTCTTTTCACCTTGAAAACATTGCCATAAAACTGAAAACACTTTCTAAAGTTGTAAATTTCTATTAGCATATTACTGATGATTTTTAAAGGAGACTTTCCATTAAAAAGAAATGATAATTTTCTTAATTGCAAGATTAAACATGGAAGGTAAAAGCCATATGAAAATGATAATACTCATAAAATAAGAGTACCTCTGGTCATTAGAAAACTGGAAAGAAAAAGATTACAGAATTACTAGATTAATAGGTTGTGGTCATCTCTGAAAATTATGCTTAGTAGAAGATATTAGTGAGTATTTCTATAAGTCAGTTAATATTCACCAATATTTTGGTAACTCCATAAAGCAAGGCTTAGAATAAAATCCTGATATGACTAAAGAAATGCGCTCAGCTGGGCGCAGTGGTTCACGCCTTAATCCCAACACTTTGGGAGGCCAAGGCGGGTGGATCACCTGAGGTTAGGAGTTCAGGACCAGCCTCACCAACATGGTGATACCCCATCCCTACTAAAAATACAAAAAAAAAAAAAAAAAAAAAAAAAAGCCAGGCGTGGTGGCAGGCACCTGTAATCCCAGCTACTAGGGAGGCTGAGGCAGGAGAATTGCTTGAACCCAGGTGGCGGAGGTTGCTGTGAACCGAGATCGCACCATTGCACTCCAGCCTGGGCGACAAGAGCAAAACTCCATCAAAAAAAAAAAAAAAAAAAGAAAAGAAAAGAAAGAAAGAAGCTCAGCTAGGCAGCTGTGGCCCAAGGGAAGGAGTGCCAATCACCAGATGGGGAAACTGAGTTTCAGGAGGTCCTGGCTCTGCCCCTCACTGACTTGTAGGGCCCAACTTCTTTGTCTTCTTCTGAGAAACTGAGATTGGGAGAATGGAATTACGAGTTCTTTCCACTTAGAAAATTCCTTGATTCTATAACATCTGGAGGCTTTGATACTTATGCAATTGAAGCTTTTTGTGTCCACATAAGATTATTTGTCAGAGATCATGACAAATATAGGAGAGAAATTTAGGCAAAACTCCACAAAAATGGTGATTTGTTGCATTACCTCTGAGGGGAGCAATTACCTGAGGCAGAAAGAAGTTTCGACAGCCCTGCTTGGGAGTATTTGTGCTAGTTCTGCGGGATCTGTTAGGTCAGGTATGGAAAGACATACATTCTTGAATTCCTGTGCCTACTTAGCACTGTTATCCCTGAATTGGCCTTCCTCCTCATTTCCTTGGAATGTGCCATGCTCAATTATTTAGCTGGTTAAAGCTCCCAGTCACAGTCTAAAGCTATGTGTCTCTCTTGACCTGCAGTAATAACTTGATAGGTCCATGTGGCTGCCAAGGTTACACTAAAATCCACCTATACAATGTGTCATGACTGAAAGGACATTCTTCCAGGCATGCTGCTTCATTTTTATGATCATTAGTGATATTATAAAGTTCTTTTGTAGGAGCAATCTGTTCTTATTTCATTTTGTGTTTGCTCTAGAAGTTATGAAGAAGCCAAAGATCCCAGGACCATTTCAGAGCTTCAGATGGAACACTTGGCAGATAGCATGTTTGCAAACACTTTCAAATCATTTAATTGGGCTTCATAAGTAAACAAAAAGGCAAACATGAATTACTTGCCCAGTTTCTTTTTCATGCCACTATTCAAGTGTTCACTGGAAATTCTTGCAGTGTTTTGTATGGCAAAATTGTTCTTCTTGACCTAAGATTGGTGTTAGATGTTGGTTTCCATATAGAGTACCATATTTATGAGTTCTTGTTCTTAGTTAATGACAAAGTTGATTATGAGGGTAACCCATTATAGAATGGGCTCGTTTTGGAAAATTTTCACTTAGTACTTTATGTTCTTTTCTGTAACATATTTATGTTAGAGAGTCTATCTTGGCTAAAGTTGACAATAGAATTTTGGAGAATAGAGCATTTTGGAAAATTTGGAGTCTTTTAGTAATGTGACCCTAATCTGGTATTCCTTATATTCTGACAAAATCCCCATTGGATTAACTTGAGTTTTACATGAAATATACAAGAAGGCTTGGCTCTCCAATGTGCTAGGACTCTAAGAAGCTAGGGAAAAGATGGCTTATATACTGTCTTAAGGAACATTTTCTGCAAATGCTTAAATTAGCAATACCTAAAGGAAAGCTTTTGTAGAAATAAAGCATAATTAAATAAGTGTTTTAAGTTTAAGAATAAAATATATTTTATATATAGAATATAATGCAAAAATTTTCTAATTTGCCAACAAGTTTGTATTTTTTGTCTATACAAGATATGAAAATAATGTGCATCATTACTCCATAGTTGACTTACTAAAAATACTAGCAAAAGAAAATATGTGACAAGGAGTATTAAAACCATAGAAAATTAAGCAACTCATTTTTTATGGTCTTCAGCTGTAAAAAGTCACTTTGCAGTGACTGGAAACTTACATTAAAATACGGAAAATAATTAGAGTTAACAATAGCTAGTACAATCATATTGTTATATCTTTATAATTTGAAATTTAAAGCTGTTTGATATATGTAGAGTTTATATATGGATGCAAAACCAGTCTATACTATACCATGGGAAGTTTGAAGGCAAGTCAACTTTTGAATATTACTTATTTTAAAAACCAAAAGACATTTGTGCTGAGCCTTTTTCTAAATCACTGCTCATTTTTCCAGACATCAATGAATGTGAAATTGGAGCACACAACTGTGGCAAACATGCTGTATGTACCAATACAGCAGGAAGCTTCAAATGTAGCTGCAGTCCCGGGTGGATTGGAGATGGCATTAAGTGCACTGGTGAGTAGGAAAGTAACAGAGGTTGCTTATCAAGGACTGCATAGATTACACATATGAAAATATTAATTATGTAAAGTTATTTTAATTTGTGTATTATTGGTTTTAAATACCACCCTTTCTGTTAATAATGATATAACCTTTTTCTATAAGATCTGGACGAATGTTCCAATGGAACCCATATGTGCAGCCAGCATGCAGACTGCAAGAATACCATGGGATCTTACCGCTGTCTGTGCAAGGAAGGATACACAGGTGATGGCTTCACTTGTACAGGTATGTTCACGCTGGAAACAACTGTGTCAACACTAGTCAGAGAAGCCAGGCATTCCACATTTCTCAGGCTAGCAATTCTTTTTTGAAGACTGGGTCAGTTAATAGAAAAGATTCATCATTTGGCACTAGAGCTCTGTGGGAAAAAAAAAATTGGAACCAGGTCAATTAGGGAGACCTCAAAAGCTTCTCGATAGGTAGATACGTAGGTAGATAGATAGATAGATAGATATTTAGGTGCCATTATCACATCATTTACAGTGATCTGTGCTCTAACATAAAATGATACCAAAAAAGTCATACCATTCTCCACCTCAAGTCAGCTAGGCCTTATAATAGTTACAATTGGCATATATATCATTATATGACTGTATATAATGATGTCATTAGTTTAAACAAATCATACTTCCTTTTATATGCCTAGCCTTTATTTATTATTATTTTTTTTTTGCCTATTTCTCACCAATGACTTCCTTTCTGTACCAACACAAGGATAAGCTTGCTGTAGGGAACTATGTAAGGAGAAGGGATTAGATGTTCTAGATTAGAAGAACAGTATGTATTTCTCTCCAACAGGCCATCATCATCATCATTATCGTCATCATCAACATTCCATATTGGTATAAGTAAAAATTTCAAACCTGCTATGGAATTCATTCACTTCCAGTTTTGCAATAATATATTAATGAAATTTTCTTTTTGGCTCTAATTAATAGCCATAGAATTAACATAAACTTCTATACACATGTAAACATACATGATTAGACTTGTCATTACATAAATTATACATATACTTACATGTGCATATATTTACAGACAGCACTTTTTATATCAGAGCTCTGGAGTTAAATAAAATAATAAGATCCATTAGCCATTAGGTCGCATAGCTGCTCCTATAACTTAAAACATTGATTTATCCTGAGCACTTTGTTCATAAAAAGTCATTTAAGCACAATAGAGGCTAAGGCTCATTAAGTGATTTACCTGGAATTTTTTTTTATTCCCTGAAAGTTTTATCTCAGATGAAATCATTTTTGCCTAACTTATTGATGTTTTGTCATCAAAAACCTCCCATCATTTTGAGAACATATTCAAATTCCATGTATTAGGCATGTGTGGTTTATGTGTTTGATATTTAAATGCCTGTGATTATTAAGAAAACTAGGTAGAGATTAAGCAGATGGAATTTTTCTTCTCCCTATGGTTGCCATTCTTTTGCACTTTTGGTGCCCATCTAAGCTAAGCCTGAAACTTGAGAAATAGACACAAACATGATGTGTCATTTCCTGTCATGGGTGTGCCCTCCATGCGGATGACCCTTCTTGAACAGGCCTTAGTTTGCATGATTCCTTCGGCTTATTCATTTTATATCATTCAGGGTAAATTATCATTCAGGATTCTGAATCAGCCACATGTAAATTTCATATTCAGTGTTAGCCTACCAAAGAGAAAAATAAATGACTTTAAATGTGTCAAATTGAAGTTATGCCAAAACATTGCTGCACTGGAAAGTTGATAGACCTGAGGAATTAGAAAGCCCCTAACCGAGGAAGAGTAACGTGTGTTTCTTTCTGGCTGTAGACCTTGATGAGTGCTCTGAGAACCTGAATCTCTGTGGCAATGGCCAGTGCCTCAATGCACCAGGAGGATACCGCTGTGAATGCGACATGGGCTTCGTGCCCAGTGCTGACGGGAAAGCCTGTGAAGGTAACTGATGGGGAAGCCACTGGGAGCCTTGCTGGGCTTGATGAGATTAGGTTATTTAAACATTCCTGATGCTTTTTTTTTTTTTTTTTTTTAAACTGAGGTGTGTTTTAGCTTCATTTCTAAGCTGGTCAGTTCAGTTTGTAGAGGGATTAGGTTTCCAGCTGACCATTTCTCTTGCTGCACAGAAAACCTCAGCTGACTGGCCACAAGCTGTACATCCAGCCTTGGCCGCATGGTCTGCAAGGGTGTATCCATTGGTCAATGAGGGTAACCAAGTGTGGTTAAATCAGTGCAACCCATTTATCCCTACGGAGGGGGATGCAACCTGTTAATCCCTACTGAGGGAGAAAAGAGCTGAAAGTGCAAGTTCCCTGATAATGTCCTGTTGTGGGATTATCACTAAATATGGAAACACAGGTTTTAATCTCCACTGTATTTGGTTTGTAGAAATAAAAGCAGAGCAAATAGTCTTGTCCATACGTAGAATGGTATGTCTCACATTTGCTCTAAATATCTAACATATATGAACATGGAACAGTTTTGCAAATCTGTTCAATAGGGGACCCTTGGGATACTGCCATATGGCATGGTATCGCTCAGCTTTAGGCTCTGTCATTCTGATAAGTGTTGGTCAGACACGAAGAGTCCTGGGAACCTGTTAGCTAAGGCTGGATCCCATTAGGGAACACAAGATTCTTCCCTTTACCCACATTTGTCAAATTTAAGCACATTCTCCTTCATTGAAAAGAAGATTTCAGTAGAAATAAACAAATGATAACGATTGTCAGTAGAAGTTTAAACAAGACCCTGATTAATGTATTAGTTAATAGTTGTTCCTTGTTAACAAGACGTGAACTCAAAATCAGTCATTAGCTATGACATGTATACTAATTCCCTCATGTATTTTTATGTGAATACTTTTCTTTGTTATGGAACCGTTGGGTGTTCTTTATACAGTTTATATTAAATATGCAGAGTTTGATATAAAACTCCTTGGAGTCAAGAAACCAGATTATGCTCTTGATCATGTGCCTAATACCTTGTTTACTTTTGTTACTCCAAATATCCAAGGAAAACAGGTACTGTGCCACCTCTGGTGACACAAATAGTCACAGTGAAAGTTTTGCTTCTCTTATTGCTATAAGAGAAGGTTTTGTTTGTTTGTTTGTTCTTAATATAAATCATGGCTGGTGGAGTGGTCATGGCTATTTAAAGCTAGTCTCAAGCCTGAAAATGTGACTGTGTGTCAACTGCACACGAAGAATGTTAACAGGAGGCAGAGACAGAGGCCTGGAAGAAGCGTGTGCGGTTTTCCAATCTCCGTCAACAAAGGCAAACACATGCCATAGGACTAGGGACACTGGAGATTATGCAACTAATTATGACAGTTCCCTGAAAGACATTGTGGCTTGTGAAATTTTAATTCACAACAAAAACAGTGACTACATAGATAGATTAAAAAAAAAAAACGAATTTAGCGTAAGGTGGCTTGCTTGCCTCTTACTTTACGAAAGTGATGTGGACCTACGTGGAACACTACAAATGAGATATGTATCTATAAAATGCTCAGCCCGCTGCTTGGCATGTAATAGAGACTGAGGAAAAGTAACCTCTCACCTACGAGACTTCACTGTGCATGGCAAATCATCTAAAAGTCTATAGGAGAAGTGCCCAGATTGGTGTTAGATACTCTGCATTTTCTTAGTATTTACATTAGTTGCCTAATTATATTTGGCAGGTTTTTTTTAGAAAAATATAAGTTAAGTTTTTTGCTTTTTTCTCCCTCCCCCCAAGATATTGATGAGTGCTCCCTTCCGAACATCTGTGTCTTTGGAACTTGCCACAACCTCCCTGGCCTGTTCCGCTGTGAGTGTGAGATAGGCTACGAACTGGACAGAAGCGGCGGGAACTGCACAGGTAAGACCTCCACTGGCATCAAAATCAGCTCCCTGGTGTCCCGGGGGACCCAGCTATTGGAGCCTCCCTGGGACTACACAAGGGCCGTCACAGAAGACAAGAAAAGCAAGGGGGAAGTATTAAGAATCACAGATACCTTTTCTCAGACCTGGAACTGATTGGAGGTGAGGATCCAGAGGAAAGAGTCTAAGACAATTGAAGGAGCACAGTTTGTAGCCTTGAAATTGAGTTTGTGGCTACAAAGGAATGTTCTAGGGGTGCTCTAGTGGTGTAGCTTCCCAGCCATTTCCTTTTCTACTTGGGTACATTTTTGGAGAGTTTCGTTTTGGAGGCCATGCCCCGGGATCATGGGTTTTCTCCTTGTACTTCGTTGTTGCAATACCCACCCCACTCCTTCCTACCCCTGCCCTGCTCGTGGTCACCAGAGTACTGGGTACACAGAGCTCAGCCACCTATCTCTAGTGTATAAATCATTTTCTTGTTGAGCCAAGGACTCTCAGGGAACATTAGAAAAAGCTTAGAAAAACTACAGGCACCCAGCAGACTGACACTCGGTTCTCTTTGGCACTAAGACTTTGAAAGCCATTTGCATTTCCCCTTCCTAATTCACCCCTCTGTTCAAGGATACTGAAGAAACAACTTATGTTCTGTATGAGTTCAAATTTCCGGAAAAAATCTGGTCTTTTCAACCACCTAAACAAACCATGACTCAGGGGCTCTCCAGATCATGACCACCACCACCACCCTGCAAATGCTCTGGATGGAGTATTCCTCTCCAGCCACACATTCTTCCCTTGGTTTTCCTTAAAGCTATTACGAGACCAGGCTGGGTCTCTTGCATGCCTCAGGAAGTCCCCCTCTCCATGGCCTGTACCCTGTCCTGCGTGCCCCAGATCACTATCAACATCATTCTGTCTAATCTCGTTTCTGTTACTCTGGCCCTGTCCGTCCAAATTCACATGCAATTTGAACAAAAAAATCATCTGCAGCGCAACCCGCAGGAGGGTTGCCAGATCCAAGGGGAGGACCAAGGCAAAGGTGTTGTCCCTCTTCTCCAGTCCCTCCTCACAGAAGCCGTTTGTCTATTCTTGAGTATTTCATGAGTGTTCAAAACAGACAAAAGGAATTGTACAGAGTGGAATTTGCCAAAACCCATGTCCTAAATATCTGGAATTCTGTACATATTTTTGGAATAGAAACTGAAAGGGAAATATTCAACTCAGCATGGATGATGGGAGAGACACTCCTTGCCGACCTCAGGGAACACACTAAGCCTCACGCGTGTGTGTCAGGGGAAGCAGCAAGAGTTGCCCTTCTGAGGGTTTCCTGGGACATCTTGCTCTAATTTGATGAAATAACAAGCCACATATACTCAATATATTTTCTTAAAACCTGTGTCTGAATTTTTGGTTGACCGAGGTCACAACAGTGTTTTGCCTTCAGTTACCTTGACTGGAATATTTTTCCTAGTGCCAAAGTTATATATATATATGTAATATATATTATATTTTATATATATATGTAATATATATTATATTTTATATATATATATATTTTTTTTTTTTTGAGACGGAGTCTCGCTCTGTCGCCCAGGCTGGAGTACAGTGGTACCATCTTGGCTCACTGCAAGCTCCGCCTCCCAGGTTCATGCCATTCTCCTGCCTCAGCCTCCCGAGTAGCTGGGACTACAGGCACCCACCACCACGCCTGGCTAATTTTTTGTATTTTTAGTAGAGATGAGGTTTCACTGTGTTAGCCAGGATGGTCTCGATCTCCTGACCTCGTGATCTGCCTGCCTCGGCCTCCCAAAGTGCTGGGATTACAGGCGTGAGCCACCGTGCCCGGCCCAAAGTTATATTTTATCCTGATGACAAATTTGAATGGTAAATGTGTTCTGGGGAAAGACCACCAAAGACTATATCATATTTCCTTCCTGAGGTGTTTTATCTCTGAAGTGGAAGACTGCATTTCTAGATGTAGTTATAACTAGTAGCTTTAAAATTCTTGTTTGGAGCTCTAGATTGGGCCCTGTTCTTTTATGGTGATGTCTGCCTACACTGGCTCAGGTGATAACTCCACTACTCACTGTTCGGTTTTAGATGTGAATGAATGCCTGGATCCAACCACGTGCATCAGTGGGAACTGTGTCAACACTCCAGGCAGCTATATCTGTGACTGCCCACCTGATTTTGAACTGAACCCAACTCGAGTTGGCTGTGTTGGTAAGACCTTAAAAACTTTTCAGAGAAGCAAGCATACTGTGTATTATTTTGAAAACAGCACCAAACATTCCATTCTCAAAGTTTGCAAAATGAATGATACAGAAATTTAAACATTTCCTAACTCTACTTTAGATTCAGATATCTTTTCCATAGGGAAAATTCTCGGTAGTGTATAATGTTCATGGGCACTTTTTAGTTTCTCAGTAAAAGTAAATTACGGTTTTTGAACAGTTCCTGAAGTGGGTTTGAATTTTCAACCCCAGTAGAAAGATTCTGCCTGATGCTTTTGTGTTTGTATATGGTAAATAGATACCCGCTCTGGAAATTGCTATTTGGATATTCGACCTCGAGGAGACAATGGAGATACAGCCTGCAGCAATGAAATTGGAGTTGGTGTTTCCAAAGCTTCCTGCTGCTGTTCTCTGGGTAAAGCCTGGGGTACTCCTTGTGAGATGTGTCCTGCTGTGAACACATGTAAGTGGACATCCTCCTATTTATTATTATTTCAACTCCAGCCAGTTCTCCTTTCTAGATCAGAAGACAAACCTTTTCTACTCTTAGATCAGAGAAGAAAGATCAGTCCTCTCAGCCCTGTAGAGGGGACCTTATTCCCAATTCGAGAGTCAGAAAATATTCCTGGTTGGCTCACACTAAAAGATCAGGTAGGGCAGGTAACATCTCACTTCTGTGTAAGTGAAAAGCAGATAGCATTACTTTAAAGATTTTCCAGACTAGGGTACTTTCACCATGTTGCTTACGTTCCAGGGACACATTGATTATCTCTCCTCTTCTCATCTATTGACTAGTTTGGAAGGCTGTACGCCAGACTCAGTGTCCCGGGGTTTGAAGAGAAGCAATTAGTTAAGCAACTATAAAATGGAAGATTATTCCATTGTTATGGGGTGGCTTGAAAGAAGGCTTTAGCATATGATTGTAAGGACATACAAACTATGTCTCCTAAAAATATAAAAGGGTTTTCGTTTTTCCAAGTGAGTCCTGTATTATGATTCAGAATTAGATGTAGCTTCTTTGGCAAAATTCAGTGGCTACTGCTTATAGCGTATGTTGGGATAGGTATGGATTCTTTTTTTGCTGAAGGGTCATTTATTCAATTCTTCTAAAAATATTTGTTGAGTACCTAGAATGTGTACTCTGGATGTGCAAAGATGAATTAGACTAGATCCTGCCCTTCAGGAGAATACAGCATAGTAGGCAAATTATGACCTAAACATAAGCGCTATAATTCAAAATAGGCCTCAGAAAGAGAAGAAAGAGCAGGCACAGTGCTGTGTTGGTACAAAGAGCACACCTGGTGCACATTAGGACTCCACTAGTTGTCACCCATGTAACCTTGGGCAAGTTCCTTAGCATTCATAAAATACCTCATAGGATTAAATGAAATCACTCATGCAGAGCACCCAGCACAGGGGTGAGTGCTCAGCTGGCTCCTCCTTCTCTCTTCTCTTCAGAAAGGGAGGTCAGTTCTGCTTGGGAGAGGGTGGGGACTTAGTGTGTTTTTTAATTGAGCCTTCAAGAAGGTTGTGACATGAAAGAAGAAATTCAAAAAGTATGGATGATTGCAGAAAGAGGAGAACAAGTAAAAGAGGAGGACTTTTCATTTCATTGGTGTCGAAGGGGGCAAACTAAGACACTTAATTTGGGGAGTCAGCTTTGTAGATTAATGACAGTAGCAAAACAATAGATATCCACACCACACCAGATCTGGACCAGAGTTAGAACTGGAATATATACATATAGGCATGTGTACATATAATTTCAGGGAGCCAGGACAGGGATTAGCAGATCTGGACAGACCATGACATTATGAAAGAACTGATCTTATAGCTCCTCACTGGGATGATGCAGCAGGTTACAGACATTCTTATTCACATGTCCTGTACATATCACCGTCCTGGTGCATACCACTGAAATAAATGTTTCTGGGTAAAATACTTGGATGAAAGAATTAATGGGGGAAACCCAAGGACACTATAGAAAGTTGTTTTTGGAAACCAAGAGAATCAATATTGCCACCCATAGAAACAGAGGTGCAAGAAATGTCTCTAGTCATTAAGGAGAGAATTGGGATGGGAATCAACAGAGAACAGCTTTTCCTAAGGCTCTATTTGGAAAGGGTTTTGGAAAGAAGCCAATTAAGATTATTAAGGGAAGCTGTAGTTCCCAGAAAGTAGGCTGAACAGAACATAAAAATGAAGATGAAGTTTTTCAGAAAATAAAAAGGGAAAGAAAATCTGTAAAAAGAAATAAGGGATGAAGGTAAGGTATAAAACAGTCCACACACATGTAAGACCAGGGAGTGGTTAGAGTTCAAGGACTGAGGACAGTGGCCTTGCACTGGGGACACATAATAAAAACCACTGGAAAATGGGAAGTGTACACAAAGGTGTTAACTTACTTCAGACGGGCAGAGTAACAACTAAAGATTCCTGAAAATGAACATTTTCAGTTGGATATGTGAGTATTTCTCTTGAGGATACTATTTCTAAAAACTTTAGATTCAAAACAACTCAATTTGAATTTTTGTTTCAATAGCCGAGTACAAAATTCTTTGTCCTGGAGGGGAAGGTTTCCGACCAAATCCTATCACCGTTATATTGGAAGGTAATTGTGTTTCCTTTGTCTTAAAGCACACACAACTTGAATTTCCTTGGGTTTATTTACAATGCTAAAGGAATGCCTTTGTTTTGATTTTGATAGATATTGATGAGTGCCAGGAGCTACCAGGGCTGTGCCAAGGAGGAAAATGTATCAACACCTTTGGGAGTTTCCAGTGCCGCTGTCCAACCGGCTACTACCTGAATGAAGATACACGAGTGTGTGATGGTAAATGGTCCTGGTAGGATGATAAGGTCTTGCAGATATCAAGAACTGACCTGCAAAACCAGAATATGGTTACTAGGAAAATAGAATTTAGCAGTGTAGCACAATGTTCTAAACACGAACATAGCCAGGTAGATATGTCTCACATGTGGCAATTTGGACTAATGTTACTCAAGTGATGTCATTTCTGGTAAGTCCTAAATCTCCCTCTTTTCCTGAGAAAAACAGAATCTTATTCTGCTGGACCATAGCCTCATTTATGCTTACAAAATATTTTTCCATGCTCTTCAGAAAAGCCATTTTTTACATGAATGGCACAGGTCCAATTTCAGTGTTCCTTCTCTATTTGGAGGAGTTCTGGGCCCTCTTCTTTTAATCCTTCACCACTTACCATTGGTGCTCATGTATTCAAATAAGCTTCTCCTAGAAGGCGGCCCTTTGGCTTTATGCTATGAGTGGTGGCCCTTGTTCATCCTGTGTTACTGGAAAGGTGGAGAATATTAACCACTTACAGGTTTCAGAGCACTTCAGCCATGAGCCATGGTTTTCATCTACATGGAGGAATCACACAATTGTTTAGGAAAGAGACCTCCTTGTGCTCTGCATAAGAAATATTCCCCTGGCTCTTTAATGGCTTATTAGGTCACCCAGACAATGGCAACCTTATTGAGTATTAGTTGAACATCACAGTGTATATGGCACAGCTCTAAGACCCATGGAGTTAACAAAGATTAGAATCAACTCCTTCATTTGGAAGTGGGGAGAGGATGTGAAATATGCTCCATGCTGCCTTACCAATGCAGATTCATGAAGCCAGCTGTTAATGGCTTCGGGATACTATATACCCTATCATAGATTTTGTGAGCATAAGAAGCGTACTTGTCTTCCTAAGGGATATTTGATATTTTAATTTCTCCACATTTCTATCTCTGCCTACCTTTGAGGATATTATAGGTTAATTTATTAGGAGACTCATTATTATATTTGATAATGCCTCATGTCAGAAGGCAAGAGTTCCTTTTCTTTTTTGTTTTTGTTTTTTGTTTGTTTGTTTCGAGACAGAGTCTTGCTCTGTTGCCCAGGCTGGAGTGCAATGGCATGATCTTGGCTCACTGCAACCTCTGCATGTAGAGTTCAAGCAATTCTCCTGCCTCAGCCTCCCGAGTAGAGTAGCTGGGACTACAGGTGTGCACCACCACGCCTGGCTAATTTTTGTATTTTTAGTAGAGATGGGGTTTCACCATGTTGGCCAGGCTAGTCTGGAACTCCTGACCTCAAGTGATCCACCCACCTTGGCCTCCCAAAATGCTGGGATTACAGGCATGAGCCGCCATGCCCAGCCAAGAGTTCCTTTTCTAAAACCCTCTTTCCTCAAAAGGCACACATTTACACAGAGAGAGGACACGGATGAATGAAATACCTATTTTCGTTATCTTATTTGAAAATACCCTATAGATTTTCTCCTCTAATGTCAACATTCATTAAGTATCAGGCCATTCCAAAATGTGAAGTTTTCATATTCACATACCACTTTCTCTTTGGATTATAGATGTGAATGAATGTGAGACTCCTGGAATCTGTGGTCCAGGGACATGTTACAACACCGTTGGCAACTACACCTGTATCTGTCCTCCAGACTACATGCAAGTGAATGGGGGAAATAATTGCATGGGTAAGTCCAAGCTTTTCTCAGTAATGCATGTTTGGTTCTCATCTACAAAGAGGAAGAGAGCTCACAAGTTCATCACCTTAGGGTGATGTTACTCATCAGACTGAGTGCTGGCATCCCTTCACTGTCTTGTTAGGAGACTCTTCCCCTATAAATCATAACTTGGCATTTTTTCACCACCACGGGTGGGTGGTTGGGAGTTTTCTCTAAAATGTATGTTGGAAAATCCCAAACAACAGTTAATAGTACTTCTTTTGTTTGACTTTTGGGTGTATCTTTGTACAATTATATTTACAGTGCTGACCTACAGTATTAAAACATCACGAGTCGGAAACGAGAAACTTATTGCCAAATGGCAGTAGGGAATTGTTACTAGGAGACTGGGCAGAGAGTCATTTAAAGTTTATTAATGCTACAGCTATATAATGACTTAGTTCTGTGGCATGAAATATCAGGGAATGTATTTCTCAAAGTCCTTTATCTTGTAGCAGCATAGGTAGCTAGAAAGTTGTGTAAGAGCAAGTTTTTTGTGTCCTTATCAAAGTCAAGCTACAATACAATTCAAATGAAACTTGCTTGTTGAGTATCCACTTAGAAATTTGTTGTGATTTCCCACATGGCATCACCAACCCTCCAATCCTTTTTTTTACCTCCCTTCTAGATATGAGAAGAAGTTTGTGCTACAGAAACTACTATGCTGACAACCAGACCTGTGATGGAGAATTGTTATTCAACATGACCAAGAAGATGTGCTGCTGTTCCTACAACATTGGCCGGGCGTGGAACAAGCCCTGTGAACAGTGTCCCATCCCAAGTACAGGTGAGTTTTAGTTTCTCCATTATCAAAAATATAGGTTGAAAAATTACCCATGAATTGTTGGGGAAATCAGTCTTAGCGAAGGAAGCAAAGTGTGCATTGTTTATCTTTACAGGGAAAAAAACGGCTCATGATTTAAATTCACAGTTGGTGCTGGTCATTCCAGCCGAACACTGAGTCACAGAATATGTTTTCTAATGTATACCCTAATACGTAACCAGACTTGTAGACTCAGCATATCACAAAAATATAAACTATAAACAATGTTCTCATTGTTACTGAATTCTTCATGTATCTAAAAGACTGTAAACATTAGACAAATCAATGTGACAGTAAGGGAAACATAATTCCTTGTCTTTTTACTTATTTAAAGCTAAACTTGTTCCAAAAATAGTTAAAGGCAGCCTACAAAGATGTAAATGTTAAACAAGAAATAAGCATAAGGCAAATGGCAAACAAGAATAAGAAAGAGCCAGGAGCAGGACTAATACACAAAATTCAAGCCGGGAATTCTACACACTTGCCTGAAATAAGCAATAATTTTAGCCCCAAACTTTCTAGCAGCTCCTATGAAAAGGGAGATGTGATCAAGTACAAAATTCTCAATGAGCATAAAGAAAACTCAAAATGAAAGGAAAGTGCAACTTTTCTTGATATTGAGATCGAGATAAATTTCTTCTTATATTCTCATGGAGAAAGAAACTAAATAATGTTATTTGTCTTAAAAAAAAAAGGCTAAATTGCATCCTTTGAATAAATAAAGACATTAGTGTACTGTTCTTATATCATATGGTATATGCTGTGCATTATGTATATGATGATGACATCATTTGCCAAGATTATGATTTGGGTTAGTTGAAATTATCATGCAAGGAATTGATTAGGGTATTCTATAAAGGGAATCCTACACCATTTTCCACAGTGATATATAAAATATTAAATCTGTTGTTTGGTACTACCTGACATTGCATGCAACAGAAAATTGTTTTTTAGTAAAATGTATTATTCCATCCATTGTTTACTCCAGAAATAATATAATAACCACCACTTAGAATTCTGATTTACCTCCACCCTGCAAAATGTTTCTAGACCAGGGCTTGGCAAAATACACCCCATGGGCCAAATCTGTCCCACCATCTACTTTTGAATGGCCTGCAAGCTAAGAAGGATTTCTACATTTTAAATGGTTGGAAAAAATCAGGAGAATCGTATTTCATAATATGAAAGTTACATGAACTTCAGATTTTGTTTCCCATAAATAAAACTTTTTTAGAGCTCACTAATTTATTTCCATATTGTCTACTACTGCTTTCATGGCAACATTAAATAGTTTTGACTGACTGTACAGCCTGCAAAGCCTAAGATATTTACTCTCTGTCCCTTTATTAAAAAGTTTGCTGACCCTTGATCTTGAATAATGGTCTTTACAACTTTAGGTGGTACTTACCTGTTGGTAAAAAATCTGAAGCTTATGCACACCTGGTGTGCATTTATATGTAAAAGTCTATGTATATATATCTATGTATGTGTATATGTATTTGTTTTCAATTATATTGAAAAATACATTTATTATTTTTCTGAGCTGTTCTAATATAAAGTGTACACAAAATTAATTTTTTTAAAGATTAGATTTTTCCAAAGATAGATAGAAGTCCTCGCATTTTCTTTTTTATCCTAATGGATTATTGCATATTCCTCTGGAGACCACTTTGGAAACCCTTAATGTAGACTAACATTTACTTTTAGAAATGATTGCCTGAGTTTTGAATATCTACATACTCTTGTGTAAAATGCAAGATTTCTTCTTGATGTTGGATATTCACCAAATTCAGTCATGGCTTTTCATTAGCTGTGAAATCTGCACATATTTTAAGAGTCCCTGTAATTTCTTTAGGTGACCAATGTCAGCTGGCGTTACAGTGTTGGAAGTGAACACTCATAGATTAAGGAGACAAAACACAAGGAGAATAACATGCTGTATTTTGATTAAAATACTTCCAGAAATCTTTTACTGATTTTCACTGAGCGTGACCAATAAGGCAATGGCCATCTGAAGCTTAGATTGATACCATACCTTACCAGTTACAGTCATGATCTGGAATCACAAAATCTCACAGTTAGAAGGGACTGCTGATAGAATTTAGTTCATCCTTTATTATCTGTTAAATTTGACTAATTCAAGTGAGAGAAAGACAGAGAGAGACAGAAAAGGAGAGAGGGAGAGGGAGAGAATATGACAGAGCTGTACCAAATGAAATCCAGCTCCAAAAACTGAAAAACTGGTGAAGGTTGGTTGATTGACCCAAATTAGTCATTAATAGATCTGATGTCAAGAATGTGGCTAGATTTGCTATGGTCTCCTATAATCTACCGAGAAAATGGCTTTTATACGTGTTCCTCAAACCCTAGATCTCTAAATGCAGAGTAGAGAGAGGCACTCTTACCAGTCCCTGAGTTCAGAGCTGAATAACATCCATATTGAAATCCAAACTCCTACAGGTAAACTCATGTGAATGAGTGGCATGTGATCTGGGGATCTCTACTTCTCCTTCATTATCACGTCAACATTAGGTCATTTTTTTCTTCAATATTTGTCTTACAGGCAAGATTATATCTGTAGGAATTTTCAGGTTTACTTTTTATTTTAAATTCTTCAAACTACAGACAAATACCTTTCAAGAATGCTTACAAAATAATTTTTTTCAGTCCAATTATTGTTCTTTGCTGACCCCTATCCTCCCATCCCACCTTTGTTTAATCATTGCAGATGAGTTTGCTACACTCTGTGGAAGTCAAAGGCCAGGCTTTGTCATCGACATTTATACCGGTTTACCCGTTGGTGAGTCATGACGGCATTGTCAGAACTTTCTGGTTTTTTGCCTTTGTGTTAGCATTATTTTTTCAGTTCCCATTTTTTTCTTAAAGGAAAAAAAATATTAAACAATGCCTTTCACTTTATTGAAACACTGATTCTTAGTTTGAAACAAACTGTGCAAACACCCTGTGCAGCTCCACCTAATTGGCAACAACATTTGTTGTTCATGATTAAGGGGATTGGAAAGCTTTTCCCAAAATTACAATCAAGCATAGTTACACCAACCTTAGGCATCAACATGGGGAGAGATTCTGGGAGTGGGGCCAGTTGACATTTGATTTAACTGTAATTCTCAATCCTTCCTTCTGACTAAGACCAGGTTAAGTGACTTCACACCAATCCTTACGTGTAGATTGTTTACATAAAGTCCTTTCGTGGATCAATTTTATCTTACATGGAATCTCCTCAGGTCATCTGCTTTGGGAATTTCAGATGTGAAATAAAAATCTTTTCGGTCTGAGGCCCTGCCTGGTAAATGAAGCAGAGAACACAACATTGGGAGAGATGCTTGTGCAAGAATCAGAAGTATTACACAGCACTCAGCCAGTGCAGGCAATGCCCTTGTGGTTTAAAACCAAATAACATAAAAGTAGATGGAAAGCTATTGCATTCTCTGAGTTTTTCCCTGGTGTGATTTATATGCATCCTTAGATGCCCTCTTAAGTCTGCACAGTTGTGTCTAGTAGCAAACATCACCACTTGCTTTATTCCACCTTATTCATAATAAGTAAACTAAAATCCACATCAGCCTTTCCAGTGACCTTGTTTAAGAAAACAAGAGTCTGGTCCAGCAATCAGCCTGGCTCCCTTAGTGCCAAATCCATATGGCTCCACAGTCTCGTCCACGTCCAAAGAAACTTCATGGTTTGGAAAGAAAAACTGCTAAATGACATTGGCATGGAACACCTGGCCCTAGCTGCTTTGTTTTTCCCCTTCCCAAAACAGATCTTTTAACCTCCCTAGAATCTGTGATCACAAGATAAGTGGTCTGTAATGGTAGTGGTTCTCCACGGACCAACCAGGCATGTACCCCAGCAAGGCTGCCCTCCAAGTTTGGCAGTAAGCAAAGACTAGAAAGAACATTAGCGTTGTCCACTAGGAGAGCTGGAAAGGCTTCAGACTTCATCTAGTCCAAATGCCTTGCTTCATATTTGAGGAGACAGAGGCCCAGAGAGGGGAAGGGACTCACCCAAGGCCACCCAGCTAATTAATAACAGAGCTGGGACCAGAACACAGTCCTGACTCATGGCTTAGTTTGCTTCTAGCTCTTGAAAACTGGACATCTGTTATTTAGCTATATGCTTATTGTTACCAAATTCCAGCATGACAAAATATTTAGATGACTGAAAAACTTTGTTTTATTTAAGCTTTATACTCTCCTTTTGGAAGATCTTATGATTGTTGGCATGTGGAGTCCATTCATATAGGGTTAAAACTATAGCATGTTTATCAATCTTGTCTTAAAATATAAACTTCACTAAGTTGAAGTTCAAATAAAATCCTGACAGGAAAAGAAAATATAATTTTTAATATATCCTTTTGCTATTTTATACCTAACAATGGCTGGAAATTAGACTCAGCCCGTTATTGTTAAACTTGATAATAATATATCACTTATATTTAAAACGAATGTGAATATGATGTTTCGTGTTCTAACCCACACTGAATGAATGGCATCTGAATTTGTTTTTTGTTTACTTATGATACACAGTTGTGATGTAACTTTATATGGCATTTTCATGACATGAATGACAAAGGTGTGAAAGATCTAAAGACATAATTGCGTGTATTCAAAATAGCAATGAACCCTTTGAGATTCTAAGCTGTTTCTTTTCATTAAATAGGTCAATTTTGCCTTCACACAAAATCAAGCCCTTTTTTAAAAAGGGTCTAAAATAAATCTATGACATCAAATTTCTCCTTTAAAACAGATTGGTTATAGAGTGTGGTTCTTCTAAAATTGCAGCAGCTCTTGTAGGCTCCACTTCAGTCCGTGATCATCTTCTCACAAGTATGCAAGCAAAGTATGTACCTTGCAAAGGCTCCTGACTATAATAAGTAAACAACGTATCTCAACAACAGTCATAGAAACTAGTGAATTGGAAGACTTTGGATTGTAGACCAAGGCTTTGCATACCTCCCAGCTGAGGTGTTTCATCAAACCCAGCCAAGGGGCTGATGGAAGGGCCCTCCAGGATAACAAAAGTGTTGATGACAGTTCTGTGAAGATTGTATTAGGGTGATGCAGGAAATCACCATAATACGATCTTCCCTTATATGATAAGGGAGGCAGGATGGCCTGTTAACTGAGTCCCAGTGTCAAATCCTGACTCTGCCTTTCATTGGCTGCTTGGTCTTGGGCAGGTTATATCCTGTGGCTTGGCCTCACTTGCTTCATCTCTTAGTTAGAATAGTCATAGTACCGAGACCATCTCATGGGGTGGCTGTGATAATTCAGCCAATAAATACAGGTTGAATGCTTGAGAAATGTACCAGTCATGCAGCAAATGAGATACTGTCACTATTAATACTATTACCATTATTACTACTATTACTACTCTTATCCTAGAGGGCACTTCAGTGGTCAGGAGTTCAGAGTGGGTAAGACAGAGATGGGACCACTCCAGGCTGGGGACATGGCCAAGCTGGTGAGGTGTCCAAAGTCTCTATCCATAGCTGGCCAGCCCTGCCTTAGCAGCCTGGATCCTGGCTGTGTTCTCACTCTTGGTCCTGTTTTAGTGCTCACCAACACACTGCCAGACACTTGCTCTTAACTGAACAAATTTGAATTGAGCACTTACTACCTGTCATGTAGAGTGCTAAGGAACCATAACACAGTGTTGGAGAGCCAAGCCCAACTCCCAGTCTTAGGAAGCACACATTCTACTGCGACAGTTCTTCCTTGGTGCTGACCTCGTTTTTATTGTCAGCCCCAGCCCAGCTGACATCCCCACACCTGACTTACCTCCTTTCTAAAGCCACATGAAGTAGGAAGGGGGAGTTAAACTGGAATTTGAAAGATCAGAGTTCCATATGACCATGTGCTCCTCTGTGGTTCTTTACCAGCTCACCTCTGCCTTTTTCCCTAAATATAGGCACACTTGGGTGGAGAGGCTGTTTACCCTTGACCATCCCTCTATTCTACTCATCTGGTGCATCCACAGTGCCCAGAGGATACAAAGATATCTCCTACCTGTACAAAATTGACATTCTGAAGCAAAACCCAGAACATATATTTAAATCCAGTTAGACTCATGTCTGGAAAGTGGTTTAGTTATCTCAATTTGCTATTCGTTGATGTCCCTATTGCCATCACCACCACCCCAACACATGCACGCACACACACACACACACACACACACACACGCACGCACTTTCCATCTTGTCTTACCCTGCACAGGGATCATGTGCTGTCCTGTCACTCATGAATGACTACTCTGTCTCTAGATATTGATGAGTGCCGGGAGATCCCAGGGGTCTGTGAAAATGGAGTGTGTATCAACATGGTTGGCAGCTTCCGATGTGAATGTCCAGTGGGATTCTTCTATAATGACAAGTTGTTGGTTTGTGAAGGTAAGTGGCATCATGACTTTATCATATCCAGAAAAGAGCTAACTGATGAGCTACTTGATACACACTTGGCGAATTTCACAACATTGAAATTTCAGAAATGCATTAAGCTCTAGAAATAGTAAAGGGCATGGTGTGGAACAACATGAAATTTCATGCAAAAAAAAAAAATTCACTAACTTCAGTGGAAAAACCAGGAGGCACATTCCCAGCCCCTTTCCCCCAACACACAGTGTGTTAATATTAGACTTCCCAGCTGATATGAAAAAGCTTTGAGTTCCTGGGTGTGTCACATAGATTGCTTTCGTTTCACATTGCTGGAAAATCAGTATGAGTGGACAGTCATCCTAGTTGACTCTCAAAATCATTTCTCTTCCAGACAGAGACTTTGCTACTCCCAAGTGAAAACAAGGTTAATGCAGATATTCCAAATGCATGAGAGAATTCCAAATGGCAAGAACAGCAAATTTGATTTTATATGAAGAATGTTGGCATGCACATGTACTTTTTTCATTTTCAAATTACCTCCTGTTGCCATGTATATGTACTGTGATTCGGAGCATTCCTTATAGCACTTCATATTTTTTCCTGCATCTGGGAAAGATAGTTCTCTTACATTTTAGTAAAAGGGACATTACTGGTTATTAAATATACCATGTGCCCAGGATAGTTGGAATAATTTTCTATTTAATACTTACACTTCAGGCCTCTAGCAGAATTTTTATTCATGTTAGAAAGGGTTATTACCCCTTAGAGCACGTATTATAGCACATATGTCAACATTTTAATGTTAAAAAAAAAACTTTTTTGTCTATACTGAAGACAACTTATATACCACAAGTAAAGTTATAGTCCTAACCACATACTTGTTAAGTTCCTGTCACCAGGCTTTCAGTTACTGTGTCCAAGTGGGCACATGTCCCTTACTCTGCCTGCTGTGTGAGTTAGTGGGAATGGGGTAATAGCCCTTCCGAGCCTTCCTAAGAAGATAGCCAGTTCAGACCTTGGCCCAAGTCCCTGGGCTCTGGGAAGCCATCAAGGATCAGGTACCTGGAGAGGAAGCATGGATGTGGGAGAGGGAACCCACGGCAGATGATCTTACAGTGCTAGAGTTGGCTGCCTCCCTCACAGCCGCACTTTTCCCCCTCTCAAACATGCTCAGCATGCCTGCCACCTGCCTGTGGCATTTTCCTCCCCACCCTTCCCCTCAGAGATGGCTTTGATGATGACTGTACCCAGGTACCTTTTAACCACTTATATTTGCTGAAGCTGCAGGCCTTGGCCAGAACCCATAGACAAGACCACCCATGACCACCAAGTCAACTTAGACCTTGCTAGATCCATGAGATTAAACACATGCAACTGTACCAATGCAAGGCATTTTGCTGTCAGGGTAGCATTCTGTGGATATTGAGATAACTAAGTGCTCCAACTTCTGATTTCCATTTCACAGAATATCCGTCTTCAGGGTGAATGTTTAATCCAGGGTCAGCTGCTTCCTAGCATACTCTTAGCTCTTAGAATAGGAAAATGAAGGTTGAGTGCATACATGCCTCAGCAATGCTGAAATTGGAATGGATTGTAGAGGTGATTTAGGGAGCTTCCACGCCTCTGCTCTTGCCAAGTAGCCACATTATCAGATGCCACATCATAGAAGTGCTTCTCTGTGACACTACTCAGTTTCTCCAGTGGCGCAATCTGCCCCCTGTGTTTCTATACATCCTGAATACAAAGCAGGGCAGACCTGGTGAGTGAGGTGGTGCTGGGTCCCTTGTAACCCAAGGCAGACACACTCCTGCTCCTGTGTCTGTTGCCCAGAGAGGCACAATCCACCTGCCTTAGACAGGAACCCCCACTGACTGACTGACAGTCCTGAGGGTTTTCCACCACAGAATCACGCCCAAGAGGCATCGGCTGATGTATTTGCCACCCCCTTGTAGGAACTTCTTTGGTCGAGCCAACTTCTGTGTAAAAGCCCAGAACTGGTACTAAGGGCCAACCTTCACCTGTGTTATAGGCCATCCCCTTTATTGGACTTAGTCTGTAAATTAGATTGTTCCACTGGAGCAGGGAAGAGGGAAACATGTATTTTGCCCCATGATATAGCATGGACATGTAGTAACTTTTGTGATGCCATGAATTTGAACTATATTAGTATCTGTTTTTTGTTGTTGTTGTTTGTTGTTGTTGTTTTGTTTTGTAGACAGACAACCCCCTAAGCAAAGTCAAAACTCTGGAACACACAATATCCATTATCCAAAATCTTTTCTGTTTTAATGAGAGTTGGTTTGTTTTCAGTAGTTTTATGATAACTCCCATGTTAGGTTTTCTTGATTTGATTGCCTTGTGGTAGTAATTTGAGCAGGTGTCTTTACAGCCCTGTACCTCAAAGCACTCTCTACAGACCAGGAGCACCTGCATCAGCTGGGAACTTATTAGAAATTCAGACTCTCAGGCCATTTTCCAGACATGCCAAGTCAGAATCTGCATTTTAGCAAGATCCCAAGTGATTCATGTGGACTTTAAGATTTGAGACATTCTGCTCTTGCAGCCTTTCAGACAATAGCAACCTTATTGAATCATAAAATCCAGATCTTTGAGTAAATACAAGGCTTCCTAGGATATTAATCTATACCCATGTCAAGTGCTGGCCCTAGCAGCCAAGTTTCATGACTTTTTTTTAGATGTGAGCATCATTAGAGTCCATATGTGGTCATAAATCAAGCCTTGCATTTATAAATATTACTAAGTGGGAAAGTTTAGATAATGGACTTTCGGTCTTCCTTTCTTTCTTTCTTTTTTTTTTAATAGACTTTATTTTCTAGTGCAGTTTTAGGTCCACAGCGATATTGAGAAGAAGGCACAAAGATTTATCATATATTCCCTACCCCTACACATGCACAGCCTCCCCCATCATCAGCATCCTCCATCAGAGTGGTGCATTTGTTACAATTGAATCTCCGTTGACATCATTATCACTCAGAGTCCACTCTGATGATTTACATTAGAGCTCGCTCTTGGTGTTGTACATTCTATGGGTTTGGAAAAATTTATAATGACATGTATCCACCATTCCATAACTATTCATAGAATAATCTCATTGCCCTAAAAATTCTCTGTGCTTTGCCTGTGTATCCCCTAATCTCCCCTAACCCCTGGCAACCACTGATTTTTTACTGTCTCCAGAGTTTTGCCTTTTCCAGAATGTTATATGGTTGGAATCATACATTATGTCGCCTTTCCAGATTGGCTTCTGATTCGCTTAGTAATATACATTTAATTTTCTTTTTTCTTCTTTTTCTTTTTCCTTTTTTTTTCCTTTTTTTTTGTGTGTGTTTTTTTTTTGTTTGTTTTATTTTTTGTTTGTTTGTTTGTTTGTTTTGGACTTGGAGTTTTGCACTTGTTGCCCAGGCTGGAATGCAATGGCATGATCTTGGCTCGCTGCTACCTCCATCTCCCAGGCTCAAACGGTTCTCCTGCCCCAGCTTCCCAAGTAGCTGGGATTGCAGGTGCCCGCCACCATGCCCAGCTAACTTTGTATTTTTAGTAGAGACGGGGTTTCACCATGTTGGTCAGGCTGGTCTCAAACTCCTGACCTCAGGTGATCCGCCCGCCTTAGCTTCCCAAAGTGCTAGGATTACAGGTGTGAGCAACCGCACCTGGCCATATTTAATTTTCTTCCATGTCTTTTCATGGCTTGATAGCTCATTTCTTTTTAGTGCTAAGTAACATTCCATTGTCTGAATGTACCACAGTTTATTTGTTAATTCACCTATCGAAGGACATCTTGGTTGCTTCCAAATTCTGGCAATAAATAAAGCTGCTGTACACATCTATGTTGTCTTTTCAATAGAACAGATCAAAATAAAATATAAATTTGTTTTCATGTGAGAGGCTTTGTTGACTGGACACCAGATTCTGTTCTCCTTCAAATTCAGTTCTCTTCTGCTCGTAGATATTGACGAGTGTCAGAACGGCCCAGTGTGCCAGCGCAACGCCGAATGCATCAACACTGCAGGCAGCTACCGCTGTGACTGTAAGCCCGGCTACCGCTTCACCTCCACAGGACAGTGCAATGGTATGTAGTGCCCCACAGGCTGGACATGCCTACCCAAGAGTTTGTCTTCATGAAGCTTCAGATATCTGGATTTATTTTCAGATAGTTAAGCTGAAGAATATATGAGTTAAGATTTAGATTGATGAACTCTAATATTAAACTAAATTGGAAAAAGGGATATTGTCAAAATATCTAAACACTTAGCTTTTTAATCCTCTTTCTGGATGAGATATTTTCAAAACAAGAAGTAAATCATTCGCATACATAGATTTCGTATTTGCCTGTCTGCTGCCCTGCCTGCAAACACTCACCCCCACACATTACACACACACACAATTATGCATACACACATTCCCCTAAGCAACATTTAGGACCAAATGATTTTTTTCCTTCCACAGAATCCCTCTCAGAAAGGTGAGGTTTTCACCATCTTGGCTGCATACCCCAAATCTAGACAGTGAAGCTCTCCTGAGCTGGGTCAGATTAATCTGCAGAAACAGAACAAACAAAGCCATCGCTTTTCTTCCCAGTCATCTTACAGGGAAAGGGTCACTCACTGAAGGCAGCAAACATCAACAGCCTTTATTAGCTATTTATTCCCATGACCCCTAGAGATTAGATTTTTTTGGTGTTCACTTTTGTCAGGGATGTGATAGAAATAGGAAGCACGTTGGCATGTTATCAACTTCAGTGTACGGTGAAGTTATTCAGTATCTGATGGTATCTTGTAGCCAGTGGTGTGAAAATTTAAAAGACTGCTGTTTCAGCCCAGAAACAAAATAATATCTCAGAATGATTTTCTTGTAAGTTTTTAAGTAATTCTGAATCTGTATATTTAGCAAAAATCACTGTATATTTAGCAAAGCAAATCATTGTATATTAGTCAGGAAGAATGTGTTATTTTGCTCACGGTTCATTTCACGGGGGGTTTCCTGGATATTTTATGCATTTGTGAATGAAACAACACAGGGGAACGTGGTCAGATTTTCCTTGGATTTCCTTGCCTACCAGTGATTAAGTGGTAGGAAGTGCACTGTTCTCTTTAGGGTATTTTGCATTGTTTTATGAGACCTTGGTGGGAAGAGGGTGTAATTGCCAAACAAAAAAATCGCATTGAGAATCAAGACTTGTTTTGTTGAGTTTAAAGGAAAATGTGTAAGTATTTAGCATTTTGTCAACAGAGCTGTTGCTATCCATGTATTAAAAATACAGGACAGGAAAAGCAGGGACGTCTCTGATATGAACCACAATACCCTAGAGAAACTTGGCATTGATACCACTTCCCTGCATTTTGCTCATAATTTATATTTCTTTAGAACTGGATGAAATAATTCCAGTCAAAATAAAGAATTGCTGATAATATAGAATGAGTCATTTCACACCATTTCACACTCAGGTAAGAAGTGGGACAGAGCTATTTATAGATCAAGATAAGACATTCAGCCATAGCCTGCTGGAGCTTAAGTCATTTACTGTTTTCTTGTAGGAGACTATCATACATAAAATGCAGCCAGCCATAAGTGTTGTGAGTGAGCATCATTTGCAGCCAAAAGCTTGATTTCCTTTATTCATTGAAATCCTCAGAAGAAAGGGAATTAACTTGAGTTTTGCAACCATTCAGCCTGTTGGGTTGAAGACCTCATTCTAGAAATGTCTTTATTTATGTCTTACTTTTAAAATATCTTTAAATGCTATTCTATACTTGGCATTTTTTTTTTCAGGCATGCTGCAAAGTACTCCTTTGTGCATCTGTTTAAAATGAAAATAACTAAAACTTTCTCTCCATCATGAGATCCTTATTTGAATTCATAAGCACATTATTTCAAATCCCAAATCACACCTGGCCATAGCACCCACATTATTGCTGAGAGAGCTGAGAGAATAATTAGATATCTGAGCTCAGGATGCTAGTCTGACAGCAGAAGCTGGATAGTTAGAACAAATGCAACCCCCTTCTGAAATGTCTTGCCCCACAAAAGACAAGGAACAGTTTCTTCCCAGCTACTTCCTTGTGGTTTCCTCTCTTTCTCTGTTGACTATTTGGGTTTCTTTCCACAGTAGCCTGTTCAGACCTCCTATCCCAACCTCAAATATGATCATCTAAGAGTTCAAATTCTGGTGCTTGTGGAAACCTAGATTTCTGCTCTAGTTTTACCAGTAGAACTCCAAAGTACTCCCCATGTTTCATTTTTCATTTATTTAAACCATCATGAAATAGGGCAGTAGATGAAAGGAAATTCCTAATTGGGGATCCCTTTCTAATAAGATCCTTAAGGCTCTCCATTTCCTTGTGGAACTCAGATATGAGACAGACCTCGTCCCCTGCATACCTCCAGGTCCAGTCCTACCTGAAGGTGCCAAAGTTTTGGGCCAACTATGGTAGGACCTGAGACACCCTTCCTCAAGATCGGAAATCAGTCTCCTCTGCCTATACTGGGAAGCAGTTGGCTCACTTTAAATTCATTTTCTCAAAAGGGAATAATCATAATTTGTTAAATAGCATTTCTGCATAGGCTAGTAGTAGTTCCTAAGCTGCTCTATTTCAATTTCCCCTCATAATGATATACTCCACTTCACTTGGAACTTCTAAATGGTATGATGATTCATCTACTAAATAGGAGATAACCATAACAGTGGCATCCCGGACACATGAAATGGAGGAGATGTCCATGATTCTGGCACAGGGAGGGTTGCTGTGTGCAGCAAAAAGTGTCCATTCATGATTACTGTGTTCTGAGTAGACATTGCAGGCAAACGGCAAGTCTGGATTATTTAACTAAGAGCGAAATGCCATCTGCCCTACAGCATCTGCAGCAAAGATGACACTCCATTTGCTTTCTTCTGTGACAGTAGGAAAATCAGAATGGCACAGTGCTCTTCAAAGTACATTTACTCTAAACATAGAGCTTTAAAAAATTAGAGACGTAAGTTGGCATATAATTATGTCATATGTGAATTCATGCATTAAATTCTGCCCCTCAGATAATCAGATTTCAGGAAAGCAACAAAGATTCAGTTGATGATAAATATAATTTAGAACTTAAAGACTGGCAGAAGCAAGATGAGAGGGCTTCCTTTTGAATGGATGAGAGTAAAAAGAAAGAGACAGTGTTCAGGTTGTCACATGCTAAAAGGAGCCCTGTGTAGACGTGAATACTTGGTGAAGATGGAACAAAAAGTTACAGGCATAAGACAAAACAAAGAGATGCAACTTGAACAAGCAGCCATGTAGGTTGTCCATCAAGAAAAACTTAATCTTAGTCATAGGATTTGACTTTGATATAAATTTACAAAGGAAGCCATGAACTATCCATGACTTAAGGCACCAAATCTTAACTAGACAAAATACTTCAATTAATTCCACAGTCTGTGGTGCTGCGTAGGCCGATAATCAAACAGAAAATCCTCCCGGCTTGAATCCCCCCATTTTACTTCTAAGTTTTCTCATCTTTCAGAATATTTTTTGATTACTTACCCTTATTTTTTATTGTGTCAAGTATTGTTAACATACTCTGACTATGCCTGGTAAATGAGAGTAAGTTTTAATCCATTTTGATGCAAAAATAAATATATCTGTTTCACTAACTTAGTTTAGAGCTAGGATTACTCCTGAGAATGATAGCTAGAAGTAAGTTATTCAATTATATTTTGTCTTCTAAGTTCTCACTTAAGATGCTTCTTATTTACAGATCGTAATGAATGTCAAGAAATCCCCAATATATGCAGTCATGGGCAGTGCATTGACACAGTTGGAAGCTTTTATTGCCTTTGCCACACTGGTTTTAAAACAAATGATGACCAAACCATGTGCTTGGGTAAGTATGCAATTATTATTATTTTTTTCATATGCTGTTGAAAGCTTCATTTGATTCTAAATATGGATAAAATTTAATACTAAGTCTTTTAGTAGTATTTTTGCTATATACAAAATAAAAACACAGACAGATATGCAGCAGTGATATCCTATTTAATCTTTGGCAATCTGAACATGATAAACCTCTTCCTTTGTTATTCATTTGGCTGTCAGTTTAGAAAAAATTGACTAAGGGGTAAATTGAAAAAGATATTAATACAAAAATATTAATGTTAATAGGCTATTATTCATATGTAATATTGATGTGGATTTTCTTTTGAGTTTTTGAGTGTGAGATGACCATTTTTTTGGAAGGGTTTATAGTGTGTACCAGATTCTCAAAGGCAAATTTATAAATCCTACAAAGGCAAAGAAAAGTTAATCATTTTTCTAGAGGAAAAAGAGCTCAGGATTTTAAATCTCTTTCCTGATTTCTCTATTATCAGGATGCTGATTTAGAATAAACTTCAGTGTGTAATGAATCATTTTCTTCTTTTCCTTCCTTTATTTTTCTACTTTAAAGCAATACCATTAAGTCTTTTTGGGACATTAAGAACATAAATCAGATTCACAGCTGAAAGAACAATTAATATAGTAATGTTTAAGTCCTTGACTTTGGCTATGACTGGGTTCATCCATTTGGGAACATTTCTCATAAAGTTGTATCTTCTCCAGAGTAATGACAAGAGCACTGACAGCCCTACTCATCACTGGGCAGCTAACCTGTGTAAAAGCTATGATGATCCTGCCCAACTTTCTTTCTACATCTCTCATCTGAATTTTCTGGAGCCCCCTAACATAGAACCTTCCCAACCAAAGAACTTCACCAGTTTGGCTAAAAATGAATCAAGGCAAAAATTCTTGATTACTAGCAATGACTCATCTGGGTGTAGTCTTCAACCACAGACACACATTAGAGTCCCTTTGGGTTAGCAATAGCTTCCTGATTCAGGAATCACAGATCATTTATCTTCATGTCCAAAATGTGAAAAGAAAGGGAATCCTAGCTCTAATCATTACATTTTGCTATTCTCCGTTGTTACCTTCCACTCTCTCTCTCTCTCATTTCATCCTTGTCCCTCTTCATGGTGCCTCATTCTTTCAAACCAGCAGTAACAACTTTCTTTCATTAAATTTTTTATTACTTCCTCCTTAATATAATGTGCATCTACTCTTTATAAGAAATATGCTAGCTGCTGTGATGAGATGCAAAGACATATAAGATGTCAGAGTAGCTTTACAAAATCATCAGAGAAAAGTACGGACCAATCAAAAGGCGAATAAGAATGCAAGCATGTATGAAAAGAACAAATTAAGTGCCATCTCTTTGGGGTAGTTTAGAAAAGTGAGAGAAGTCATCATTGGTGGAAGTTGTTCTATGTTTTTATGGGTGTAGGGAAAAAGGAAAAGTTGTCTGAAATGACAGGTGAGCTAGAAAGCTGAGTTATTTTGTTGCTGATTGTGGGGTAATGCCAGGTGAGTCACTGCTTTTTGGTAAACTGGAGTGAGAATCTTGAAGGTTGAAGTTTGCCAAAGGTGGCAACACCTCAAGACCCAGATGCACACAGAGTTTTTTCCATTTTCAAGTGAAAATATTTGAGAAAAGTGGCAAGGGTGGAGAATTCTAGAAGTAAATAGAATAAAATAATTCTTGTTCAGGTCTCATGTCCTTAGCTTGCCTCCTTTCACTGGCCAGCCAAGGAAACCATTTATTCCCAAGATTTAGAGCTTTGCCGCTGCCTGGTATCTTGCAGGGATGACTGCTGCTGGAGCTGATACCAACATCAAGAAGTTCTCAGCCTATGGATGAGGCCTGGTGAACCCTAAAATGCTCTTTAGCCACTGTAACCGTGTAACCACTTTTTCTACTTATAATTATGTTTCTTTATGGCCTTTCTTCCTACTAGACATAAATGAATGTGAAAGAGATGCCTGTGGGAATGGAACTTGCCGGAACACAATTGGTTCCTTCAACTGCCGCTGCAATCATGGTTTCATCCTTTCTCACAACAATGACTGTATAGGTGCGTGTGCAAAATTGTGCATCAGCAAAGGAAGTCAGTTTTATATGTGTTCTTTGTAATTAGCATCATCTCTAGTGTTCCAGCTGTCTTTTAAAAATGTATGCTATCTTATGCATAACAATTGGTTATGGGACTTGTCAAATACAATGTGCTCAACATGAAATATATTACAGAAGTCTCCCCTTATCCGTGAGGGATACATTCTGAGACCCCCAGCAGATGCCTGAAACCACAGATAGTACTGAACCCTCTATATACCATGTTTTTTCCTACACATACATACCTAAAGTTTAATTTATAAATTAGGCATGGTAATAGATTAACATCAATAACTAATAAGAAAATAGAACAATTATAACAGTATACTGTAATAAAAGTTATATGACTGTACTTTCTTGTGCACTGTCTCTCTCTCTCTCAAAATATTTTATTGTACTATACTCACCTATTTTTGGGTAGCAGCTGACCTTGGATAACTGAACCCCCAGAAAGCAAAACCATAGATAAGAGGGAACCACTGTAACTATATCCATTACTTTTATTAAAATGCTTATTAGCAGCTATAATTTTTATGTCTACTTTGCTGTAAATTAAATAAATTTCAAAATAAATGGAATTAGATTAAGCCAAAAAATTTTTAAATATACAAAAGTGATTCTTTGTATAGAAATTATATGATTCAGGACTATGAACCTTCTGGTCTAGATGTTTCATGTAGCCTCTCTTAAATAAATCATTGAATCTACAGAATCTCCTTCTAAAACATACTAGGCAAGAGTAATAAGCCAAATTCTTTAAATTTTATTGTGCTATAGGCTAATTTAAATCTAATTGCAAGAATACAAAGGAATGCCCTTAGCTGAATTGTGTATTAGGATTTTATTTTTTAAATCAAAAAATTTTTAAATCTAAAATTTAAAAATAAAATCTAAAGGAAAATCAAGGAAAAACTGATAGGAAATTTGAATGTAAATTGTCAGTCTCTAATATAATAATGTAATCTTATTGTTAAATGTGTATAGGTGCTTAAAGCCAGTTCTGTTGTTGCAAACTAGATCTTCATTGGCATTTCTTGTTTGGCTAAGCCAGCAAAGGCCACTAAAATTCAGAAAAAGTATTTTTTCTTTTAGAAGTTTTGATTATTGCTGGGATTATGACATCTTTGGAATATATTAAAGGATTGTTGGGGATTTTTCTGCAGATGTTGATGAATGTGCAAGTGGAAATGGGAATCTTTGCAGAAATGGCCAATGCATTAATACAGTGGGGTCTTTCCAGTGCCAGTGCAATGAAGGCTATGAGGTGGCTCCAGATGGGAGGACCTGTGTGGGTAAGTACAGGACTTAGAAAGACCTGGAAAGAATGCTTCCAGAGACCACTCAAGGAATCATGCAGTCTCTGTTCTAATGCTTCTTTCTGGAAACCTGGAGGAAAAGTCAGAGTAGAATTATATTAATCCTCCCTATAAAGGCTTGTTTTTATTTAAGTATATATACACATATATATATGTATATATATATACATATATATATGTGTGTATATATATATGTATATATATATGTGTGTGTGTATATATATATATGTGTATATATATATATAATCACTTTTTCCCTTATTTTAAAAATTAAGCTATTGTACTCACCAAGAATACTCAAACTATTAAACAGTGAAATTGCTAAATTGCTCTGTAAGCAATTGTGATTTCCCTTCTTAAATATTTTTCTTTAAAATACTTTTGTAGTAAGCTCTCATATCTTTTGAGTATCCTTAAAATCTATATACTCACTGACTTTTCACATGCTACAATTTTCTGGAAACATTTAATTTGATGCAGGTAAAATAAAATATGGTTGTTATGCTATACATTTTTGAAAGCTGATAAAGCTTATTTTTATTATTGCTTATTTTTCTCCATGGTGGAATTTTATGAACTTTAATTTGCTTTATGTATTTCTTTGATTCATTCTAGTTTTTTTGAATTTTAATTGTTTGATGGAAGTCATGCCAGTGGGAACCTCTTCCTTATTTTTCCCTTTTCTTTGCAGATATCAATGAATGTCTTCTAGAACCCAGAAAATGTGCACCAGGTACCTGTCAAAACTTGGATGGGTCCTACAGATGCATTTGCCCACCTGGATACAGTCTTCAAAATGAGAAGTGTGAAGGTAGGAAAGCTATCAGTTGTAGCAAATGAGGAGTGTCGGGTGTCCACTGGACTTAGCAGAATGAGAATTTTTGTAATGACGTCTTCATTTTGGAATACTTTATCAGAAACAAATGCAAGGGCATAGGTATGACATGGTCTCATCCTTCTGGCAAGACAAGAAGCACTAATTATCATGCTAATCTCTAATGAAGTTATTTTGTTCTGTGCATATGACTGATCATATGATCCTGACTCTTTTCCACTGTGCTTTCACACATTTGTTAGGAATGCTGTGTCCTACTCCCAGTATTTCCGAACTACATTTTTTAAGTGGCGATTCTTTGCAGCTAAAAATAGCTCCTGATTCCATTTAAAAACTTTAAATGACCACATTCAAGGTTGGATGAATGTGGTTATATCGTTTGTCTATTTTGTTTTTACCTATAGAGCAGTGGAAATGTCTTATTTCAAATAAATTCTCAGCAAATTTTACAGTATTACATTCCTTTTTGTTTGTTTGTTTTTAATGGAGACAGGGTCTTACTCTGTCACCAGGTTGAAGTACAGTGGCACGAGTATAGCTCACTGTAAGCTTGAACTCCTGGGCTCAAGTGATCATCCTGTCTCAGCCTCTGGAGTAGCTGGGACTACAGGCATGTGCCACCATGCCTGGCTGATTTTTTAATTCTTTGTAGAGATGGGGCCTCCCTATGTTGCCAGGCTGGCCTCAAACTCCTGGCCTCAAATGATCCTCCTTCCTCAGCCTCCCAAGGGCCTTCCTTTAACCTCAACAAATATGTCATATCATTAAGTGAAGGACATTAATTGCTAGAATTTCATAAATAAGTAGGGTTGAAAGGATTTTCAAGAAGTCACCTAGTTCACACCCCTGACTTTAAACAGGTCTGCATCTAATCCACAATGAGAATTTTCTCTACTTTTAATATCGTCAATTAGAAATTTTATTATATATCCAATTTAAGTAACAATCAAGTGGTGATATTTAAAATGGAAACACCTTATTGAAATTGTCTAGATGCAAATTTTTTAAGCATGTTATTTTACTTTTATTAAAAATTGGCTTTATTATCAATACATAAGTTCGCTAAATTGAACAGAATATATATAGAAAGAAAAATAACTGCACAGTCAATGAATGTGCCCATTCTACAATATTTGGCCCTATCCTAATAAGTTGGCATGTACAGGCTAATTTCTACCATAATATAAATAGTCATAGTAATAATTAAAAACAACTGAAAACATTTGAGCATTTTCACAAAAGTTAACTTTTATATTAAGAAAAGGTTGGATATAGGGGTGGAAGGAGTGTCAGAATGGAGTAATTCAATCGGCAATAGAAGATCAGATTCATTAATAAACCACAGGGAACATAACACAGGTATAAATGCAACCCAATAACATGGCATGATGGAGAAGCTGATTTTGCGTTGCACAGAAAGAGAATCACTTGGCATTGCACATTTCTAGAATATTTATTGTGTGGTATTTACAATATTAAGTCAAGATAATAAGGTTAATTTCTCAACTTTTCCTTAGTTGGGCCTCTTGAGAATAAAGTTGTATAATGCAAGTACATTTTGGTGTGAGTAGAAACCTTTGCACAAATATAAAAATAAAGAGCCCAGGATACAAGGATATTTTGTGTTTTGTTGAAAAAATAAAAAAGTATTCTCATAAAAGTAGCATGGCTCAGAATTAAGACTTACCACTTTGTTCACTAAAAATTCCTGCTGAAAGTCAGGAGGAAAGATAAGTGAGTTTGTTGGAATAGAGTGGGCATATTTTTCCATAGGTAATCGTATGTTTTATTGACCAACCCAAGCCAATTTTGAAAGTAGAAAAGGGCACTATTAACAATAAAGTCAGGCCAACTGGCATGAGCTGGGGCTCCCCCAGGCAAACTAGGACATATGGTTACTCAAGCCATTCAAACTTCTTATTGGCTACTCTTAACTACCACTGTACAGGAGCTAAGATGTATAATATACTAAAGAAAACATGCCACAATTCTAAGTGTACAGTTTCCTATTGTCTATATGATGAAAGAAAAAGCCTGTACAAGAAAGGTATTTTTGTGTCTTCAGAAAGATTAACCCACAAATCAGGAGCGTCATCTTCTATGATATCGTTAGTTTGCACTTCATAGGATTATACTTATTTTCATGAGTCTTAGTGTTCTTGTAAAATTCACAGTTTTAGGGCTATAGCATAGGGTATTGGGAAAAGTTCTGTGGGTGGTTGGAGGGGAGTAAATTTGGATCAAAGGCCTAGATCTCACATTGAGTGAGTCACTAGCAATGTGCTTAAAGTCTCAGCATTTCTGCTTCCTGAACAATGGTGCAGTGTGACTCTAGAATTTCATGCTTCTTTCCTGGCCTAGGGTACTATGAAATTACTCTGACTTTTCTAGTTAGCCAAGCAACTCAGTCTGGGTAAGAGACGTTTGTCACTGCACCCCTTAGAAGGCAGTTGCACATTCCATTTTTATATCAATAACTGTCAAAACTAATTCTTTTGAAGTCATGACAACCTAGAAGTCCAGTCCACAGTGTTATGGTACAGAAAAATACCTTTATTATTGTAAGAGTTTGGAAACTCAGTTGCCCTTTGTGTGTCCACATTGTGTGTTTGGTACCTGATGATGTCTCCATCGTGTTTTGACTTTGTTTGACTCATGTGATTCTTTTAGATATTGATGAGTGTGTCGAAGAGCCAGAAATTTGTGCCCTGGGCACATGCAGTAACACTGAAGGCAGCTTCAAATGTCTGTGTCCAGAAGGGTTTTCCTTGTCCTCCAGTGGAAGAAGGTGCCAAGGTAAGTGTCTTTGAAGGCTTTGGGCTTTCAATGCTGCATGTTTATTTGTGGTGGTCTTATTTTTCAAACATGGCAAAGCTCTGTTTCTTTGTGAACAGGAAGATGGAGAGTTTTCATTCACCCAGAGGTCTAATGATAACCATATGTCAGAAGGTTCATTTTCACTTTTAAGGTTAAAAACTCATCCATCAAGTTATGGTTGCTTATACAATTGTACTGACACATAAACCTCTCTCCCACTAAGAACACAAATGCTGATAGGCCCATCAGTGGGGAAACACCTTGAGCCACCGAAACAGCAAAGCCTGGGGGAAGTTGAGCTACATATCCCCTACCTCTGAAGAGATAAGCTGAAAAATGTGGGTCCAAAGTTAGACTTGAGACTGAAAAACTGCACATTAACCCATTTGCCCCCACAATATGGTAACCATCCCTTATATCACAAATTCTCCAAGAAAACAAAAATAAATTTAAACTGATCAGGATTCTTGCTGGGCCATTGTTCATTTTTAGGAATAATACTTGTCAACTATTTGAGTAAAGATTTTCAAGGGTTTGCCAATGACTTTCAAATTTTAAACAAAAATCAAAAGGATCCTGAACTTTGGCATAACACAGTATGTACTTAAGTCCCAGAAAACTGTTTAGACTTTTCTAAACAATACAGTTGTGTATGGATATCTACATACACAAACTAGTTTCATGAATTCCGGGGAAGGGAGATGAAACAAACACATGTATTTCTTTTTTTTCCACTTGTAGCTTTTGTTGTTTGGTTGTTACTGTTGTTTTGATGTTGAGTTGGGTTTTTTTTTTTTTTCATGGTTTTTTGGTTTTGCTTCCGTATTACCAAATATGGAAGAGGCACTGGATATCATTTAAGGTTCAAAAAATTGAGTTTGGGGTCCCAGCCCTGCCATATTTAGTCTAGAGCAAGTCATTTAATCTTTTGGAAGCTCAATTTCCTCATTTTAAACAACAATAATATCTGCCCAACCAGCCTTACTGTGACAAAGCTTTGTTAGTTTCTGAGTCCTTTGTAGACTCTTGTTGTTATTCTAATGATCTGATTAACTTTTTACTTTTCAACTAGTTATTTGGGAAGTAAGAAGGAGAGGGTTGAGAGTTCTCCGGTTGATTTCAGCTTGTTGGTAGTTGTCAGTGGTCTGTGTGGATTTCAGGGTGGTGCTTAATTCGAACAGATATTCTGCATGGTACAGACCAGTCAGATAAATTCTAACTCCTACTCCCTTGTTTTTGTGTGCCTTTGGCTTGGCCTGAATTTGGAAAGAAAGCAGTGAGAAACCAGGTGTGAATCTGCCGATGTGGCAGGCCAGAGGAAACTCCTAGGCTATTAATTCAATTTGCACTGGCCCATCACAGAGCAAGCTAACGCTGCAGGAAGAATCAGCCCAGCTGTGAGCAGCCCTGCCACATGCTCAGCTCCAGGAGGCAGAGCCAGAACTGAGGAATGCAAGCAGGGAAAGTGACTTTTGTAGTTCTGATGAAATTTCGAGGTCATTAAGGGCTCTTTGCAGATGGACTGGTAAACAGGCATCCCAGTGAGTCCTGAAGTATGTGGGCAAGCACAGCTCTCTTCCCCAATGCAAGACACCCTTGATTAATAAGCCAATTCTAGAGAATCACCACAAGCTAAAGTAAGTCTCCTACAGAGCACAGATTTTGCTGGAGCCAGGAAATTGAGAGCTGGGTTTTTCTTGTAAGATGACAAATTAGGAGTCAGACTTCTATTGCTCATGAAATGAGAAAATTCCACAGAACCGTGGATAATGTTTTTTAAAAAGCGAATGCCATGGGACTCAGGTGGACAGAGCCTGGCACAAAAGACCACAGGTGTAAATGAGCCACTCCCACTTGCAAAGTTCAACGAAGAGAATTTGCCACTTAGACTGACTCAAGACTTCGTGCATTTGAGTCTCTGTCTAATGCCAAGATTTTTTTTTTTCGGGGTGGAGTGGTGTGGGGGAGATAGAGCTGGGGTCTGGGACGAAGTCAGCTATTAAAGGAAAAGAGAATGAGAATTTTAATACACCAATATTACAACATACATATTTAAAGAAACACTACAAACTGGAAGACAAAGCAGAGTTAAGTTTTCATATATTTGTTGAGACATTTTTGTGAGTAGTCACTGAATTATATCTAAAGGTAGTTGGAGGCATAAATAACAAAAACAAGACTGATAAATACAAAACATTATATGTGACAAAGAACTTGAAGAATAAAAGAGATCAAAAGTGTTCTCCAAGAAACAAGAATTTGTTCAGTCTTGAAGTTTCTCAGCAAAGCAAACATTTGGGTGGCAGAGATGCCGCAGGATTGACTTTTATTGCTCTTGACCTTCAGAAGGATAATTCATTGAAAGGTGCTTGCCAGGTCCTTGCCACAACAGATGGGGAAGTGGAATAGAAATTAGAGAGATGATTTATCTGGATGAGTTGGTAGCCATGAAAGGTTGAGCAGGTTTACTGGGGAGGCTACCTGAATTTGATTTACATAACTTGGTAAATATAATAGATAGATAGATAGAAACTTTAATTCATGAAAACCTTTCCTTTGTTATCTCTGGCAACTCTGTTATTCCTACATTGTCTTCTTTGTCATGAAATAAAAGCTGGTGAGACTGTCTTAACAGAAGTGCTTAGGTGGTTATGATAGTATGGTTCCTGGGATTGAAAAACAGTGATGGAAGTGAATGAAAAAGGCAGAGGTGGTCAGATATAAAGAAAGAAGAATAGTACAATATGGGTATGAAAGCATTTCTTTTAAACCTGCAGATTGTGGCCTCTGTGTAATGAGAGGAGTTTTGGAAGGCTTTAAGAAGTCAAGTTCGAGGGAAAACACAGTCCATACCTCTGGTTGAGCTCACTTTTTGGAGTCAATGTGTTGTATGAGAAATGGAAAAGCCCGTTTCCAAAATTATGTCAAGCAATGTTGGAGAATTTTATAGGAAGTAGATCCCATCTTCTTTGTTGGAGTCATCAAAGCAATAATCAATATTGAAATATATTCTTTCAAAGAAAGACTATTCTGTTCCCACCCACCCACAGCCCTGCCCTCCTCTTCCTTCCCTCTCTGTGTTGAGCTAAACAAGCTTCTTTTAAAAATTTAACATTGACACAGCTCTGCATATGTGTGTGTGTGTAAAATCTACAAAAAGCCCCACTTGCATTTTGTAGCCAGCATCTCCGGGAGTATCTGCTTCAGTGACCAACCCTTGTGTTGTATTTTTGCCCATCTACAAAGTTGCCACTTCTGTATTTGTTCTGTGCCTGTGATCTGGGATTTTATTTTAGTTCCAGAGTTTAGGGGACACAGAATAAACCACAAAGTGTGATATCACAGTAAATATTAGAACTAAGAGGATTCTCTTACTCTAGTGTGCTCATTAAACATGATATTGCAAGCAGAGCTATCAATGAAGGAATCTTGTGAATGATTCCTTCTGTGGACTTTCCAATCCTGAAGTCACTGACAGATGTCAGTTTTGAAAACTGTCAGTTTTGGATTTTATTGGATTCACATCGGGTTACTTTGAAATAGTGACTAAAATGAGAAGTAATAAATTTAAGTTCATAGAGTTGTTCATCAGATCTCACTATACAAAAGATACCCATGACTTTAACAATCTCAGCTCAGTTACCATTAGAATCACGTAAGGAGTATTGCTGTGGTCCTGAGAGGAGAACATATATAACATAGTGGGTTGTTCTTTATTTGCTATGGTGCAATACGGACTCAGTAGGAAAGCAACTGAAGGGTGTCATAAATTTATGCTGCAGATTTGCGAATGAGCTACTGTTATGCGAAGTTTGAAGGAGGAAAGTGTTCATCACCCAAATCCAGAAATCACTCCAAGCAGGAATGCTGCTGTGCCTTGAAGGGAGAAGGCTGGGGAGACCCCTGCGAGCTCTGCCCCACGGAACCTGATGGTATGTCTGTCATCTGCATTTCTCTCTGGGCCATGCAGGGTGCAGACTGGCCATGATGTAAGTAAGACTGTAGGCCTTAAAGACAGTAACACAATTTAATTTAATTGTAAGTCTAATTAGAATGTTCATTAAAAATTATTTTATCTCAGGAGCTTGGTAGTTATTTTCTTTTTAATTATGTCATGAATCACAGATGCCCAAGGAGTAGACACAACATCTTAGGGAGTCTCGTTAAATAACTTCCTCTGGTTTCTGGGCTTGTTTTTTCCATCATTTATCAATATGCACAGCATGTAGCAATTTTCTACCTCAAAATACTTGTGGAGAAGCTTGTAATGAATTGCTATTGTTCTATCTATTAATGAGTGTCTCCACCACAGAGGCCTTCCGCCAGATATGTCCTTATGGAAGTGGGATCATCGTGGGACCTGATGATTCAGCAGTTGGTCAGTTGCCTGTGCTGGATTCTCAGCATTTCTCAGTATTCTCAATCTGCTTCTTCTCTAGTTATTCTTATTTTTCTCCATCTATCTTGGAAAATTAAGTGCTACTTTTTTGTCCCTTCATTTAGATAGCAATTATATTATTGCATTATTAGATAATCTTTTGATTAAACACTGAAATGATCATAATTTATCTTCACGTTTAAAAAATACCTTGTTATTCACTATTTTTTTTCTCTTGCTTAAGATATGGACGAATGCAAAGAACCCGATGTCTGTAAACATGGACAGTGCATCAATACAGATGGTTCCTATCGCTGCGAGTGTCCCTTTGGTTATATTCTAGCAGGGAATGAATGTGTAGGTGAGTAATAAGTTTTCTTCCATAGGAACTTTACAAATTAAAAATTAAGCTATACAGTATTCACTGTATAGCCATGAATATAGGTACCAAGATGGCACTGAAATAAGTTTTATCCATCCACTCATACATCATTCATTTAGAATACTAGTGAGTCACCATCAGGTCCCAGGCACTGTGCTAGGCTCTGGAGCTGCAGCACTGAACCACAAAGACAAGTTCCTTCCTTTCATGGACCTTACAGCCTAATGGTGAAGGCAGACACTGGACATATCAGAAGAGATACTAGAAAGGACAACATCATAATGAAAGTCTTTGTGAAATTTTTTAAAAATTGTTAATGGTCATAATCTTATTCCCTTATCAAATAAAAATTTTATCTGGATTCTTTTACATTTAGTAAGATGAAAGGCTATATAACCAGTACACAATCTTTTTTTTGTAACCCTGTTTTTAAAATGTCAAATAATGGCTCCTCTGGCTGGCCTTTGACCCTTAATCAACACTAACTCTAACTTAAATCCAAGGATCATATTTAGTTATCTAAGAATTCCAGAGTGATTCAATATAACATAATTAATACTAGCATAAATGCTGAGAGTTTGTCTGTGTGAATTAGAAAGTACTTTTTCCATACAAGAAATCAGGTTATGAAGATTTCAGCTCCAGCTATGGCTGTGGGAGTTTAAGCAGTTTTTTTAGCTTTTCTAGGCCTTAGAATATAATATTATGCAAGTAAAATAACATTTCTAATTACCTTTGCAGCTCTAAAGATCAATGGTATCGGGATTTTTATTAACTTGAAACAGAAATAATATTCTTGACAGTAATTGAATATTATAGTAGAACAAAAGCAAATATTTCAATGTTTTCTCCTCAGAATCTTCAGTTAGTGCTAATATGTGCATATGAAATGAGCCTCTTCGCCTAGGAGCTCCCCACCATAGCCTCTTGCCTTTACTTTTGACTTAAGAACCTCAGCACAAGAAACAACTGTTGACAAGAGCCATTACTCTTCTGTGCCTTAGATAGCTAAAATATCAATGTTATTTCTCAAAATTATTTCTTTCCTAAGGGGAGATATTCTCCCCAAGGGATGTGTCAGAATAAGAATGGTGAGTATTCTAGGTGGATGGGTTAGAAGGCATATATACACACACACACACACACACACACACACACACACACACATATACACATATATATACACACATATATATACACACATATATATACACATATATATACACACATATATATACACACACACATGCACACACACACACACACACACACATTTTAGGTCTCTGGTCAAAGATTTGTTCTCTCCGCCTGTGTTTTAGAGCGGTCATAACCTAAACATATTTTTTTCTAGCCTTTCCTCTTCCTAATGTAAACCATCTGGTTTCAACAGAATCAACACAATCTACTTGAATCTTGATTTTATTTGATGTATTAATTTTACTTAACCTCTGGTCTTTTATTTTACGTAAGTTTAGTCTTTTATTTTATATCTGGCAAAAATCCATCATGTTTAAGGCTTCTTGGGGAGTGATGTAATGTAAGGCCAAACTGTGGATGTATTTCTGCTTTAAACAAGCAGAAACTTTTGACGAGTGATAGGGGCCTTTTTTTTTTTAACCCTTAGAGCATCTACTCCAAGTAGAAGATTTAGTTTATAATGTGGGAGGCTGGAGAAACTCATGGAGAAGAGCACTGTAAGGGCTATATGTCCAGGCACTGTCATTCTCACTGTCATTGCCACTGCCACTGAGCAAGTCGAATTTCACGGCTATAAACCTGAGATAATAAGACATGCACACTCCCTTTTTGCAAGAACAGAATGAGAATTAAACATTACAGATCAGGCTGGGCTTGGTGGCTCACACCTTTAATCTCAGCACTTTGGGATGCCGAGGTGGGCAGATTGCTTGAGGTCAAGAGTTCAAGACCAGCCTGGCCAACATGGCGAAACCCTGTCTCTACTAAAAATACAAAAATTACCTGAGCGTGGTGATGTGCACCCATAATTCCAGCTACTCAGGAGGCTGAGGCATGAGATTCACTTGAACCTGAGAGGCAGAGTTTGCATGAGCTGAAATCGCGCCACAGCACTGCAGTCTGGATGTCAAAGTGAGACTCTGTCTCAAAACAACAACAACAACAAAATTACAGTTTAAAATCCTCTGATAGAATAAAAGGTATTATCTCAATTCATCATGTTTTGGACACATTCCTGGTTTCTTGCAGATACTGATGAATGTTCTGTTGGCAATCCTTGTGGAAATGGAACCTGCAAGAATGTGATTGGAGGTTTTGAATGCACCTGCGAGGAGGGATTTGAGCCCGGTCCAATGATGACATGTGAAGGTACATCTCTTAAACAGAGAACAGTTGATTACGTGTACTGATCCTGGGAACAATTGGTTGATTACAAGTCTTAATATTAAATACAACTCAGGGTGTATATAATAAAGATCATCTAGGCCTGATGGGCCATTTGATCATTCTTCTTTTGTGGCCTCTTCTCTGTAGGGAAAGAGAGATATCCAAGAATGATACAGTTGTGTGTTCATGGCACATCTACACTGTATATCACAGAGAGTTCTCATTGGTGTTTCCCTACCACTTATATTTAGATGCTTCCGTGTTGTTTAATACCTTCTTTCTTACTCTCACTTTCTCCTTCTTTCTGTCTCTCATACTCCCTTTCTTTTTCTTTTCTCTTTTTCTCTTCTTTTCTATTTCTAGGAGCACTGCACACTAAGATACCCACCATCATCCTGTAGCCATTTGGAGGCAATCACAGCAAAAGCGGTTGCCTGTAATATATAAGCATCTGAAAAGTGTCCATCCGTAAGCCTGGTGGAATGTATGGAAAGAAGGAAAGGGAGGGAGTGTCTAGAGCAGTGGCTCTCAAAGGGTGGTTCCCAGGAGCAGCTGTATCAGCATCACCTGGGAACTTATTAGAAATGCACATTGTGAGGCCTCATCCAAGACCTCCTAAATCAGAAACTCCGAGAGTGGGGTGGAGCCCAGCAGCCCTCTAGGTGATCTGATACACTCTCAAGTAGGGATTCACTGGCCTAAGGAAAGAATGAAGGAGAGGTGAAGGCAGAGAATAAAGTTGGTAGCAAAGAGAGCTCTTCATCAGATATGATCTATCAAATGCCCATTGTCAGAGTTGTGGTAAATCTTTAAAGGTTGTGACTAAGTCATGATCTGGGCTCTCACTCGTGTTCTTAGTCAGCACTGGCCTTGGGGAGCAACATGATAGTTGAGATGGTCTATTTTAATCCTGCTTTTCCAAAACACATTCTGATGGTTCCAAACTCTGCAGTCTGCAGAAATGACTTTTTTTCCATTAACAGTAAACTCATTCCCATCTATTTAAGGTTTGAACATGGGCATCTGTGTAAACTGAGTGTCTCTGTCAGTATAAAATGATCTGGAACACTATTTGCTTGGGCAGAAGAATTGCTGTTATTTCACAGGAGCCTCTTTGTTTGGGGGAAAGAGAGGTGGTTAACAATATTGGAGGAGTTGGTTTCTGTTCTGACCACAATTGTTTTGGCGGAATGGGGCAAAACTGATTCCCACGCCATGTAACTGTTGGGAGTGACAAATGGTCAACCTGAGCCTTCTAAGCCAAAATTTCAGAAGAGCCCCTCAAATGTTGGGTGGCCTGTAATTTCCCATCCACCTAAATAATCATTAATAATTATACCAGGACAACAAACATAAACTGGGACTGTGCTGGGAGAACCGGGATGGAGAGTCACTCTGTTTATACCAAATATAAAATAATCAACCCATTTTATAATTTCCGGGAAATGGGAGACCACTTGATCCATCCATGTTTATGACAATGAAGCATTGCAACTTTTGGTAAAGTTTTAGAGTTTTAGTTCAATTGGTAGGTTCCCTTTTGTTGCTGTCCATGATCCCTTATTTACTTACTCTCCTCTGCTGCAGATATAAATGAATGTGCCCAGAATCCTCTGCTCTGTGCCTTCCGATGTGTGAACACTTATGGGTCATATGAATGCAAATGTCCCGTGGGATATGTGCTCAGAGAAGACCGTAGGATGTGCAAAGGTGAGTCATCGTGTTCAAGGTCATCTAAGCCAGGAAGCTTTATCTGTGAGGGGAGATGTCCCTCAAAGCTTCCCTTAGTAGGAGAAGGCTGGGAATTGGAATATAAATAGTCCGTGGACAATACGGGGGTTGTCACTGCCACGTTTCCCCCTAAATTGTAGCTGGAAGCATCATCAAGCCAAGTTGAGGACTGCACTGCACATCCTTTATTAGGTCTCACTGTGCATCGCATGCTCACAACACGCCAGTATTTCTACAAGATATGGGAATAGAAAGAAAAAGACATTTCCCCACGTTCAAAAAACCCAATATGAAGAGATTGAGACAGATATAAATACGTTCTCATAATACAGTGTGATAAATGCTATGGTGATTATATATACAAAATGCTCTGAGAACACCAAAGGATATTCTATTTCAAGAATGGGGTAACACGTGGAATCTACTTTAGCTAAACCATCTCCATTAAAAATACCTCCTGAACACCTGCAATTTCCTAAGCACTGAACTAGGCTCTATTTCACAAACTGCAGTAATCATAGAGTTTGCTCTTGAAGAGCTCTGATTTGCTCCTGTCAATATCTTAAATGAACAGACACCTGTTCTCTCAAGATGGCGTAAATATAATTTTGCTTAAGGGTGGGGAAATTTCCTAAATGAAAGGTCCTAATCATATGCAGAATAAATTTCAAATTTCTCAGCTCAGAGCATGTAAACGGGAAAGATAGAAAAATAAAGAAGTACAATAGGACAGAAAGTAAAGACTGAGGAAGGCCCAACCAAGTCCAGAAAAGGAAATGAAGGAGGGAAGAACCAGTAGAGAATAAGATATTTGAGATATATAATATAAAATAGTCATTTACTATTATATCCTGTTTACTAATATTATCATATAAAAATAATGTCATATTGGCCAGGCACGGTGGCTTATGCCTGTAATCCCAGCACTTTGGGAGGCCGAGGTGGGTGGATAACCAGAGGTCAGGAGTTTGAGACCAGCCTGACCAACATAGTGAAACCCTGTCTCTACTAAAAATACAAAAAATTAGCTGGCGTGATGGCGCATTCTTGTAATCTCACCTACTTGGGAGGCTGAGGCAGAAGAATTGCTTGAACCCCGGAGGTGGAGGTTGCAGTGAGCTGAGATCATGCCACTGCACTCCAGACTGGATGACGGAGTGAGACTCCATCTCAAAAAAATAATAATATCATATTATAATATATTGTGTTATTATTATAATTATTGCATAATGTAAGCTTTGGTTTGTTACTCTTACAATCCATTATGATTGTAGTACTATTATAATTATTGCCTTATCATATATTGTGATTATAATGCTGTTATAATTATTGTTATATTAAGATATATCCATTATATTATAATTACATGAGGCCCTTTTAGTTCAATTAGTCAACAAGAATTAGAAATCATGCTTCAACAAAGGAGTATAAAACATAAAGGGACAGCCAGGCACGATGGCTCATGCCTGTAATCCCAGCACTTTGGGAGGCTGAGGTGGGTGGATCACTTGAGGCCAGGAGTTTGAGACCAGACTGGACAACATGGTGAAACCCCATCTCTACTAAAAATACAAAAAAAATTAGCCAGGCGTGGTGGTGCATGCCTGTAATCCCAGATACTTGGGAGACTGAGGTATGAGAATCACTTGAACCCGGGAGGCAGAGGTTGAAGTGAGCTGAGATCGGGCCACTGCACTCCAGCCTGGGCAACAGAGAGAGACTCTTTCAAAAACATAAATAAATAAAAATAAAAATAAATAAAAAATAAGGGAAGGAGAAGAGAGAAAAGGCATGATCAGAATCATGCTTCTTGAAGAGGTCATCAGTTGATTAGGGAGCAATTTCTTCAAGTTCAAAGGTGGTTAGAAGATTCCTTTCCATTCTTTAGAGATCATACTCAACAGAGCAGAAGGAAATACAGCCAGTAGTGAAATAACAGATGAAAATTGGTTACTTACTAACATTTTATGTTTAAAAGTCAGGTAATTAAGGCAGATATATGCATTTTCTTTGACAAATTTGTGATTGTACATTTTTTACAGATGAGGATGAGTGTGAAGAGGGAAAACATGACTGTACTGAAAAACAAATGGAATGCAAGAACCTCATTGGCACATATATGTGCATCTGTGGACCCGGGTATCAGCGGAGACCTGATGGAGAAGGCTGTGTAGGTAAGAGGATCCCTGTGGAAGGAGCTTTGAGTGCATCAGAAGTGACAGTGGACAGAAGGAACCTGGGCTCTGAGTTCTTGGGATACTGTTCTTGGCGAGACCCATTTTGTTCTCTTAACCGCATGTCAGGACTCTCCATGGTGGTTCCCTTGCCTCGTGATCATTTGTGAATTCCAAGAGCACTGTCATTGTCCCTCTGATCTGGCCTTTGTCTGCTTTCTTGACCCATTTGCTGCCAGGATTTGAACAGCATGCCTTTTCTCTATTCTCCTCCTTTACTTTCCATACTCTTTTGTTGATTTGGGGGTCAATTCTCCCCATCACATTGGAATGCTTCCCTATTGACTTAGCTTTGCTACAAATGCCAGGTACCTCTGAATCAGGAATATCTCAAAACCATTGGGATCTACCTCCAGAAAATCTGGTCTTGTCTAGAGTAGCATCCAGGCACTGATATTTTTTTAAAGCTCCTCAGCTGATTCTAATAGGGATCCAACATTGAGGACTTCAGCCTTAGACCAGGAGTTGGCAAACTGCCTACAGGCTAATTCCAGCCTGCCAGCCCACTGTGTGTTTTTATAAATAAGGTTTTATTAAACATAGGTATAACCATTCATTTGCATATTGTCCATGGCTACTTTCATGCCACAATGGCAGAGCTAAGTGGTTGCAACTGAGACCATATGACCCACAAAGCCTAAAATATTTCCTATTTGACCCTAACAAAAAGTTTCCTGACCTCTGCTTAGATAATAATTACAGGAGAAAATTATTAAAACCTTCTCACACGCATTCTCTTTCTTTTTAATAATAAATGGTATTATAAAGATATATTTTATGTTGTCATTCAAGAAGATTAAGAATCCCATTGCCCTTTTACTCTGTACAATACAGATTGAAGCAGGAATTAAAGAACAGATTCTAAAAGCACAGAATCAGAAAATATGTAGATTAATTGTCACACACTGGATCCTCCTGGATCAGTAATTCTCAACCTCTGCTGCACTTTGGAATCATTTGGGGAGCTCAAGTCCAACCTCAGATATTCTGATTGAATTGTTCTGGGGGTGGCTGGGGCATTGCATTGGGGTTTTGAACCTGTTTTAACACTGTTCTGGATTCACCTTCCAACTTTCTCTCTTTCCTAGTGAGAGCTCCATCTGAGGGACCCTGAACTATTCTCAAAGGAAGGGAAGCACCTCAGCAAATTATTTTTGATCTTTCTAAATAATCATCAGATAATTCTAAGAATCTGTAGATATTTTAATGTTTTTTTAAACCTGGGAAACTGAGTTGTAGTTTATGATTTCTTAATAATATTGTTGAAATATTACAATAAATGCAACCTATATTGGAGATATAATCTAGGTTAATCTGAAGATTAATCTAGACAAACTCCCCCAGATCAATATTGACCATTACAGATATTATTCTAACATGTATTAAAATATTTCTTTCATATGCTGATATTCACATTTTTCCCTCCTTCACTTGAAATAACACTTTGAGAGTCCTTTTTATGTCCTAATATGAAAAGATTTAAATTTTACTAAGTGAAAAATGTAAGTGTGCATAAAATGCTACCATCTATGTTTAAGTATATAAAATGCTATCAGTTAGGCTTTTAAAAGATCTGAAGTGCACACACACATACACATATTATGTATGTATTTGCTTTTATATGCATAATCCAGCTCTGGAAGGATACATTAGAAATCGGCCCCAGAATTGGTTGCTTTTCAGGAGGGGAGTTTGGTGTCTGGGAAATAGGAAATGAAGGGGGTACTTTTGCTGAATCTCCTTTTGTACCTTTTTAATTTTGAACCATGTGAAGAGATAAGCTATTTACAAACTATATAGGAAAGAAGAAAATCTATTCTTCTATAAAAGATTCAGATGGCTCTTTCTGTTTTCAGTCTTTCAATGAAACCAAACAGTTAAGAATGAATTGAAGTCTCTTTTATACCTTTTAAATTTTGAGCCATGTGAACAGATTAGTGATTCAAAAGCTAAGTTAAGAAGGAAAGATGTGAGAGAGGGAAGGAAGGTGAGAGGGAGGGAAGGGAGGAAGGAAAGGAGAAAGGAACAAAGGGAGGGAAGGAGGGAGGGAGGAAGGAAGGAACGAAGGAAGGAGCTCCATCCTCTATAAAATGGTCAGATGACTCTTCTTGTTTTTGGTCCTTCAATAAAATCAAACAGATGAGAATGAATGTCAGACGAAGCCAGGGATCTGTGAGAATGGGCGCTGCCTCAACACCCGTGGGAGCTACACCTGTGAGTGTAATGATGGGTTTACCGCCAGCCCCAACCAGGACGAGTGCCTTGGTGAGTACAGTTGGCACCGCACTTTCCTAACCTCAGCCTCCACACTGGGATGCTGGAAACCCAGACTTCTTATTTAAAATACAAGAAAATGTCAAAATCTGAGGAAGGATAAAAAATGTTCATATTTTGGAGATGCCGTAATGACTGTGATTGTCCATTGGGCTCAGCACCACCCTGCAGCTAAATTCTTCCTTTGCTAATTGGATCCTGAATCACTTGTTTGGAATTTCTTGGCTGCCTTTGAAGCCCTTGGTGATCAGGATCCACTTCCGTATGTTTCTCTGCCCCTCTGTCTGTAAGCATGGCTATTCCCCTGTATTTCTGGGAGCAGAGAGAGTTATAAGCTTGTCTAGGCCAATGTCTTTCTGCCTACTTACTGAATGTCTTATTTGTTTCCCTCAGACGTCATCCTTTCTCTTTTACTGCTGTCTCCAGCTTTCCCCTCTTGCTTCTTCTCACCCAGGGTAAAGTGTTACATCCTTTTTTGGTTTTTATATCTGACCAAATTTTTAATATTTTGTTTGCTCTTAAAATTTCCTGACATCCCCTTTGCCATATAATGTCCCTTCCAGACAATCGGGAAGGGTACTGCTTCACAGAGGTGCTACAAAACATGTGTCAGATCGGCTCCAGCAACAGGAACCCCGTCACCAAATCGGAATGCTGCTGTGACGGAGGGAGAGGCTGGGGTCCCCACTGTGAGATCTGCCCTTTCCAGGGGACTGTGGCTTTCAAGAAACTCTGTCCCCATGGCCGAGGATTCATGACCAATGGAGCAGGTACTTCATTTATAGTCCAAAAATACTTGCAGGGAATCTATTTATTTGTTTTTTGTGTGAAACACAGATGAAAATATGGAGTTTGCAATATGTGCCTAGGTTGAATTGCACAGCTGAGGCCAACAAAAATTCTTCATTATGGAGTTTTAGACATTTGAGGTCATGCTGCCAAAGTGGCCTTGGTCCACTTGATTAAGCTGTGTGTGCTTAGGACCCTCCCTCTGCATTCCAGCGAGTCTTCAACTTTTTAAACCGTTTACTATAAGTCAATTGGCTACTCAGAATATAATTTTTAAATTTTTTAGATAAACTTTGAAATAAATGATTATTAAATGTGCAAACCAGTCCACCAAGATGTGGAACTCCTAAAACTGGCCAAACTGTATTGCATAAAAGAAGTATAAATCATGCTGATATCCTGGCAATTAGACACAATTGCATCTGGAAAAGCACAAGCTCCTTAACTAGAGCAGGATGAGGAAGTGTCAGACTGTCTAAGGCAACTCTAGAGATATCTAGGCCTGTCACCAATATGATTCCTGTGTTTATCAACTGTAACTACAATTGGTTTTTAGTTCATAAAAGGACTGAGAAAAGGTGAGAGCTTTTTTGAGCTTCTTGGGAGGGAATTAGAAGTGAAAGGGGAAGAAGGAGGTTAAGAAGGATTTGTGTTTGTATTGGAAAGATGTGGCTGAAGGCAGAATAATGGAACTGGATGTGATTTAAAAAAAAAGAAAAAACAGACCTAGAAAGGTAAGATGGAGTGACCAAAAGCAATTTATGATTCTTTGGAGGATGTAGCAATAAGATAGCCGAAAAAACTCACTTCTGGAGACCAATAAGAGTGTGCTAAATTGCACTTCAGAGTAGACTTGTAAAGGTCAGATACACCCAGCTGTTGGTATAAAATGGTTATTTGGCAGTCAAGGGCTGAGAACCCATGTAGAAAGTGCTTGTATCGGCACTTCGCCAAGCAGTAAGGAGGTAAAATGGGTCAAGATGTGGAAGACAGTGGTTTTAATGCTCAACAGTGCATATTGACCCAGTCTTTCTCTCTGTGGTACAGCCATGAGTGAGGGTCTCCCTTCCTTAGCAGGCTGCAAAAACCCAGCACTGTCATCCACCTCAGAGCCCTGGTTAGTTTCCCCCCTCACCAGAGGACAGAAGTTCATCTCATTTCCCCAATATTATGTAATTTGAACTTTTTCAGGATTAACCACAAAGACAACAAAAATAATGTAAAAACAAAAAACAAAAAACCTTACTTATTTTGAGCATGCAATACTAGGGGGTGGAAATGGGGTTTCCTCATCAAAAGGATCTGCTTCTGTGATTCATTTATTAGATGTCAGCAGGAGGCAAGCTTAATGGCATGAGATGACACAAAAAGCCAAATATGTCTAGATGGGGTGGCTGTTCTATGGATCCAGAAGAGAAAAATATACATTTAGAAGACCAGTTGTTTTTAAAGTTTTTCTGTGGCTGAATTATTTTATCAATTGTAGTCTAATGAAGTTATTTGTTTACCTTTTGATATAGCTACTGTTACATATTAAATTTATGCTGTCATCTTACTGGTTTAATTTCTTAGGCCCAAAATATAGTAACACAATTTATTAGTATTTACACTGAAGTGACCCCCTACATATTAATGTTGTCAATTTTATGATATATTTCTTAATTTATATTTGTTAAATTACAGATATCGATGAATGCAAGGTTATTCACGATGTTTGCCGAAATGGGGAATGTGTCAATGACAGAGGATCATATCATTGCATTTGTAAAACTGGGTACACTCCAGATATAACTGGGACTTCCTGTGTAGGTAAGTGTCTATTTCTGATGGCTTATCCTCAAGTGGAAATTTTAGATTATGGAAAAAAAAAAACCCAAAGCTAAAAATCTAAAAAGTCTGTGCAGTTTCATAGGAAAGCACAGGACAATCATCAAAGTCTACACAGAGTTTCCTTTTTCTTTCCCCGAAACTAAAATTCTTCGTTAGACCCTGTGGAAATTGAGCGTGTACACATCATTTTTAGATGCACAGTCACGCTGTATTTCTTTGATCATAGATCTGAACGAGTGCAACCAGGCTCCCAAACCCTGCAATTTTATCTGCAAAAACACAGAAGGGAGTTACCAGTGTTCATGCCCGAAAGGCTACATTCTGCAAGAGGATGGAAGGAGCTGCAAAGGTAAAGTAGAATTGACCATTGCCCCTCACCTAGCTCCTGACACATGGCTGCATTCCTTTGCCTGTAAGAACTCCACAGGCAAGCCGAAAGACCTGCTCTACAGGCAGGAGGTGCTTCCCTGGGGTTAATGCCTCCATGGGACCTACCTCCTGTGCTGGAGGGAAGGAGGCTAAAGCCAGGGAGATTGTGGAGGAAGCAGCTGTCCTTGCTGCATGCCCCCTGGGCATCCATGGTGGCCATCCATGACTGTCTCAGAGATAGCAGGGCCAGCTTCAATGGCTCTGGTGGGGCAGATTCTTAATTGGTGACCTCCTCTCTGCTTTCTGTTTTTTGTATTTATTCTTTATAGCTATATAGTTCAGGTTTCCAGGAAGGTCCTGCCTCGGAATAATCAGTGCCATGATCGTAGAGGACATTGTGCCTAATGAATTAGATGCTGTGTCCAGATTTTTGTTCTGCAGAAAAAGTCTATTTCTGCCCTGTAGGAGCTTCCCTGAGACATAAATATCACACAGAATTAAGAACCAGAAAAGCTCTGGGCAGAAATCCCTTCTCAACCAGAAGTTATCCTTTGCAAAATTTTTTTGGTTTAATTTTACTCCTGTAAACATCTTCCTCCACAATAAGAACATTATATTTAGTGAATAGCACTAGTGAGTCATACTTAACAATAATTTGGGAAATCAGAGATTTGGAGAAGAAAAGATAGACCAAGTGGTAGAGCAAGAGATATCATGTCATGCCATGAAACTTTGAAGGAAATTTATAGAAACATACAGAAGTAAGGAAGGTAAAGGATAGAGTGGAGTCTTTTTCCTATTTTTTCTCATAAAGCTTAAGTTCTTCCACTTACTTGGTATATATAACTAAATATCAAATGAATGATGCAGCTGTGTGTACCACTGAACTGAGAAGAGGCTAGAAGGGTGGAGGGTGGGACCAGCACATCCCCACGGAGGATCCAGATTGGAGGAGAGGAGAGGAGAGAAGTGGAGAGCAGAGAGAAGTTGGGCTCTTGACCTCTTTCCTGTGTCTGCTGAAAGGGAGAGTTAAGAGACATGTAATAGTGGATGACATCATGGGCAAGTGCCTGAGGCCTTCCTGTGCAGCACAAAGCCTGTATAATCCTGTAGTTTGGGGAGAGGAAGTTGAGAGACCTACTTACACATTCTAAACATCTTAAATGAAGTCGCTCATAGCTTTGTTCTTCTCAAATGTGGAACTTATTTTACATCTGGGGTCACTGTGAGTTCTAGGCAATGTGAAGCTATAACTCAGAGCCATAAATTTATTCATATAAATGAAGAACCAAATTCAAGGGGAAAATATCTCTCATTGTATATATTATCTGTAACAAGCAAAACAAATTTATAGCATTTTTTCTAACCTCTGGGGGCAGAAAATTCTCAAAAGTTTCCAGCAATTAAAAGATGAAAAATGAAAATGCATCAATAAAGTTCTCTTTATGGCTTTAGGAGTGCAAAGAGCAACTGTAATTTTTACATGTCCACTCACAACTTGTCCCTTTTCCTGTTTTTTCCCATAAGGTTCAAATTCTTCCACTTACTTGGTATATATAACTAAATATCAAATGAATAGTGCAGATAGTTGCACCACAGTCACTGAGAAGGAGGAAGCCAGAAGGGTGGCCGTGGGAGCAGCACATCCCCAGTGAGAGATGGGTAGAATGCAGATTAGAGGGGAGAAGAGGAGGAAGGGCATCTTGGAGGCAAGAGCAGCAAGTGCTGCTGTTCTTCATGTGTTGTACTCATGAAATGGTGTTAGGAGAAATCACTGAGTCATCTTCCTCACCTGTTGCAGGTGAGCTTCAGCAAATGTGTCATGATGCTCCAGCCAAGCTCCTTGGGCCATAGACAGGGGAAACCAGTCCACAGACTCTGAGAAAGCTGAACAGAGAGTGCATATCAGTCAAGATCTCAGCAGTGGAAAGAGCACAGGACAGGCAGCATTATAAGAGAAGCCGGAACTAGGACAGGTCTCGGGAGGGTCTCTCAGTGTAGGTCCACTCCAGATGTTACTCTAGCCAGGAACTGGCCCTGTGGAGTGGAAGCAGTCACTGGCAAAGCTGGCACTGATCTGCAGCTCCAAAGCAGTTGTGCAGATGGTGAGGGCATAGTGGTTGAATTTGTGATAAAATAAAGTCACTAATGTTTTTTCCTGAATATGCGACAATTTTAAAATTATCATTAAAGTTTAGCTAGAAGCTAGAACACAACATTTCATCTCTTGGTATTTTGAAATAACATTGGAGTTGAGAATGCAACTTAGAAGTTGAGGCGTTGAGAAAAGAGGCCTGGTCAAAGCAGAGGGTTTTATTGAGATGTGGGAAACAATGTTGGATAAACACTGCAGGCAGTTGTCAGTTTTGGATTTTTGTTTTTTTTGTTTTTTGTTTTTTGTTTTTGTTTTTGTTTTTGTTTTGAGACGAAGTTTCACTCTGTTGCCCAGGCTGGAGTGCAGTGGTGCGATCTCAGCTCACTGCAACCTCTGCCTCCCAGGTAGCTGGGATTACATGCACACACCACCACACCCAGCTAATTTTTGTATATTCACTAGAGACAGGTTTTGCCATGTTGCCCAGGCTGGTCTCAAACTCGTGAGCTCAAAGTGATCAGCCTGCCTTGGCCTCCCAAAGTGCTGGGAATACAGGCATGAGCCACCACGCTTGGCCTGGAGGCAGTTTTATTAAAAGTGCCTTTAGCTATTAAAATGAATTTTTCCTTTGCTTTGTTTCCTTCCTGATTGCTCAATTTTGGTTTATCCTAAGAAGAATCACGACTAAAGAAATCAGATTTTGTTTTTGATGACTTCATTTGAGTAGATTAAAAACAGCAAACAGAAGAGAACTAAGCCAGCAAATTCATTTCCAGCTTCAACATTTCTCTTTATGTTTTAACTTAAATAGATCTTTTCAAAGCTCTGGAAAATTTGCAGAATCATTCATCTTTCGCTTCATTTAAAAATTTGTTTAAAATGTCATGATTTATTTGAAATTCCTTTGTTGAGGAATTCCTGCATTTCTCCAATTAGAATTGTGTTTTCTTGGATCCCCTAAAGATCTCTTTATATTTTTTTGAGGGGAGGAGGGTCTAAATTGACACCTTGTTTTATCTTTCAGATCTTTACCCCCTGTGTCTCTCCTTGCCTTTTGCTGTGGCTTCTTTCTAGTCAGGGTCATTTGAGACCTCCAAATCAAACGTGGAGCTGCTTCATAGGGTCAGCTTCCCTGATCCTGTTTTGTTGGCTTGACTCAAATGCCTCTCTTGCATTTTCTTGTAGATCTTGATGAGTGTGCAACCAAGCAACACAACTGCCAGTTCCTATGTGTTAACACCATTGGCGGCTTCACATGCAAATGTCCTCCCGGATTTACCCAACACCATACGTCCTGCATTGGTGAGTAGGAGAGGAAAAAATCCTACATGGATTGTAGCGATTCTTTTAAGGGATTATTTTCTATTTCCTCTGCTGTTGGGATAAGAAAATAAAAGCTCAAAGAAATATATGAGTGCATGTATGTGTGAGCACACCTGTACATGTATGTGAAGCGTTGTTGGCCTTATTTGGCCTTTTCCGAGTTATCCTTCTAATTTTCTTTTAAATGATACAAAGAGAGCTTTGGGGAATTTTAACCCCTCTTTGCCCCCACTGCTTCTCATAGATAACAATGAATGCACCTCTGACATCAATCTGTGCGGGTCTAAGGGCATTTGCCAGAACACTCCTGGAAGCTTCACCTGTGAATGCCAGCGGGGATTCTCACTTGATCAGACCGGCTCCAGCTGTGAAGGTGGGTGGAGACTTCAGCTGCGATCCAGCTGGTGAATCCTTGTGGAGGTGGCCTGTGTGGCTATTGGCACCTTCATCATCAGCCTCTATGAGATAGCAGATCTGAGCCCAGGGGGGCACTCAGCTAAAATAGTGTGCACAGGTCCTGTATCTTAGAGAGTCGTGTTTTGTTTCATGCTTGATTGTGTCTAACACACATGCCTTTCCTAAGTATATCAAGACTTTTTCTGCTAAGTTTTTAATTTAACCTAATAGGGAATAACTCAGTCAAGAAAAATATACTTGATTTTGATTCATTAATTTTCTGGTCACTGGGTCCAGAGCCATAAAGGGATTTCCCCCATGTGGACTAAACATATGAGGAATAGCTCTTCTGATGACATTTAATTAGAAGTTTAAATGATATTTTTAGAAGTTGACTGTGGCTTTGACACGTTTTGGTTTCTAATTGTGGCACCAAAAATAAAAAAAAAAAAGAGCAAACACAAATAACTTATAACTTACAGAGCTGTCCCAGAGAGTGCTTTGGGCTTTGCACTAATTTCCTGACAATTTTTATTTGTAGACTTTGCCAGGGCTCTCTGAATGATTTTCTCCTTGGACTTAGCAGCAGTTCCAGAAGAGAGATTCTTGAAGTTTTTGGTGGTAGAATAATGTGTAGGATGTGTAGGGGCCAGATTTCTTATTAGAATCCATCTGGCTTCAGAGAGAGATGTTGAGTTGGCATCATGGTGGCTCTGCTTCTTTTTCAGACGTGGACGAGTGTGAGGGTAACCACCGCTGCCAGCATGGCTGCCAGAACATCATTGGGGGCTACAGGTGCAGCTGCCCCCAGGGCTACCTCCAGCACTACCAGTGGAACCAGTGTGTTGGCAAGTAACTTTTCCTCACTCTCAAGATGCATGGCTATCAGGTCCTATGAAGCAAAACACTGCTTGCTTTCTGAAGCTGTAAATGTGTTATTGAAGCAACAAATACTCATTTAAAATTGCCCTAACCTGGTTGAAACCCGAGGTAAGTAACAGTCTTTGCAAAACAGCAAACTAAGAAAAAAAATTATAATTGAGGGTGCTTTGAGAGCATCTGAAATGAAATGCCCCCAGAATTTCTTGAAGCGCAATATCCTCCACCCTCCCGCTGCACTGCTAGTCATCAGCCCACACTTGAGTTATGTTCATATCAGGGGTCAAAAAATCTTACTTATGACTGAAAAATATCAGCCAGCCAAAGGCTATTTTGAGTGGCTTTTGGCCTGAAGATGCCAAAGTAGTTCTGTTCAGCTCTACACATTTTGAGACAGAGCGCAAGCAGGAAACACAGCAAGGTTGTGTTTTTTTGTGTGTTTTGTTTTGTTTTGTTTTGTTTTTCAAGATTGCTAAATTCTTTTGATAATTAAGGGAGATCTACTGACTCTCTCATTAAATTGAAATGATGTCATCTTTGATTCTACAATGTCATGGGAAAATAACTCTTAATGCACATCAGAGAATCAAAACATTGTGAGTTTGGAGGGATACCAGAAGCCACTTAGCTCAGGCACTTTGTTTTACAGATAAGGACCTAGAAGTCCAGAAAGGGACGGTAATATTTCCTTGCCCAGTTCTTTTGTGACATGCTTGGAACTAGAACCCACAACTCTTAACTTTCTGATGTAGAGCTGCCTTTCAAGTGTCACATTCACTTGTTTATGTTCATTCAGCAAGCGTCTGTGAAGTGCCACTGCAAGCTTGGTGCTTTGGTAACCTGTTCTAGTTGCCACATTATTCTGTACAGAGCCCTCCTTAGCAAAAACTCAAAGAATTACTGCTTCCCGGGTGCAGGCTCTGCATTGCAGGGGTTCACTTTCATGCAGATGAAGACATATTTGGTGTGTTTTCATTTATCAAAATCATCTCTGTCATCTAGTTTGATTCTACACAAGACAGTTTTGCAGTGGCATGTAGGGTTGACTGAAGTGACCCCTGTGCTATAGGAGTTTCGACTGCGTGAGTCTCTGGCTAGCTATCTGGTTTTAATAAAAATGTCTTTGTTCATTAGCAGCTCAGGGAGGTCTTTGATTTTAATCACCAGTTTCTGACATTGTTCACAGAACTTCCAGAGTGAACTTTGTTGATTCAACACCCAGTTTATGAGCCTGTCTGTTCTCATTATTTAGGTCATTTTAATAACACTGGAGCTAAGTGAAAAAAACATAAGAGAGGAAAGGTATGTCGCTCCTGTACCTTATCCTCCTCCTCCTACCATCAGTCTGAGGATGGTAGAGGCGACCAGGCCATGCACTAGTGTCCTGGAGATTCTGCTCTGGTCTCGTGAAGATCATCTCCTGGCTGGACACTCTAAAAAAACAAGTTGATTTAGAAGTCAGAAGAAGTTTGGGGTTCTTAATGTCTCCAAATGCCAAATTGCTCTCATCAATCTTGAGAATTAGAGTTATCTAGAATGAGCATTGCCGTGGGCTAAAATAGCTTCCCCAGAACCACAAGAAACAGAGCAGATCTCTTAGACCAGCCCTCCCTGGATCCTCACTCCCAGGTGGCTGGAAGTTCACTCTTTGGGGTAAGAGGGCCACTAATTTCATTGCTTTCTAGAAGTAAATTTCAAAAAATTCAGCTTGCAGATAGATAGAGTTGACCCATTTTCCCCTAGAGAAAATGAGTAAAAGAAAGCCCATCCTGCATTTGTGAAGTTTCCTATCGGTACTCCCTTAAGGCCACAGCTAACATGAACAGTGCAAGCTGGATGCTGAAACCTTTGATTTTAGAGGACAGAGTGGTGGGTTTCAATCCACTTTTAAGGAGTAGTTTTCAGACTTTAATGCTATTTTGGTAAAATTCGAATTGTCTCTTTTTATAAAACAAACAAAACCCTCACCAATCTAAGTACCAACTGGAAGAATAAAACAAATATTTTGGAGTGTAAAAAAATTCCTTGTGGAGTCATTTGCTCCAGAGTGCAGAGGATGAAAAAGGTCAGGAAAAGTGCAAAACATGTTAACCAAATCGTGGTGTTTGTATATTGATAAAAAGGGCGAGTGCACAAACATGCTGTTTTCAAACTGTAAACACTGAATATTTGCCAATTTCTTATTTTAATCTGTGCTCTACTCCATCCTACCTCTCCAACCTAGATAAGCAAGTTTAATTTAAACTTTATTAAATTCTCAGGGAAGGGAGAAAATGTAAAATAAAATTTAAAAGAATGTGAAAGGAGAGGGGGAGAACTCTTGATAGTTGTAGTAACACAGATAGATGCTCAAAGTTAAAAAGAACCTTAGAGATCTAGCCTTCTCTCTTTCCTAATATATAAATCCTTCTCTAACTTCCTTGCTTATCCCAGTTTGGCTTAAATACCACCTTGAAGGGTGCCCACTTTCTCCCAAGATAGCCCAATCTATGTATAGACAGCTTTTAATACTTAGAAATGTCTTTTTTTGCTATAAAAAAAATCATTTCTCCTCCCTCTAATTTCTCACCATTGGTCCTACTTCTGCTCTTTGGAGGAAAAAACACAGAATAAATCTAAGCTATAGAATGACAAGTCTTCCCCCTCATATACCCACGCCTTGCAGGTTTTATTAGTCAGGGTCCCAGCAAGAAGCAGATGGCTGAGGCCAACCAAAAGTGAGGGACAGGGGAGCAGAGCTTGCTCATGCTCCATAGATCAGCCACCTGGGGCCAAGAGCAAGTGGAGAGGATGGAGGATGGACGTGGAGGAGCAAGAAGACATCAGCCCAGGGGTGTTCTCTCCAATGAAGTAAATATGCTTCGTTCTTCATTCTTTGTTTGACATGGAGCTTGGTGCCAGTGGTTTCTGTTGCTCTCTATTGCACACTTCGTCCTCAATTTAAAATAAGGAGAAAGAACACAGATAACGTGTTGAGCACAGAAAGAGAAAGGGAAGAATGAGAAAGATAAAATTATTATTTATATTTTAAGAGCCCTGGAGCCTAAGTGACCTTGGGTGAAGACTTGAAGGTCTTTGGATACAAAAGATTTTCAGACAGGCAGTTAAGATCAAAGACCTGTAGCTGAAGGGAAGGAGGGAAAGAGAGAAGGAAGGAGGGGAGGAGAGAAGGAAGGAAGGAAGGAAAGGAAGGAAGGAAGGAAGGAAAGGAGGGAGGGGAGGGGAGGGGGGAAGGAAGGAAGGAAGAAAGGGAAGGAGAGAAGGAAAGAAGGTAGGAGGGAAGGAGACATGGAAGGAGGGAAGGCAGGCAGGCAGGCAGGTAGGAAATGTGAATATATACTAAGTATATACAAGTGAGCATCCTTCCCCACCACTTTTATCCACCTGTTTTCTAATTTAAAAAAAAAGAAAAAATAGATTTGTTGAGAAACATTATTTTTCTTTATAAATGAATGTGCCTTAGCAAAGAAGGTAAACTAATTACAGGAGAAAGGAAGCACCAGCTTAAATGTGGAGCGTCTCTTGAGAGGCACTGTGGTATAAAGGAAAGCGCATGGATGGCCTTTGCAGTCCAACAGACCTGGCTGTGAATTTCTGCCCTGCTGCTGCTGGCTGTGAGATCTTGGAAGAGCTTTCTGAGCCTCACTTTCTTCAGCTGTAAAACAGAGAATATAATACCTCTTTCTCAGGATTGTTAGGAAAGCTAAGGAAATGGTCAATACCTGTATCCTATCTATCATAAAATAGGTATCTAATAAACATTCATTCCCTTCCCCTTCCTCTCTTCCATAGGAAGTGGTTATTCGCTAAGTGAAGAGAAGGCCAATCTATCTACATTCAAATGAACGTATGCCTGAAAATGGACTATGGCAGTTAAGAAATGTCTTACCAGCAACTTTCCAACCTGCCCTGCAAAGGCAGATCTACAAAAATATATTAGAGACTTCCAAAAATTATAAATCAGAAATAATGAGAAACTCATGGTTTTCCCCCTTCTAGCTGATTTTTTTAAAGTAAGATTTCTTTTTCCTGCTTCTTAGCATCAGACTTGGCAGGTCCCTGTGGGTAGCCAGCCCTGCAGCTTCTGTCTCACTTGTGGGTTTTCCCCAATTACTGCTTGTGAAGTCTGCACCAAATCTCTTCCAGCCACACTTAGTTTTAGACAGGGCTCAGACACTCTGGGCAGGAGGCTGGTTTGAATAAGGAGGGGGCCGATTCGGTGATGGGAGCAGACATACCAGAAGGCATTATTCATCTCCCAGAACAGGTACCTGGGGGCTTTTGCAGAATTTTGAAAAGGAAGTCCAAGTGGGGCAGACACGTGGGGCAGACACTTGGGGCAGGATATCAGCCTTTGCCAGATCAGCATATCCTGAAATAGGCTGACAGGGAAAGCAGCCTGCGGGAAAATGGTTGGTCTCTGCTTTTGAGAGATTTGTCTCCTCGCTGGGCACTTGTGAAGCAAGTACGCAGAGAACTGCAAGATTCCTTTCCTCCCCCCTTGAACCCTAAATCTTAGCTACGGACCAGCCCCATGTTGGTTCATGACCGGATGTTTACATGGAGCAGAAGATACCAGTGTTGACTTCTGATGAGAACTGGAGTCTGCTGGTCCTCAGAATGCCATCCTCTAATGCCCTCTGCCTGGTGCATTTGACTTCATCTTCCATGTTTCATCTTCCATGTTTACTCACAACATAGCAAGAAGCCACATCCATGCCCGCATCTTTCTCTGCTGTTGCTCTCCCCACCCAGCCACCTCTGCCTGTCTTACCTTCCTGAGAGCCTAGCTGAGGGCCAGCTGGCCGGCAGCAAGTGGCCAGATCCAATGTCCTCAATAGAAATCTCTGGCTGCTGCCACACATGCCGCTTCTTATTTTGCCTGCAGATGAAAACGAATGCCTCAGCGCTCACATCTGCGGAGGAGCCTCCTGTCACAACACCCTGGGGAGCTACAAGTGCATGTGTCCCGCCGGCTTCCAGTATGAACAGTTCAGTGGAGGATGCCAAGACATCAATGAATGTGGCTCTGCGCAGGCCCCCTGCAGCTATGGCTGTTCCAATACCGAGGGCGGTTACCTGTGTGGCTGTCCACCTGGTTACTTCCGCATAGGCCAAGGGTAAGCAGTGCTCTTCCTGGTCATGGTTGGAGATTCTTTCATTCGTAATATAATTAAGTATACTGAACTCAAAATTACCTGTCCTAGCAGAGGAGAACCATGCTTTTTGTAATCCTAAAATTAATTCCAGTTAGCTTGGCAAAAGTTTTAGGTTATTTTATTTGGAAGGAAGCATCTGGATTTCTGGAAACGTCAAACAAAGTAATGAAACTACATTGTAAATATCTCGCTATATGACTTCTCTATCTTATTCTCTTGATCTTCACATCTTGTTGGGAAGTGATTCATCTCTCTGTAAATACACCTCTCTGCCAACCCATGACAGAACTGGGCTCACCCTGCACACGACTGATCCACTCTTCTCCTGGGGCAGGGAGGATTCTATCTGGACTTAAAATGCCTTTGTATCTAGCTCCTGTTAGAATAAGTCAAAGACATCCCTTTGGGTTGAAAATTATTTAGGGTTTTAAATTATATTTTACATTTCAGACTTGAATTTACATTAAATTTTACCAAAGGTGCATTGAAACACTTACTGTATTTTCCTGGTTAAAAAAAGAAAAACAAAAAAAACACTTCACCAAATTATAGGTGTGTCTGTGTGAGAGTTGGGGCAGGGAAGGCCTTTTTTTTTTTTTTTTAGACGGAGTCTTGCTCTGTCGCCCAGGCTGGAGTGCAGTGGTGCAATCTCAGCTCACTGCAAGCTCTGCCTCCCGGGTTCACGCGATTCTCCTGCCTCAGCCTCTGGAGTAGCTGGGACTACAGGTGCCCGCCACCACGCCCGGCTAATTTTTTGTATTTTTAATAGAAACGGGGTTTCACCGTGTTAGCCAGGATGGTCTCGATCTCCGGACCTCGTGATCTGCCCGTCTTGACCTCCCAAAGTGCTGAGATTACAGGCGAGAGCCACTGTACCCGGCCGGGAAGGCCTATTTTTATTTTACCCAGTGATTTAAAAGTTTAGTGTTAAGTTTTCAAAGTTTGGATCTTTTTTCCTGCTGAATTAATCTGGACTCGGGTGTCCACCTAGTTTTAGCTATCCTGAGAGGAAGTGCACATTTTAACTTTTTAATTAGGAACACATAGACATTAAATATATATATACATTATGTACTCCTCCACATGCGTGTACACACACACCCCCACACACATCCACACTTATACCAAATTATTAATGTAGCAGTCTTTGATTTCTTGACATACAAACATCAAGTGATTCATTTTGGATCTGGGTAGGTAGAAGAATGTTTCGTGGGAAGCACACAGAATGCCAGCAATCAGACACAAATTCCCAGATGTTTGTGTCTGGCTCTCAGTAGACTCATTCTTTATAGTTTAATGCCAGAACCATTTCTTCCCAGCAAAAATTGTGACACTCTAAACTGGCTTTTGGCCAGTGGGATTTTGTAGTCACACTTCTTATAAGTGGTGCTCCCGGGATATGAAAATACTGGAAAGGAGTTCTGAGAAAGGAACCAAAGCCTGCAAATTTGCAGTTTACCTCCTAATAATTTAATCATTGTGTGAATGTATACGCATGCGCACACACCCACAGGATGAGCATTTATCACTTCATCCATTGTATTGTTTCTACATATTTCATGTTGCAAGATAAAGAGGAAAGGAAATGTATTGGACTCTGGCAAGATTGGGGGAAACAGTAGGAACCTATAAACTGCTTTGAAATACAACAGATATTCTGTTCATTGGCAACATATTTTGAATCCTAAGGGTATATAGGAAAATTAGTTCTAAAGAGCAGATCAGCTATTACAGAAAAACAGATAAATAATTTTTGGTCTATATTATGACCCATTGTTAGAAATCTACCCATTTAAAACAGTTTTGGCCTCTCCGAATCACTAGAATGGACTCTGCCCCCAAATAAAGATTCTTTTAAGGACCATTCAAATGTTTCAACACATTTGGAAAGAGGAGCTTGATAAATACACATTCCAAGTGGCCTCTGAAATAGTAAGCAGAATAACAAAACAAGGTACTTGTGAAACATTCGAGCCTCCCTCCGTAACTTGGCTTTGATAACTGAAAGGCAAAGAAAAACAGCTGAACGAGTTCTCTCTTGGGCATGGGTTTGTTTATCCATCTTCACATGAGTCGGAGCCAGTGGCCCTAGTGGTTTTGAATGACTTGAAACAGTTTCCCACAGTTGGGCAAACTCTGATACATGCATTTTATATACGGCATATCTTCATAGTTTATTATTAAATTAACCTTCATTATCAACCGGAGCTTTCTTCTTATCCTCAGTAGCATAAGCAAAAGTGAAACGTCAAGGAATAGGAGCAATTGCTCCAAAGCTTGAGTGAGGAAAAGTAATGATGGAAGTGGGAGAATGCAAGAAACTCAACAGTGATGTCTCACACCTTGCTCACTCCCATGGAGCCTGTTTCATAAAAAGAAGCCATTTTTATTTAGCCTCCCAAGTTACATGGCCTCCCTCATCTACTATTCTCTTGTTTCCACTCTGTGTCTCCTCCCCAGTATAAGTACTGCAAAATGCTTTCCATGTTAGGTTTGGGAATGAAGAGATAAATAAATATCCAAGACAGGGTCTTGATAGGCAGTAGAAGGAAATCAATACATTCAGGGAACTGGGAATTAGAGGCCAAACAGAGGACCTCAATGTAGTTCTCAGAACTAGCTGATCCTCCAGTGGACAAGCAAGGGCTGTATCTCACAACTGCAAGGAACAGGCTTCACCAGAACTCTTGTACCACCTACCTTGTCTTCCCATTCTAATGAAAAACATCTATGCTCCCCTTCTGCTGCAGGCACTGTGTTTCTGGAATGGGCATGGGCCGAGGAAACCCAGAGCCACCTGTCAGTGGTGAAATGGATGACAATTCACTCTCCCCAGAGGCTTGTTACGAGTGTAAGATCAATGGCTACCCCAAACGGGGCAGGAAACGGAGAAGCACAAACGAAACTGATGCCTCCAATATCGAGGTGGGTCAGAAGTTAGTTTCTCCTGATGTCTCCTGTGGTGGAAAGCCCTTCCAGATTCCTGTGGTTTCCTCCAAGGATGCTCCAAAGTGTGAAAAAGCTCCCCAGGGAGAAACTCCAGACATTCCCTGAGCTCTAGGCTGTATTTTACAAGAGGCTGTGGGGCTTTCTGGAGTTTCTTGCTGCTTTTCGGGAGTGGCCATTTGAAGGTTTTCACATACTTGCTCATTTCCTCTGTCTCGCCAAAAAAAAGTCAAATACCCACCCAAAGTCTGCTGAAAGGATAAGGTCTGAGATCCAGGACAGCAAGTGGGCAGAATAGCGAAGTGACATAGTGCTCCCTACATAGGAATGCCAAGTTCTGAAAGCTAGAGGCTCCTCTACTGAAAAGAGCCATGTGGAGTGTGAGGGAACTTGGATTGTAGACAAAAATAACGTGGAGCTGAAGCAGCCTGGTTTCCTTTGCCTACGGCTGCTGCAGCCTTTCAGTCAACTCAGAAGTGCACAGATATTCACCCAGACCTCTGGCTCTGGGCCCATAGAATCCAGCACATGTGGTCCCAGAGAGGCAAGTAAGAAGCCAGGTGAAAAGCATTGAATATTAGCAGATCATCACAGTCAGGAAGTAGGCTCATAGGTGTGTCCTTAGGAGAAGATGGTTTTACGTCAATGAATCAAATTGAAATAGTCTGGTTCTTCGTATTGGTGCTGCAACCCATCTGCTGTCATTTAAGAAATGAGATAAGTCTTTGGAAAGAACATAATCTATTAAAACAGTGGTTCTCAAACTTTAGCATGCATCTGAATCACCTACTAGGTCTTGTTAAAATTGATTGTTGGGAGACATCCCAGGGTTTCTGATTCAGTAGTTCTGGGGTGATGCCGAGAATTTGCATTTCTAACAGATTCCCAGGTGATGCTGATGCAGCTTGTTCAGGGACTACATTTTGAGACCTCCAGATACAAATGATTTCAACCTGCCTTTCTTCCTGACATCAGTTAATATTTTCAAATATTACAAATATGTGCCAATTTAATACACTTGTGGTCTAAACAAAATGCTTTCAATATTGTGTATGCAGCATAAGGCAGAAAATTGTATTAGTGTGAAATTTGAGTCATTTTTTCTTTAATATGAGAGCTAAGTGGCATATGTACATTGTATTTAACATATTGCCATGTGTCTTTCCAGGATCAGTCTGAGACAGAAGCCAATGTGAGTCTTGCAAGTTGGGATGTTGAGAAGACAGCCATCTTTGCTTTCAATATTTCCCACGTCAGTAACAAGGTTCGAATCCTAGAACTCCTTCCAGCTCTTACAACTCTGACGAATCACAACAGATACTTGATCGAATCTGGAAATGAAGATGGCTTCTTTAAAATCAACCAAAAGGAAGGGATCAGCTACCTCCACTTCACAAAGAAGAAGCCAGTGGCTGGAACCTATTCATTACAAATCAGTAGTACTCCACTTTATAAAAAGAAAGAACTTAACCAACTAGAAGACAAATATGACAAAGACTACCTCAGTGGTGAACTGGGTGATAATCTGAAGATGAAAATCCAGGTTTTGCTTCATTAATTCACCATCCAGAGACCAAATAATTAAAAGAAAAACAAATATAGATAGGTAGAACTATATTTTCCCCCAATCAGAATCATCATATCATAGGTACAATCTTTCACCAAGTAAATTTGTATAAATAAGCACTATTCTTTGTATTACCAAAGCAAGGTACAGGTGACTACCCTAGTTCAAAACAACCACTTTCTCAGGCTTCTCATGTGTGTAGCTAAGCTACCTTGTCATATGTGTTGATTCTTGAAAACTGGGACGTGTATTTCCATTGGGGGTTGGCCATTTATGCTGACATGCCATCCTTCCAGCAAACGTACGGGAATGTGCTTTCAATTGATGGACTACTCTATTTTTTGCAAATTTGTAAACTTTGCTTCTCCAAATACAAGTACTAGGTTGTCCATTTATGGTACCTATTTGGTGCTAGTAAATTTTCAAACTAGATTTATAAATGCACTGTAATATGTACACAACTTAGAAACCAAATTACAAGTATTCAGTTCCAATACTTCATTAATTTCAATCAACCAAAGTTAGTTCAGTAGCTTATCTCAGTTATGAGTATAATACATTACATGTAAATTAAGTGTGTGTATACTGTAATCGTGCTATTTTTTATCATTGAAACATTTATAAACTAGAATAATAATGCCCTTAATGTGAGGGTTTGTAATGGTGCTTATTAAGACCAAAGACTTGTTAAATGTATACACCAAGTGGTAATGAAATTTCGGTGACTGGCCCACACGTGCATAGAGGTCTGGGAGGACCAGGAAACAGCCTCAGTGGCCAGAGGATCACCAGTGCATCCTTCATCACAGCATGTGCAATATGCCAAGATTACCCTCGGTCATTCCTGTCAACAAGGGGTCAATGTCATAAATGTCACAATAAAACAATCTCTTCTTTTTTTTAGTTTACCCCTTGGCTTTGTGTTCTTGCATGGATTTGGGGTTGGAGGGGCCATTCCGGAGGCTAAATAAAGTCTCCTGGATTTAAATTATCCTGGGTCTCTTACTTATGGCTTATGAAAGTACCAAATGTATAACCACTAGAAGAAAATTTAACATATGAGTCGATCCCTTGTTTTATCCATTGAAAGTAGCAGAGTCTGGTGTCATTAACCTGACTTGCTTGTGAGAAATTTAGATTGTAGAGTCATTTCTGAAACATGACCTAATTCATCTTGTGACTTTTAAATAGTCTTAAATACCAAGTTCAGTCATTGTCTTAGAGCACATGAATTTCATTATAATAGATTTATCATGCCCCCCTCTCAAATATACACAGTTTTGGCAAGCCTTAGGTGTTCTGTTCCATTTTTTTTTCCCCTAAACATCTTTCGTTAGTCAATGCTCATCTAATTACAAAGGGATAATCCCAGACTGTATCCAATTGCTGTAACTTTTGGTTTCTTAATGTCATAATTTTTAAAGTCTGTTTTATTTTAAGTGCAATATTGAGTATTTAGCTGTTAGGCTCAATCCGTCGATATGAAATAATTTTTTAAATCCCTAAGGGCAGGAAAGCATTTCGTGGTAGTGAAAATAAGAGGAAATAAGATGGCATGAAGGTGGTGGGCGGAGAAACTAGGTAGGACACAGGAAAGTGCTCTCAAAAATCTTTGAAGAGCTCAGCTGAAAAAAATGGAGTAGATTTGGCTCATACTATTCCGGAAGGCAAAACCAGGGTCAGCTGATGTCAGCCCCAGTTTAATACACACGGTCCCAATTATAGAGCTACTCACTGAAAGAATGGGTTTCCTTGCATTGTGGTGAGCTCCCTGTCACAAGATAGAAGAGTTTCAGTCTAGGCTTAATGGCAACCATTGGACAAAGATGCTTTCTTCCACCTAACAGGCCATTAACATCTTAAAGGTATTTTTGTATCTCTAATTTTGTTTATAATAGGTGCTCAACAGAATGAGCTGAATGGCTGTTACAAAGGGGGTTTGTACCTTGGGTAAGAGATTAAAATATAACTCAAAATTTCCTTCTAACGCTGCACCTATGGAACCATGTGATAGAGGTGTATTAAAATTGTTATCGAAGAATATATAGCATATGGTAAACAACAGTTTGCATATGGAAAATGTCTTTGATAATTTAACCAGAACTGCATTATATTCAATAACGGATTTTCTTTATAACAAACAACAGGGGAAAATGGAGTTGGCACACAGTGGATCACTTTGATATTTTTAATAGTCCAAGTCTGGATTTTATTTATTCCTGAGCCAACAATTTTGAACAGCATATTTTCCATGTTTCTGACTGTAACAAAACATTTTCCTCATTGTTCCATTGTAAATATTCCTCTTGTTGGAACTCTTTTTAATCCTGAGATTTAAACCTGTACCTTTCAATTGTCTGTGACCTTTCAATTTCACTTTCAATAGTTGAAGAACTTGGCTTTGTAAATCTCTCAGAAGCTTGAAAATATCTTGTCTCTACCCCCTCAGCCCATTTCATTTGCCAATAATTATTTTGTAAGTAGGGTTGAAATGAACTCAGCTGGCCTTGTGAAATGTTTAAACTTGCACAAACAACTACATTTTTGTTCAACAAATAGCAGTTTACTCAGCCAAAATCACTTTGGATATTGCCATTACAAATACTGTTAAACTTCAGAAATCATGTCTGTAAATTAGATGAGCCAAAATAAAGGACAATTGGGTTGATGCTGCATTAGTATCCTTAAAAGTTATATACCCATAAATGTTAGGGATTTTAAAATTACCATCAACTTGGTCCACAGAATATATTTTATTCTGGTTTTAACTGTAGTTCTTAGAGAACTGTATTAGAAATGTAATTATTAGGAATGTAATTATTAAATGATTTAAGGACATTGTTTTTAAAGTTAGAAGATCATTACTGGCAGAAATATTAGTTTCACATTTATAGCTGAAGACAGATATTTACCCCTTGCCAATTTAAAATAACACTTTGTAAAAAAGAGAGAAGAAAAAAAAAACAATTTACTTCATTATGCTTTTTTTGAAACCCAGTATGAGCCTGACATTACGTATGAGTTAGGAAAGGATGATCTATATTATTCTGAGTGTTAGGGTTGGAGAGATAGAAAAGGGCTGTACACTTGACTTTGCAAATTTCCATGTATATTCATGACTGGTTTTATTCACAGGATTGGATCTCAGTTAAAGACATTCTCACAAATATCTGCATAAACATGAGGGTCTTGTACATTTGACATGCATTTGGCAAGACCTGACAAAAATCACAAAATCTGTTGTTTCAACTAACTGCTAATAAATCTAAAATGGTTTCTTTTTTTCAAACAAAGTCATAAACCTTGTTTTAGGACATAGGTTGCTTTGAATCCTTGATTCAAACCTGAATTATGGCTGGGCACTGTGGCTGATGCCTGTAATCCCAGCACTTTGGGAGGCCAAGGTGGGCAGATCACTTGATGTCAGGAGTTTGAGACCAGCCTAGCCAACATGGTGAAACCCCATCTCTACTGAAAACACAAAACGTAATCAGGCATGATGGTGCGCACCTGTAGTCCCAGCTACTCGAGGGGCTGAGGCAGGAGAATTACTTGAACCCAGGAGGCGGAGATTGCAGTGAGCTGAGATTACACCACTGCACTCCAGCCTGCATGGAAGAGTAAGACTCCATCTCAAAAGAAAAAGAAAAAAAAAATCTGAATTATAACTTCTACAAATGGATGTCAGTTTCATTTTTTACTGTTGGATGGTAGAAGGACTGAACCAAGTTATAGCAGGTAAGTGGATGCGATTTCTGGCTAGCTCCACCCTCTGCTATCTCTTCATTGTGATTTTTGATCTTTGTGACCATCCCCATTTCATAAATGAAGGCAAAATTATCCTCTCTGTGCTCCCCTGTGCCCCCTGTGGGTTGGTTATGGTGTCAGCTAGAAGGCATCAAGCCTTCCAAGTACTTCTGGAATCCATAGCTTGGGTTCAAATCTAAGCAACACAGAGGTGGAGATTTTAAGCAAAAAGCAGCTGCTCCATTGAGCATTTCCTAACTTTCATATCCCACCTGATGTATTCTTTGCAGCTGTGCTGGGAGTTGCAGAAATAAGAAGAGATCTGTTTCCTTTTTACCCTGAAATACTCTCTTGGGGAGAATTAAATCAAACCTACATGATCAACCTTTTTCTTCTCCTGGAAATGGAGACATTTGAAAACATCCTGATGATAATCACACATCCCATCAGTCCTACTAGACAGTGACAGAGGTCACAGGCCTTTGTAGTTGTGTCTACGTGGTGAACTCTGCTCTGCGTGGCCCCACCAGCTCTGCTATGGAGGCCAGACCTGTCAGAAAAGATTAATGAGACCTGAATATATCAGAATTTCCAAGGCTCAACAGACTAGATTGGGTTTGTGTCTGTGTATTTTTGTAACTACATGAAATCAGCACGATGTGCTGTTTAGCCTTTCTGTCTTCAGCTGTATGGAGATTATCCCTCTTTGGGCAGTCCCATGATCAGGCGGGGTGGCAAGCTCCTCCCTGAGGCCTGCTGCTTCCTGCGCCTTTGTGGCTTGGCTTCCGTGGGCTCTCTGGTGGGTCATTCACAGGAGGTGTGGTGCCTCCAGCTGGGGAGTCAGTGTGCTGTTTAACCAGCTCCCCAGGAGAAAATGGCTCCCGATCTCATGCCCACATGTTCACCCCCACAGGCCTCACCCCTACCAGGAGAGGACACGGAAGCCAGGTGCACCATCCTTAAAGGCTGATGCTTTCAGCCTTGATTTTTTTTTTTCCTAGCGTCAGTGATTCTTCATTTACAGAGCTTTGACCTTTCCGTGAGCTGCAAAGAAAGTTCACTGAGAGCTCATTTTGCTCCTGAGGAGTGCCTGCCTGAGAGTCCTGATACTGCAGGACATCTGGGGTCAGAAAGCTGTGCTCAAATCTTAGTTCCATCCCTTTCTAGTTATTCCACCCAGGGCAACTCCTTGATGTCTCTGAGCCTTATTATTGTGGATAATAGTAACACCTTCCCTATGTCCTTGCTGGACCATTATTACCCACTATATATAAAAGTCTAATACTTCTGTAGAACTTCACAGTTTTAACAAGCACTTGTGAACTGTGACCTCTGATCCTCAATCCTCACCTCAATCCTAGATTTTTATCATCCTAATCATGCACAAGTTGGGGTCTCTTGCCAAAGGTCTCTCACCCTAAAGAGTTGGAACTGAGAATAAAAACTCCAGATCTTCTGACAACACAGTGCATACCCAGTTCACTGTGCTTGCCAGAAGAATGAATAAAATGTAACACAAGAAAGTAAAATAGGAATCTGTAAGCTACAAATTATATTGTGATTCAAGATCTAGGCTTCTCTCTGCTCTTCTAGAAACCAAGAGAAGGCCAAGGAGAGAGTGGGCCATACCGTTGTCAGTCCTCTTGCTTCTCTGCTTGCTCCCCTCCCTCGCCCCTCAGTAAATCTCTTCATGGCCCCTGTAACCCGCTGCTGCCATACGAGGCCTCTGATGACAAGGACTAGGCCTGCTTTGTCCTCGTAGCTTTATCACCCAGCTCAGTGCCTGGCACATAGCAGGCACTTAATATGTGTTGAAAGGATCAATGACTGAGATTAGGAGAAGGAAAATAGGAAAAATCTCTGCAGAAGAGCAACCTATTTCTTCTATCTCTTCCTCTTCATCTCCCTCCCTTCGTTTTTCTGAAAAAAATATTTTCTGAGCACTTGCCTTGAGCCATCTGCATGAAGCAGTAGAGACAAAGATGAATGAAGCCAAGTTCCTAACGCAGAGGTACTTTCAAATAAGGGGTAGCAGAGCAGTTCTCTCCCAGCTATAGTCAGAGGGGATGTGAGCCTTTGAGGCTCTTGAAGGAAGTAGCAGGGTGTATGATCTTCAGTGCCTTGGTCCTAGAAGCCAGGAGGCAAGCTATGCTTCTGTACTATGTTCCTTCTGACATCTGTAAAGCCCCGTGTCTAGATCCTTATGAATCACTGAAATTAAAACACCCTTCTAACCTATCTCCCCCATGTAATGCTGTGGTAGTTTTCACATAAAATGGTGATTTTCAGTGGTGAGTTCATTTTTAAAGTTAAATTTCTATATTTAAATGAAACTTACTCTGAAATCCAATACATAAAATATAAGCAGGGCTTCGTGGGTTAAAGCCAAGCTAGGCAACCTGGAGACACTCACTGCCTCCAAGACAATTCTTATTAAAAATTATAACAGAGTGTGTGGGCTCATGCCTGTGATTTCAGCACTTTGGGAGGCTGAGGCAGGTAGATTGCTTGAGCCCAGTCTGGGCAACATAGGGAGACCCTGTCTCTACAAAAAATACCCAAATTAGCCAGGTATGGTGGCACATGCCTGTAGTCCCAGCTGTTGGGGAGGCCAAGGCAGGAGGATTACTTGAGCCTGGAAGGCCAAGGCTGCAGTGAGTCATGATCACACCACTGCACTCCGGCCTGGGCAGACATATTTCATACTGTAAAGGACCCTTTTTTTTTTTTTTTTTTTTTTTTTTGAGATGGAGTCTCGCTCTTTCGCCCAGGCCGGAGTGCAGTGGCACCATCTCGGCTCACTGCAAGCTCCGCCTCCCGGGTTCACGCCATTCTCTTGCCTCAGCCTCCCGAGTAGCTGGGACTACAGGTGCCCACCACTGCGCCCGGCTAATTTTTTGTATTTTTGGTAGAGACGGGGTTTCACCGTGTTAGCCAGGATAGTCTTGATCTCCTGACCTCGTGATCCGCCAGACTTGGCTTCCCAAAGTGCTGGGATTACAGGTGTGAGCCACCGTGCCCGGCCATAAAGGACCCTTTTATTTCGAATATAAGTGTGTGTGTATGTATATATATACATATATATGTAAAAACAATATACATATAAAATGTATATGTATGATTGATTCTACGAATAGAAGAGAAAAATAATATATAAAGTTAACTTTTTTCATTTTTTGAGATGGAATTTCACTCTTGTTGCCCAGGCTGGATTGAAATGGCACAATCTCAGCTCACTGCCACCTCTGCCTCTGGGTTTCAAGCGATTCTCCTGCCTCAGCCTCCCAAGTAGCTGGGATTACAGGTGCCCGCCACCACGCCCAGCTAATTTTGTACTTTTAGTAGAGACGGGGTTTTTTCATGTTGGTCAGGCTGGTCTCGAACTCCCGACCTCAGGTGATCCACCCATCTTGGCCTCCCATAGTGCTGTGATTACAGGCTTGAGCCACTGTGCCAGGCCATATAAAGTTATTTTTAAATATTGGTACTTAAACTCTAAGCCTTTGGTTCTTAAATTAGGAAGTTATAAGCATTTTTATGATATTTATATGTGGCAGGAATGGACTACAAGCTCACCAACCCTGTATTTTTTCTCCTGGGCCGCAGAAAGATGGCATATCCTAACTTCTTCTGCAGTTAGGTTGGAGCTGGGTGATGTGATTCTAACCAGCGGGATGTCAGGAGGTGTGATGTATACCATTTTCAGGTCTAGCTGAGAAAACACTTATGCAATCATCCACACTCACAAGAAATAAACTTTCTCGTAGTAAACCATTGATATCTGGGGACTCCTTGTTGTACCAGCTATATTAATTACCCTCATACAAATAAATAATAAATAAATAAATATTCTCCACTTTTTCACTATAAGGAATCCACAGCAACGGTTCTCAAACTTGGTTGCATGTTAGAACTGCTTAGGATGCTTTTAAAAAGAATCCCAGTGTCCTGACTGCACCCCAGACCAATTAATTCAGAATCTGGATTTGAGGTTCAGCCATTATCAGTTTTAAAAGCTCTCCAGTTGACTGCAATTTGCAGCCATGGTTAAGAAACACTTTTCTAAATCTTTAGATAACACAGATGAGGGTGTTTTCTTGGGGAAATCCACCATTTAATTCTGGTATGTGCCCTTCCACTATTGTTACCGCAGTCTGCAGGACATTGTGTTATCACCTAACAATATTAACCATGCCATTTCCTGACTCTGTGAGCTGTGTTTTTACTGGAGTTTTGCGGCATGTCATCAGTAGACAAGAATTAAGCAGCAGTGAGGCGTGGATGCTGCCAGGTGGTTTCCTGCATTAACCAGCTACCTGACTCCTCTCACGCTAGCCTTGGGGCAAGATTATAATTCTTGCCTCCACACTGGGTAGTTCCCAGGGAGTCAGCGTGTCCAATGTGAAATCTGTCCACAGCAAAATACTGAAAAACTCCCTAAAATATACAAATCAGAAACAGGGCCCAGTTAACTGAAGCTGTCTCATATCACTTTTTACAAAACTGGAAAATAGAAATTAATTCTTTTGAAAAAAATAGTCCTCTGGAGTGAAAATAGAAGCTTTTTCTTTTCAAGAAGCTATCAGTTTCTGCTAAAAGTGTGCAGTGATGGGATACAGGCTGAGCTGCCAACCAGCATGCTCACCAACCTCCAGGCTCAAGTGAACTGATCTTGAAATGCTAAAGTTAAAGCATGGCAGGGGCGATGCATTCTGTTACCTCAAATTTAAACCTTTCATATGCCTCCCTAGAAGTTTTCTGATTCAGAAAACCACAAAAGAAAAATTGAAGACAAATCAGCTACAGAAAAGTAGGATGTTGTTGCCAATATGAGAGTCAGAAAAAGGAACTTTAAAATATATTTTGAATAAGAAAGTTCAATTATATTTTTGTGTACTTCATGTGTGAGGGACTAACGCTGTGCAATTATACACAGTAGAAAGATGTGAAATTAAAAAGTCATTCCAAGTAAGTTTAAATATTACGTTTCTTCCAATGCATGCAATAAATTCTCTGTGTTAAATGTGAAGAAAGAAATCTATTTTAATTTATTCCTGTCCTTATTAAATAAATGCTAAGTAATCAATGTTTAAAGAGTATCCACCTTGAAGGGCAACAAATTACTGTCCTGCCTAGAGCAACCATACGTCAGTCTAGCCTGCCTTAAAGTCTGCTGGAGCAGTGTTTCCCAGACTTTAATGTGCACACACACCAGTTGCGAATGTTATTAAAATGCAAATTTTGAGTCTGAAGGGCTGGTATAGGGCCCAAGATTCTGCATTTCTAACAAACACCCATGGGATGCTCATACTGCTCCAATAGAACTCTGTTTACAAAAACAGGCCACCAGACCACAGTTACAGTTTGCAGTTTGAATTTTTAAAATATTGCATAAAATATTATTTATTATAGGTGCTGAGGTTGTTCTGGAAGAGTGCCCCACTTACCTTGCCTTAGCCCAGGTCCTGGGTGTGGCCTGTGGACCACACTTCCAGGAGTGAGATGCTAGTGGAATGGCTCTTGGCTGTTGTCCTTGCTCTGTGATTGATTTGCACTTCTCTTTGCATTCAATCCAATTTCAATCCCCCCAGCCTGCCTCCTCTCCATACCACTGGTTCTTATTATACATAAAATGTGTTCAAAGACCCCGAATTTTAAGAAGACACTGCCATGTGTGCTAATTGTGCATATGTTGTTTCTGAAATTTCAGCTCCTCCTGAATGAAACTCTTTCTATGAAAGAGAAATAATATTTAGCATGCTTCACTGCAATTATGGATGCTGCATTTCTTGATGGTGTATGTGTGCATGCATGTATGTGTGTATACCGTACATCCTCTTTTTTTTTTATTTTTGAGACAAGGTCTTGCTGTGTCACCCACGCTGGAGTACAGTGGTGTGATCATAGCTCACCACAGCCTTGAACTTCTGGTCTCAATCAATCCTCCTGCCTCAGCCTCCTGAGTAGCTATGACTACAGGTGTGCAACATTACGCCTGGCTAATTTTTTTTATTTTTTTGTAGAGATGAAGTCTCACTGTGTTGGCCAGGCTGGTCTTGAACTCCTGGCCTCCCACATCGGCCTCCCAAAGTGTTGGGATCATAGGTGTGAGCCACCATGCCCAGTCTATACTCTTTTAAAATGAAGTTTATACTTTTTTTTTTTTTGAGACTGAGTCTGGCTCTGTTGCCCAGGCTGGAGTGCAGCGGCAAGATCTCGGCTCACCGCAAGCTCCGCCTCCCAGTTCACGCCATTCTCCTGCCTCAGCCTCCTGAGTAGCTGGGACTACAGGTGCCCACCACCACGCCCGGCTAATTTTTTGTATTTTTTTAGTAGAGACGGGGTTTCACCATGTTAGCCAGGATGGTCTCGATCTTCTGACCTAGAGACCCGCCCGCCTTGGCCTCCCAAAGTGCTGGGATTACAAGCCTGAGCCACCTTAAAAAAAACTTTTTGAATGGTCCTTGAAGCAAAAACATTTTGCTTTCCCTTGGTTGGGCATTTATTCTCTATCTAGCATAATCAGAATACTTATTGGTGTTACTTTGCTTTTTTAGAGAGCTTTTGTCAGGGGATTAACATGCAAAGGGCATATCAAAATGAACAGGCGTAAAAGGAGCTTCAACTGCTTCTTCAATAGTGGAGGACAAGTCTGATTTGTTTTTAAAAGATAAACTAAACTGTGCTGGCTTAAGATGACCTCAGATAATCCATTATTCCTTCATTGCTCTTATTCTTCAAATATGTGTCCTCTTTTTAAAAACACATTGACATGATTACCAAAATCTCAACATACCAATCTGATGAGATGGTTGATCATCATCAATTTGATATTTTATACTGGGCAGGAATGCTTAATGATATCTTTCAACTCAGAGATTTCATCACACAGCTCGTGTCTACAGCTCGCTTGCAAAAATATAAAACAAGGTCCCTTCTAGCATGGTTTCCTCACCATCTATTTCCAAAGAATTCAATAATCTGCCCCCTCCCTTCCCTGTCTGGCTTCTACTCCTTTGTCACAAACCACAAAAGCACTTTTATCCAAATAAATACACCCATTTACTCACATACTGAGCAGCAAGTATACACAGAAATCCACTTTAGAAGACAGGATCAGTGGGAAGCCAAGGGAAGCACTGCCCCAGCGGGAGAGGGCTGTAAACTCCTCCCATTGCACAGGGGGATATTATAAGGAGGTAGCACAGCAAATTAGTTTTCCTTATATTTTAAGCCAATTTTTTTTGCTTCTTAGTAAATATTAACTGAGATCTTCCATTTGCTTTGCACTGTGCTAGGCTTTAGAAAGAATACAGGTTTACAACATTAAACCACTTATTTACAATTCAGCAGCAAGAGTACCACATATGAAGCCACTCACTATGTGGATGCACATACACCCTCACAAACACATAAAGATATACAAATTATTGGGTTTCTACAATGTTTCAAGTAGTTCAGAAATATCTTATTTACTCCTCACGACCATCCTGCAAGGTTGGGTATCACTGAGCTCTTCTTATTGAAGGAGAATATGAGGCTCAGGAAGGGTGAGTAATCTTCCCAACATGACAGGGCTGTCAAGTGGCAGAGATGGGACTCAATCCTAAACTTATCTAACTTTGTTTTGGTCAAGAAAACCTCCAGTGGCTTGACCTGATACAAGTGTATTTGTTGCCCAATATCCTCTGCAGGTGTTCCTGGCTGGCTGGGCTCTTCTGGGAGGTGATTCTCCAAGTGGTGACTCAGGAATCCAGTCCTTTCCATCTTGAAGCTCTGCTATTTCCAACAGGTGGCATTCAGGTCATCAAAGAAGAGGAAGACTGAATGATGATGGCACATTAGATACTGCAACAACTCTTACCCCAAAATGAGATAAATCACTTTTATTTCATGGTCCATAATTAGTTACATGGCCCCAATAAGATACAGAGGGGTTGAGAAATGAAGTGGCCAGATAGCTGTTTCCCAGAAACAACCTAACCTAATGGAAGGAGAGCAAATATCCTAGCTTTCTCTGCCACAGACTCCAAGGCCACCAAACCTCACTGCTTCTGAATCATGTAGGAGGAACAGCTAAACTGTATGGTGCCAAATTACAAGTCCGGAAAGAAGATCAAAGGATTCAGAGATCATAAGGTTGGAGCACAAAGAAGGAAACCCGATTAGGGTGCTGAAAAGTGGATATGAAGAAGACATTTCTGGCTGAGAAGAACCAGAGTAAACATGCAGAATTGGGAAGGTAAGGATGTCTCACAGTGGTGCTGTGAGATATATTATGAGACGTATCACATGCAATGATATATATCACCGGTTGAGCTCCTAGGGGAGGGCAGCACTCTAAAAAAAAAAAAAATGGAGCTTAGTAAATGCTTTTCAGCTGATGTAGACTGCAGCCTTTCCAGGGATTTCTCAAAATGTAAGATCACGGAGGCTGGGGACCCTGTTTTGTATGTTGTATTCTGTTATTCAATACCCAGAACTTGACAGTTGCTCAGAAAAGATGTGTTGTGAGTGGTCTATGGGTAAGAGTGGGCTTTAGAAAAATGTGCTGAGAGTGGCCAGGCGCAAGTGGCTCATGCCTGGAATCCTAGCACTTTGGGAGGCTGAGGCAGGAGGATCACTTGAAGCCAGGAGCTTGAGACCAGCCTGGGCGACATAGTGAGACCCCCCATCTCTACAAAAAAATTAAAAAATAGCTAAATGTTGTGGTGCAGGCCTGTAGTCCCACTTATTTGGATGGGTGAGGTAGGAGGATTGCTTGAGCCCATGAGTTTGAGCCTGCAGTGAACTATGATCACAGCACTACACTCCAGCCGGGGGGATGGAGGAAGACCCTGTCTCAAAAAAAAAAAAAAAAAAAGAAAAAATGTGCTGAGAGATGGCTAGTTCAAGGTCTTCCAGTTTCATTTTGTCTACTATTGGGCTTTTCATTACCTGAAGGGAGTTGTAAATTTCTTGAATCGCATTACATGTATTTTCCACAAAACGAATTCCTAAAATTTAGTATGGGGGGTATGTAATGGAGGTGCTGAAAGATCCTTGCCATCAGAGGTGTTGGGGAAAGCTTCTTGGAGATCAGACAGCCAGGCTGGGCTTTTTCAGAGAGAGGATATCCCGAGTAAGGGCAGTGCAGTGGGCCACAGGCCAGCTGGCAGGCACCGTGTGTAAAGGAAGTAGGTTAGGAGGTGTGGTCGTAGAGGGGCCAGAATGCCTGTCTAGAGTAATTTGGAATACAGCGGGCAGCTTTGGGAACATTCGGAGGAGTAATCCAGCAGGAGTGCACAGGATATGTCTGGGAAGCCCAGAGACTGGGGTGGTGGAACAATTCAGAAAGTCTCTGAACTCTCTTTTGCATTGCTCATTTACAGTCACTTGGCCAATGCCCACCTATCCCATTGCACATTCAGGCATGAGTGCAGGGGCTGTGTCTGTCTCAATCCTTTGTGGAAAGAATGAAATCCTGTGCGAGTCCACACAGGGCGGCATCTCACAATGTGGTGGCTCAGAAAGTGGAAGGAAGCAATGCATGAGTTAAGAGGGCCTGCCCCTGCTCTACTGCCCAGTGGCCTGGGGAAAGTCACTTCTCTCCTGGTCTTAGTTTTTCCACCTTTACCTAGTCCCCTAAAAATGAACACTGAGGAGATGGAGTTATAGTGATCAAGGAAAACTAAAAGTTAAAGAGCATGTTTAAAAACTTTGTTTTATTTTATTTTATTATACTTTAAGTTTTAGGGTACATGTGCACAATGTGCAGGTTAGTTACATATGTATACATGTGCCATGCTGGTGTGCTGCACCCATTAACTCATCATTTAGCATTAGGTATATCTCCTAAAGCTATCCCTCCCCCCTCCCCCCACCCCACAACAGTCCCCAGAGTGTGATGTTCCCCTTCCTGTGTCCATGTGTTCTCATTGTTCAATTCCCACCTATGAGTGAGAATATGCAGTGTTTGGTTTTTGTTCTTGCGATAGTTTACTGAGAATGATGATTTCCAATTTCATCCATGTCCCTACAAAGGACATGAACTCATCATTTTTTATGGCTGCATAGTATTCCATGGTGTATATGTGCCACATTTTCTTAATCCAGTCTATCATTGTTGGACATTTGGGTTGGTTCCAAGTCTTTGCTATTGTGAATAGTGCCGCAATAAACATACGTGTGCATGTGTCTTTATAGCAGCATGATTTATAGTCCTTTGGGTATATGCCCAGTAATGAGATGGCTGGGTCAAATGGTATTTCTAGTTCTAGATCCCTGAGGAATCGCCACACTGACTTCCACAATGGTTGAACTAGTTTACAGTCCCACCAACAGTTGTTTTTTTTTTAAATAAAAACAAACAAAAAAAGAAGGTGAAGGGAGTATGAGCTGGTGGTGCATAGGACAGGCTGAGGTGGAGAGCACATTAGCCTCTGCAGCTGGGGAACCTCGCTTGGTTTCCTTATTCTTGCCAGGAACCTTTCTGGACCCCCACAGAAATCACTCGCCCTGACCCACCATGGGCCCAACGCCTCTTCCTGCCACATTAGATTGTACCTCCCTTTATCCTTCTGGACTTGTACAAGTTGAAAAGGGTTTACTTCTTATATAGGTTCCTGATCTTTTCCAGCCACCAGGCAAAACCACATTCTACAATTGCTAAGTTCACAGGAACACCATGAACTCAGTTGCTTTCATGAAAAAAGGAGGATATCTGGCGCGGCAGCAGGAAGAGGCAGTGGGTCGTGGTGGGTCTGGGAAGCCAGTGAGTCTTTTTTTGCCTCAGTTGCCACATCTGTAAAAGGCAGATGATACTGCTCTGCCTGAAAGCTGTCCTGGGTGACCTCCCACATCTGCCTGCCCCCCATCTCCCTCCTCTGTTCCCACTCCCATACCCCCTGTGCTCCCAGCTCTCTGATTCTGTGAGACTCAATGCCTGGGACAGCCCATCACAAGTCACTCTCCATTCTTCTGGTTTCCATAGGGATACAGAGAGGTATCTGACAAGAATCTGGCACCCAAGCCTTGCAAACTGCAGTGACTAACGTGACAGCTCCACCTCCACTTGACTTAAGTGATGTGTGTCCCCGTTTGAGAGTCATGACACAGGACCGTGTGCTCTGAAGTTCTAGAAGTCCTAAACCCCAGGCCTAGGTTTTTGTATGTTTGGAAAAAAACTTACCGATTTGCAAAGCGCTGTCATGTGAGCCTGTTCTCCCCAAGACTGAGGATGATAAACAACCCCAGTGAGCCCATGACCTGGCTGCTGTGAGTTCCAAGGGAGGGGAGCCCTCCCTGACCATGTGAGGTGCCCCACACCCTCTCTCTTCCCTTACTCACAGCCTTCCACACCCCCACCAGGGAATGCTGGAGGAGAGGAGCTACTGCTCAAGTCTCCCAACTAGGGTGAGCTCTGGGCCACCCCCGCTGCCTCCCAGTCACAGGTGGCTAAGAGGAAGGGTGCTCCCAGCTCAGATTTGTGGCTGGAACAAGAGAGTCTCAGGAGAAAAGCTGAGCAAATTGGGTCAGACTTCTGAACAGGGATGGGAGATTCCTTGGAGTGACTGGGTATGTGTCAGCTGCTTAATGATTCCACTGTCTTCTCCCAACTTGTAAGGCACCGCCCTCCCCTTGGGGAGCTGCAGCTGCCAAGGAGCGCTGCTCAGTGCTCTGGCTGCTGTGACACGCGTGCTTAATAATAATGAGCATCATTTATGAAACCCTTAAAATATGCCAGGCAGCCTGCTAACCACTTCACAAATGTAGCTGCTTCATAAGCTTGGGATAAAAATGCAGTCACAATCTTTCAAATGTGTACACTAAATGCCTTGGCACCCCTGTTATGTCTATGTAAAAACCCCAAGACCCCAGGAAGGCTTCTTCAGTCTAAAAAGTCGGTCCAGATGAGTATTGCCCTAAGGCATTAAACCCGAAGCCTTCCTTAGTGTACCAAGGAGCCTCATTGTTTTTGGCTATAGTTGCCACTGCCTGGCGGTCACCATTAAGATTCTACAAAATCCCTGACTGTGGACTTCCTCCCAGCGAAACAGATGACAAAAACCCCTGCCCATTCCAGGAGCCAGATCCCTTCAGACAGGCACTTTCAGAATGGGAGCAAGGCCAAAAACACTGCACATGTAAGGATGGCATCTGCTCTTCTCCACTGTCCTTGGTGTGTGTGTTCTCAACTCAGGGACCCTTGGCTGGCAAACAACAAGTGCCAGGCACAGCTCTGGCACTTTATATGCAGTCCTCTGCATTCACACACACAGTTGTTTTCCAGACTCAGCTACCCACCATACTTCCTACTGTGCTATGGATCTCATCCCCTAAATGGCAAAGAAGGTCTACCTCTCCATACACAACACCAAGCCTATTTCCTGTCTCAGTAGGCCTGGTGTGCTTTTCAGGGAATTGTCCCACCTTATTATTCGTGGGTGATCTTTTTGAATTCTCACACCTCTTTGCATAATTAGCTCCATCTCACAAAAGAGGAAACAGGTAGAATGATGTGAAGGGACTTGCTCAAGGTCACACAGCTAAGACCTGGTTGAAGTGAGACTTAAACCCACACCCTGAACACGCTCTTCACAGCACGGTTTCATCCTGCCAAAGCATTCTTGGCTGGGACATCCACCTGAGTTGAAGTCAAGGGAAGAGGTTCTTGAGGCAGGTTAAGGTGTTTCTCTGTGGAGCCACTGGACCTGGGCTCAATGGGAAGAACCAGATGGAGACAGCCAAGCTGAAAGGCCTTATCTGAACTCCACTAGAGGAGATGAACATCGAGTCGTTTGTGAGTAGCCAGAACAAGTCATGCCACATGCGGGGTGTGGTAGTTTCGTACACATGTTGGCCTTGGACTGTGGCCTGGCCTGGCACTCTTACTAGGCCAAGGGCCTGGGTTAAGGAGACCCAGGAGGGTAAATGTGAGAGAATCTACAGGCACGTGTGCCAGTTTTGTGCCTCCCTCCACTCCTAGGCTGTTTTTTTTGGCCTCAAACTCAGCGCTCGCCTTTTTGGCCATAATCGCCTCTATACTAGGTCTGATGCTTTTTGGACAAAAACTCATGGGAAGAAGGGCTTTTTCTGGTCTCACTTGACAGTCATTTGGATACATGAACTTGCCTTTTCCGGTACCACCCCGATCACCCCTTTGTCTCCTAATAAAGGCCCATCATGGTGAAACACTATCTGGTCCAAACAAGAAGCTGGCATGGAAAATACTTAAACAGAAGTGAGATTTGAGTCCCAGTTAAGAGCCAAGCAATGAATGGAGAAATCAGAGAGCTGAGGTTATGGGCACAGAGAACAGAAAGAGCAGGTGGCTCTGAGAGAGAGACCCATAATGTGGGGTGAGAGGTGGAGGAATGTTAACAGGAAGTAAGCTGCGAACCACCAAGCCAAAGCAAACACAGGCTCCAAAACGGCCCATATGGCCTATCCATAAGGAAGGCGGCCAAGACAGAGCACAGCAGGAGGAGGGGAGGGGAGAACGCCCGGCTCCTTGCTCAACTGTCAACAACTGGGGGAGATGGTGCCAGTGATCCATTCTGGGCTCTACTTGAATAACTCAGATGGGGTGTCTTTGCCCCTTAGATCAGAGTAAGATGGGCTTGAATTCTATCATCACCCCCTACCCCAACCCCACCAGCCTGTGGAAATGTAAAACTCTCCCCCTGGTTTCTATGAATTCCTGAGGGCGTTTGTAATTGCCATCTCCTCTGGTAAGCTTCTACTTTCCAGTGTGTGGTGTCTGTCGTGCACCATAACCTAGGCATGAAACACAGCACCCCACCAGCGCCGCTTCTGTTTCCATGCACCTCTGCCCTCTCCACTTCCAAATTAGACCCTAAAGGATTTGGGTTTGAGAAGTGTTGGAAGAGAGGATTGGTCATCATGATATAAAGCAGTTTATATGACAATGCTTTTTCTCATATATCTGCTTGCCTTTGGGCTTTTTCGAGGAGTAAACACTTTACTACTACATGAACCTAAATATATATATATATATATATATATCTTTTTCATGACAGAAGGCTTTTATGACATGATGGGTTTTTATATAAGTATCAGATAATAACCACAATTATAGCTAACATTTATTAAGAATGTACCAGGTACCAGACACAATTAAGAAGTTTATATGAGTAATTCATTTTATTCTTACATTATCACCATTTTACAGACTAGAAAGAAGCCCTACTAGAAATTGAGTGGTACCCTCTTCAAGGGTTCACAGCTAATAAATAGCAGGACAGGGATTTGAGCCCAGGCACTCTGACGCCAAACCTGCATTCACCACTAATGCCTGTCTAGATCCACAGGAGACCCGAACATCCCCGGAGAGGGCGAAGAGCAGCTACAGGAGTACCAGGACCGTTTGTGTGGGAAGCAGAAGTTGACGGAAGAGAGAAAGGAGATGAGAAGGCCTGATTGATTATTAGGTCAACAGAATCTGGGCACTGAGAGGGAATGATCTATTTCGTGAACAGACTGCTTTGCTCTTGGAGTCATAGTCTCTGGAAGTGGATCAGAGAAAAACCCAGAAAATAAATGCAGCTTTAGTGAACAGAGAAGTAACCTTAGCCTGAACCCAGAGAAACAGGGTATGGGAATTAAGATGAGAACTCGGGCTTCCTGGAAGGCTGGGCAGGAGGCTCTGTCTCTGTTCTATGCTGCAGAGACAAGAAGGTTCTTGGCTCCTTGCCACTGGCAATGAGAATAATGGGACAGAAAGTGGGGAAAGCCTGTTAAGCCTGAAACAACAAGAGGAGGAAAGAATGTTACCAGAGTCTTGTAAGAGCTAGAACCTAAGAGAAAACGCGGTGCGGCCACTGCCAGAACTGTGGGAAGGCCAAGAGGAAATCAGAGAATGCTCCAAACTCTTTTTCCCACCCCCTAAACTCACACTGTTACCTCCCATTGCCCAAACCTAACTAAAAGCTGAAGGCAAGGTACTCTAGTAATATGGTACATAAAGAAACACAGAGCAAGGCACAGAAAGGCAAAGAATGGATTAGGGCGGAAGGGTAGAAACCGAAAATAACCAGCACCTCCTATGACCCAGCAAGTCCACTTGAGCTTTGTACAGTAAAGAGGCTCAATGCACTGTGTACAATGTGCATGGACAAGAAGGTTGGCAGCAATACTATCTGTAAAAGGCCCAAGCTGGAGACTACTCAAATATCCACTCATAGTAGAATGGATAAATAAACTGTGTTACATTCATTCATACCTAGGGACACCAAAGCAATGAAATTAATTAACCACAGCTATACACAATGGCAAGGATGAATTCCACAAACAAGGTTGAGTTAAAACACAAGGAAAGTATAATTCTATATATATTAAGTTTGAAATTGAGCTAAACTAACTTACATTACTTATGAATACATATAGGTGATAAAACTGTATATATATATACATAATATATGTATATTAAAATGTTATGTGTGTGTGTGTGTGTATGTGTATGTGTATATATATATATATATATATATATATATATATATATATATATATATATATATAAAATGATTATCACAAAAATCAGGATAGTGTTTACCTTTAGGTGAGAAGACAGAATTATGATACAAGCTGTTCAAGGGGAAAGGGAGGAAAGGGCGGCCTGTGGATGGTGGCAGTGTTCTATGTCTTGATCTAGCTGTGGTTACACAGATGTTTGCTTTACATGTATTCATGAAAAATATGTTTTAGCTACATACTTGTAACATCCTTAATAATACAAATAAAAATGGAAAACATGTTGATATGGTTTTCAGATATTTGCTAGACATATGTATATATATAGTATATTTGAGATAATCGCTGCATTTGCAATTTTTCTCAATGCTAGAGCATAAGAATTTTCTGAAACCCATAACAACTCCTTTCTAAGTTAGTTTTAAGGCTAAATAATATTGCTGAATAATGTATATTATAAAGTAGTTAACTATTCCCTTATCAATGACTTCTAGGTTGTATCAATACTGTTTCATTTATGATACTTCTTGCCCTTTCTAATAAGTAGTTATTTTAAGGAATTCTAACCCATACTTTCATACTCCCGGCTTTCTTTGGGTGATAAGAGAAAAATGAAAAGAGTGTTAGTTAATAGTTCCAACTGACCCCCTAGTCTAAGCTATCTCTCCCTATGATTAGCCCTATCATCCTTTCTACTTGTCCTTCATGCCACTTATCATAATTGCAAAATGTGCAATTAGTTGGCAATTAGTTGTCCCTGCACTTACTTGGTCAATGTCTATCACCCCTATTGGGACCTCCAGGAAGGCAGAGAACACGTCTGCTTTGTTGATCTCTGTCCTCAGTGCCAACACAAAGCCTGCCTAGCACAAGGGTGCTCATTAAATATTTGTCAAAGGAATAAATTAATGCATGAATTAACAAATGAATTTGAATGTATCCAGTCTTTCTGCCCTGCCCAACTTTGAAAATGAGTTTATCTCCTCCAGGAAAAAGCCTCACAAAATAGAGACACCCCTGAATGTACAAGCAGAGGCCTAATTGAGAGGGACGAGGGTGTGGATGGAACCCCTTACTAGTTGTGATACAAAATAGAGGGTCTCCAAAATTCTTTCCATTCCCCAAATCTCAGGATGCAGTCACCTAGCCAGGGCCAGGACTCAAGACAGGAAGAGTAGGACCCTGTACCAGAACGGAGAGATAGTATTTGTTTAAAAGTAACTGAAGAGTTACTGGAAGCCATGTTCTTTCCTACTGAAACAAACAAACAAACAAAGGTTTGTTTGTTTTTTTAAGCTAGTTTATTTGGCCATATATGTAAATAAGCGTCAAAGGAGTGACCAAAAGAAAAAAAAAAAAAAAAAAAAACTTCTTAAGTGCAATAATTTTTTAAAGTCTTACTAAAATGTGGAAAGACTTAAATAAAAGACACATTTTTCAATAGTTTGTCTCAAAATATGAGGCCACTAATTTTCCATGTCTTATGCTTTTTTACACACTAAATTGAGAAGTCCTGAAAAAACCGTGTTTCTCCCATCTTTATCGGAATCAAGAACAAGTAACATTTCTTGTTAGGATATAAAACAGGGAAACATAGTTCACATATATTGCACAAAATTATTTAAAAAGAAAACTCTGGAAAGAGACAGAACTATGCACAATGGAAAATTGAAAATTCTCCAATTTCAAGATGAGTCAGCAAATAACTTTTATATGACAGCGACCTGGGAACCCTGCTGAACAGAAAAACCTACTTTAATGGGAAATCAGACCTATTTCCTGACTTTTAGGAACCATAATCATTTGAAGACCTCTTTTAGGTGATGTGTCCATGTCTTTGCCTGTTGAAATTTATTAGGAACAGAATATGATATTCCCAGGACAATACTGACCCACAGGAAAGGATCCTCACTCAGTGGAATGTAATTACATCAGGCCTCCTTGTCCCAACCTTTCAGGCTTTTCTTTCCCACATGGTGCAAGCTGTTCGGTGGGGCTGCCAGGTTTTAATTAGAAAGTCTTAGGTTTCCAGGGAAATCATCGGCACCTGGCTTCTTGCTTACACCTCTCCCAATCCTTCTCTCTTTCACCCCCAAATATTAATTTCCCCTTGCCTCAAAAGGGACATGCTTTTGCCAAGGATTCTTAATCCGTAGCAAGTTGCTCACTCAAAGAAAGGAGGTGGAGAAGGCAGGGGAGAGGAGAGGAGAGAAGAAATGGTGAGTTCTTTCCTTTCAACATTGATCATCCAAATAGTTTTGGTATTTCCTGGTGCTTTGCTCGGTGCCTTCTTATTTTTGAGATGAAACTGCCCACTATGTAATTACCTGTGTATTTTTAACTGATAAAATTGCTACCCTCTTATTCCCAATGGAATTGGGGCATAGAAAATGAATAGAGTGTCAAGATCCTGAGGCAATAACAACAATCTACTTAGTAACTACTCCCCATCTCCCTGTTACCTCTGAATTCATATACTTGTCTCAAATTTTCATTAGCTCAAAATTAATTTTTCTACTAAAATGTCATAAGTGGTGAACAATACCTAGTTTATTGCAGTAAGAATAGGACCAGCTAGAATCAAAAAGTTTGTGTCTTCCCCTTTCTCAAGCACAAAGCTAGCCAGACACAGACACATTGTTCAATGTATTTGTCACCTTTGGTCTGTCTGCCCAACAGCCCTCTCTTTTTCTGGGAATGGTAGTGCCCTCTCTTTAGGGAATTGTCTCTTCTCTAATCAAGTAGATTTATTAAAGACATGGGGCTAGAAAGGCCGGCTCCATCTGAGAGTATGCCCAAGATTCTAATACACTGGGAAGTTGTTAAATTTCTCTAGCAGGATGTCCAGCCAAGTATAACTTCAATACATTTTTAGAAAGAAAATTTGCCAAGAGCTTTTGTGTTTAGGAAGATGCAGAAAGTCATCCTGGGAAAGATGATACTCGATGTTTCCCTACAACACTTGGATGGTCTAGGTTATGCAGACTTGGCCACTCTCCAGGAAGAAGGGTGTGTTACACACTCCAGGTTCAGAACTGCTGGGGTGTTTGTGCAGTTCTACAGAATGAAAGCCTCTCTGATGGATCGAGACAGTCCTAACAGAAGTTCCCCGGGACATCAAGGGGCCCAGAGAAGAACTTCACAGGCAGGAAGCAGGAGTCTGGATCAATGAACAAGGCCACGGGTTTATAGGAAGAGCTGGTTCCAGGAGTGTAGCCTGGGCTGGACTCCTGCATGCTCAGCCAAGACCAGCCACCCTGCTGTGGTATTTATGTTTGGGAGGCTATAAATAACCTTCTGCATATAACTGAAGAGAGCCTACATCTTGAAGCCTGAAGGTGAGGTTAATTCAGAGCCAGTGCAGGACTCATGAGGGCCCATTGCCACAGCAGACAACATGCAGGGCACCCTGCAAACCACACTAGGGCATTAACTGCCCAAACAGCCTAAAGCTTGGGAGCCAAACTAACCCATCTGCACTGAACAAGTCACCAGGTTTCTGTACAATTTAAGTTGGGAGCCAAGGCTTCAGAAGAAAACAATAAATTTCCTACTAATATGGCCAGATGAGGAAGGTTGTTGTGCAATTGATTGGAACAAATATAAACATAGGAATGTAAATGGGTTATAGCCAATATTAAATGGCTTATATTAAAGGTACCTCTCTACATGAATATTCACTCAGAAGATCCATGACTTTTTAAATGTCCACTTGTCCATCACTGGTGTTTAGTGTTGGAAGAGAGGGTGCCTTTGTGTGAATGGTCTGTCAGTCAGGAGGTGCTTACAGTAGAACTCTGGATGCACATCACTAGAAAGTGTTTATACATTCCCCCCACACTGGTATTTAACTGCATCTGTCCAGTACTTCAGAGTTAAGGCCAAGCCATCTCCATTTCTAATTCAGTAGAGACACATACTCCATAAATGAAAAATTGATGTCTGTAATCCCGACATTTTGGGAGACCGAGGTGGGCGGATCACTTGAGGTCAGGAGTTCAAGACCAGCCTGGCCAACATAGTGAAACCCTGTCTCTACTAACAATACAAAAATTAGCCGGGCATGGTGTCAGGTGCCTGTAATCCCAGCTACTCAGGAGGCTGAGGTAGGAGAATCACTTGAACCCAGGAGGTGGAGGTTGCAATGAACCAGTATTGCACCACTGCACTCCAGCCTGGGCTACAGAGTGAGACTCCTTTTCAAAAAACAAAAAAGAAAGAAAGTAAAACTGAGACATAAGAGGACAAAATACCTGAAATCAAAACTCAACAGGTTGTGATACTTCATAGTATTGGTGTTTTAGCAGTGTGGTTGTGACCATGGACCTTAGAACTAAAGTGTCTTGGTTCAAATTCTAGCTTGATCACTTACTAGCTGTGTGACTTTGGGAAAGTTACTTAAATTTTCTGATCCTCTACTCCTCATAGAATAGAGATAGAAATGGTACCCATTTCACACTTGCTCAGAGCACTTACATTAGCCTACAGTTGGGCAAAATCATCTAACACAAAGACTATTTTATAACAAATTGTTGAATATCTCATGTAATTTGTTGAATACTGTACTGAAGGTGAAAAATTGGATGGTTGTATAGGTACTTGATGTATGGTTATACCGAATGCATATTGCTTTCACACCATTATAAGGCTGAAAAAATCATTTAAATAGAACCATAGTCAATTAAGGCTATCTGTATTATCTCACACAACTTCTGAGGGTCAAGTGTGACTTAGCTGGATAGCACCCAGGAGTGGCTTAGCTGGATAGTTTTCACTGAGGGTCTCTCATGAGGTTACAGTCAAGTTGTCAGCAGGGACTTCAGTCATTTGAAGTCTTGACTAGGGCTGGAGGACCCACTTCCAAAATGGCCTCATGTGGCTATTGGCAGGAGACTTCAGCTCATTACCATATGGGCCTCTCTGTAGTGCTGAGTACAACATAGCACCTGGCTTCCCCAGCGTGAATAATGGGAGGGAGACAGAGACAGAGATAGAGGCCAAATGGAAGCCATGGTGTCTTTTATAACTTAAACATGGAAGCAACATACTATTTTTTCTTTCATACTATATTGGTCACATAGACCCACCCTGGTGCACTGCCGGAGGGAACTTCACAAGGGTGACATTGTCAGAAGGTAGGGATCATTGGCAGTCACCTGGTAGGCTGGCTACCACACCAGCAGAACCAAGGGGAGCAGAGACTGAGTCTTATTGACACTTCTTGACTCCCTGGACCATCCATATCTCATATGAATCAATCACTGCCTTTCTGTGCTTAAGCTGTTGTGAGAAGTGTTTGGTCCATTGCTACGAAAAAGTTCTTGACTGGGATAATTGTTAGCTCTTATTGAGCATTTAATCAATGCCATGCAGTGTGCTTGAACCTTCATGACAACTCCATGAGTTAGGGATTATCATTCTTAATTTCCTTTTCCCAGATGAAAAAAACTGTGGCTGAGAAATTATGTGGCTTGGCGAAAAGTCATGCAACTGGCAAGTGGTAGATCCAAGTTTCAAACCCAGGCAGTTTTATCTAGAGCCTTGTCTCTTCCTATTATGAAAGGTCACTTTTTTTTTTTTTTTTTTTGAGGTGGAGTCTCGCTCTGTCACCCAGGCTGGAGTGCAGTGCCCAATCTCGGCTCACTGCAACCTCCGCCTCCCGGGTTCAAGCGATTCTCCTGCCTCAGCCTCACGAGTAGCTGGGACTACAGGCACGTGCCGCCATGCCCAGCTAATTTTTTGTATTTTTAGTAGAGATGGGGTTTCACCATGTTAGCCAGGCTGGTCTCCGTCTCCTGAACTTGTGATCTGCCTGCCTCGGCCTCCCAAACTGCTGAGATTACAGGCGTGAGCCACTGCACCTGGCTGAAAGGTAACTCTTAAGCATTTCCCCCTCTTGATTCAGTTTGAGATCTTTCTCCCCTAAGATGGGCTCTCAGCTTGCATTCTCTCATAGAGTGGTTCACATATAAGCTGAAACTGGGCCCATATCCAATGAGTACTGGGTGGATGGCCCAGGCTAAAAGCTGAAGTGAATCATAGGAGAGAAAACTGTTGCCCTGCTAAGCCATTCCTATTGTGGCATCCATGACGCATATCCAGCAGAGGCCAACCAGTCATCTATCACCAACCCAAGGTGCCTTCAGTTTCTGATCCCAGTAATTGAGGACATGTGTTACTCTGCAAACAGTCCTGATGGGAAATGGGTGGTGGTTCTTCCCCTCTGATGCTTGGGAAATGAGAGGGCAAAGGAGGGGAGTAGAGAGGAGGCTGAACACTTTTATTTTTTTTTATGTTAACAGCTCTAAATGATTAAGGGTAGGAAGGGAATGGCAATAGAACATAAAAATGCTTTGTGTAGAGTTCACATTTACTCGCACTTTTAACTCCACTGTGGCTTATTAGTTCACGGGAAAAATTACAAAAGGAAATAAAAACCTGACTATGAATCCAGTATAAACAATTTGCAGCCATAGTAACCAAGAAAGTGCAACTCCTAGATTAAAAAAAAAAAAATGTCTGTGCAAGAGTGTCCATGCAGAGGATGTCAGGAAATGGTTACAGAGTGAAGAACTCAGTCAACCCCTGGTCAGTGAAGCAGAGCAGCTCTGAAGAGGCTGCGTGCATACCCTGCATACCCTGGCTAAGATGTACATCAGGAGTTGGCAAAGTTCTAATTCCTATTTGATAGAGTTTCCAACTCAGCTGTAAATATTCACTCAAGAATAAAACAACGTCAAAAGACTTTGCCTGACAAGAATTTGATTTTTGTTGTTGTTGTTTAAATCAACTTTGGTTTGCATGAGTTCAACCCAACTTCACTGCAGGAAGACAATAGGGTGTGCGGCTTCTTGTGTGTTTCCACATTAGCTTTGGAATGACTCGAAGCCGCCTTGTGAATTCAATTCTGGATAAAATACAGCAACTCAGGACTCAGAACCACACCCTATCTTTTCACCTTTGGGATATGAGTCATCAGCTTCTAATTTGTGTAGCCAGATCCTAGCAATGTATGGCCCCAGGATCTGAGAGGAAGTCCAAGCAAGTGCCAGTAGTTTTGGAGGTCCTGGGGCAATCACCCAAATGGGAATTGTGGGCACCTATCCCACCAAGCTATCAAATTTGAGAGTAAAAGCATCTTTAAGGATCATCTAATCCAATGAGCCATATGATGCCTGAATTCCCTCTTTTCCTCTTTGTGCCAGAGGACGTTCATCCCATGCTTGGAGCCCCACCCTTTGAGAAGGAGAGCTCCCCAAGGCAACTAATGCAGTGTGACTGCAAAATACTCTTTCTTAAAGAGTCTGTCTCTTTGTAAATTACAACACACAGTTCCTTAAAGCAAGTCAAATATTCATATATTCGAGAATGAATGGCTATTTTGTCCTCAGATTTCTCTAGTCTAAACCATAAGAATTCTTAACTATTCTGCATCTAGTTACTTCCCTCTGAACACCTCCGGAGGACCTCTTGAAGTTCAGTCCCTCATATGAACACAGCACTCAATGTATATTCTGTTCAGGGAGAGGAACCAACACCATTATCAGTTTCTTCATTCTGAGATTTTACTTCTATTGACTTTGTTTCCTATTTATCTGTTTCTTAAAGCCTGTGGTATTTTGAACTCATAATTAATTTACTTCCCACTAGAATTTTTGACTAGGCCACGCCCTTGGTCACCAATCACCAGTTCTGCTCTACTCTCTGAGCACATGGAAGTAGTACACTCCCCTGCCTCTTGAAGATAGCTATGGTCATTGTGACAGAATGCAAAATATATATTTTGTCTCTGCCCTTCTTTCCTGGAATACAGTTCCTAAAATCCTTAGAATCTCCCAAATGATAAGTGTATTTTGTATGCTAATGAGATGACTGGTGGCTGGGGTTCCTGGATGGCTTCAGGATAGGAACTGGTTGCTAAAAGAACCAACCATGTGATTAGAGGATTGGAACTTGGTTTCACACCCTCTGCCTTTCTGGGAGGGGCGAGGGGCTAGAGGTTGAGTTGATCATCAATGGCCAGTGATTTAATCAATCATGCCTATATCATGAAGCCTTCCTAAAAAAATTAAGCAAAGGGGTTTGAAGAGCTTCCAGGTTGGTGAACAAGAATGCATCCACATGCTGGGAAGATGGAGCACCCCAAATTCCATGGAGACAGAAACTTCTGTGCTCGGGATCCTTTAGTGGTGCATTCTTGTAGGACTGAGGCCTCAACCTGTGGGGTCGGCACCAACTCTGGGCAGATAGTGTCAGAAATGAGTTAAATTGTAGGACACCTAGTTGAAAATTGGAAAAATTGGTTGGTGTGAGAAAAATCCCCACAAATTTAGTGTTAGAAGTGTTGTGAGAATAGAGAAAAACAGTTTTTTAAATAGTCATGTTACCAGCTGTGGCCAATAGGAAATGAGTAGAGTATCACATGTCAGTTCCAGGTTCAGGCACTTAAGTGCTTATTCTCATCTTTCCAGGCATCTCTTTGCCCATCCTGACTATTGTCAACCCATGTGTTGATACAGAGTTGTCATAGATTGAATCAAGCTGGAATGCTGAGCCAACACATGGAGGACAGCAGCCCTAGCACGCTGCCCAGACATGCAGCACAATTTGCTTGAGTGAAAAATAAACTGTTATTGCATTGTGCACAAGATTTTGGGATTGCTTTTGCAGTATAACGCTTTTCCAAATCAATGTCTAAGTGTTTTTTCATGCAGGGTCAGATTTACCACTCACACATTCTCCCATACCTCCTTTTTGCACTTTAGTAATTGGTTTTTGGATTTGATTTAGCAACTTATATTTGTTTTTCTCATAAAAATTAGTTTTAATCATTTCAGTTCAATGAAAAATTTGGTATTTTGATTCCATCAAACAAAAATATTCATTCTTCCCACTACCTCCATTACATTTGAAATTTTGATAAGAATAGAGATGAAACCTAGAAAAAAGAAATTTCTGATGGCACGCTTTTCTTAGCTTTCTACTCTCTATTCTCATGGTAATGTTCAACCCTAATGAAGACAGTTTCAGACTTTCTTAACTCAGGATAAACGTAAAAGGAAAAGTCACCAGGGGAAAAATAACAACCGGAAATCCTGTTTTTATTAATTAGTTGAGCTCTCAGTTCTCATAATGAAAACAAAACATAACTATGGAAAAGATATGTAATTGTCTTACTTTATTGAGCTACAAAATCATTTAATGTTAAGCATTTTGGGGAGAATCTAATGACAAATAAGATTTCATTGCTATCTCAAAGAGTCTAAAGTTAGACCTGTGAAAAGTATAGGCTGAAATCAGGTTGATTACATTAACATAAAGCTCCAACACTGTGGCTGTTACTGTTGGTTGTGCACCCAATGACCATTCCCCATTTCTTCAACCTGAATTCACCTGATGTTGTTCGGGTATCAGGAGTACATGGGCTTCAGGAAGTATTGGCCTCTTCCCCCAGACCAGTTATGAGCATTATATAGTCCTTTGTCCTTCCTTGGTTTGGAAATGGGCATGCCATACAATTCCGGCCACTGAGATGAAAGTGAAGTCTGCAATGAGGTTTCTGGGAAAGTTTTTCTCACTCTTAAAAAGAGACATAGGGAAGGAGGCTTCTGTCTTCCAGACTTAGATATACGTGTGTGAGAATGCAATATTTAGAGTCTCAGCCATAGGACCGTTAGAGGAAAAAACAAAACCTGACACAGTCAGCCTGGCAGGCCAGACAAGATGGAAAGAATTACGTTCCTTATTACATAAAGGAAGTGCTGAATTAACCCATTCAGGAACTGTTTTACCACTAGACTTCTCATATGGATCATAAATATTTTTATCATGTAAGCCATGTTGAGTTGCATAGGTCTTTTGTTACTTGCTGTCAAAAGCATCCTAATTGTTATAATCACTAAGAAATTTTTCAGCATACACATCCTTATGCTATTTTATAAAAAGTAGAACCTTAGTAGTAGTAGTAGTAGTAATGATAACACTCTTACAATTATGAGAATCTACTTTGGGTGAGGCACTATGGTAACCACTTTAGATAGATTTTTTTTTTTTAATAACCTTTAGTCTTCCAATTCAAGCATAGGGTCTGGTATCTTGTTTCTCATCTTCTCTGAGAATGGGTTTAACTATAAAGGTCTGAATTCACTTGATATAAAATTTAGTCTATGGTATTCTAAGTTCTTTGACCAACAAATATTTGTCAATATGAGGTGACCCAGAAGTTTGTGATGGCTTCAAAAAGGAAAAAAAAAAAAAGATTCGTTTACTTAATTTTGCATTTCTCTTGAAATATTGAACTAAGTGTAGAAACAATTCCCTTAGAGGAAGTTAGGAATTTGCAGAAGGGATGTTAACACTTTAGAGCTACCACAGTACCAATAACTACATTTTGGCTTTGGATTTTGGAAAAGTGCTTACCTGCCCTCTGCCTGCCCCTGGCTTCAAAAGGCTTCACCCATGCTCAGAGTTCATCTTGCTGCTTCAATTAAATGGGCAGGTGACTCTCAATTCACTTGAACTATGGACATACCCAACGGGGAAATGTTCTGCAGTGTGTTCACATATGAATTTATGTGGCCTGGGAGGGTTGTAGGGCTGTATGATGCTCCTCAATGGTTTCTGAGTGACTAAGCTAAGGCCAGCACTCAATGGCCAGCTAGAGAGTCTCACCTCATATCCTTCCAAGGTGGCCACTGGGAGTGAAAAGAGGGAAGGAATCATCACTGCTTCCTTCCTGTTTTCCCCTCCAGGCAGGCAGAGCTACAAGAGTACTATGTCAGGAAAACATTGGTAAACAGGTTGAAAATTGCTGTTCACAATTTTCCTTTCACATTTCAGCAAGGAGGCCACCTGTGAAAACAGAATGTTCTAAGTGTCATCCTCTAAGAAAAGAAAACAAAGGCTTATGGGCATTGGGGACAATGCTTCCTGCCCTGCTGTCCATTCTCAGCCTCACCAAGCCTAGTAAATAGACAAGCTTGGAAACAGTGATGTTTGTTTCCGAAGAAATGACATCAGTGCAGGGGTCAGCACCTCACCTATTTTATTGTGGGGGATATGAGGGTGAAAAATGAAAATGAATGCATAGTGTATGATGAACATTTGAAAAAGCCTGATCCCTGGTGGTTGCTGGGTTCTCCCTGTCCTGAATAGGTACAAATAAAGTGGGGCATAATTTAAGTTCATATTGTATGAATATAAGAATAAGCATGACGATATGGCAGTGTCCCCACCCAAATCTCATCTTGAATTGTAGTTCCCACAATCCCCAGGTGTCATGGAGGGACCCAGTGGGAGGTAATTGAATCATCGGGGCAGTTCCCCCATGCTATTCTGATGACAATAAGTTCTCAAAAGAGCTGATGGTTTTATAAGGGGCTTCCCACTTGGCTCAGTTCTCCTTCTTGTTCTCTCTGCTGCCGTGTGAAGAAGGACATCTTGGTTCCTCTTCTGCCATGATTGTAAGTTTCCTGAGGCCTTCCCAGCCATGTGGAACTGTGAGTCAATTAATCTTCTTTCCTTCATAAATTACCCAGTCTTGGATATGTCTTTACTAGCAGCGTGAGAACGAACAAATACACATGGTTTAAGAAAAAAAATGGAGAAGAGCTTTAAAATAATAGTCTTTCTCTATACCTTTCCCTACCACCCATGCCATACCCTGAGGCAAACACTGACATCCACAGTACTGGATAATAGGTGTAGATTTCTATTTCTTGATCTATTAGCACTTAAGGATATCAATTTACTCTTAAAATGTCAATTTAGCTCTTTACATCATCCTTCACCTTCCCTCCTCCTTATGCTTCTGATCTTTAATAGTTCTGTTACTATTTTTCAGTTTTTTCACTGACTGCCTTCGTGACTTTAAATAACACATTTATACACTATTTCATCCTCCATCAACCTTGGTCAATATCTCAACTCCTTTTTTTGTAGAGTAAATTACAAATATAGACATAGTTTTTGCATAACCATAGCAGTTAACATTTATTTATGCTTAGCTGTCAGGCATCTGTACTTTGTCTATTGATTAATTTTAGAAGGTAGAAGTGAATACAGAGCATTTGTATTTCTGTGACTGAGTAAATCTTGCTCAATGCTGACCCAAGTAGCATGTTAGAATTGCATTTTCTTCTCAAAGGTCTTCTGGGATATGTAAGGAAAATGTTTATAGCATCAAGGCCAAACAGATTCCCTTTTCTTATATATTATCAAATTGCTTAAAATCATACCCCTTTATTATTTACTCTATATTCAGACCAAGATTTTCTGTCCTGATTATTGTTTTTCCTGACACTTTTAATGTGCTTTGTGTGAAGTAGTTCACTGTGCATTGATTACCAACTTGCCTGAGTCTGGTGAGACAGAACACACTCATATGCAACAAGTTACATGAAGCAAATTTATTACTTACAGATATGTAGCAAGAGATTGCAGAATCCCAGAATTCATTGTAAGCCAGTTCCCCAGGACTCAGGAAAGCTACACAGGGCAGATGAAGTCTCAACTGTGCATGCCCTACTTGCACCACAGCTGAGACTCTAAAACTAACCCATTCTGAGTTTTATAATCTGGGGTAACAGGACCCTGTGGGATGAAGCACTGAAGGATGTTCTGTCCTGCAGGTAGCTGGACTGGGACAGAACCCAGGCTGTTCTGGCCAGTCCCTCCCTATCTCAGGATGTTGCCTTCCCAGAACATTCTACAGCTATTCTTGAAAACAAAAAGTGAGAAAGAGTTGAGAACTGGGTCTGTCCAGGGCCACCCAGAGAACTGTCCTGCACTTTGCCTTTTTTTGACAAAACAATAATGTGCTTTTATGATTTCCTCAAGTTTTCTCATCCCCTTAGTCGTGCTGTCAAATGCAAGCCTTCCTCTCCAAGCAGTGCATCCTCCCGTTTCGTGACTGACCTCTGAGACCTGCCTTTTTTGTACTTTTGGGTTGAACCTTCTGTTTCCAGAATCCTATGCTGCTTCTTCCTTGACTTTCATTCTCATTTACTTTTTCTGAAGTGCATCCTTACCTAATTTCAAGCAAGGATACCCTTGCTTGTCGAGAAAGAGCTTTATTTTGGCCTTACACTTCCTGGACAGTTTACCAGAATTCAAGACTCAAAATCCTCAGCCCTCTGCCTCACACTCAGCTGCAAAACAATTTTCACAGGTAAAATTGAGTACATTTTCATCAACATATTTCCTTAAAGTTTTATCAAAAATTAAAAAGTGCAATTTCAAAAAACCTTTCAATTTTGACTCCTGACCCCAGCAACTCATGGAAACTGTTCTCTCACAGATGATAGATTCTTGCCTCATTTAACAATCTCTTTTCAGTCTGCAGTGCCTGAAAGTGCTGACTTCTGTTCGTAGACCTGGAAGGCACAGGTGCTTTCTAATATACAAGAGTTTCAAGCATGCAGGAACTGAGCCTTTTGGTTGGAACAAAAAGTCAGGGGCCGATGGGAGTCCGAGAAATAGAAGTGAGAGAGTCAGTGAAACGGAGAGAGGAGATGGAGAAGAAATAAGGGGAAGAAGAAGGGCAACAACCAGAAAGAATATTTTCTTTCCCTCCCCCTTATCCTCCTGATCTTTAATGGTTACATTGTTACTTTTTGTTCTTCCATTGGCTACAAAGGTGACTGTAAATAACACACATCCATCACTACTCAGATTTATATCAATATTCAGAAAAAAGGCTGTATTAGTCTGTTTTCATGCTGCTGATAAAGATGTAGCTGAGACTGGGCAATTTACAAAAGAAAGAGGTTTCACTGGACTTACAGTTCCACATGGCTGGGGAGGCCTCACAATCATGGCGGAAGGCAAGGAGGAGCAAATCACATCTTACATGGATGGCAACTGGCAAAGAGAGAGCTTGTGCAGAGAAACTCCCGTTTTTAAAACCATCAGATCTTGTAAAACCCATTCACTATCATGAAAACAGCACAGGAAAGACCTGCCCCCAAGACTCAGTCATCTACCACAACACATGGGAATTATGGGAGCTACAAGATGAGATTTGGGTGAGGATACAGAGCCAAACCATAGGATTCTGTTCCTGGCCCCTCCCATATCTCATGTCCTCACATCTCAAAACCAATCACACCTTCCTAACAGTCCCCCAAAGCCTTAACTCATTTCAGCATTAACTCAAAAGTCCACACAGTCCAACGTCTCATCTGAGACAAGGCAAGCTCCTTCTGTCTATAAGCCTGTGAAATAAAAGCAAGTTAGTTACTTCCTGGATACAATGGGGGTACAGGCATTGGGTAAATACAGCCATTCCAAATGGGAGAAATTGGCCAAAACAAAGGGGCTAGAGGCCCCATGCAAGTCCCAAATCCAGCAGGACAGTCAAATCCTAAAGCTTCAAAATGATCTCCTTTGACTCCGTGTCTCACATCCAGGTCGCACTGATGCAAGAGGTGGGTTCCTAGAGTCTTGGGCAGCTCCACCCCTGTGGCTTTGCAGGGTACAGCCTCCCTCCTTGCTACCTTCACTGGCTGGTGTTGAGTGTCTGAAGTTTTTCCAGGTGCACAGTGCAAGCTGTCAGTGGATCTATCATTCTGGGGTCTGGAGGATGGTGGCCCTCCTCTCACAGTTCTACTAGGTGGTGCCCCAGTAGGGACTCTGTGTGGGGGCTCCCACCCCACATTTCCCTTCTGCATTGCCCTAGCAGAGGTTTTCCATGAGGACACCACCCCTATAGCAAACTTCTGCCTGGGCATCCAAGTGTTTCCATACATCTTCTGAAATCTAGGCAGAGGTTCCAAAACCTCAATTCTTGACTTCCGTGCACTCACAGGCTCAACACCACATGGAAGCTGCCAGGGCTTGGAGCTTCCACCCTCCGAAGCCATGGCCTGAGCTCTACATTGGCCCCTTTCAGCCATGGCTGGAGCAGCTGGGACACAGGGCACCAAGTCCCTAGGCTGCACACAGAATGAGGACCCTGGGCCCAGCCCACGAAACCACTTTTTCCTCCTGGGCCTCCATGCCTGTGATGGGAAGGGCTGCTGTGAAGACCTCTAACATGCCCTGGAGACATTTTTCCCATTGTCTTGGGAATTAACATTTGACTCTTTATTACTTTTGTGAATTTCTGCAGCTGGCTTGAATTTCTCCTAAAGAAAATGGGATTTTCTTTTCTATCATATTGTGAGGCTGCAAATTTTCTAAACTTTTATACTCTGTTTCCCTTTTAAAACTGAGTGCCTTTAATAGCACCCAAGTCAATTATTGAATGCTTTGCTGCTTAGAAATTTCTTCTGCCAGATATCCTAAATCATCTGTCTCAAATTCAAAGTTCTACAAATCTCTAGGGCAGGGGCAAAATGTTGCAGTCTCTTCACTAAAACATAACAAGAGTCACCTTCACTCAAACATAGCAAGAGTCACCTTTGCTCCGGTTCCCAACAAGTTACTCATCTCCATCTGAGACCACCTCAGCCTGGATTTCATTGTCCATATCATTTTCAGCATTTTAGTCAAAGCCGTTCAACAGGTCTCTAGGAGGTTCCAAATTGTCCCACATTTTCCTGTCTTCTTCTGAGCCCTCCAAACTGTTCCAACCTCTGCCTGTTACCCAGTTCCAAAGTTGCTTCCACATTTTCAGGTATCTTTTCAGCAGCACCCCACTCTACTGGTACAAGTTTACTGTATTAGTCCATTTTTACACTGCTGATAAAGACATACTTGAGGCTGGGCAATCTACAAAAGAAAGAGGCTTAATGGACTTACAGATCCACATGGCTGGGGAGGCCTCGCAATCATGGTCAAAGGCAAGGAGGAACAAGTCACATCTTACACGGATGGCAGGAGGCAAAGTGAGAGCTAGTGCAGAGAAACTCCCATTTTTAAAACCATCAGATCTCATGAGATACATTCACTATCATCAGAACAGCACAGGAAACACCTGCCCCCATGATTCAGTCATCTCCCACTGGGTCCCTCCTACAACACATGGGAATTATGGAGCTACAAGATGAGATTTGGGTGGGGACACAAAGCCAAACCATATCAAAGGCAAAGGGTTTTAAGTCAATCTGTGAGTTGATTGGGCTATTTTTTAGTGCTGATTTTCACCAGAGGAGGGTGGGGATGAGAGAGGAAGGGAGTTCTTGATAGGGTGCTGTTCAAAGGTGCTTGGGGGCAGGTGCAAGGGAGCTGAGATCTTTTCCATATTTCTGTTTCTTCTCTGAGCTCCACAGAGCCAGAGGCCATGAGCAGACAGGCTTTGGGGCCTGGATGACAGTTGTGACAGATATCACTGCCTTCTACCAGGCCCACAGGGAACACAAGATGCTCCAGTGCTGTCAGGATCTAGGGGAAGCTGCTGTCATTTTTGCATCTCCAGGGTTTCAGCTTTGAGATCACCAGGAAATAATACCATGTGGAGGGAGCTGGTGGGATTCTTACAGGGTTGGGGCAAGGTGTTCTGTGACTTTGGGGCAGCAAATACCTGTGAGAGGGCTGGAGTGAATGACTGTGAGAACTGGGTGGGAGCACATATGAGGCACCCCGGGGGATGTCCAGAAACACCTGGAGTAGCTGAGGTCCCACTTCATGCACACAAGCCCTAACTTTCAAAAATGGGTCCCGACTGCTAGCTCAGCTCTGTGTCTCCAGATGGAAGAGATCTGTGAATCTATGAAACCCAAATTGTTCTGGCAGAGCAAACTAACTTTGCCTACTTTATAGCTACCAAGGGATCCAATTCAACTCCATCTTTGAAAACCAGATTAAACTAGTCCAATTTCCATGGTTTAGCTGCCAGTTCTTCATTTGCAGGTTGACAGAAGGGGATGAGAGAAAGAGAGAGGGATTATACTATTTCTGCTCCCTTCTATCCCTATCCCTTTTCTTCCCCTCACTTGATAAAGCAAATAGTAATTTGTCCAAGATTTTTATCAGGGAGACCAATCTCTCTACCCCAGTCCAGGTTTTCTGTGCATAAAGGAGTGAATATATTCTTAGAAATGATATGGAGAGAATGAGTACAAATGGTGAAGTAAAATCTAGCTTCCAGGGCTGCAGAGCTCATGAAGATGCTGGAAGTCATCCAATCCAATCCAATCCCTTCTACGTTCTTGTGCTCATTGCTCTTTCAGCCTCCTGTCCGCCTCCAGTAACATAACAAGAAAAAAAAAAATCGATGGGACTTTATAGCTACATGGTATTGAAGAAAGTCTATCAGTAGACAAAAGAGAATGAATAGTTTGAATGCAGATCATGATGAGAAATGTCAAACCCTTGAGAAAATGTGCTATGAAGGGTAGTATAGGTCAAAACACACTTTCCTCTGAGTTTAAATCTCAGCACTGTGATGTTTAAAAAGAAAAGAATGTCTAGAGAAATAGACATAAAAGATAAGAACTGGGATGAATAAGGAAGGGTGGAGCTCAGGAAACTAATAAGTGAGAAGAATGGAAAGAAATGGGCTACAGCAAAGAGAGTGGGAGTGAGAGCAGAGAAAGAGGCTGATGAACAGAAAAGTGACACTGGGTGTGGACCGAGGACTGGATGCCGAAAGGGTGGGTCGCGACAGATAATGGCAGCCGGGGGAAGGTGAAGCAATCAGAGGATTGGAGACAGGCAGGGAGTGGACCAAGCAAAGAGACTTCACAATCTGTCTGGGGAGAAATGGGGAGGAGGAGGGAGGTAGTGGGGGAAAAGCAAGCATGGCGCAAGTCCAGATAGCTGCACACCGGGGCAGCCTCAGAGGAGTGACTCACCGCCTCTCAGGCAGATTTGCTTCGCAGCCCCTGGTTGGTACGACTACTTGAGCTCATCAAGAAGCTTAGCAAATTAAGAAGTGGTTAAAATACTAAGGGTAGGGCCAGCTATTGTTGCCAGCATAACATGATTAATGTTATACTAGTCTCTTTTCAGCCCTATGGATTCCATCTTGTCTTGTCATTCACATGGACTGTGAAGTCATTCATTTTCTTTTCCTCTAAAACTCTGTGATTCCTTTGCTTAATGTCACTCTGCACAGAACTTGAGCCTCCCTTCACCTCGCCTTGTCTCACAGTAATATGACTAAGTCATTGGTGACACTGACATGGGGAGAGGGAGTTACCAAAATCTTAGAAGACGATGTCTCGCTTATGAAGGGCTATTTAAAATGGAGGTGAGATGCTGTACAGTAACATTCCAGAAAGCAGATACAATGACCGGTGTTTCCAACCATGATCAGTCTTTACAGGGTGTACAGTACAGTGGACAGGCAGCACTCCTTCTCCCTTAGCGTCAGTTTCCTTCATCACAAAATGGTGGTGGGGGCAAGGCTAGGAGGAGGAATTGAACTAGGAATCATTGGAAACGGCTCCTTAGTTTCTTCTCACATCTTGGAGGTGGCTTCCTAGAGTGTTGTGTCTGGAAAGGGATTCTGAGACTACATCATGAGTAAGTGGGAAAATGCTAACATGGGTCATTGTGAAAAATAGCAATTTTTGAGTATTCTGTGAAAGTCACTATTCTAAGTGATCTACATAAATTGTGTCATTATTAATCCATTTTATGATTAAGGAGTCTCACAGTGAGTCTTGCTTAGTGGTGTCTGCCATGGTATAAGTGCCATGGGTTTCTGACTTCTGCACCAAATAATCTCTAAATTCCTTTTTTCACACTCTAGAATACTATAATATGTGAGAGATTACAGCAGTGACCTGCCTTAGGCTACTCCTAATAGGGTTCCTCTTTGCCACTGTCGGTCTTCATTGTCCTTCTCTCCAGGATCCTGAGCACTTCTGCGTGAATGCATGGAAGCAGTCATTGGCTCCATGGCTACTTTCTCATGGATGACGCAGGACAAATGCTGAAACTTGCCTTGCTTTGCCTGCAGCCTCACATAGGTGCTTGGTCAAACACCCTATGCTGGTTGTCAACAAATTCATCATTTTCCCGGTGCTGCCAAAAGTCTGAGTTTGGCGATCATCTTCTGCTCTATGACACTTCACCAGGGGAGATGTCCATCTCCCTTAAATCTCCTGCTAGCATACACTGAGATTTGTGACTCTACATCACAGGTCAACTCCTCATTCATAGCACCGGGAGGATGCTAAAAAAAAAAAAAAAAAAAAAAAAAGCAGGTCATTTTTCTCCAACATCTGTATCCTCTGTGTGTGCCTCCAGAGCTATCCAGGTTAAGAACAGTGATTACAGTTTAACCATAAATCTTTGGTAATGTATCTCTTGTCTCCAGTACTCTAGTGTATGTATTAATAACAACTTCCAAAGTATGTATAATGCCTAATTTATATAATACTTTTATACAGTTAGCTTATATTAATCTTTATCCTCATGACAGGTAAAGTAGGTTTTATTATCACCATCAGTCCAGAAGGAAATCAGGTCCTAGGGAGTTCAAATGATCCTTACATACAGCTGGAAAAAGCAGAACCGGAATTAGAATCTAGATCCTTTGACTAGAGACCTGCAGGACATACAAGAGCAGGAATTTGGTGAAAAACTTGGAGAAGAAATTGAACAAGGGAGTGGGAAGCTTGCTTTATTATAGGTCACCCCATTCCCTGGCTCTGAATAGAATCCAAGAGGCTTGGGTTCAGAGGCAGGTCATGGAACAGAAGCTATAATTGCTAAGTGAAGAAACTGTTGAAATGAGCTGCAAACTTTTTGATTTCTTCATCCCATTTCAGAATCCTGTACAGTAGTGGTTTCCAGTCCATGTTCTGGGGAGCCTTAGGGTCAAGTTTGTGAAGTTTCCTTAGGGTCAACACGACATCATGGTGGAACATCCCTGCAGTACCACTTTCACCTGTCTTAGATATTGGACATCTGCATAAGATTTAAGTTGAAGAATATTTTGCTACTTAGGAAAAATCTTTGCAATTCGTCATTATACAGGACTATTTAACCTCTTGCCTGTTTAGTTGTGCAGGACATCTGGATAATTTTCAGCCAAGGAATTTACCATCAGGAGAGGTAAACAGTGATCTAGACTGTCACATGGGAGCTAGGGGGTGGAGTGATGATCATGCTTAAGACATGGGATTAGAAGTCATGGGGATTTGGTCATCCAGGGTCAGAAAAGGTGGCCCACCAAGGCTGTGATAGTGGGAACTCCGAGCCAAGCAGGACCTCTTCAGGGAATGTGTGTAGTGTGTAGGAACTGAGAAGTGAATGTAGGGGATCAAGTTCCAGACTTGGATCCTATGCCAGAATTCTATTAAATCCTAGGACCCAGGTTAGGCTTTACTCCTGGGAGCTTTGATGCACCACTAGAAACGCTACCAACCACATTAAACAGGACTGGATCTTGTCTTTTAAACATTCCACTTTTACCTGTCATTTCCATGAATGTGTGAAGTCAACATTCAACCCTGTCATCTCCCTAAATTGGATAAACTCCATAAATTCCACTAGTGAGCCTAGCCCATTCCAGGTCAGGCTCTGGGACCGGGTAATGATTAGCAACAAGAACAGATGCAGGCTGAAATTTGATATAAAAATGACTACATTTAAGCCAGGTGTGATGGTGCACACCTGTGGTCCCAACTACTTGGGGCTGAGGCAGGAGGGTCTCTTAAACTTAGAAAGCCAAAGCTGTACTACTCTATGATTGTACCTGTGAATAGCCATTGTACTTCAGCCTAGGCAACGTAGCAAGTTCTCATCTCTTAAAAAAAAATCAAAATACATTTAGTCACAAGCCACCATCATCATCATCACCATCCTGAACCTGTTATAAAAAAGTCAACAAGCAATTTTTTGCACTGCAAAGGAAAAACCAGAAACCTTGTCAGAAATCATTTGGGGGATTCTGAAATCAAAACATACTCTGAAATAGAGGCATGAAAACAAGACCAGCAGTGCAATTAAATGCTGTCCTTTGCTTGACTCTTGTGTCATAGAAACAATAGCTAATACACAATATTATCTCAAAGTGGAGGAAAAGATCTTGAGAAGTTTAATCCTGGATATCCTTGGCCTAGGATTAAATATTTAGGTGGAGCATTGGCCTGCTTATGAGCTGTGCACGTTAATACTGCAACCACTCAGCCTAAGTCATCCCCCCTGGTAATTCTACCTCCCCACAGCAGCACCCCAAACTCACTGTCACATTAGGCAATTGTGGTGAGCTGGTAACCTGATAGCAGCACATTATGTAGTTATGTGGGAACTCTGGTTTCTGGAACAGACTGAGGTTCCCAAGCTCTGGTCTTATGCTATTTGGGCGTGTCTTTCACGAAGCACTCTATGTAGAAAACAGACAGAAACACTAACTAGCACTGTTTGGGGGGATATTTTCCAATAGAGGCATGGCATTGACCCATTTCTTTCAAAGAGTTCTCGTTAGAAAGGAGAAAAGTTGGTAATAACAATAAATAACTCCCTTCTCTGCCTGATATTTGTTCCCTAGCTTGTTTAAATACTGTCCTTTTGGGTAAGTTATATCGTTTATAAATTAAAGTGTAGAAAAATAATTCTCTGTCATCAATGGTAGAGGTACATTACGCTCTTGTTTCGTTTTTTTTTTCTTTTCTTTTTTTTTTTTTTTTTTGAGACAAAGTCTCATTCTATCACCCAGGCTGGAGTGCAGTGGTGCAATCTCAGCTCACTGCAACCTCCACCTCCTGGGTTCAAGCGATTCTCCTGCCTCAGCCTTCCAAGTAGCTGGAATTACAGGTGCATGCCTGGCTAATTTTTGTATTTTTTAGAAGAGACGGGGTTTCACCATATTGGCCAGGCTGGCCTCAAACTCCTGACCTCGTGATCCACCCGCCTTGGCCTCCCAAAGTGCTGGGATTACAGGCATGAGCCACTGTGCCAGGCCTACACTCTTGTTTCCTAAAGAAACCATTGAACTTGGTAGGAAAGCAAAGTGAAACATTTCAGATTTAAGCAGTGAAAATGGATAGGGGAAAGTAATAAAGGTTTATGTACCAGTTTTCATGCTTTTGATAAGAAGCAAATTCCCTGTGCACAGTCATCCACCCTTTACAAAAGCTGGCTTCGAGAAGATGGGAAGGAAAGGAGGAGAGGCAGAGTAGAGCATTTTCAATACTTCAGCTGAGGGATGGTGTCACTTTGGCCTTACAGCTGTATTCCCATATTGTCAGAATGAGAGCTCAGATGTTTTATGGCAATTTGACTCCACTAGTCAGATCTTCCTAAAGGTTACTCCTAAAACCACGTTAAGGAGAGGTGGAGAGCACAACCTGGTAGGAGTGGAGGGTTGTGGGAGAGGAGAAAAAGAGAGTGAAGAGATGAAAAGAGAGAGATTGCTGAGACAACTAGGTTAGGAGAGTAACTCAGAAAAGCTTGTGAGATTTTACTATGTTGCCTCTGAATATGTGTAGAATAATTTTAGGTATAAACTAGAACATGGGAGATTCACTCTGAAAAAAGAAAATTTCAGGGAATAGATTGTTTGTGTTTTAACAATTGGGCTTGGTCACCCAGATGAACAAGGGCCAGGTTCCTCGCCTCATGGGAGAGATCCCTCTTGACCCTATCCCTCAGGACCTCCCACATCAAGCCCACTTGTGCCTATGTGTGAGATGTATGCAGGTGACATGCCTGAATGCCAGGTTCCTATCTAACTCTGTAGCCAGGTAAGCTGGCTCAGTTGTGGCATGTGCCCCTTGGTCGCCCCCTCTTAAATGAGCTAGTGAAGAAACAAGTGGTGCTACATCTTAGGAGTTTCCAGAGGTGAGATTTTAAAGTTTGGAACGATGTCACTTTAGAATTATTTGCAAACAGCTTCCACATAAAAGAAAGTTTCCAAAAGAAGGAGAGTGATCACTCAGGTACCTAAATTTTTAATAGAGAAAATTCCAAAAACACTCTACATCATAGGATAAGTCTTTTTCTGACACATTAGTTGTTTTTGTGGGGGGCGGGGGGATTTTCTCATTTAGAATAAGCATCCCAATATTTGTTTTGTTTTCTTTTTGTTTGTTTGTTTGTTTTGAGATAGAGTCTCACTCTTATTGCCCAGACTGGAGTGCAATGGTGCAATCTCAGCTCACTACAACCTCTGCCTCCCAGGTTCAAGGGATTCTCCTGCCTCAGCCTCTTGAGTAGCTGGGATTACAGGCGCACACCACCACACTCGGCTAATTTTTTAATGTGTTTTTAGTGGAGATGGGGTTTCACCATGTTGTCCAGGCTGGTCTCAAAATCCTGACCTCAGGTGATCCACCCACCTCGGCCTCCCAAAGTGCTGGGATTACAGGTGTGAGCCACTATGCCTGGCCACATCCCAATATTTGTAATTTTGATCCAATCCAGTGCACTGCTGTGTTTGGAGCTGGGAATTCTGGTCAAACTATCTTCTAAGACATTCATGCTCCAGCTGGGAGGGGCATACCCAGAAAGTCACAGAAATTCCAAGCAATGCTATTCTCCCAGGCAATATCCAGTTGGACTAGGATGGACATTGATCAATGCTAACTCATCCATAAGCAGGCCAGTGAGAAAAGAGAAAAACTGAGCCGGGCCAATTGGATTACTTTCTTTAAAATTTTGGACTTGAGAAACTGAGAGACTAACTTCTTAGCTGTAAGAAGACAAATGGAAGGTCATGTAGACTGGGAAGCTGGGCTAGCCATCATGAGACATGTTCTATATGACAAGAGCACAGAGCAGATGTAGAGAAAGGGGGAGAAAGGGGGCAGAGAGGAAAGGGGAATACCCCTAAAATGAGTGGCTTTGGGCCCAGCATGGTGGCTCACACCTGTAATCCCAGCACTTTGGGAGTCCAAGGCGGATGGATCATGAGGTCAGGAGTTCAAGACCAGCCTGGCCAAGATGGTGAAACCCCGTCTCTACTAAAAATACAAAAATTAGCCAGGTGTGGTGGTGGGTGCCTGTAATCCCATCTACTCAGGAGGCTGAGGCAGAGAATTGTTTGAACCCAGGAGGTGGAGGCTGCAGTGAGCCGAGATTACACCAGTGCACTCCAGCCTGGGAGACAGAGTGAAACTCCATCTCAAAAAAAAAAAAAAAAAAAAAAGAGTGGCTTTGGTTCCTGGCAAGATTCCAAGTCCCATGAGTTCCCATGCTATTTCATTTCTTGTTTTCAAATTCCTGTGACTCTTCTTTGTTTTGTAACCATCACTCCCCGCCCCTCAACCACAACCATCACTCCCAACTCTCCCTCCAAACTACCCTCACCTCTACTGAGTGGGCTCTCCTGGTTCTCTATTCCTTCCAACTGTGAAGATGGATGCCTGAATAAAACACTCCCAAACGCTATCTGGGATTACTCTTCAAGCCAACAAACTAAGAGAACACAATGTGACAAAAAATGAGAAAGAAAATAAAGTAAAAAAGATGGAAATCATCACAAAGCAGATGTGAGAGATATGACCAACATTTAACTAAAATTTATGAAATGTATACTTTTAAATTTAAATTTTAAACTACAAACATATTACCTAAATAAGGAAAAATGAACGATGATATAATGGGTGGAACAATAAAAGACTGGCCAAAAAATTTAAAAAGTACCAACAGTAAAAGGAAAAAAAGTAAAAATCTACAGAGCAGAATGGTGACTTCCTTTCTGGGAGGAAAAATACTGGAAGGGGATGCCTGCTGGGTGCTAGTGCCTTACACACATGATGTTGTTGAATTCTTACACCCAGCCCTTTGAGGCGAGTGGTGACACTTCCATTTAACAACAGCACAGTCAATAGTTCAAATAGATAAGACCTGCTGAGGTCAGACAGCAAAAAAAAGCAGAATCCCATGTCTGGCTGCCTCCAGGGTTGATGCTCTAAATGAAAAATGTGCTTGTCCGACTGTTCTCAGGAAAGGTGCACCAGTGTGGAGATGAAGTTTCCTGAGAGGAACCAATCTTTCACAGGTTTTCCCACCTGGAAGTCTCAGCAACAGAGTTAAAGATTCTATTCTATTGACTATTTGCAGTTGTTGGGACTTTCCATACAGCTGGATCTTTTACAAAACAAATCCTGGCCCACGACATGATTACCAAGGAGACAGCTGTGGGGTGGATCTTGAGTGTAGGCTCATCTGAGGCCAGTGTCGAGCAGACAAGGTCAGACAAAAAGGGTGCATCTTTTAAAGAGCCTTGCTCATTAGCCATTGCTAATGAGAACAACAAAGCCATGGTGTGGTGGGTAGCTTATCATGCCTAGATGTGGGGCATTTCCCAATGGTGGTGTCCTTGCCTTCTTGGTGTTTGGGAGAAGCAAACTTATCTAGAACAATTAGGAAAACAATTCAGTTACAGAGTTTGAAATAACTGGTCTAAGGGACTTTGGAACTCAAAGCAATTTTTTAACCTGTCTTTAAAACTTATGACGCCTGGGCAACTGACCCTATCTCTAGGGTATTGCTTTTTCATTATCTGGGTGTGGTGGCATATGCTTGTAGTCTCAGCTACCCAGGAGACTGAGGTGGGAGGATCACTTGAGCACAGGAGGTAGAGGCTTCGATGAGCTATGATTGTACTATTGCACTTTATCCTGGGTAACAAATTGAGACTCTTGAGTCAAAAAAAAAGGGGGGGAGGGGAAGATAACATTCTGAGAGATATTCCTATTGCACAAGTGAGTAAATTCAAGAGCAGAAAAGTGACAGTGGGTTATGCCAGGTTATATCCTGCAAGCTCAACTGAGGCAAAAATCAGGACCTGGAAATCCTGGCTCCAGGGTGAAGGTTTTACCTTTTGATGCAATTGTTTTGCAGCACCCAAGAGGTCTCAGATTATATCTTCCATATTCATTCATTCATAAAATATATACTGAATGGCTGAGATATGACAGACACTTTGCTAAGTGCTAGAAAAGTCAAGGAAGAATAGGACACAATCGTAGCCATTGAGGGCAATATTTTGTGCAGCAGTCCTCCATTGTGGAACTGCAAAATACTACACCTAAATTCTCCACTGTGGGATTGGGAAAATATAGTTGTTTTTAAAGAAGTATTTTTTATTATAATAATAATTATATTTTTATTTTTATAAAATAAAAATCAAATTTTATATTATAAAATTATATTATAAAATTATAAAAATATAACTATAAAATAAAAATTTTATATTTATATTTATATTTATATTTTTTATTATTATTATAATTATTATTATTTTTGCTATATGAACATACAAGAAGAGACTTACTCTGATCTAGAGAAGTCAAAGAATGCTTCATAGAAAAGATGAAGAATCAGTAGGTGTTTCATAGGAAGAAGACAAGTAGATTCCATGTAATGGAAAGTCTATGCATAGCCTTGAAAACAAGAAAGAGTAGGAATATTTGAAAAATAGCAAACAAAACAAAATCCTTTGTCTGGGTTGTTTTATTAAGGTTAGAAAAGCTACCAAGAGTTAAATCGTGAAAGATCTTGCATGCTTATGGGTTAGAACTCATGCTGTAGGATTGAAGTTCTAAGAACAGATTTTAGCCACAGTAGTCACATGATGGTATTCTGGCTTTACAAAGTAGTTATGATTCAAATTAAACATTGAAAATTAAAGACAAACATTTATATATACTCTCTGGAGAAACCTATTGAAAATGACAGTAAGGGGATTTAAAAAGGTGTAAACTCCCAAGGACAAAGAGAGCTGTAGAGGAGACATCAGACAAAAGTTGACAATTGTATTTTGGAAGATGGAAAGCCAAAAAGAGAGGAGTTGTTGACTGAGTAAAGTGGGGAAAACAACCAAAACCTAAAAGCCTAATAAAACCTAAGAGGAAGCCAAGAAGAAGAAAGATAAGTTGCTCTAAAGAACTTAGGAAAGGTCAGGATTGATAGTTCTTGGTGTTGATGAAGATGACAGGAATGGGTGGAGCCAAAGGCAAAGACTTTGTTGAATGTCTATAAAAGTAAGTTATAGAGTCTTCACCATGCCTCCAGTCAGATGAGCGTCTCTCCTCTTCCCTGGTAGAAGGCAGGATGTTTGCTCTCTGGAGAGGCTGAACCAGCAGGGTTCTGGACTCAGTGATACTGGGGAGTAGGGTAAGAGGCTGGACAGAAACAGAAGGATTAAGTGAAAGTCCACATACTGAAGGGGGACACGTGGAAACCTTCATGCAGCTCCATGAACACAGACATCAAAGCCTATGCTCCCTACAGAGGAGACTGGCAAGTTCTTCTTTGGAGAAAGTGACCAACCCTAAGGAAAACACCTACTAATACTGACATGGCAGTCACCCAACGAAGTGCCTGGCTCCTGCCTATCATTCTACAGTGCAGTCCACCAGTCTGCAAGTCCTACCAAAGCACACAGGGCTTCCAATCAACATTTTATTCCCTGACGCCTAAATGTAGGCAGCCAAAGATCTCCAGATACATTAGGAAACTCTCCAATATGAGAGACAGGTTTTAAAAACAAGAGCAATGACAAATAAATAGAAAACAAAAACATGAAGAAAAGAGGCAATGCAAGAGAAGACTTCAGAAACCCTCCTTTAAGAGTTCCTGCACCTAGATAATAAGATGCTATAAAAATCTCTTAAAAATTAAAATGTTAAAGTAGAAATGTTTTTAAAAATCCACAAAGAATTGGCAGGTAAAATTAAGAATATCTTTTAGAAGGCAGTACAAAAGAAACAAACAAAAAAACCACAATGAGTAAAGATAAGAAAGTAAAATACCCATATCAAGGTATGTCATTGTGAAATTTCAAAATACTAGGAATAAAAAATAAAACTCTTTAAAACTCCAAAGAAACAAATAGTTTCCACATAAAGTTGATTCAAAATGTACTGGACTTCTTAACAGTAACAGTAGAAGCTAAAAAGCAATGTAGAAATGACTTAAAGATCCCAAGGAAAACAATTACTTTCTACCAAGGCTTTACTCCCTGGCCAATCTCTCATTTCACTGTGAAATTAGAATCAAGGTATTGTCAGGTATGTAAAGTGTGGTATACAGTATTTATGCTCCCCAATATCTGGTTCCCCTTTCCTTCCTGGGTGCAAAGAGGACTACACTTCCCAGGCTTCTCCAAGTTAGGCAGGGCCACACGTTCTGATCATGGCTGTGAACAGAAGTGACATAGACTTTCTGGCCAAATAGTTAGACAGGAGTATGAACTCCACGCTTTCTGAAGACGTCTGATGTTGAAATGGTGGAGCCACGAGATTGAAGCAGTTTGCATTACTGGATCACCACATGAAAGATAGTTGCCCTGGAGAGTTACCCAACTTCCAGCCAACTTGGTGTGACCCAGAAAAAGACTTGACATGTTAACCCATTAAGAAGTGAAGCTACATTTTCTTAATCTAGTCTATCATTGTTGGACATTTAGGTTCGTTCCAAGTCTTTGCTATTGTGAATAGTGCCACAATAAACATATGTATGCATGTGTCTTTATAGCAGCATGATTTATAATCCTTTGAGTATATACCCAGTAATGGGATGGCTGGGTCATTAGGAGATATACCTAATGTTAATGACTAGTTAATGGGTGCAGCACACCAACATGGCACATGTATACATATGTAACAAACCTGCACGTTGTGCACATGTACCCTAAAACTTAAAGTATAATAAAAAAAAAAGAAATGAAGCTTATTTTTTTCTGCAGCATAGTCTAGCCTAACCTAATGTATAACCTATCAAAGATATTTCTAACTGTACCATTTCTCAAGAAGTTAATGGCTACCCTATGACCCAGCAATTCCACCTCTAGGTGATATTCCCCAAAAGAAATGAGTGCATGCGTGCAACAAAAGACAGGGACCAGACTGGTTGTAGCAGCTTTATTTATTATATCCAAATACTTTACATTCATACCACATAAAATAGCAAAAACAAACAACAAAATAAACAACTGGTACATGCAACAACATGGATGACTCTCCCAAGCATGATGCAAGAATACCAAACACAAAACAGTACATACTGTATGATGATTTTATATAAAGTTCAAGAACAGGCAAAACTCATTGATGGTGGTAGAAGCCAGAGTAGCGATGACCGTGTTGAAGGTACGGGGTAGGATAGAGGTTACTGATGGGGAAGAGGCATGAGGGAGCCTTGAAGAGTTTGGGAACTATTCAATATCTTGATCTGGATGTCAGTTACGTGAATGTCTGTGTATACAAAAATGCATTGGGCTGAGCACTTAAGTTAGTGCATTTAAGTTTAGCAAACAGTTTGGTACACTTCAATTTAAAAAAATGTTTAGGCCAGGTGCGGTGGCTCACCCCTGTAATCCCAGCACCTTGGGAGGCCAAGGCGGACAGATCACCTGAGGTCAGGAATTCGAGACCAGTGTGGCCACCATGGTGAAACCACGTCTCTACTAAAAATACAAAAATTAGCCAGGCATGGTGGAGGGTGCCTGTAATCCCAGCTACTTGGGAGGCTGAGGCAGGAGAATCACTTGAACCCAGGAGGCAGAAGTTGTAGTGAGCCCAGATTGCACCACGGCACTCCAGCCTGGGTGACAAGAGCAAAACTCCATCTCAAAAAAAAAAAAATAAATAAAATAAAATTTTCAAATGTTTAAAAAGCAGCTGCTGGAGATTGTGCTTTACCAAAGTGAGGAACAAACCCAAACTGGAAAAGCATGGGATACAGGCAATAGGAAATTGCGTGGAGGACACAGATGAAAGGGATTCCTATGAAGACTGAGCTCCAGGATGGCAGTTGCAGAGTAGTCAGGAGTGACAGGAGCTAGAGACAAAGGAATTAAAGTGGGGAAGCATCTAGAAGAAAAAAAATGAAAAGAAAAAGAAACTGATAGATTATCTTAGAGTCCAACTCTATTCAAGGGAGTATCACAATTCTACCAAAGAATTTAGGGAGAAATTCCTAATAAGCATAAAAAACTAAGCAACAACAAAAAATAAGCTATTACTAATGAAAAAAAGAAACCCACAAAAGGTTACATAAACATGTTACCATAGTACACTATATGACTCAGCTTTAAATTTAGCCAGAATATTGTTAGACGATTATGTTGGGAGGATGAGAGGAAGGACAAAGTGGGGGCATGGGAGGAATGCAGCCAGAGGGGTATGGTAAGAAAGCTAAATTCTCATCAGCCCCAGAAGAAAACCAGTAGAAAGTGACTACACTTGAAACGAAATGAAATAACTGCACTTGCATATTATTTAGGAACATGAAAGTAAATCACAAACAGTTGAAAGTGTTTAGACTCAGAGTGGAGAGGGGTAGAGAGAGGACTGATATTTTTATTGTTGTATTGACTTCTACATTACATACATAAAGTATTTCAGCACTATGCTGAAGCAATTTTTAAAATTTCAGAAGACCAGGTGCGGTGGCTCACGCCTGTAATCCCAGCACTTTGGGAGGCCAAGGCAGGCAGATCACAAGGTCAGGAGATCGAGACCATCCTGGCTAATACAGTGAAACTCCGTCTCTACTAAAAGTACAAAAAAATTTGCCAGGCATGGTGGCAGGCGCCTGTAGTCCCAGCTACTCAGGAGGCTGAGGCAGGAGAATCGCTTGAACCCGGGAGGCTGAGCTTGCAGTGAGCAGAGATCACACCACTGCACTCTAGCCTGGGCAAAAGAGTGAGACTGTCTCAAAAAAAAAAAAAATTTTTCAGAAAACTCTAAGAAATAAAAAATAAAGTGACTCATTTGAAAACACATTTTGATTCCAATTGGTTTTTTGCTGTTGTTGTTTTTGTTTTGCTTTTTTTTTTCTTTTTTTTTTTTTTAAGATGGAATCTCTCCCTGTCCCATAGGCTGGAGTACAGTGGTGTGATCTCAGCCCACTGCAACCTCCCGCCTCCTGGGCTCAAATGATTCTCCTGAGTCAGCCTCCCAAGTAGGTGGGACTACAGGCACATGCTCCAGTTGATTTTTTTAAAAACACATACATAGCACATAGTAAGTTGCATAGAGAGGAATTTGTGGCAGGTTATAAAATCACACTGTAATCCTCTTAGAGATCCAAAAAGCTGGGACATTAAACTCGGTCAGCCACCAGTGCTTACTTCAAAGGAAACAGAGTCATGAGATACAAGTGTAAGTTCTATCAGCTTTCAGCTCCATCACAGCTAATGGCATGATAATATTGTACCAGTTTAGAACTTTTAGGTGTAATCACTTTTTGTTATTATTTCAAATCACAACTGCACAACTTAAATGTGCTTTTAAAAAATTAGGTTCTATTAAAGAAAAAATGATTCCTTTATTTAAACAAGGCAATCTGTACCTACAAGGGGCTACACCTACAACTTCTAGAGGCCTATGAAAACCACCAGTGGAAACCACATGTGGAAAAAAATAGGTGCTGGGCTAGTTAAAATGCTAATACAATTTCAAGTATTACTGTATTTTTTTTCTAAAAAGGAAGACAACACAATAGTGTTTTGAAAACTATAGTATAGGAAAGTATATGTGTTATATGTGTGTGGTATAAATGAAATAAATCTTGATAATACAATTTAAGTCTCCTTGGATTTGGCTCTGAAAAAGAAATACTTAATGACAATGAATAATTAAAGGAAGTTTGAATGACAGGTCTAAGAAAAAATATTTTTTTTTGAGACAGGATCTCATTCTGTCACCCAAGTTGGAGTGCAATGGTGTGATCTCGGTGCACTGCAGCCTCGAACTCCTAGGCTCAATTGATCCTCCCACCTCAACCTCCTGAATGGCTGGGACTATAGGCTACAGGCATGCACCATCATGCCCAGCTAATTTTTGGTAGAGATGGGTTTTCACCATGTTGCTCAGGCTGAAAATCTTAAATTAAGCTTATAGTTCTGTGTTTCAGACATTTTGAGAAAAAATATTCCATACTAGAATGATGAATGTATCTTTTTAGTCCTCAGCTTTTTCTTTGTTACTGCCTATACATCACAGGCTCTTTATTAGAACTATATTTCTAGCCAATGATAAAAAACAAAAAACTACTAGTTGGTGGTACTTTTATCAAATTCCATTTGCTGCAGATATTTAGATTTTTGTTAGCCAAGACTTTCAGAACTACTGCTATGTGATTATAAGAATTTATTCATGACACCTTCAAATCAACACAATCTATTTTCTTCAGATTCTAATTAGTTATCAATATTTCAAAATTAATATTTAGCAGTTGTCAATCTTTAAATGCAAGAGATGTTTACCATGATTTTATTCTCATAATGTCCACATTATTGAAAAATAAACCAAAAGATAAGAGAAAAATGCTAGCAAATGGCTAGCTACCTTAAAAAAAGGAGGTGCATTTGATTGAGACTTTTGATTTTGATGGTTCTTATCTTATAGAATCCATTTCAGAACTAAATAGACCTAGGTATATAAGGATGAGGCAACAAAGATATTTCTTCCATTCTGTGACTTGGAATAGCCATACTCCACTCACATACAATGTGTTTTGGTTTGAAAATATGTTTTCAAAAATATGAATTACTAGACAGAACATGATAAAAGCTCTGTGTCTTCATATAGCTAGGCCAGTTTGAGAAATTATGTAAGTTTAGTAGCAGCAAAATGTTCACCAAGTATTCATTGGTTTAATATTTTTAGTAGCTTATTAAAAAAAGCTATTTCTATTTGTTTATTTGTGATGTTTGGGAAATAAACATGCTGATAATTCTTTCGTAAGATACTTTTTAAGATTGAGACCCCATGAGGTACCGAAAAAAGCATTCACTTCTCTCACACTTGAGGTCACAAATTTTTGCAAGTCAAAAATGTTGGCCATGCCAAAAACATCATGCTGCACACTACCAAATAAAAGAACACTGTTATTCTTACAAGGAAAGGTTTGACAAGACAGGAAATAGGCAGGGTCAGAGAGGTTTACTTAATACGGAGACTCATTTAACCATCATGAAGCCAAAATACAATGACAGTTAAAAAAAATAAACAAATAGCTGTTACACAAAACAAAACCCCAGGATACATGGTCTCTACTGGAACTGATTATTAGAGTTTTAGCAAATACAGGAAGTGGATAACCCCAGAGAACCCTCACAACATTTCTAGACGTCTTCTCCATTTACTTTTGTCACATGCGCTTTACTGAGATAATGAAGATTAAAACAGTTTTGATTTGTGGGTAGAAATTTGAACAAAGAAGGATTGATCTTAAAATGCTGCAAGTAACCTCATTAAAGGGCAATCATTTTAAAAGTCACATTCTCCTAAAAATGGGGAAGGAGGAGGAAGAAAAAAATGAAAGATAGGAAAAATCTAGCTGTTCATTACAATTTTCCATTTTTGTTTAAACACAGCAGGAGGGCAAAGCTGCTGGCTTCTCTGGTCCTTACAAATGCCAGGAGAGATTATACAAACCCTGCAACCACCCAAATCTTATTTAAAGTTAAAATCATTGTTCTCATCTAATGACTTTTGCCTGCTTTCACTCAAATATTGCAGCATTTTGTTTTCTGCCAGCTTGGACCCATTGAGAATTGTAGACTTATAATTGCAGATAAACTATGAAAAAACAAAAACAAAACAAAAAAACTACCTTTTACAAAAAAGCAAACATCAAGTGACATCTAGTGGTTGCTAGATACTATTTCCTAAGGCCTCTAGATAGCAGTATTTTCAACAACATATTGTCTTAATGTTGGTTATAATTTTTGTTTCCCACATACAGCCTCGGTCTTTTTTTAAGACAGAAACGCATCTGATAAAGATAGTAAAGTTGCCATTTTCTTTTCTCAAAGAAAAATTCTTTTTCTATTAGAATATAAATAAGGAAATAGCTATAACTCATGCTATCTGCATGCAAAAAAAGTTCGCAGTCTATCCCATATTAAACTTATTTGGGCAATTATCAACTGTCTAGATGCATCTTAAGAGAAGATGACATTTCAAATCCCAAATTCCTCTGTTTATCTATCATCTTTTGTTTTGTTTTGCTTTTTGAGACGGAGTTTTGCTCTTGTTGCCCAGGCTGGAGTGCAATAGCGCAATCTCAGCTTATTGCAACCTCCGCCTCCCTGGTTCAAGTGATTCTCCTGCCTCAGCTTCCCAAGTAGCTGGAATTACAGGCGCCCGCCACCATGCCTGGCTAATTTTTTTGTATTTTTAGCAGAGATGTGGTTTCACCATGTTAGCCAGGCTGGTCTTGAACTCTTGATCTCAGGTGATCCACCTGCCTCGGCCTCCCAAAGTGCTGGGATTATAGGCGTGAGCCACTGCGCCTGGCCTATCTATAATCTTAAAGGCATTATTAACTTGATAAAATTAAATTTAGTTCAATTGTTGTCCATATTTTTCTTTCCCCCACCTTGAGAACGCTACAGGGTAATTTTGCAAGAATCTAGGTCCACTTTTTACAATTTTTGCTAGTTACACCACAAGTTGTTAAAGAATAGTAACTTAAACAAGGCTACGTAGACATCAGCTGCAAACCTAATTGGGATTGGAATTGCTTAACAACGCTCCTTCAGTGATTTCATGTTTCTGAAAGGCGCCGTAGAAAATAAATGCCTTGCATTGATGTCTTGAAACTGCATTTGTGAAAGAGACAGAAAAGGAAATTATTGACTGAGAAATTGAAAGATGGTGTTTAAATTTAGTATTTTCTTTCCTTGCAAGGAAAGGAAACTTGGAAAATGCAACTGTAACCCAAAGGCCAGCTGTCTGGCTGTCCCCAAGTCTTCCAGTCTTCCAGAGTCACTCTTCATTTTAATAACAGCACACACACACACACACACACACACACACACACAGACACACACACTACTATATAAAACTCCCATCTGACTTCTATGGAAGAACTAGCATCCCTTCACCTCCAATCTTTTCAAGGATTCTCAGGAGCTCTGCTTATTCTTAATCTCGGCTGCGCATCAGGCTTCTCACTACTTTTTCTTCACCCATTTTGGCCCAGATGCAAACTCTTTTGCTTTTAGTCCCCCTCTAAAGTCCCACTGACACTAAAGGAGTGGATTTGACTGAAGTTTGGGTAATAAGAGGGGAGCTACCGTACAGATAGCTCGGAAAACAGATTAAAATGTAATCTGTGAAGTGATACAATGTCTGGGATTTGTTTCAAAATAATTCACTGGGGGTTGGGAGTGGGCAAGTAGGTAGGGATACGGAAGAAACAAAATCAGCTATGAGAGGATCATTGTTAAAGCTGAGTGATGATTACACGGGGTTCATTATACTTCTCATTCTGCTTTTGTATATGCTAGAAATTTCCATAATATAAATTTAGAAGAAGTGTCTTGGCACTCCTTGATGCAGGAAATTTCTCACTGGTCCTTTCTCTGATTAGCCTCCTACCATATTTTGGCGTTCCTGCCCCCTGCTAACCACCCCTGCCACCAACTCCTGAGTCCCTCACATCTCTCTGCCTCTCCTTCTCAGCCTGCCCAAACAAGCCCTTGAGCTCTGAGATCCTACTCTAACATTTGAGTAGCCCATCAGAATGGCTTGCTGACTCCCTAAAAATAAAGAGACCAGTTTTCACCCTAAGAGTAAATTCTGCCCCTAGGTTTACAATACCTCATTCAGGTAAAAGGAACACAACTAGAATAGCACCTGGTGTATATAGCACTTAAAAAATGTTAGCTCTCTTCCTTTTATTATTTGTATTCTAATTTAAGTTATGAAAATCAATTCTAAAATTTGGACACAGATAATTATATTAGAACAAAGCAGTTTAAAAGATGATACTCTGGCTGGGCGCGGTGGCTCACGCCTGTAATCCCAGCACTTGGGAGGCCGAGGCGGGTGGATCACTTGAGGCCAGGGATTTGAGACCAGTCTCGCCAACATGGTGAAACCCCGCCTCTACTAAAAATACAAAAATTAGCCAGGCATGGTGGCGGACACCTGTAATCTCAACTACTCAGGAGGCTGAGGCAGGAGAATCTCTTGAACCCAGGAAGCAGAAGTTGCAGTGAACCGAAATCGTGCCACTGCACTCCAGCCTGGGCAACAGAGCAAGACTCTGTCTCAAAAAAAAAAAAAAAAGGTGATACTCTATGCCTACGAAGTAAAATGTGGCAGGCAGATGATTATTTTGCCTTCTAAACAAGAGATGTTCAATATAGACACAAATAAAACTATCTTTAAGTAATAATATTAATACGTATTTTCTCTCCCAACCACACTACAGTAGCCAAAAGGCTAAGCAGTTCTCACAGCCCCTGCTCATCAGAGGTGACCTAGAAGGCTGAGGAATCTGAACTCCCAGATGAGCTGTACTGGGGGAGAGGGCGGTGCAGGGGGTGGAACCTAGCGTGAGTACCCAGCCTCTCTTCTACCTTCGTCAGCATCAACTGGCAACAGCTCCTTTCACTTCACTTTGTCTACTTTGGCCTAGAAAACACAGGCTTTGCTTAGTGCAGCTCTGAAGTCAGCTGAGGTTAATGTTCAAACCCCACAGAAGGTGTGCGTCTGAAGAAAGGAAGTGAAGTTTCGTAAGGGAAAGGATTTTTTGTTTCAAAATATGTGTGGGGAAATAATAAGAGAATTCATCTGGATAATTATGTTAACAATACAAGGTAGAAACTGCATGTTGTCCATATTTCACATTCCCAGGAGGGAGAACAGAGATTCAGAGATTTGGGGTGCGATAAAGTAGCCGTGGCTTTTGCAGCCTCATGCCAAACACATCTGAGCAAGGGACACAGAAAAGTGGATGTGTTACCGCTGGCCTGTGCCATTGTCCCCAAACACACATGAGACAATGTCAGCACTTACTTCTAGCTCTAAATTGAAAAAACACTTCCTCTCTTTCTGCGAGCACCATTTTCCCTCCCACTCACCCCTGGAGTCTGACACAGTTTCCATTCCAAGGAGACCGGGTAATGATTCCAAGGAGAAAGGGTAACATACTTCAGCAAAAGAGCTGGCGGACAGTGTGAGACGGGCGCAGGGATCAGTTTAGGCTGAAATGAATTAGGAAACATTTTTAACTTGCCCTTTGAAGTTTTTATTGCCTTATCATCAAACGACTTCTCTTCTTGGGCTGTATATTGATTTTTCTGACTATGAAAAAGTGTTTCATCTCTTCTATGATAATCAAACAGTCTCAGTCAACAGCACCTTCTTTTTTCTAAACCATATTATTTCACTATTACACAATTATCCTACACTCCTCATCTGACAGGAACCTCATACAGCATTAGTCTTTTTCTAATATTATTTTCCCTAACATCCTCATTCCAAACATTTCCATTTCAAACATGTAGCTGCAGGGCATTATATCATTATTTGCCTTTGCTCTCATCGAAGTATATTTTATGAGAGCTTCCTGTCATTTATCCTGATCTATGCTACTATTTGTCAAAGCATCACCTCTGCTTCTCTGTCTGCTTCTCTAAGATGCCAGAAAAAAAAAAAATTTCTTCTCAACTAAAAGTTAAGCCATTATAAATCCCACAGGGATTTTAAAATGGGCACACTTGGGATTTTATTTTATTCTAAGTAGAATGTTCTTTCTGATACTCAAAGTGAATGACCTTGTAGAAAAGTATTTTGTCGTATTTCCTCTCTAGCCCATGGCACATTAGAAAATAGTCACAAAGAGTTACTATCCTATGTATTGAACAATGTGTGATTCGAAGGCCAAACTCATATTTGGTTCAGACCTCAGTAGAAATTTGGGCTAATGCCTTTCATGGATGGGGAAAGGGTTTTAGACCCAGGCCAGGAACCCTGGAGTTTAGTCCTACAACTGCTATGGCTGGTTGGTGTCCTGACACCAAATACTTCTTAGTTTCCCTTTGTCTCAGGTAGTTCATTTGTAAAGATTCACTCACAATTGCAGTTCTGCAGTTTTTCAGTGTCATTCCTACCCATCTTTCTTTCTTTCTTTCTTTTTTGAGACGGAGTCTCACTCTGTCGCCAGGGTGGAGTGCAGTGGCGTGATCTTGGCTCACTGCAAGCTCCGACTCCCTGGTTCAAGCGATTCTCCTGCCTCAGCCTCCTAAGTAGCTGGGATTACAGGCATGCGCCACCACGCTCAGCTAATTTTTATATTTTTAGTAGAGACGGGGTTTCGCCATGTTGGCCAGGATGGTCTCGATCTCCTGACCTTGTGATCCACCCGCCTCTGCCTCCCAAAGTGCTGGGATTACAGGCGTGAGTCACTGCACCTGGCTTCCATCTTTCTTTCTTTTCTTTTCTTTTTTTTCTTTTTTTTTTTTTTTTTTGAGACAGAGTCTCACTTTGTTGCCCAGGCTGGAGTGCAGTGGCATGATTATGCCGCATTGTAAAACAGCCTCGTTGCCTGGGGTAATTACCAAAGGTCTGCATCCTCAACTTCCTGGGCTTAAGTGATCTTCCCATCTCTCAGCCTCCCGAGTAGCTGGGACTACAAGTGTGAGCCATCATGCCTGGCTAATTTTTTTAGAGACTAGGTTTCGCTATGTTGCTTAGGCTGGTCTTGAACTCCTGGGCACAAGCAATTTGCCCACCTCAGTCTCCCGAGGTGCTTTGATTACAGATGTGAGCCACCACGCTCGGTCTCCACCCACCTTTCTTTTGCCATCCTCTGTGCTCATTACCTGGCTTCTTAACCTCATTGTCAGACATTTGATTAATATCAGTATTGCTGAAGCTCAGCTCTAGTGATATTATTCTTAGTCCAAAACTCTTCTGTGACTGGCCATTGCCTCCTTGACGTTTAGGACCCTCTAGAGCAGATCTGCAACCTACCATTCCAGAAGAGTTACCAACAATTCCCTACATGTCCTTTATACTCCAGTCCATTGGAACTTTGGTTTTGCCATTTCTTGAATATACCTCATGCCCTCTTTGTATTTTCATGCACATCATATATGTCACACTACCTATATTTGCACAGATGCCTATATTTGTCTTATTTCCCCTGCTACAGATGGTAACCTTCCTAAGGATAACTACTACCATTTATTGACTAAATACTTTTGCCATGGACTGTGTAAGATACTTTACACCTATCATCTCTAGGTCTTCTAATAATGTAAGGTGGATATTATTAACTTTATTTTTCAGATGGAAAGGCAGACTCAAGAGGTTAGATGATGTCCTTAAGGTCACACAGCTAGCATGTCACAGCTTATGTCTTGGTTGTTTCACCTACATCATCTAGAAAAACACTAAATTGGATAAACAATAATGCTGACACTTGCCTGGCACATAGATGCTAGGCAAACACAAGTATGCATGAATGATGGTGATTCTATCCCTTAAATACAGCTAGCTCACCTTAGATAACTGCCACCAGGTGGCAGTAATTTGCCACGGCTGTACAGTCTGGTCTTATTCAAGATTCGTAAAACGGGAGAGGGGGAGAAGACTACCGAGATTATCCGACCGACTCTCTTTATTTTATGATAAAAATTGAGGATCTGGAAGTTTACTTTATTTATTGAAGATATTTTAGTTAGTAAAAGAACAGAGCTTAAACTCAGATGTAAAACTCCCAAAGTTACTATTTTTTTCATTAGATCAGGCTCATTTTTTACTTCAAAATTTGTAATTTATAATGTTCCCATATATTTTCAATATTAAAAGTATTTGTTAAAGCAGTAAATGCAATACAAATTTAACAAAAGTATTTTATAATAAAATTTTAATCGTTTCTTAGTCAAGTAATATAGTTTTCATGTTTAAAAAATGTTAAAATAGGCTGGGCGCAGTGGCTCATGCCTGTAATTAATCCCAGCACTTTGGGAGGCTGAGATGGGCAGACCATGAGGTCAGGAGTTCAAGACCAGCCTGGCCAACATGATGAAACCCTGTCTCTCTAAAAATACAAAAAAAATTAGCTGGGCATAGTGGCGCACACCTATAATCCCAGCTACTCAGGAGGCTGAGGCAGGAGAATTGCTTGAACCCAAGAGGCAGAGGTTGCAGTGAGCCGAGATCGCACCATTGCACTCCAGCTCTGGGCGACAGAGCAAGACTCCGTATCAGAAAAAAAAAAAAAAAAAAAAAAAGTTAAAATATAGATCATGCAAAAAGGAAAAAATTACCTACAATTCCAACAGCCAAAGATATCATCATTTTGATATATATTCTCCTAGAAGTTTCTTTACTCATAGGTAAACCCATTTTGAAAACATATGATCAAACCTAGACATAATTTGGTAATTTGGTAATCTTTTTTTTTTTTGAGACGGAGTCTCACTGTCGCCCAGGCTGGAGTGCCAGTGGCACGATCTCGGCTCACTGCAAGCTCCGCTTCCCGGGTTCACGCCATTCTCCTGCCTCAGTCTCCCGAGTAGCTGGGACTACAGGTGCCCACTACCACACTGGCTAATTTTTTGTATCTTTAGTAGAGACAGGGTTTCACCGTGTTAGCCAGGACGGTCTCAATCTCCTGACCTCGTGATCTGCCTGCCTTGGCCTCCCAAAGTGCTGGGATTGCAGGCGTGAGACACCGCGCCCGGCCGGTAGTTTGTTAATCTTAACTCTTCTCTCTAATCTTGCTCTCGTAGTTATTAGACTTTTTCTTTATGAGATATCCTCTTTATGAGATATCCTGGATCTTTTAGAATCTTCCCAACTTAAATGTGTTTAGTTGCCATGAAAGACTTTTTAATATTTTTTAATCATATGCTTCTTGAGATAATTCTTCCAGTGAAAATTTGTTTCAGTTATAATTTCTTTTCCATTTTTTCATTCCCTTTTCAGTAAGAAAAAGAGCAACATCAAAACATTGCTTACATACCCATCTCCAGTGGAGAAGCATCTTTTCACAAAAGGCATTTTATCTTCCCTTTTGAGAAGTTACTCCTCCCCATTTCAGCTCTCTTCTTAGGATGATAATACTAGATGGTATTTCTCAGCTAAAAGGACCAGGTCAGCCTGGCATGGTGGCTCACACCTGTAATCCTAGCACTCTGGGAGGCCGAGGCGGGTGGATCACCTGAGGTCAGGAGTTCAAGACCAGCCTAGCCAACATGGTGAAACTCAGTCTCCATTAAAAATACAAAAATTAGCTGGGCATGGTGGCGGGTGCCTGTAATTCTCCAGGAGAATCATGTGAACCCAGGAGGCCGAGGTTGCAGTGAGCCGAGATCACACCACTGCACTCCAGCCTGGGCGACAGAGTGAGACTCTGTCTCAAATAAATAAATAAACAAATAAATAAATAAAAATAAAAGGACTAGGTCAGTTACCAATAAAACTATATATTTTACATTAATGAATGGAAGATGAAATGGTTTTAAATGCTTGATCAAGAATTATACTATTATCTTTACTAGAATGTTCACATGCTTGTTAGCATGGATTTTGTGTGTAAAGTTTTCTCTATGTCCGGAGATATTCTGTGAATCTATAAATATTACTGCTAATACAGTGGTCCCTCAGTATCCACTGGGGATTGGTTCCGGGAGATCTCTCTGCCCCCTGCAGATACCAAAATCCTAGAATGCTCAAGTACCTTATATAAAATTGTGTCATATTCATAGAACCTATGCATATCCTCCTGTATACTTTAAATCATTTCCAGATTACTTATAATACCCAATACAATGTAAATGCTATGCAAAAAGTTGTTATGCTGTATTGGTTAGGCAAGAATAACAAGAGGAAAAAAAGTCTGCACGTTTAGTACAGGCACACCACCTATTTCTTTTTTCAAATATTTTTGATCCATGGTTGGTTGAATTCACAGACACAAAACCCGTAGATACAGAGGGCTGACCATCTTATAATTGAATTTTGGCCCATATGATTTTTAAATTTTTTTATTTTATTTGTCCATATGTTATTTGGGTACAGGTGGTATTTGGTTACATGAGTAAGTTCTTTAGTGGTGATTTGTGATATTTTGGTGCACCCATTACCCGAGCAGTATACGCTGCACCCTCTGTAGTGTAGAGTCTTTTATCCCTCTCCCTGCTCCCACTCTTCCCCCCGAGTCCCCAAAGTCCATTGTATCATTCTACTGCTTTTGCGTCCTCATAGCTTAGCTCCCACATATCAGTGAGAACATACGATGTTTGGTTTTCCATTCGTGAGTTACTTTTATCCTATGTAATCTGCAGTTCTGGTAACTGATAGGCGATCCCCACTACCTTAGGGTATGTAGTAGAAATAAACAGTAGGGAGAGAAAGGAAGCTGGATGGCATAGATAGTATGAACTATTGGTACCGTCCTACCAGGGAGCCCTGCTGGAGGTGAAGACGCAGGGGGAAAGAAGGGCAAGTAAGACATAGGTGGTCTGGGGACAGTCAACAGACAGTCAACACAAGGGGATTGGGGTAGGAGTTCTGCTGAGAATGCTTTCTATGTGACTACTTGGACTATTCAATACTCATTTAATTTTGCCAGTTATGTTCAAGGCCCATTAACCCCAATCTCTCATGTACTCGCTTCACAACACTCCAGGTGTCTGCATATCTTGGCCCTCCAGCCTACCCTATTCTTCCATTGATAAAATATGAAAAGATGAAAAAGAAGTTGAGGTACCAATTTCCTGCAAGGTGGGATGGAAATGGCCAGGAAGTATAGTACTGTGAAGGGAAGGTGCTATGAAACTCAGATCTCAGGCCCTGGCCTCCTTGCCCAGCCAAGCCAACTGTTTAAATAATACTATGTTGCTTCCTCTGCAAATAGCCCCACTGAAGTCAATTAATTGATGGAGCATCAGATTCATCTTTAGAAGACTTCCTGTTATTTCTCTTCTGATGTACATATAGCACCAAGGACAGGAATGAACAGTGGGCATCATTAGTGAGTGAGGCAGACTGTCAAGAAAGAAGACAACTGCCTGATTTCTGCTGGGAAATTACTAAGACTGGCAAAATGGTTACTACTATTCAATTATTAGTTAATCTGAAAATCATAAGGTCTTCTCCTTGGCCATAAGTAAATAACTTTGGTTTCCTTTCTAGTGCAGAAGAACTTGCCTTTAGAAAAAGACACTTCCCTGGTCTCCCTTTGCCCCCAGCAGGAATCTAGCAAATGGGAATGCAAAGCTCAATGAGCTCAGGAACCAAGCCTCATTAGCATAAGGCTTCCACCTCCTAGAAAACCAGTTTATTTTCTTTTTTACTTCTTACTTATAACTGTAAAGGCCCATATTTAAAAAGAAAAGAAAAATCTCAATTTAATAATCTAATCCTCTACCTTAAGAAACTAGAAAATGAAAAGCAAACTAAAACTAAAGCAATGAGAAAGAAAATAATATAAATCAGAGTGGCAATAAATGAAGTAGAGAATATAAAAAGCAGAAAAATCAAAACCACTTTTGATTCTTGAAAATATCAATAAAAGTAATGAATCTTTATCTTGACTAACCAAGAATAAAAGAGAGAAGACTCAGATTACTAAAATCAGGAATGAAAGACGTACATTGCTATTGACCTTGTAGAAATAAAAAGGATTGGCAGGGTGGAGTAGCTCACGCTTGTAACCCCAGCACTTAGGGAGGCCAAGGCAGGTGGATCACCTGAGGTCAGAAGATCGAGACCATGCTGGCCAATATGGTGAAACCGCATCTCTACTAAAATACAAGAAAAAAAAAAAATTAGCCGGGCATGGTGGCACATGCCTGTGGTCCCAACTATTCAGGAGGCTGAGGCAGGGGAATCGCTTGAACCCAGGAGGCAGAGATTGCAGTGAACTGAGATTACGCCACTGCACTCCAGCCTGGCAACAGAGCGAGACTCTGTCTCAAAAAAAAAAAAAAAAAAAAAGGAAATAAATAAAAAGGATTATAAGAACACTATCAACAAGCGTATGCCAAGAAATTAGATAACCTAGATGAAATGGAGAAATTTCTAAAAAGACACAAACTACCTGTGATGGTTAATACTGAGTGTCAACTTGATTGGATTGAGGGATACAAAGTATTAATCCTGGGTGTGTCTGTGTGGGTGTTGCCAAAAGAGATTAACATTTGAGTCAGTGGGCTGGGGAAGGCAAATCCACCCTTAATCCGGTGGGCACAATCTAGTCAGCTTCCAGCAAATATAAAGCAGGCAGAAAAATGTGAAAAAGGAAAGATGGGCCTAGCCTCCGCACCTACATCTTTATTCCATGTAGGATGCTTCTTGCCCTAGAACCCGGATTGGCTCTCCTTGCTCCTCAGCTTGCAGACAACCTATTGTGGAACCTTGTGATCGTGTAAGTTACTATTTAATAAACTCACCTATATATATATATATATATATCCATCCTATTAGTTCTGTCCCTCTGAGAGAGCCCTAATAAACTACCAAAACAAACTCAAGAAGAAATAGAAAATCTGGACAGACCAATAACAATTAAATACACTTAATTAGTAATCGAAGCTTTCTACAAAGAAATGTGCAGATGCAGATGGTTTCACTGGTAAATTTCAAACCTTTAAAGAATTCAAACAATCTTCACAAACTTAAAAACATAAGAGGGAAAACGTTCCATCTCATTCTATGAGGTCCTAATGCCAAAAACAAAGACATCACAAGAGAGGAAAAATACTATTAATTATATCTGTAGTGGGTAGAAATGTGTCCCCTAAAAAGATATGTTGAAGTCCTAACTTCCAGTACTTGTAAATGTGATCTTATTGGAAATATGGGCTTGGCAGATGTAATCAAGATGAGGTCATACTACATTGAGGAAGAGGGAAATATGGACACATATACAGAGAGACACAGAGAGGATGCCTAGGCCAGGCACAGTGGCTCATGCCTGTAATCCCAGCACTCTGGGAGGCCGAGGCGGGTGGATCACCTGAGGTCAGGAGTTCAAGACCAGCCTGGCCATCATGGTGAAGACCCGTCTCTACTAAAAATGCAAACAATTAGTCGGGCGTGGTGACAATCCCAGCTACTCGGGAGGCTGAGGCAGGAGAATCGCTTGAACCAGGGAGGTGGAGGTTGCAGTGAGCTGAGATCATGCCATTACACTCCAGCCTGGGCAACAAGAGCGAAACTACATCTCAAAAAAAAAAAAAAAAAAAAAAAAAAAGAGAGAGAGAGAGAGAGGATGCCTAATTTCAAAACTTCATAGAAGCTATAGTACTCAAGGCAGTGTGATACTGGCATAAAGACTAACAAATAAAGATCAATGTAACAGACTTGAGAATTCAGAAATTGGTCCTTATATTTATGGTCAATTGATTTTCAACAAGGATGCCAAAACAATTAGATGGGGAAATAGTCTTTTCAACAAATGCTGGAATAACTGAATATCCACATGCCAAAGAATGAAGTTAGACCTCTATCTCACACCACATACCCAAGTCAAGTCAAAATGGATCAAAGCCCCAAATGTAAAAGCTAAAACTATAAAACTCTTGGAAGAAAATTAGGTGTAAAATCTTTATGACCTTGCATTATGTAATATATGACATCAGAAGCACAAACAACATTAAAAAGATAACTTGGACCTAATCAGAATTTTAAAAATTTGTGTTTCTTGACACCATCATGAAAGTGAAAGGACACTCAAATAATAAATGAAAATATTTGCAAATCATATACCTGATCCTGGACTTTAATCCAGAATAAAAACCCTTACAATTCAAAAATTAAAAGATCATAAAAAAAAATTCAAAATGGATCAGAACTAAATGTAAAATGTGAAACTGTAAAACTCCTAGAAAATAACAGGAGAAATGGAAATGCACATTAATGAAAGAAGCCAATCTGAAAAAGCTGTATCCTATGATTCCAACTATGTAAGACTCTGGAAAAGGCAAAACTATGAAGACAGTACAAAGACCAGTGGTTGCTTAAGTGTGCTAAGCGAGGGGTAGGCAGGCATGGGTCAGAAGAGCAGAATAGATGAAGCACAGAGGATTTCTAGGGCAGTGAAAATGTGCTGTGTGATACAATAAAGATGAACACATGTCATTATAAATGTGTCCAAACCCATAGAACGTACAACAGCAAAAGTGAACCCAAATGTAACTACAGACTTTGGGTAAAAATGATACGTCAACGTACGTTCATCAATTGTAACAAATATACCACCCTGGTGGGGGATGCTGATAATGGAGGGGGCTGTGCACGTGTGTGAGGAGGGTGTATATGGGATATCTTTGCACTTTCTTTCAATTTTGCTGTGAACCTAAAACTGCTATAAAAAGAAGTGGTTTTAACTTAATTGAGAATAAGCAACTATAACTGTAATTTGAGCAGACATTTCAGAATATTATAATAAAACATGCAGAGATAGAGATGCTGAGATTTTCCAGAACTGATGAAAGATATCAATACACAGATTAAGAGACTCAGTGAATCCCCAAAAGATAAACAGTAATCTATTCCCTAGTTGTGCAACTACACTAAACCAAAGACATATACAAACACATAATCTTAAAACCAACCAGAGGAAAAAAGGCACATAACCTGTCTAGAGCTTGATTGACAACTGACTCTTTAAACTGTTACAAGAAAAGCCAGAAACTGTAGAGGTGCTGGAGGTAGGAGAGGGGAGGGGAGGGAAGGAGAAAGGAGAAAAGAAAGGATGGGAGGGGAGGGGAGGAGAGGGGAGGAACACAGGGGATTCGAAGAGAGAGAAAGAATATTCCTCAGTTCACATTATGAAAGTAGCATAATTTTGGTACCAAAAGCTGACAAATACAATGTGACAAGGGAAAAATTATAGGCCAATCTCTCCTGTGAACATTGATAAAAAAGAAGACCCTAAACAAAATATTAGAAAACCAAGTTTAGCAATAACAATAATACAGCATGACCAAGTTCGGTTGGCAAGGTTGTGGTGCATTAATACAACAGAACACTGTAAGGTAATAAAATAAATGAACTACAGCTATATGAAACATGGATAAAATCTCAATGTTAAGGAAAGGAAGCAAGACCCAAGAATTAATGAGTACATTGATAAAGTTCAAAACCAGGCAAAGCGAAACTTAGGCTTGATTAGGTTGCAAACTTTAAGGAAAAGGAAATTAAGTGTCAAAAGAATGGATACCCCTACAGGTGGCGTATGATTGAGAAGGAATGTACTCCTGGCAATATTCTGCTTGGTCACTTTGGTAATGGTTATTCAGATGTTCTTATTTTGTAGTTATTCACTATACTGTAAACTTGCTTTGTATGCTTTTCTAAATTTTACATTTCACCCAGTAAAAATACTATAATCAAACTTTATAGAAATAACACAGAAAAATGAGTCTCCAATAATCCCATTACGTTATTTTCTTTTATATGGCATATATTTTGCTTTTATTTCATTTTATTAATTTTGCTATTTCAGGGAAGTTCTATGAGTCCGCCCCTATGCCACCATCTTCCTATAGATTAAGTCCTCTAATCCTATTTCTGGTCCCTCAAGTCATATGTGACAAGGCTAATTCCATCTGAGTCCTTTTTGGAGACAGAGTCTTGCTTTGTCGCCTAGCCTGGAGTGTAGTGGTGTGATCTCGGCTCACTGCAACCCTGCCTTCTGGGTTCAAGCAATTCTCCTGCCTTGGCCTCCCAAGTAGCTGGGGTTACAGGCGCGTGCCACTATCCCCAGCTAATTTTTGTATTTTTAGTAGAGATGGGGTTTCACCATGTTGGCCAGGCTGGTCTCAAACTCCTGACCTCAAGTGATCCACCCACCTTGGCCTCCCAAAAGTGCTGGGATTACAGGCGTGAGCCACCGTGCCCAGCCCCATCTAAGTGTTTAATCTAAGGACATCTATCATATCCCAGGGACTTTCAATAGCCACTTCTTCCCCCATATTCCTCCCATTCCCGATACATTTCTTCTCTAAACAAAACATCCTGGGTCTTTCACCTAACCCCATGGACATACTCCAAATCTCTAATTTCCCGAGCAGCTTCATATCTGAGCATGTTCCTTTAAGCATGGTACACAGATGGAAACATTCCGGGTATGAAGAAATTAAACTCTCTCTTCTCTACATTCTCTACCTCTACCACTTGGAAGAGGCTGAAGATACTGCACATATGGACTTGAAGGCATAAGGGCCTGCATTTTAAGTCACTGGTGTGGTCTCAATGTGTCCCCCAAAATTCATGCTGGGAACTTAGTCTCGAATGCAACAGTATTGGGAGGCAGCGCCTAACGGGAAGTGTTTAAGTCCTAAGGACTGAGCCCTCATGAATGCATTATAGTGCCCTTATAAAATGGGCTTGTGGGAGTGGCTCTTTTCTAGTCTTCTGCCATGTGAGGATATGACATTCCTCCTCTCTGGAGGACATAGCAATGAGGCACCATCTTGGACTTCCCAGCCTCCAAAACTGAGAATAAATTTCCATTCTCTGTAAATTACCATCTCAGGTATAGCAGCACAAAACAAAGACAGTGATCATCATAGCTGAAATGTTATACAGGTTACTAAACCTCTCTGAGCCCATTTCTGCATTCTGTACAATGGGTTTTACCTACTCTCTCACAGTATGAGTAAAAAACCAGGTGTTTATGAAGTGCCTGTTACAGCAGACTTTCTGTAAGAGGTAACTGACATTAACAGTGTAAACTAAGACCATATTTCTCGGTAGCCATGTAATACTGTTTGTTCTTACTCAACTGTTACTCGGTATTGATCACAGTTTAGTTGCACAAAACAGAATTCATTCTGGTTAGTTTAGCAGGAAAACATTTAAAATTTATTGACAACAGAAATATTTTATAGCCCAACCTGGTATGCAAAAATGCTGGCTATGTCCCACTGAGTTGATTTCATGGCTCACTAATGAAATGTGAGCCACAGAGGGACAATTACATTGCAGGGTATTAAATGGCCTGGAGAATCACCAGAAAAGAACACTCTTGCCTGTGCTTCCACAAACTGGGTGGTCAAGTGGGCTGATAGTTCCAGAAGCACTCCATGTGTATAACCCACATCCTCAAAACGATGCCTGGTGTCTCACAGAATCTGATGGACAAAACCTAAGTGACACCCAAAACCCTGATACAAAGGAATCTGAGAAACATAGTAAAGAAAGGAAAGCACACTAGCAAAACTTCCAAAAGATGTTAATCAAGGTAAGCCACAGAATCAGTCCCATATCTGCAATGAAATGCTGCTTATGTATGTGAGACAGAAAAACCTGGTGGCTGAAGTATTATTTCATTTATCTTATCTCTATAAATGGCATATTTTCTTGATTACAGCCTATTGCTACTTCACTGAGGGAAAACTCGTAACTACAACTAGTACAATTTGCCTGATGAGATGAAATTCAAGGGAACAAACCTAAAGTAACAAATCCCCAAGTTACATGTCTTTCACAAACATACCTCTACCCAGTCAATAGAGGATTTATCAAAAGAAAGATTAATAGTGGAAAAATAAACTGAGGATTCTTTTTCTCACCCTCATCACAAAGAATCTTAAGATTAAAAAGAAGTTTTTAGACTAGTGAAGAGAAGGGAAGAACAAGGAATACCTTTAATCTCTCCTTTTCATTTTTATTTTAGTTCAGCTTATGCAAGATTTTGTACCTTGTGAAAGAATTTGTTTACTGAATAAAAAATATTGCTTAAGATTTAAAGCAATTAAAGCAAAATAAGTTGCTGAAGGGAGATCATATGAGTTAAATACAGGCTTTTTTTTTTAATCTGTAATTGATTTACATTTGATTTTAAGAAGACACTGTTTACATCAGGTCACCACAAAGCAGATTTACATACAACCTTCAATTGCGGAAAAACAAAGTTTCTTTTTGATCCAAACACAAAGAAAAACTTCTTTGTGTTTTTTTTTAATGATCTTTTCCTTGATCATAAAAAAAAGTAAAAAATGCAGTACTTTTAGAAGGTAAAGCTAGTAAGTTTACAGAAGTGCAAAACACCAAAACACTTGAAGCAAAAACTTTTTTTTTTTTTTTAAGAAAAAGGTATGACTTCTTGTTTTCTGTTCTTGGCATAAATTTTAATTCTTTCCAGTGGAACCAAAACCTCCTGAACCCCTTTCGGTGTCATCCAAGGCCTGAAAGATAGAAAGGTAGTAAGCTTCACAGTTTTTTTTAAGAGCCTCTTTCAGTTTTCCTCTCCAGCTCCTAAGAAAAATACAGCCAGAATTCTACTCTTGCTATATCATCTTTTCAAAAGGGAGATTACAGAAAGAAAATTAAATTCTAAAAAGCTCCATAAATTAGAATACTGGATAACTTTAAAAAATTCTAATAAAATATTAGAAGTTCACAGTATGTTTAAATAACTTATTATCCAAAGTAATACTACATAATAGCTACATGAAAAACATTTAAAGAAATTCTAAAACTAGTATTTTAAATTTGCTTAAAATAAGTTTAGTCATATATACTATTTAGTTACAAACAGCATATTAAATTCTCAAGATTATATATATTTCTTCACTTAAGATGTTATATTACTTATTCTGTATCTTCCTTTGTAATACTTACTTGAACTTCTTCTATTTCTGGATAAAAAATCCGTTCGCAAATGAGCTGTGCAATTCGATCACCTTTTTTGACTTCAAAGAAAGAATAGTTTATTACTGACGTTACTGACACATTCGCCATATCCTGTCTTATTCAATGAGAATTAAAGGAGTCAATATTAATTTACACATACATGACTCTGAAAATTCACTAAAATTATGTGAATGTATATATTTAACATACCTTCAAACTTTTCTTTGCCAAAATTAAACAGTACAACACCAACATTTCCTCTATAATCTTCATCTATGACACCAGCTAGAGAAAAGAAAAGTAATATTATCTCAATTTTTGCTATTGGAATACTAGAGGTGTAAGATTATCTCAAAATCATTATCATGTAGCTCTGAGATTTGTATTCTTACAATTGAATAAGTGAATCTTGCCCTGGTACTATGTAAAGCCTCAAAACCAAGAAATGACATTACTAAAATACAAATAAAAATTTAGAAAACAGGTCCTAATTTTCCAACCTGTCACTCTTTATCAAATGGCGACCATTTCCTATTTTAAGCTGGCAGTAGCAATGGCCATCTCCAACCTACTGTCTACCCACGGCACACTTGCCAAAAAGACTAGGAGAAAATTACGATTTGGGTTTTAAAGGTTTTTCCTGGTATCAGCTTCCCGCTAATACCCAGATTGAAATACGATTGAGTCATAAATAAAAATGTCAAAAAGCCTAAAGCTCTGCAGTGGAGTAAATCAACGCTGACATTGTTAAGCAGCAGTCTTGCAAATATTAGAATATTCCATTTTTACACTAAAAATGAAGCTGTATTTTTCAGTTCATAATCTTCCTCTCCTTTTAATCTGAACCACCATCCTTTCTTAGAGCATGGTTTCTCAGAAGACTGTAGCACATAGGCTTCATGAGTACAACTTTTTTTGTGTAATTAATACTTGTTTAAGATTATGAACACAGGGGGAGAAGATCTTTGCAGGGGAGACTTGAGCCAGGTCCCTGACATAGCCCAGAGAGTTATACTTACCAGACTTGCTAGCATTTATCTTTGAGCCAATAATTTAAAATATTTCCATAAGCACAAGCACAGATAATACAGGTGCACCGGGCCTTTTCATTTTTTTATATTGATAAATAATTCACAAAGCATACAATTTATCCATTTGAAGTGTTACAATTCCACAGTTCATAGTGTATCAGAGTTGGCCAACTATCGTCACAGTCAATTATAGCACATTTACATTACCCTCCCTCCAAAAATCCCCTACCTTATTAGCAGTCACTCCCCTTCCTCCTCCCACCCCCAATTTCCTGCTATACACGTTAATTCTTTCTCCTCAGTTTGTGAAAGGCTGGATAAGACTCACGTGAATCTAACTGAAGACAGCTCCATGTCACATCTTACTTGTTATTAATACTCTACCCCAAACAAAAGCCCTGATGAAGGAAAAAATATGGAAATAAAAATAATCCTGTGTTCAGCTCAATGGGCAGTAATGCTATTTGCCCATACTCCTCATTATTTGAAAGCTGAGAAAACAGACAAAAAAACCCCAAAGCATACCCACCCCCCATTTTTTAAGAACAAGGGTAATTCCTAAGCATATCCTTTCAATTTTCTCATATAATGGGGGGAAAAAAGCAAACCCTTAGGTCCACCACGGGGAAAAATATTCAGCAAAAACAACATTTTAGATTTTCCGAATGGATTACAACATACGTTTAAATGAACCCCTGTGCTTTATGAATGAATTACTAGGGACAAGTGAATCTGAATTTAAGCACTTCTTAAAAGGTTCCTGATGCAACACTTTTACGAGAAGAGTGAGTATAAAACTGGGCAGAAAAGCAGCAAAGGCAGTTCATCTCCTGTCGGGCCTGAAGGAAACAATCCATTATTGAACTTGACCAATTCCAATACCAAACCCTGCTTTATTTCTCCACCGTCAGTTGACCATTAATTTACACCTTAATATTTATGAAAAAATTTGATATAAAGATGAAACCAGCTGTTTTCCATATTATCTATATGGAAAAAATTTTGACTGCAGGGACAATTTAAATTAGATTTAATGAAGAAATCCCTCAACATAGCATGTTGTTCCATGCTAGAAAAAATGGCCACAGTAGGCTAGAGAACTTCCATGCTGGGAGATTTTGAGGTACAAGCTAATAATTCATCTATCTTGAATGAGTTAGAGAAAGACATGGACTGACTTCTGAACTATTGTTTCTACTTTATTCAAAAATTTTTAAATAACTAAAACAATACAAATACATATAAAGTAAAAGCTTATAATATTCTCTTACCCTCCCTGAGATAGCTAATGTTACAGAAATATATCTTACATACTACTTTATTTTTTTCTTTTTATCCTTTGAGATTAATATATGTAAATGTTAGCCATTCTTTTTAGATACAAGATATGGAAATATGGGTTCTCTCTCTCCTTCTCTTTCTTTTTTTGGCAGGGTCTCACTCTTATAGCCCAGGCAGGAGTATAGTGGTATGATCACAACTCACTATAGCCTCAACCTCAAGTGATTCTCCCACCTCAGCCTCCAGGTACAAAGGCACCACCACACCTGGCTAATTTTTGTATTTCTTGTAGAGAGAAAGTATCCCTATGTTGCTCAAATAAGCCTCAAACTCCTGGGCTCAAGCAATCTGCCTGTCTCAGCCTCCCAAAGTGCTGGGATTACAGGCATGAGCCACAACGCCCAACCTGTACCATTGTTTCTATGTAACTATTCTCTTGCATAATATCAGACACAGGCTGCTTTTACATTTTGCTATAATAAATGAAGCAGCCCTTTAAGTATATCCTTGTATATGAATGCTTTTTATTTTCATCAAATAGGTTGCAAAAAAGGTGTAGCCACTCAAACTTCCATCAGCAATATTTGAGAATGCCCATTTCCAAAATCCTTGCCAATATTTGATGGCAACAATCTCTTACATTCTGGCCAATATGATGAGTACAAAATGGCTATCTCATTGCCTTACTTTTCATTCCCTGATGACTAGTGAGGCTGGATTTTTTTCCTCCCATTTGTTGGACATTTGCATGTCCTTGTCTATATTTTGTGTATGTTTTTTTCTCATTTGTTCTTTTTCATATAAGTTGCAAATATTTGCTTGTTGGCTTTATAGTATCTTCTAACATACAAAAACACTCCCTTTTTGAAAGGCCTCTGCTAACGTATCTGTAAAGCAGTCCTATCAGAACTACTCAAATGATTGGGTGTCTTGAATCCTGCAGATAGGTGATCTTTATGCTTGGGCCACGAAAATGTGAAAAACCTTTAAGTGACTAAAAGAAATTAAGAAGTTTGAAGTCAATTCAAATGTATGGCAGAAAAAAAGGCCCTCAATAGTTTTTTTTTTTGCATGAATGTTGACGGTATAAAAATTTCAGTAGTTCCAAATTCATTTACCACCCAATTGCCATTCGACCTCCAAGAAAAGCCTTCTCTGCCTACAGGATATAAGTATCAGGGATATTTCTCCTCAGAGAAAGCAGAAAGTAACTTGAAGTTATCACTGGAAAAATCATGCATTGGAACTGGCAGAGTGATTAACTGACTTCAGGCAAAAGTTTTACTGTGTCAAGAGTTTGGCATGTCATTTGTTGGAAACCTTTTTTAGTGAAAAACTATCCACACCTACCAGATGTGAATTCTGAACAGAATCCTGAATGCTCAACTTTTCCCTTTGACCCTTATTTAGAGCCTGGGATTTCTAACAACATCTCTCTTCAGAAATAAAAACTGTTGCCAACTATGATAAACTTGTGCCTAAGGGAGATTGTTAAGATTCTCTGCATCCAAGAACACACCACAATGTGATTTTATGAATAACACCATACCAACCACTAGGCAAACTAACTTTCCATTCTTTTACATGAATTTTTTTCCAGAAAGTTGTTTTAAACAGAGCAAAAATTAGTAACAAAGTCGAATAAAAGAAAAAGTTTCCACATAAAAACAATCTGTGAAGTCCCTAAGGACAGAAATTATATCTCACAGAATCTAATATGTGCCAAGTACTATATTAGGTATTTCATACACATTATCATTTAATCCTCCTACCTCTAGAGGCAGGCACACTAATTTCCATTGTAAAATGAGGAAACAGGCTCAGAAAGGTTAAGTAATAACTAGTTAATGACAGAGCTGGGACCTACATCCAGTTGTTATTCCAAAGCTCCCGTTCCTTGAACAATCATTTGAAACTTCATTGAAAATATATACAATTATTTATATCCTTAAGTTACTGTCCCAAAATGACCACAGTTGACCTTGTAAAAGCATTTTTGAACATCGGGCATAACTTACAGAGCCCAAGGAATCCTCAACCCAAGAGTGGGCTGTCAATGTCCACCCTGCTATGTAAAACTCAGCTCCCCTTTAGTCCCTAAAGGGTGTACTTTTGGGGTCCTGTCTTGTCCCACAGCACCACCTGGTGACACTATGGAGAGACACCACACCCACCAAATGTTAGACTAAGGGGCAGGTCTAGGATAGCCAGGTTTCATTAAGTGCTTAGTTAGCCCTTGCAGTGGCACATAAAAGTGAGCTAATTCTGGACGTGTTTAGTTGGTGAGGGGGATGCAGCAGGGTAATCTCCACAATTAATTGCAGTGGAAAGAACAAGGAGGCTGGAATCACACAGAGACTCCAGTTTTTACCACATATCCATGTGGGCTCATTTCTAAGCCAGTTTTCCTGATCTGTTAACAAGCCTCCATAAAGCAGCTCTGTAAAAACGGGTGGAGGAGGAGATCTAGCACACCTACTTATGTGGGGGCCAAGGTATCTTGTTAAGTGAAAGATTCACTACTGATGGGATAAAGGGTCAGTATGTAAGGACCACATAAGTGGGGTCTGAATCCCAGTTGGAGCGGACCTGAAACAAGGAAACCACATCAGGAAAGTAGAAATTTCCTTACAATAAGAGGAGTAGCTCTGTATCAAGAGTAGTTAGCAGAGGACACTGAGGGTTCTTCATGAAAGGTACCACATGAGGTAGGGTTAACTTTGAGACAAACATGAGAAAGGCTTTATTATAAGGGAAACAGGTAACACAGAGGACTGTCTTAACAAATTTAGAGAAAAGTGTTTTCTCTCCTGACTTCAGGGAAAGATTTTCTTCTTAAATTTTGCTAAAGACAGATAGCTCTCTTATGAAGAAAATTCTTACAAGATAGACCTGTGTTTTCTAGAACTTTTGTTGCTTAAATAATTACTTAATTATTATATCATTAAATCTGTCATTATTAATTAGGTAATCATTATTTTAAAAATTAAGTTAGTAGTTAAACAAAATATAATTACTTAAAATAACCACAAAGCTTTTCCTCCTATTATAACAAGCTTTCCTCTAATCATTTTCTTTTCTTAAAAATAAAATCTGTCATTTGAATATTACCTTTTAAAGACAAAGTAAATACTTGCAAACATTTACAGAATAAAAAAGGAAATATATTACCTCCTACATCAATAAAGTGTTTTGCAGCCAAGCCTGACCGTGGAGCTAAAAAACAAAAAAGGAGACATTGGTTATTTTAAGGGGGAAGGGCTATATCAGAGATAACTGATGCAATTTAAGCATGTCATTCTCTTCACCTATAATATCTATATCTTCATCTTAACTTTAGCACATGGTTTTGAATTAAAGAATATATATTCATCATACTGCATTACCAAAGTTGGAAAGACTAGTTTAGAAAAATTCCACAAGGTTTTAATTCAAAACTAACTTAAACCACTCCCATGTGACTTCAGTCAGAATTTGTGGTGCTGCAGACAGGGGAGAAGGACTGCTAGAATGAGCTGAAAGGTGAGCAAGCGGGAACAACTGTAGGCTGCTCTTTCAAGAAGTTAAGCCTCAAAGGGGAAGAAAGAGAAGTATGGCCAGCAGGAACACACTACTGAGGAAGAAGACTTTGGTTTTAAGATGGGACACCACAACATGTACAATGCAGATGGGAAGGGAAAGGAAGAGGAAGGGAGAGGGAAACAAACCTAACCAAATAGTAGCAGACCATAGCCTACAACTTGGGACCCCACTATTCATGATTCAGATGCCAAAAGACATGCCTGTAGGAAACACATGAACCAGAGTAAGATAAATGGGCTAATATCAGTTAAGTAAAAATGCCAAAAACTAAGTCTCAATGATTCAATGCTAGTATACTTTTTAATCCTAAAAAATGAAAAAAATAAAAAGCTAAGGTTACACCTTATTATTGCAGACTCAAGCATCAGGCCTATAATTAATTATCCTAACTTCCAGCATTTTATTTTAGAATAATTTAAATCAGGCACTTTGTCAATAATGCTGCCTCTTTCTGTACTAACCTTTATTTCACTCCATCTCCTGCCCCTTCCCCTGAAAAAATTCTAAAAAATGGAGTCAATGATGCTCAAGAGATGAGATGAGAGCCCATCTTGTTATCTTTTAAGGGCTGAAGTACTGGCAGTTTCCTCACTCATGGCTAATAATATAGTGCCAGTCTAGCTCCTTTCCCTGGAGGAGGGCGTCACAGCTCCATTGCCTCCTTTATGTTTACTCTGAAGTTAGTCAAAAAGAACTTACGCTCTTGCAAAGAACTGTCTGGTAACAACTGATCCGCTCCAGAAAAATCAAACCTGTTGACGTGTACTCCATTTTGTCCTAGCTCCTCCCAGTGCCTCTACAACACTGAAGAGTATCCCTTACCCTAACCCCATGGCCAAACAAGAAAAGGTTAAGTAGGCTTACACATTCTGGGACCAACAGGTCAGAAGTTTTACTCTCATAATATAAAATGCCATGTTCTGAGAACAGCCTTCTAGGCCAGTGTGAGCCTAAAAGCTCCAGTGAGGAAGGAGAAAAATAAAAGGGTCAAAAAGAGGCAAAGCAGAGATGTAAATAAAGCCTTTCAAAGAGTGCATTTGCTATCACAAATGGTGCTTCTTTTAGGACACAGCCCAAGCAATATTGCCTGCTTATTACCCCAAATGAAACATGAAGAATCTATCACAAAGGAGAACTTGACAAATAGTTACCTGTTTCTTAAATGACTTACCCACTCTTCCATAACACCCAGAAGGGAGCGCTATCTGAATGTCCGTTTTCACAACAGCTTTCTCCATAGGTGGTATTGTGTAATCATAGGCACTAAGAAAATATTGAAAGAAAATAACTGCAAATCTATTTATAAAATTGTTTTTATATTTTCTTTGTGACCAAGCATACAAAATTACTTTCAGTGTATTTAATGAATTAATGCAACTTTAGTTTCTAAAATCAACCTTGCTATGATGAATTACCAATTCATCTTAAAAGTTTATGAAGAAGGTAGAGGTGGCTATTTTATTATTAAAAAGACAGCTTTAGATAAAATAATTCTCCATGAATATTTTTGGTGGTGTGAAGAGATGTCAACATTGTAAATGTTTGCCCCTGAACAAAAGTTTATTGGAAACTGAGGTACTTATCAGCGTGAAAGGGCAGAAAGGCAAACTTTCAAAAGGTGGATGCTTTACAACCATAGTTTGAAAAGGAAAAAAATGAAGAAAGAACAAAGAAAAAAGGCCAAATACTACTAATAATACTAGCTATCATTGATTAAGCCTTTACTGTGTGCCAGGAACAGTTCTAATTGGTTTACATATATTAACCCATTTTATTCTCACAATGATCTGTGTGATTAGGGAAAATATGCAGAAGGAAAGGAGAAAAACGGGTGGACAAAATAAGAGATAAAGAACTGTGTTGTATCTGTCAGGCAGGGCTTGGTAGTTTACCAAGCTTAGGCTATGAATTTCCTGGCTGAGGGAGACAGCTGATCACCGTGAACGGCCCCTGGAGATGGACCTTGCTTAGGAACAGAATTCCTCTAAAGTCCACATAGCAAATGCTGCTACTCTTGATATTACTGTGGCCCTCTCCTGGGTAGAAATTTAAGAGATTTTACAATGAGCAGAACCGGAAGTTTACTTTGGAGACCTTAATTAACTCTGGTAAAGCAGTACTACCCCTTCTTTCACTGAAATCCCTCTTTAAACAGTTAAGCCCTAATTTATTGCTGATCCATTATTTCCATGTCAATTTCAGTATACAGAAAGTCACCTGTGTTTATTAGGAGTCTACTTAAGGTATCTTAAATCAAGGACTCCCCTAGGACTCAAGAAAGTGCTCCAAAATATACTTTGGAAAGGTCTAGTCAAACTATATCACTCTACTTTTATTCATCAAAATTAAGAGACTGTAGTTTTTCCAGCTACAATTGTCCATACCTACTTTCCTTTTCCTTTTTTTTCTGTTGCTATCATCAGGCACTACTTTCTCTTCTCCTGTGCTTAGACTAATAGTTCTCATGTTTGAATTATCTGAGATACTTTAAAATAAATCCCAATGCTTGGGATTTAGTATAAAATCTCCTTCCCTCTCAGCATTACTTTTCTCCTACCTTAATGGTTCTAAGAACTGGGCACAGTAGTCAGATGAAAAAAAAAAAGCCCAAAATTCGGGATAAAAAATTATATCATCTTCAAGCCTCTGGGGAAATCAATTCAGCTCTTCACAAACTCCTGCCTGTGTAAAAAGTAACACTTATCTAGTTAAGGATTGTTGTGAGGACTAAATACAACAGCATACGGAAAGTTTTTAGTACAGGTAAAACGTGCTGTAGAGATGAAAGTGTGGTAGATTACAGGCAGCTCTGCCTTTCGTTTTCAGATGCCTTCTCAAATTCCGCCCTGGGCCGGATGAATGTATAGAAAATAACTTTTTAAGGCAGATGCATCTTCGTTCATCCTTCTTAGGTATTTTCACGCTCACATCTAGGCTCTCACCTTGGTTTTTCTATTGAGCACAGCATCACCCTCGGGCCACTCGAAAGCCACCATGGGCCTTCCTCTCTATCTTCTATTTAGGAAGGGCACAATAAACGTTGCAAAGTAACGCCTTGCTAGACACCGTATAGCTATTTTACTTATTCTGCAGTCTTTGCCCAAATCTCTATTTAATTTATGCCAAAGATGAAAGCTAAAATTTTAAACACGAAAAAGGCAGAAATCCTATTTATAGCTAGTGTGTTCCTGTGATCTCTCCGGTGACTGTTTCTAGCTGTGGCAGCGGACGGCCGGCCCTTCCCAGCCTCCTCGCCGGCAGGTCCCCGCTCACCTGTACAGGTCGTAGCCCGCGGCGCGCGCGGAGCCCCGGGTGGGGGCCGTGGCGTGCTCGGAGAGCCGGGCAAAGCGGAGCTGCATGCCGCCCACCTCCGCAGGCCGGGCCCGCTTACTGGGTGAAATGGCGGGTGTCTCTTCAGAGCAGGGCATGGCAGAGCCAGAAGGCGAGCGAGGAGACCACCGGGGGAAGAGGAGAGCGCACGATGAGCGTCGCCGCAGGGAGCGCGCCAAAACCGAAATTTCCCGCCAGCCCCGCCCCACCCACCGCCCCTCCCCGGGACGAGTCCACAGTTCTGGCTGAGAGGGGAGGCGGGATTCACATTTTGGGTTTGAAGCCCTTCTCGGAAAGCAGGTTTGGGATGGGAAACTACTGGGTCCCAGTCAACTTTCCACATTCAGCGCGTGGGGCCAACTTTGAAGGGGAGCTTCTAGGGCGTCGCCCTCACACACTAGAAAGCCGCCCCCTCGCCAGGGGACCCTAATGGACCACCCCACCCCCCCCGCCCCCCGCGCGCAGAAGGACCGCTCGCCACCCTACTTCCCCCACAGCCTCAAGCCGCGTGGATTCCTTCCAGACGGCCGGAGCCCCTCCCCCGCCTTTCCTACCCGGCCCCGGCGCCGGGCTTCCCCCCGCCTTAGGAAGCTCGCCCTTCCAGCCAGCGGCCCCGACTGTACTGGCTCCGCGGCAGCCTTGGCTCAGGCGGCCAGCGCTGGACAGCGGCCGGGGAATCCCGTGCTGCGCGGCGCGGCCGAGGGGCGGGCCTGGCCCGGAGAGTACCGCGGCTTCGGCCCTCTGCCGTGCGCCTCGCGCGTTTTGCATCGCTGAGCGAAGCAGAGACGTAAGGAAATGGTAGCAGAGCGCGGGGCGAGGGCAGAGGGGAGTCATTTCCCCCAGAGTTTGGGCTGGTTGGGTCCTCGGCACCTCCGGACGTGCGCCAGGCTTCCACCCTGAAGACGCGCCCGTCCTGGGAACATGACCTCGGAAGCAGTCGCAGCCGCCGCCGGACGAGGGGCGTGGAGAGGCGGTGCCCCGGCAGCCCAGGGATGGCGCAGGCCCTGGGGCCCCAGGAAGACGGCGCCGTTGGCGTCTTGAGTCTTGCTGCCGCCTCTGGCTGCCTAGCCCTCTTGCTTTCGCTCTTCTTGTTTGCTCTGGCCCCCATTTTTCCGAGAGTGTACGCCAGGCCCGGGCCCTGCTCCTGGACTGATTTACCTGGGGCGGCACCGCCCGCAGCCATGACTCCCGGGCTCTGAGTTTAGCGGCGCCCTAAGCGCCGGAACCGCATCTCGGCGCCGGTGACAGTTATTGCGCCCGGGGCCGCTCCCCAAGCTGTGGGCAAGACACCGCGCCCGATTTCCTTTCAGCACCGAGTGTCAGACGTTGTAGTGTTTATTCGACCGGAGGCAGGGAGGGCGCTACTATCCTATCACAGGTTTGGGATAACCCAACAGAAACGCAGTGGGAACCCCTTGGCTAGGAGTCGAACAAGGATCCCGGGTCGTGGTAGTATAGTTTACAGTGGGGGATAAAGCAGTAACTTTCTAGATAGTTGTTAATAATTTTTTCTGAGCTGCAAGTATCTCCTTATTTCTCACAAAAATCTGCGAGCTGAATTGAATGGTTTTGAATTTTCAAAATTAAAAAAGCTGTGGGGCAGTTTTAGAGTATTATTGGGGAAATTTTACATTCGTTGCTATGCCTTTCCATACAGGCCCCCCCTTTTCGGTCTCCTTAACTGGTTCGTCTTCGTAGTTGGAATTCCTTTGCATGAGGCTATGGAATATACACTACCTTCTCTGGACGTTAACTATTAGCTACAGCTTGAGGACTCCCAAATTTATGCCTTTAGCAACACGATCCGAGCCCTGCAACTTTTCGACCTCATTTTGAGCCAACATTATTTTGCTCCCTTATTTTGTTGAAGTACTTTCTCCAGTTATTTACTTAAAATGTTCACATGAGAGACATACTATTTGATTCCTTGCTTGTACTAAGATGTAATGATTGTAACGACTTCATTTTCCTAGACCCAGATAAAAGTCTCGCTTCATTCATGAAACTTTTTACAATCAGTAGTGACCTCTGCCCCATCTTATCTCTTTTAACACTTACTATATCATTCATTAGTCGTTAGCCATATACTTTCATTGTGTAATCTTCTGATGTATATGCATTTTATCTCTCACATGAATTAGAGTCATAAACTTTTATGAATTCTTCAAAGCACTTACTTCAGTGTTTACACAAAAGTTACTTGTTTGGCTTATTACAATATCTAACACCAAGCAGGTTACCTTCTATTTTTTGTTGTTAATCTGTATACATAAAGTGTTTATTGTTACTTTTCAGCTGAGTTTATTTTAGACTAAAAGAGAAACGGCCATAATCTAACTGGCAAAAAGTAATAGGATTCTGAGCCAGTAAGCATTTAATAGAACGTTCTTTATGACAATAGAAATATAACTTGTTATGAACATACACCTTAAATGCAAGATACTGCAGTTAAGAACTAAACATGTTTCAACCATAATTTACTTCATAGTTTTTGTTTTTTTTTTTGAGACAGAGCCTTGCTGGAGTGCAATGGCTCGATCTCGGCTCACCCCAACCTCCTCCCAGGTTCAAGCAATTCTCCTCCTCAGCCTTCCAAGTAGCTGGAATTACAGGCATGCGCCACCACGCCTGGCTAATTTTGTATTTTTAGTAGAGATGGGGTTTCTCCATGTTGGTCAGGCTGGTCTCGAACTCCCGACCTCAGGTGATCCGCCCACCTCGGCCTCCCAAAGTGCTGGGATTACAGGCGTGAGCCACCGCACCCTGCCCTTCATGGTGTTTTCTTTATCAGACTATAGTTATCCTATCAGTCATGCTGATTAATTCAATTACCTAAGTCTAGTGCCAATTTGAACCTTCTGAAAATGCAAGTCAGTACTTGAAAAGCATGGTTGTTTTTCCTATCTTTGCCATTTTGGGGATTTCTCTCTCATTTTAACAAAGATACACATTGTTACTACTTTATGTCAGGTGTATTCTAAGTGCTTTAAAAAATATTAACTCGAGGCCAGGCGTGGTGGCTCACACCTATAATCCCAGCACTTTGGGAGGCTGAGGCGGGCGGATCACCTGAGGTCGGGAGTTCGAGACCAGCCTGACCAACATGGAGAAACCCCGTCTCTACTAAAACTACAAAATTAGCCGCATGTGATGGCACATTCATGTAATCCCAGCTACTCGGGAGGCTGAGGCAGGAGAATCGCTTGAACTCGGGAGGCGGAAGTTGCGGTGAGCTGAGATTGCGCCATTGCACTCCAGCCTGGGCAACAAGAGCAAAACGACGTCGCAAAAAAAAAAAAAAAAAAAAAATTGGCTGGGTGCAGTGGCTCACACCTGTAATCCCAGCACTTTGGGAGGTCAAGGTGGGAGGATTGCTTCAGCTCAGGAGTTCGAGACCAGCCTGGGCAACGTAGGCAGACCCCATCTCTACAAAACATATACAAAATTAGCCAGGCATGGTGGGTGGCAGGCACATGTAGCCCTAGCTACTCAGGAGGCAGAGGTGGGAGGATCACTTGAGCACAGGAGTTGGGAGGCTGCAGACAGTTATTATCATGCCACTGCATTCCAGTCTGGGCAACAGAGTGAGACCCTGTCTCAAAAAAAAAAACTCGTTTAATCATGACAACTAGAGGAAACAAATTCTTTATCCCCATTTTACAGATGAGGATACCAAAGCACAGAGTGATTAAATAACTTACCCAAGATCACACAGATCACAACTAGAAGGAGGTTAAACCACAATTCAGATAGTCTGGCCTCAGAACCCTTGCGTTTAGCCACTGTGCGCTGTAGATTTATATGTCCCCTGTTGAGTCTATGGTAACTCTTTTGCAGTTGTTGATGTTGAGACAAGGTCTTACTCTGTCACCAAGGCTGGAGTACAGGTGGTCCTTCCACCCCAGCCTTCCAGATAGCTGGGACTACAGGCACGTGCAACCACGCCTGGCTAATTTTTCGTACATTTTGTAGAGATGCAATTTCACCATGTTGCCCATGGCGGGTCTCTTGAACTCCTGGGCTCAAGCAATCCGCCTTTCTTGGCCTGCCCAAGTGCTAGGATTACAGGCATCAGCCACTGTGCCTGGCCTTGTGGTAACTTAATACTGACCTTGCTACTGGCTGTGTTTCCAGGTCTGGGAGAGATGTTTGTAGTAAATAAGCCAAGCATTCTTAATTTCACAGTTGATCATACCATCCTTCTTGAAACACTTCCTCCCATTTCACTGGCTGTCTCCTCAGTCTCCTTGGCTCCTCTTCCCTTCTCAACCTGTTATTGCTCACGATAAAAACCCTTGGAGTCTTACTTACCTCCTCTTTCTATCTTAGGTCTTCCCTTACCTAAAAATAGTCTCCTCCTAGGCAGCATCTAATGCTTTACCCTGTTGGGTTTTTCTGCATAGTATATATTGCTATGTAAAATTACATGTATATTCACTTGACTCGTTAGCTGTTTGTTTCCTCCACTATCATATAACCTTCATGATGGATTTAAACCTATCTTAATTTGGGTTTCAGATGTTCCTTTTTAAAACCTTTTCCTGCCTTCTGTGAAATTTACTAAATGTTTTTTATTTCACCTTTCCCCTCTAATTTAGATGTTTTACTCTTTAGTTTTATTATTTTAAATAAATTAAAACATACAGTGTCTAAAATATAAAATTAATCAAAATGATTGTCTTCTGGATAACTCAAGGACCTTAGACTGCTTTAACACCATTAACCCTTCTTTTGACAAATATGCTATTACTGTCTAGTGTATTAAATGTATCTTTTAATCTCAATAAGCATCATTATTTTACTACTTTTTATAGTCATTAAAAAAATATTTACCCATGCTTTTATTACTTTCTTTGCTCCTCTTTCTCATCTCCGACCTCCATCTGGATCACTGTCCTTCTGCCCAAACCTCCCATGGAGAGGATCTCCAATAGACAGTTGAGCTGTCTTAGTTTTTTGTGAGTTTGAACAAAACTCTCAAACTCCTCCTCGGGGGAATATGTTCTTTGGCGATCATTGAGGAATGGAAGAACTGAAAAAATTAATGGAAAATTGTCATCATTTCCTATAACTGAAGGAATCTATATTTCAATTTAGAACATTCCATCATGGAACAAAATACTCATTTATCATGCCACAGTTCACGCTTAATAGAAATATGTGTAAGCCAAAAAAAGACAGAAGCCATACTTTGGGTTCTGGTACCAAAATTTAGAAGTGCTCCTTTGTTTCAAGCCCAGAGGTTTTTATACCATAGGATAAGGTGCCAGTCAGGTTTTGGATAGGTAAGTGTGCCCATCTTTTGCAAAAGGGCAATTGCAATAGAGGAGGTAGGAAGAAGGGCTAGAATATAGGCAGATCAGTTTCAGTAAAAAGTACATTTGTATGTTGACTAGCTGACGGTTCATTCTTATAAAACTGTTTTGTCCAGAATACCATCAGGAAACTCCTTGGAATGTCTTATACTCCCCCGAGAGTATATATGGCTGAATGTGAAAACACTGAACTGGGGTATAATTTATGAAACCCACAAAAATGTTCCTGCCAGGTTCTTGGGAAGAGCACAAAGACCAGATAAATATATGTAGACTTGATTTCATAAGACCAACACAGAACTCTTAAGCATGTAAGTAGCTCAGTAGATTGACATTGAATGGCAGTTAAATAAACAGTTAAGGAGCTAGCAGATAATCAACAAAACAAGCATTTATTTCTGCAAAATTACTTTGGACAAGCTCACAAATGACTGCCTCATTGAACTAAAGGCTCAAAGGGAGCAGAATACTTAAGCCACAAACTCAGAACTATAGTTCTCCCTAATACACTGAATACCCAATCTCTCTTAACAAACATAATCACCATGAAAAGCATACTCTGAATTATGCCAGTGGCGTAGAAGCACTAGGAGCCAAAAGTTCTGTAATTACAGTCCAGAGAAAGACTATTGTTATTTCATTTTAAAGCATCATTGAGTTTTAGGAAGTGAAATAAAAACAGGCCGGACGTGGTGGCTCATGCCTGTAATCCCAGCATTTTGGGAGGCCGAGACGGGCAGATCACTTGAGGTCAGTCGTTTGAGACCAGCCTGGCCAACATGGTGAAATGCTGTCTCTACTAAAGATACAAAAATTAGCCAGGTGTGGTGGTGCATGCCTGCAATCCCAGCTACTTGGGAGACTGAGGCAGGAGAAACACTTGAATCAAGGAGGTGGAGGTTGCAGTGAGCCAGCCTGGATCACACAATTGCCCTCCAGCCTGGGCGACAGAGCAAAACTCCATCTCAAAAAAAAAAAAAAAAAGAATAAGAATAAGAATTATCTTTTATAAGCAGATGGCTTAAGTGCCAGGGTACACAGGAGAATCATCAAAAGAGCTAGAGTAAATGCACATATCCAAGCCCCATCACCAACTGACTACACAAAATCTCCAGGGTGATTCTGTTGCCCACCCCTGGTTAAAGACCACTGCTTTAGGGGATTTATTTCTAGAGAATCTGTGGGGGTCAAGACATCCTGAAAAGAATAATGTCACATATAACCAATATTACCAGCTTTACCAAGTATACTATACTGTGGACCGTTTTAATAAAGGCTCCATTACCTTAAATATAGAGGCAGAGCCAGGGTCTGTGTTCTTAGCAATGCTTCTGTGGTACAATTGTATTAAGAGTAATTGCATGGCTGGCCCGAAGGTAGGGAGTTATCTCAACCGATTGTTCACAGTCAGGAGTTTGATCTGAAACTCCTTGTTCTACTTTCTCCCCTTCTCACTACTATGCTTGACTAGTCTTTAAAAAAATTTTTTTTTAAAAAGAATAACTGCAGACCAGGCAGCATTCAGAATATTTGCTTATTTCTTAGTTTTGCTGAGACTATTAAATAAACAAGTCGCTAACGAGGCCCCAATAGTTAAACAGGACTGCAAGGCTGAAACACTGTAGAATGTAAAGTGAAATTTTAATGTAAATTCTAGTGTAAGAAATATATTTGCTGGTTTTAATTGTTCAAGATTAGATAAGGGGAAAAGAGTAGGTGGAGGGGAATCACATGGACTAAACTGGAAAGCTCTTTAAAAACTAAGTCAACTCTAAGCTCCCACTGTCTCCTCTGGCTTATATGATCTCTTCATATTGTGTCTCCCTCTCTCATCTTTGGAGGGCATCCAATTGGACTGGAAAAGTAAACATATAATGCAGACCGTCTTTATACCTGGTTCAGACATTAATTGTTTGGCTCCATTTGGCTAGAGTAGCAGAACTGGTTTCACTCCAGCACACGGACTATTTTCATAGTAGTAGTAATGCAGTGTAACGGGCAAACACTGAGATTTTGTAAGCTGACCAGCGTATTTCGATTGTTAAATATGTTTGGTGATGAAAACCCTGGAAACTTCTATTGACCCATCAGTCTGCCCAAGGAATCTTTTCAGTTCATCTTCAGTAATATTAATTAGCCTTTCAGCCTGATCTTTGGCTCATAAATTTCAAGGTATGATGATGGAAGCTCAAGCAATGTTCCTGTCTGTAATTATATTAAACCAAACAAGGTAAATATGGACTCAATGTCAGAAACAAGTAACGTCTGGAAACATACATTATAACTAAGGGGCACTAAGTTGCAATTATTGCATCAGAGTTTTGGGAACTAGGAACATTTTAACCCATTTTGTGAAAGCTCAGGAATCAAGATATTCTTCCTTCGAAATACTTAGATATGTCTTAGTTACCTTGGGCTGCCATAACTAAATACCATAGACTAAGTTAAACAACAGAAATTAATTTTCAAACAGTTCTGGAGGCTCCAAGGTCAGGGTGCCATCATCGTGGTGTTCTGCTAAGGGCTCTCTTGTGGGTTGCAGAAGGCCACCTTCTCTCTGTGTACTCATATGGTCTTTCCTTGGATTAAGACCCCACCCTTATGACTTAATTTAAACTTGATTACCTCCCCAAGGCCCCATCTCAAATACCATCAGACCAGCGGTTAGGACTTTAACATTAAATTTGGGAGGGTGGGGCACATTCAGTCCATAACAGGAATCAAGATATTTTTCCTGTAAAATGCTCTCGCAAAATTAATGTGTACCCTTGATCACATGCCTTCGTTATTTCTTAATGTAAAACACGTTTCTTTGCAATATTTTCATTTGGGAATACATTTCAGATCACCAAACATATTTCTGTATCATGGGGCTTCTTTAAAGGGCTTGAAAACTTTTCAGGAGAGCAACAAATACCCCTCTCCCCCATATTTTTGACTCAGGAGAGGTGAGGAGGGTAGCAGGGGAAAGCTAGGATCCTTAGATTTCTCGGCCATATTCTTTCTTTCTGCTGTTTCCTGTCTTTTCTTGTTGTTTAGAGACCTTCTCTTCTTTAAAAACTTCTTCGATCTCACCCTCCCATATTCTGAGCAATAAAGGGTAAGTAAAGAAAAAACCCTGGATTACCAAGAAGGGCATTTCAAAAGTATTATCCCGACTGGGTGTGGTGGCTCATGCCTGTAATTCCAACATTTTGGGAGGTCAAGGCGAGAGAATTGCTTGAGCTTGGGAGTTAGAGACCAGCCTGGGCAACACAGTGAGACCTTGTCTCCACACACACAAAAAACTAACAAATTAGCTGGACGTGGTGGCGCGCGCTTGTAGTCTCAGTTACTTTGGAGGCTGAAGTGGACGGATTGCTTGAGCTTGGCAAGTCGAGACTGCCGTGAGCAGTGATCGCACCACCTGCACTCCAGCCTGGGCCACGGAGTGAGACTCTGCCTCAAAAACAAAAGTATTATCCCTTTTACTTTTAATCAATATGTTAATGCAAATTATTCATAAAATGCTACATGAAATGTGGCCAAGACAATCTGATGAGTTGGCAAATTCTTTTGGAATAATGATGTGATTGCCTCCATGCATTCATTGTATTCACGTATTGCTAATGGAAGTTTTACACTGACAAAAGTTTGGGACATACTCTTTGGTAATAATGGCTTATATATTAAAGTCGTGTCTGTATTGCAGGACTTCTCAGAGTCTTTAATGACCATTGTGAATTTCCAAGCTGGGCTATGTGCTCTGTAAGCATTTCCCAAGCACATGTGGCCATAGAACCATTTTTTGTAAAGGATATATTAGTAGTCTTTTGCTGGTAAGTAATAGAAACTAACCTGAGCTAACCTTATCAACAACTAACATTTATTTGGAAGAACAATGGGTGTATTGTTCAACCTGTTGAATTGAACTACCAAGCCCCAGGAAGAACAGGCAGCTATTGGAAACCTTGCGATTAAATGTTATAACATTTCACCTTGATCTTTGTTTGCAGTCAAATTTGACATCCAGTTTTACTTTTTCTTTCCATTTTTGCTTTTGATTTACATTACGATCCTTTCAGTTATTACAAACCTTCATTAAAGCATGTTGCATACAAGGTTAGTGGCATTTTAGGCTAAGAAGGGATAAAGCGGAGAATGGGAGTATTCTCTCCAAGGATCACATCTCCTCTGATTTTAACCTGATGATGACGACATTGTGCTAAAGGAAATCTTAGAATCCCCCCAGTAATCAACAGAAGTGATCAGAGGCCCCATCTGAGTTGGGGTTTGGAGACTTACGGGGACTAAACAGGAGTGGTTCTGAGAAGAAACTAGGCAACAATGTAGAATTAGATCTTAAAACAAATTGACTCTCAAATAAGCTGGAGGAAAGTGACTCATGAGATAGGAGAGGCATTCCCTTGGCATACACAGTGACTCCCTATAGCTCTGTGAGTTGAACATCCCTAATCTGAAAATCCAAAATGCTCCAAAATCTTAAACTTTTGAGCACCAAATGACACCACAAATGGAAAATTCCTCACCTGACCTCATGCAACTTGTTGCAATCAAGACTTAGACACAAAACACACTGTTTATTCACCATTCCCAAGGGGTTACAGTGCACAGTAACTTTTCAATCAAAACACAGAATTGTAGGTGGAAACTGAGAGCCTGTCATTGTTTGTGACTGCTGTTGTTTAATGGATGATACAGGTGTTCTGGTGGTGCTATTGTGCCACTTAGTTACCCTGAACACATTTTTTCACCGTATTAGTGGTATGTCATATTTTTTACTAAGTACTTATATGTGAATAAGTATAAGAAAATGATTGCTTATTGGTTGCATATCAATTCAAAGTCAGCAATGATGGTGATGCCAAACAACAGGTGACTGTCCATATGGGTGTCTGAGATAGTGACACCTTTGCTTTCTGATGGTTCAATGTACATCAACTTCATATATGCACAAACCTTGCTTCATACACAAAATTATGTAATATACTGTATAAAATTACCTTCAGGCTATGTGTATAAGGTGTATATGAAACATTGGTGGCCGGGCGCGGTGGCTCACGCCTGTAATCCCAGCACTTTGGGAGGCCGAGGCGGGTGGATCACGAGGTCAGGAGATCGAGACCATCCTGGCTAACAAGGTGAAACCCCGTCTCTACTAAAAATACAAAAAATTAGCCGGGCGCGGTGGCGGGCGCCTGTAGTCCCAGCTACTCGGGAGGCTGAGGCAGGAGAATGGCGTGAACCCGGGAAGCAGAGCTTGCAGTGAGCCGAGATTGCGCCACTGCAGTCCGCAGTCCGGCCTGGGCGACAGAGCGAGACTCCGTCTCAAAAAAAAAAAAAAAAAAAAAAAAAAAAGGAAACATTGGTGAGTTTTACCTTTAGACATGAATCGCATCCCCAACATAACTCATTATGTATATGCAGATATTCCAGAATCTGAAAAAATTCAAAATCTGAAACACTTTCGGTCTCAAGCATTTCAGTTAAGGGATGCTTAACCTGTAAATGCTCCCTGGAGTAGAAGAGGTAGACTTTACTTGGCAGGGAGGGAATAGGGAAGTTGGGTTGGTTTCTTGGTGTAAAAAGGTCTGGAGGTGAATAGAAAGGCTTTCTCTGGGCCGGGCGTGGTGGCTCATGAGACCATCCTGGCTAACACGGTGAAACCCCATCTCTACCAAAACTACAAAAAATTAGCCGGGCGTGGCGGCGTGCACCTGTAGTCCCAGCTGCCGGGGAGGCTGAGGCAGGAGAATGGCGTGAACCCGGGAGGCGGACCTTGCAGCGAGCCCAGATCACGCCACTGCACTCCACACTCCAGCCTGGGCGACAGAGAGAGACTCCGTCTCAAAAAAAAAAAAAAAAAAAAAAAGAAAGTCTTTCTCCGAGTTGAGAGAAGACTGAATGATTTTAAGCTTCAGTATTTGCACTCTTCAGTGTGTGGGTATCAATAGGAACATAACTATTTGTAGGTATTGTGAGTAAATTGTTCTGATTTATGTGAAAGATTACTTTTGGGGACTAAAGGAGTTCATAGACTAGAGGAACAGAGTAGGGTGAGATTGTGCAGGCCTTAAAAATTGAGCCGAGAAGCTTATATTTAATGCTATAGGTCAAATACTTGTAAAGCAATGGAACCCATTCTTTCAGCCTAATTTTATTCTGAAGTACACAGTGTAGAACAGTCAGACCAGAACTTTTGCCATTAAAATAGGTGCATGGTGAGCCTCCCATCTTCCCCCCTTGGCAGGCCCAAAGAGGACACCACAGATCTGATGTTCAGAGGTGCTTAGTTTGAAAAATTGCCATTTGTAGGCTCTTGGACAGGGGAGTAGAATGAGTAGAGTAATATTTGACAAGAGTTTAGTGGAATGAGATTTTCTAAGATGACGTGGAGACTAAGAAGCTGGAGGCTGGGGAGACTGGAAATTTTCTATTGTGCTAATCCAAGCTTGAGGTGATGAAGACTACACAGTCCAAATTTTCTATTGCTGCTGTAAAAAAATTACCACAGCCTTGATGGCTTAAACAATACAAACTTCTTACCTTGCAGTTCTTTAGGTCAGAAGTCCGACATGGGTATCACTGGACTAAAATTAAGATGTTGGTAAGGCCGCCCTCCCTTCTAGAGGCTCTGAGGGAGAATCCATTTTCTTGCTTTTCCCAGCTGCTGGGCTGCCTGCATTCCATGCTTTGTGACCTCCTTCTTCCGTCTTCCTCGCCAACGCAGCAAGTTGAATTCTTCTCATGCTGCCACTGCCACCTCTCTGGTTCTATGTCCACAGCTGAGAAAGTTTCTTCTCTTTCAAGACTCATGTGATTAGAGTGGCCCCACCCAGATTATCCAGGATAATCTCCCCATCTCAAGGTTGGTGACCTTAATCACATCTGCAAAGTCACCTTTGCCATGTGAGGTAATAAAATTCATAGTTCTGGGGATCTGAGTGTGGACATCTTTGAAGGCCATTTTTCTGTCTACCACAAGACTTAAAACGGATATTTTAAACAATCAATAGGACTTCCCTTTTAGCTGAATTGATGGCTCAGTAAGTCAATTTGATATGGAAATAGGGTAGAATAGGTGGAAGAAGATATTGAGATGAATTATTGGTGATTTGGGTAATTTTACCCCTTTTTAATCATTGTAAGACTTGTGAAGGTCTCTGTATGCCTGCTTGCTGCCTTTAGAGAAACAGCCCTGTAGTCATGAAAGCAGTAATCTGAGTGTCTTGGGAGAGCTTTCAGATCTGGTATCAATAAGCCTTTCAAAAGCAGGCCTGATCTGTTTCTGAGTGTCCCCAGGGATGGACTTACTTTCCCACTTTCCCCAAGAACACTAGTGCCTCTCTTGTTGGCTCCCAGTTGCTAGGGTAGCAGAGAGGGCATTTTCCTCCCTCTTCTCTCCTTCCCCTTTACAAACCCCATCTCAATCAGTCTGATTTCCCAGATGGAGCAAATGGGGCCAGGGAACAAGATATGACAAATGATTGCCAAAGCGCAGTAGAAGATGGCTTTGGGATTGCACTGGAATTGGTAAATGGAGATCCTGGTGTCCACTGGGCAGGTGATTTGGGTGCTGGTGAAGGTTGTGGCAATCATTCTGAGCAGAATGTGCCTGTGAGAGCCTTTCTCTACTATTGGGGCTAATTCCAGGAGAAAGGATGCCTAGTTAAGACACTACCTTATATGATTTTGATCCCTTTATTTCTCAGTCTCATTGGTTGCACCTGATTTCCTCTATGACATTATACAACTATTGTATAATTTTTTCTGCTGGTAGCACATGATTTTTCCAAATTAAAAAAAAAGAAAAAGGTTATACTTTTCATCTATGTCTGTGTAAACAAACCCAGTAATTACTATAACTCAAATTGCTGCTGAAACTCTCCATATTTTAATGTGCACACTGTTGCACTTGTTACTAAATGTCTGCATATATACTGGGAAGCTAATCCTGAATTAGGAAACTGAAAAACTGATTAAAATAAAATTGGGCCAAGTCCATGATTTTTATATTCATAAGATTCAAATTTTCTGTGAGGAAATGTGCAATATGAATTGAATTATCTTCCAGAGTAATAACAACAACAACAAAAAGGAAACTTAAGCAATGGCAAAATATGGGTATCTGTGCAGGGAGACGTATGAATTCCGCTTGTGGTTTCGGGTGATTGTGATTCCGCATTCTGCCCTGGTGAAACAACCTTTACTTACTAGACTGCACAAACTCAATTCTCTTTAGTCCAAAGTGGGTATTATCCAGTTCTCCTATAGAAACGTTTTCTCAAATTTTAGAATTTTACCAAAATAATTTTTCCACTGAACTTTGAAGACAGCATTATTAATCTTCATAAGTGTTTTAATCACTTTCTTTCCTGATTGCCTTTAGGACAAAAAAGCAGTTGTAAATGTTCAAAAAAAAGAAAAAGAAGTCAGGAAGGTGAGAGTTCATTATTTTTGTGCCTATAGGCATAGGCTAGCTGAAACTGAGTATTAAGGAAATCATGTAGAAAATTCAAGTCTCTGCATTTTCTTTTAGTAAATTGTAATAATTGGACTATCCCTAACACACCTTTGTTTGTTCCCTCCAGGCCCACTCTCTGTCCCTTTACAGTTTGTTCGCTGTCCAGGCAGCTGACCTGTATGGGCATCACCAACGAGCTCCTTTGTCTTGTGGCTTCAATGTGGGTTAAGACAATGGAGAGCCCCAGCAGGAGACCAGAGGGAGAAGGGCGGGAAAGGTCAGGTGGGCGTTAAACCTCTACTGAACGCCACTGCTCTTGTCAAGTTGCCTTGTCTTCCAAGCTCTAGAAATGATGCTCTCCCCTTTTCTCTTCGGACCTGGCAAAGGGAAGAGCATCACATTATTCCCAGCTTGTAGGTACTGGACTCTCCCTTGTGGTTTTGGGCTTCCATTTCTTGCCCACATCTTTATGAATAGTCCCTTTAGTAAACCCTCCTCAAGTTATCCTAATTTGACTGTGTTCTCTGTTTCCTACTGTGACCCACACAAAGACAGAATCTGGTTCATCCAGCCCTACTAATTCTGTATCTAAACAAATCTGAATTATTCTCCCATTCTGAGGCCACCATCATTTCTTACCAGGACTGGTTTTTTGTTTTGTTTTGTTTTTGTTTTTGTTTTTGTTTTGAGATGGAGTTCTTGTTCGGTCGCCAGGCTGGAGTGCAGTGACGCAATCTTGGCTTACTGCAACCTCCGCCTCCCAGGTTCAAGCCATTCTCTTGCTTCAGCCTCCCGAGTAGCTGGGACTACAGGCATGCAACACCACACCTGGCTAATTTTTGTATTTTTAGTAGAGATGGGGTTTCACCATGTTGTCCAGGATGGGTTCTATCTCCTGTCCTCGTGATCTGCCCACCTCGGCCTCCCAAAGTGCTGGGATTACAGGCGTAAGCCACCACACCCAGCTACCGGGACTGTTAACTAACCTCCCTGCTTTCACCATTTATGGCTTAAAATCTTCTAAAGGTTTCCCATCACACATATAATAAATCCCCAATTCCCTGTCATGGCCCAAGGCCCTGCATGATCAGACTGTTATTGTTCAACTTTCTCTTGAGTCACACTCATTTCCTAGGTTCCAGAATATCTCAAGTCCTCTCTTGCCTGGGGGCTTTTGCCCGTAGTGTTCATTCTGCCTGGCCTGTTCTACTCACTGTTCTTCACATGGGTAGCACCATCAAAGACAAAAACTGAATAAGTAAGGAGATTGATTTTATTTTGGCTATTGCAATAGGGAAAACACCCCAGATTTGAAGATTAGAGTATGTATTTATTTTCTATTACTGCTGTAAAAAATTTTCACAAAATTAGTGACTTAAAACAATAGAAATTGATTCCCTTACAGTTCTGGAGGCTAGAATTCCAAAATGAGTCTTCCGTGCCAAAAATCAAGGTGTCTCTGGTGCCACATTGCCTCTGGAGAGATGCAGATTCTCTAAGGGAGAATCTGTTTTCTTGCTTTTTCCCATGTCTAGAGCTGCATTCCTTGGCTCATGGCCCCTTTATCTTCAAAACCGGCAGTGTAGCATCTTCTGTCTGACCCTGCTTCCATCACATGATTTTCTGCTTATAGTCAAATGTCCCTCAGCTTCCCCCTTACAAAGATACTTGTGCTTATGCATGTGGTGCTTAATACCTAGGTGATGGGTGGATAGGTGCAGTAAACCATCATGGCATGTGTTTACTTATGTAACAAACCTGCACATCCTGTACATGTATCCCAGAATTTAAAATAAAATAAAGTAAAATAAAATTTAAATTTAAAAAAATACTTGTGCTTTTATTTAGGACTTAGCCAGATAATCCAGGATGATTGCCTCATCTCAAGATCCTTAATCACATTTGCAAAAGCCCTTTTTCCATGTAAGGTAAAATTCACAGATTTCAGGGATTAGGACCTGGATATCTTCAGGGGCCGTGTTCAGCCTACTACAGTGTATCTAGCAGGATAGTTTTGTTTTAGATTTTTTCTGTTTGTTTGTTTTTTTGAGACAGAGTCTTACTCTGCCACTCAGGCTGGAGTGCAGTGGTGTGATCTCAGCTCACTGTAACCTCTGCCTCCTGGGTTCAAGCAATTCTCCTGCCTCAGCCCCCTGAGTAGCTAGGATTATAGGCACCCGCCACCATGCCCGGCTTATTTTTTTGTATTTTTAGTAGAGGCTGGGTTTCACCATGTTGGCCAGGATGGTCTCAAACCCCTGACCTCAAGTGATCTGCCCACCTTGGCCTCCCAAAGTGCTGGGATTACAGGTGTGAGTCCCCACACCTGGCCTTGTCTTAGATTTTTATAGGGAAGAGTAGACAAGTTATAGGTGGAGTAAATTTAAAGTTGGGATTGTTTATTTCTGTGTCTAGTTAGTTTCATGAGGACAAAACTTATCTCAGCTAATCATCCATGAGACAAAGAATAAAGTTAGAAGGTGTCTGTCTGACCTTATGTGCAGGCTCAGTTTAAAGGGGAAAAGTCTGGGTTTGACCTTGTCACAGGTAAACAAAGGAATCATCTACAGTCTTGTAGGAATCATGAGAAAGAGTTGGCAGTGTCTTGTCTAAGTCATATAGGGAATGGTGGTTGATTTCAGTTAGCCATTTCTAGAACACAGAAAGCTGGGGAGACTTCTTAACGATTGCTGTGTTCCAGGAGCACAGGGCTCCGGTAAAGTTCAACACTGTCAGCACCTTCTTATCCTTATGTGTTTTTCATAGACATCCTCACTGAGTACCCTAATAAAGTATTACTATTTCCATTATTCTCTGTCACACTGATACAGAACAGCTGGGCTCCTGGCTAAACCCCCTCCCCACCCCACCCTTAAGCCTGGAACCACAGCCCTAAGTGAAAATAGCTGACCCTGTTTTTCCACCCAAATGTTACTTTTTTGGCCTGCCACGCCCCTATCCTGTTGACATAAAAAGACTTCAACTGGCAGAGCAACACAAGCAGCGGAGCGGTGGGGGTACAAGCTGCTGAGCATCAAGACTATGGATAGATGTGGCTAACTTCAGACAGTGTGGCTTCAGGGAAAGATCACCTTCTTCCCACACCCATCCCCTTTCCAATTCCTTATCCTGCTGAGAGCCACTTATATCACCCAGTAAAATCCTCCGCATACACCAACCACCCTTCTATTCGTTCTTGTGGCCTGATTCTTCCTGGATGCCCGGGTACGGAGAGGGCAGGGGCTTGGATGCTGCTATAGGGCCTGCACAGAGCGTGCTCCTGCCAGAGAGGAGTAATGGGCCAGTTCCAGTGTTGTCTCCGGTTGCTGCACTCGCTTGCTCGCAGGCTCTCTTTTGGGAGGAGTGGCCGACAGTGGGCTGAGTGAAAGGAGCCTCTCCAGTTCCCGCCCACAAAGGGCATCAAGGTCAACAGAGTTATCCTGTCTCAACACTTTCTCTTTATTTCCTTCACAGTATTTTTCACAATTTGTAATTATTATGTGTAACTTGTTTTCTTGTCTGTCTAAACCTTTAACTTTTTGAGGGCAGGGAATGTGGATGCCAATATCTTAAGAGCTCAGAACAGTGTATCTTTGTGTCTTTACAGCCTGACACATTTTTGTTGAATCAATTGACAAAAGAACTGACACCAGATGGCCAATCAACTCAAGAGAAAGTGAGTATAGTAGTGAACTAAATAAGGATAAAAATAACAGTGATTGAAAAAAGAGGCTGGGCGAGGTGGCTCACGCCTATAATCCCAGCAGTTTGGGAGGCTGAGGTGGGCAGATCACAAGGTCAGGAGATTGAGACCATCCTGACCAACATGGTGAAACCCTGTCTCTACTAAAAATTAAAAAATTAGCTTGGCGTGGTGGCGGTGCCTGTAATCCCAGCTACGCTGGAGGTTGAGGCAGGAGAATCGTTTGAACGGGAGTGCGAGGTTGCAGCGAGCCGAGATCGCACCATTGCACTCCAGCCTGGGCAACAGCGTGAGACTCCGTCTCAAAAACATAAAAAAAAGAGTGAGGCTGGGTGCGGTGGCTCATGCCTGTAATCTTAGCACTTTGGGAGGCCAAGGTGGGCAGATAATTTGAGATTAGTTCAAGACAGCCTGGCCAACATGGTGAAACTCCATCTCTGCTAAAAATACAAAAATTAGCCGGGCATAGTGGCGCATGCCTGTAATCCCAGCTACTTGAAAGGCTGATGCATGAGAATCGCTTGAACCTGAGAGGCAAAAGTTGCAGTGGGTTGAGACATGCCACTGCACTCCAGCCTGGGTGACAGAGCGAGACTCCATCTCAAAAAAAAAAAAAAAAAAAAAAAGAGAGAGAGAGAGAGTCAGAAATCCCAGGCAGCAGGATAAGCATATTCAGAGCTCTGGAGAGTACAGAGTGTGTGGTGCGTCAGGGCATAGCTGGTGTGGAAGGGCCCTGAGCAGGGCAGAATGCGGCTTCATAGTGAGTCAGAGACCAGACCCCAAAGGAGTTTCATACTTGCCATGTCCCCTCAGTGCCCTGTATTAATTCATCGTTCCAACAAATATCTGTTGAATGTGTTCCATGTGCCAGGCACTGGTCTAGACTTTGAGGATATGGCAGGGAACAGAACAGACAAAATAAGTCTGACAACAGATAGAAGATGTGATTCAAATGAGTAGTGCCGAGAGTTAAGGAGAAAAGTAAAGCAGGGAGGGAGGTATGGGATTTAGACTTCTGATTTCAGAGAGGGAAGCCAGGGAAGGCCTCAGTGAGAACATGCTATTTGCTGATTGTGGGGCTGGGGGCTGGGGGTTGTTTTACCTAACTTGAAGGAAGTGATATCTTGGGGAAGGGCATTCCAGGCAGAGGACACAGCAGGCACTAAGGTCCCAGGGTGCAAACTCACCTGTAAGAAGGCCAGTGTGGTCTGAACAGTGACAGAGGAAGGCGTACACAGTTGTAGGTGTTGAAGTCGCAGAAATAGGTGGATGGGGTGCAGGGGTAGGGCCTTGTAAGCTCTTGTAAGGACAGTGGCTTTTCCATGGACTGAAATGGGAAGCCATTAGAAGATTTTGGTAACAGGAATGACAATCTCTAGTTTACTTGGCAGGATTGCTTGGGTTGCTATGAGGAAGAGGAGGAGTAAGGCCTGATGTGGAAAGACCTTTGAGAAGATGTTGAAATGAGGCAGAGGAGGAGCTAGGCCTGATGTGGAAAGACCCTTGAGAAGGCTCCTGCAGTGATCCAGGTGAGAAATGGTCCAGTGGCAACATGGGTCAGAGAGGCAGAAGTGGAGATGGTGACAAGTGAGTAGATTCTGGATATATTCTGAAGCCAATAGGATTTGCTGATAAATCAGATGTGCGTGTGAGAGTCAAAGATGACTCGAAGATTCATGGCAAGGATAGCATTGTCATGCATGGAGATGAAGGAAGAGTGTTAAAGAGCACCTTTGGGAAGGAAGAGTAAGAGCTCACTTTTGGACACATTAAGTCAAAAGTGCACAAATAATACTTTTTTTTAGTAGAATTCATTTTGTAAATGTATCTTTGAGCATTAGGAAATCACAGTATGGTGATCTGTTTCCAATGTGCGTGTTGTGTTAGCAGCTGGAGTTGTTTAATATTTTTTTTTGTATTTGTTTTTGTTTTTTGTTTTTTGAGACAGAGTCTTGCTCTGTCACCCAGGCTGGAGTGCAGTGGTGCAATTACAACTTACCGCAACTTCCGCCTCTAGGGCTCAAGTGATCCTTCCCACCTCAGCCTCCCAAGTAGCTGGGACTACAGGCATACACCACCACACCTGACTAATGTTTGTTATTATTATTATTATTTTTTTTTTGTAGAGACAGGGTTTCACTGTGTTGCCCAGACTGTTCTCGAACTCCTGAGCTCAAGCTATCCTCCTGCCTCGGCTTCCCAAAGTGCTGGGATTACAGATGTGAGCCACCGTGCTTGGCCTAACATCTTTAAATACCTGTTATTTCTTACTCCTCTGAACTTCTCACTTTCCCTGAGAATAATTTTACCACCTCTTTGTTGGGCAGAAGTGCAATAGGAACATCAGAAAGTGCAAGTACATAATAACAGAGAAGTCAGTCTCTTTTTCTTCATCTCTTGGGCATCGAAAAGAGCAGATGATCCAGATTTGAAAGTCTGGGAAAGCCATGCTGTGTGAGAACAGGGGCTTGCATGACAACAGAGGGTTGGGCTTGAGCCCCCAGGGTCTGCAGCAGTCTCACAGTTTAGCAGTTACTTATGCCTTTCTCTCAAAGTCAACTGCTGAGTTTTGTCCCAAACTACCCTCTGCTGCAATATGTCTCCCAGGCTGAGGAGGAAATTAGTCTTCTTATCCCAGTTGTCATTGCTTGTCACCTTCTCTGAAGCAATGACATTCATGACCTGGTTCTTGGCCTCAACCTCTGAGAAGTTCTCCTTTCTGCATTCCTCATCTTAAATTACTTAACCTGAAAATATACTGTTTAAATCTTACACTGGAGCTCCATATACTCTGCTTAACTGCAGAAAGAGTCTGTCTATGTAAATTAATTTTCCAGATAACTGAAGCTTAGCCATCTTTTGATGCCAGCCATGTGGACGAGAATTTTTCTGAGGGTGAATTGCAGTGCAGGTATCCTTGCTTTCTTAACCAGGATACATGGAACAAAATTGAGCTTTTCTGCCATTAGTCTGTCCTCTTACAAAGTAATGATGTCCTCAAGCTCTACTGGGGTGTGTAGAATCTCTTTCACGTTTTTGACCTCAGATTGCTGCAATTTTGTGCTCTATATTTCCTTTGTTAAAAGTTTTTCATGTTTTGCTGCATTATCCCTGGTGTCACTTATGGCTAGTTACTGCTCATTTAACATTTTGTTGACTGAAAAACAATGTAACTAGAATTGTGTGCAAATGTTCTGTATGGAAACATCATTTTAGTACTTGAGGATCTCTGAGGTCTTTTTCAGGTTTAATTTATTTTTATGGTTCTAGATATCCCTCCAAATGAATATGATCTATTGTGCATGCACAGAGAGTGGAACTTTTTGGGGGACACTTCATGGACCATTTTTAACTTATCTAACTCCCAGCTTGGCTCTTCATAGCTGATATATATGATCTCTAGAAATGTGAGATAGCAATATTGAAGGCAGGATTCTAAGATGGCCTGTGTAATCTCCTCCTCTTGAGTCTGGGAGGGACCTGTGAGTATGGTGGGGTGCCCCTCTAATTATTAGCTTACTTTATAAGGAAAAGATGAAAATTTTTGCAGATATAATTAAAATCCTTAATCTGTTGACTTTAAGTTTGATCTTTTTAAAAATTATTTTATTTTATTATTATTTTTTTTTGAGAGGGAATCTTGCTCCCGTTGGGCAGGCTGGAGTGCAGTAGAGCGATCTTGGCTCACTGCAACTTCTGCCTCCCGGGTTCAAGCAATTCTCTTGCCTCAGCCTCCCAAGTAGCTGGGATTACAGGCACGGGCCACCACACCCAGCTAATTTTTATATTTTTAGTAGAGATGGGATTTTACCATGTTGGCCAGGCTGATCTCTAACTCCTGACCTCAGGTGATCCACCAGCCTCTGCCTCCCAAAGTGCTAGTATTACAGGTGTGAGCCACCATGCCCGGCCTTTAAGTTCAATCATAAGGGAGATTGACTAAAGTGGGCCTGACTTAATCAGGTAAGCCCTTTAACAGAGGGTCTAGAGTTTAAAGATTTCTCCCTGGTGGCCTTAAAGACGCAAGCTGCCATGAGTTCTATAGCAGCAAGAAAATTAATACAGCTGCCAATCACTTGAGCTTGGAAGAGGATCCTGAACCTCAGAGGAGACTGTAGCCCTAGCTAAAATCTTGATTCCAGTATAGTAAGATCCTGAGCAAAGAACCCAGTTAAGATATGTCTGGCCAGCCATAGGGCTCACACCTGTAATCCCAGCACTGTGGGAGGCCGAGGCAGGAAGATTGTTTGAGGCCAGGAGTTCTAGACCAGCCTGGGCAACATAGCAAGACCTTGTCTCTACAAAAAATAAATAAAATAAAATAAAATAAAATAAAAGATATGCCTGTACTCTCGACCCATGGAAAGTGTGAAATAATAAATGGGTACTGTTTTAAACCATGAAGTTTGTGATAATTTATTATGCAGCAGTAGAAAATTAATACACATCCCACTTGGGTTTTGTGTTTAAAAGGATGAAAGAACATACTATACTCATAATGCATAGATTCACACAATTCAGTCACATTATAATAATTACCCTATCCTACTATGGATAATATCAATTCTGAGTTTTATTTGGCCCAGAAAATAAAACTCAGAACCTATTAAGATTATACTTGGCTGAGTATGGTGGCTGCTGCCTGTAATCCCAGCATTTGGGGAGGTTGAGGTGGGAGGACTGCTTAAATGCAGGAATTTGTGACCTGCCTGGGCAACAGAGTGAGACCCCATCTATAGAAAAAGGAATAATAAAACGAAAAAATAGTTCAGCATGGTGGCTTGCACCTGTAGTCCCAGCCACCTGGGAGGCTGAGGTGGGAGGATCACTTGAGCCCAGGAGTTCAGAGGCTTCAGTGAGCTATGACTGCGACACTGCACTCCAGCCTGGGCAACAGAGACTCTGTCTCCAGACAAAACAAAACAAAACAAAACACAGCACAAGATTATACTTGTCTATTCCTGAGTTCCAGAAAGTAAAATATGCAATATGAACCTACTGACCTAAATAATGTCTGCAGGGCCATAGTGGTAAATCTGATGCAATATTTCTCTATCACTTTCTCCACCCAAGAAAGAGGCATATATATATTTTAAAAGATCTCATGTTTAAAAAAAAAACAAAACTAAAAACCTAAGCTTATCAGTAGGTATGTGATGGGGTCAACTTTTTCTTTTTACAGTGACGTTTTAGTTGCTCACTTATTTTACGAATAAGCACAACACAATAATGATGGTATAATATATTTTTGAGTGTTAGAAATTTATTATATATGACCTTCACAATATATGTCAGATCAAACATGAGTTAATCATTAAATACAGTCTGGCAGACAAGTAGCTTGTTTATGGATTTAATTATTTAAATGTTAGTTTTTGAGTAGTTATTATTGTATATAGTAAAAATGAAATCTCTTACTTGTCCTTCATTCAGTTTTCTTCTCCAAAGTCAACCCTAATTGGTTTCTTATGCATTCTTCTAGAGGTACACTATGCATTTACAAATAAATATTCAAAAAATATGAATAAGTAAATGGTAACTAATGCTCACTAAATTGGATTAATTAAATTAACTGATTTCCTAGCAATAAGATATATCTGTATTCCTAGAATACCATATTCCTGATTATAGTGGAATATTGTTTGAATACATTGGTAAAATTGAGTTGCTAGTATTCTATTTTGGATTTTCCTATGTTTATTCATACAAGAAATTGACTTGTATCCTATTTTTGTGGTCTGTCATATTTTGGTATCAAGTTTATGCTAGTTTTGCAAAATAACTGAGAAAGGGAAAGACAATGTTTTATCTTGTTCTGTTCAGCAATAGCTTAAATATAATGGTAATTATATTTTCTTTGAAAGTTTAAAAGAAGTTGCCTAGAAAAAATCCTTTGGGTTGAAACTTTTTTGAGCTAGATCTTTGACAATCTTCGTGTTTTATCCTGAAGTATTAGATTTTATCAGGTATTCTATTTCCTTTTGAGTTAATTTGAGTGGTTTATATTTTACTACAAATAGATATGTGTATTGTAATTAAAAATTTACCATACTAGAGTTTTAAAGGACATTCTTTCCCAAAGTTGAACCCAAAGTCCCTTGCTTATTTGTAAATGTGTATATTTATATTTTATCTATTCTTCTAAAACTAAAAAGAAGTTTTTTTATTTGATGTTATTCCTTTTCTTTTTTAGCAACAGCAACAAACAACAGTTGAGTTTGTCATTTGAGCTGTTACTGTCTTTATTGAAAATAATAATGTCTGTGCTTAAGTATTTACCATAAAGTGCTGAGCCCAGTACTGTGCTCATCTATTGACCCACATTATCTCATCTGTTTGCAACAACCCTAAGAGATGCATTCTCTTAATCCCCGTTTTACATAGGAGAAGACTGATTCTTAAGGACGCCAACTAACGACCCCTCTTCTAGAGAGTGGGGAAACTGAGATTCAGCTCCCAGCTCTTTGTCTCCTAGGCTTGAGCTCTTCATCTTACTATGCTGCTTTTTCCCTCAATTTCTTTTTCATGCCTTCCTTTGATTACTTTGTGCTGTTTTTAATTCTTGAGTTTAATGTTAACTTCCATTTTTCTTATTTATTAATAAAGCCATTTATGGCTACATATTTGCCTCCAACTCCTGCTTTTTTATCATATGTTTTGCTATGTGGAATTCTCCATGTCATTTTTACCAAAGAGTCTAAAGCTGCATTTTCTACTTCTTTTTGACCTGAGTTATTTAGGAGAATTTTCTTTTTCCAGTAAGTAAGGTTTTTTATATTGTTGTTTATATATTTGTAATGTCAGTTTTATTGTGTTGTGATAAAAGTGTTATATTTACTATTTCTACATTTTGGAATTTACTGAGTTTTTATTTGCTATTAACATAGAATTTGTTTTCATAAATATTCAATAGATTTTTAAAAGTTGATGTATTTTCTGTGGGTGAGCACTATTGTACCTATTCAATTTTTTTTTAATGTTGTTTGAATTCTTCCTATACTTGATTTGTCAAAGATTGTCATAAGGGTGAACTGTTTCCTAAGAAAATTGACTTTCTGGCCGGGTGCAGTGGCTCACGCCTGTAATCCCGGCACTTTGGGAGGCCGAGGCGGGTGAATCATCTGAGGTTAGGAGTTCAAGAACAGCCTGGACAACATGGTGAAACTCTGTCTCTACTAAAAACACAAAAGTTAACCGAGCTGTCGGCACATGCTTATAATTCCAGCTATTCAGGAGACTGAGGCAGGAGACTCACTTGATCCCGGGAGGCAGAGCTTGCAGTAGGCAGAAATTGTGCCACTGCACTCCAGCCTGGGCAACAAGAGTGAAACTCCATCTTAAAAAAAAAAAAAAAAAAAAAAAAATCAAAAATTGGCTTTCTGGGACTGTCCTTTTGTTTCCAACAATTTTTTGTATTATTTATGTCAATACTATGCTATTTGTTTACAGAATGCTGCATTATTATTATAGCTACATTGTGGCTATATCTATTTTATAAATATAAAATGATACTCTCCTGTCATTCCTAATTCTTTTAGTCTTAAACTTTGAAGTTAATATTGTCAACTCTATTCCTTTTGCTTAAATGTTTGTGTATATTTTTGTTTATTCTTTTGCTTTTAGCCTTTTTTTTTCACTTCCACTTGTGGACTTTTAGCCTTTTTATATTTAATTCTGAATATAATGCTTGCAGATAGAATAGAGTTTGATTTTTTCATTAAATTTGAGAGTCATTTTGTTAATAAGAAAGATGAACACATTTGTGTTTTCTATTTGTTTCTTGCATGTTTGATTTTTCTTCTATTGTAGGATTCTATTATTGTATAATTTCTCTCTTTTTTAAGTAATATTTTTTTACTCTTCTCTTTTGGATTATTTTTAATGTTTTTATGCTCTTTATGTATTGGGATTTACACACAATGTTGTTGTTTTCTTTTCTGATGCCTCTGCCAAAGGCATCCATGAGATGCTGCATAGCAATGCCCACCAAGCATACCATGCAACCTCTCAGGGAAGCTGTTCTGAATACTTGCAGTATCCAACACAATGGGTCCTAAGGAAGGTGCTCCACCCTGTCCTACTGCCTATTCTCACTTCCAGCTTCAAATTGCGGGGAAGGATTATTGGAATTCTCCCAGGGTCTCCTGCAATTATTCCCTAAGATTTTTTTTTCCCCAGGAGCATTGATTGTAAGCTGATCTTTGATTGCTTCCATCAGTCTCCACCCATGTAAACTATAGCATGATTTTATTTCTAAATAAATTACCATGTGAATGGCATCCTTTCTTAGTTTTCTGCTGTGATGCAGATTTTCTTCTGTTTTTTAAAAATTTTATTTTTTTTTTTTGAGACGAAGTTTCACTCTGTTGCCCAGGCTGGAGTGCAGTGGCGTGATCTCGGCTGTTTCAGGGGAGACCTGATACGCATTGAGAAAGATAATTAGATAGGCTGGGCGCAGTGGCTCACACTTGTAATCCTAGCGCTTTGGGAGGCCAAGGCGAGCAGATCACCTGAGGTCAGGCGTTCGAGACCAGCCTGGCCAACATGGCAAACCCCCTCTCTACTAAAAATACAAAAATTAGCCAGGTGCCTCTAATCACAGCTACTCAGGAGGCTGAGGCATGAGAATTGCTTGAACCTGGGAGGTGGAGGTTTCAGGGACCCGAGATTGTGCCATGGCACTCCAGCCTGGGTGACAAAGTGAGACTCCATGTCAAAAAAAAAAGAGAGAGAGAAAGAGAATTAGATGCCATTCCTCCAGTGTATGTGTGTGTGTTTTACAAAAGTCTGGTCAATCTGCATTTAGGGTAGGACACCTAGAGAGAAACATCAAGACAATTAGTGTTTAAATATATGGATCTGAGACTTAGAAGAGATCTGAGTTAAAAATGTAAATTCAGGAGACACCAACATGTAGTGGAAATCAAATCATGGAAATGGGAGGGACTGCCCTCAAAGCACTAGTTCCAAAATCTTGCAGATCATCAGAACATACAGGTCCCTCAGTCCCACTCCCAGAGATTCTAATTTACCAGGGTTATGGTGGTCCCCAAGAATTTATACTCTCTTTTTAAAGTTTCCATCAATGGCCTGGTATGGTGACTCATGCTTGCAATCCCAGCACTTTGGAAGGCCAAGGCGGGAGGATTGCTTGAGGCCAGGAGTTCAAGAGCAGCTTGGGCAATATAGTGAGCTCCTGTCTCTACAAAAAAATTTTAAAAGGTTAGCCAGGTGTGGTGGCGTATGAATGTAGTCCTAGCTATTCAGGAAGTAGAGGTGAGAGAATTGTTTGAGCCCAGGAGTTTGAGATTATGGCGAGCTATAATTGCACCACTACACTCCATCCTGGGTGAGAGAGCCAGACTTTGTCTCTAAATAATAATAATAATTATAATAAATAAAGCTTCCATTGAAATATTTCTAAAATTGAGTGTTAAGTAAAAAACTCATAGGACAATGCTCCCAGTATGGCACTATCTATGAAAGAAATTTTATGTCTATGAATATGTCTATATTTGTGGGGATGGGAGCAGAGACAGCAACTGAAAAAGTGATGGTGAAGTCATGGTGAGGAAAGGGTGGGGACGCTGTTGAGAAACATGCACAAAGTGAGGAGACAGAGACAGTTGGACACCAATGCACATGACTGTGGAATGTTCTCCTTCTTGCTCAGAAACCTGAGTGTAGACATGGACATGATGGGTGGCTGGATCAATAGAGTTGGGTGAAGAAAAGGACAACAGCAGGGCACCAAGGGCTGGATAAATCTGCTGCTATGTGACTGTAGCCCCTATCCTTTTAACTTTCTGCCCTCCGAATTTATTCCCAATACAGTTGCTCTTGACCTCAAGATCTCTAGTACCTTAGAGCCACCCAACCCTTAACCTGGAATCCAAGGGCTATACTCAGCCATCTTCTTGCTACTAGCCCTCTGGAAATTCAGTAACTCGGTTTCTACTACTTTATATGGTCCCTTCGGTACTACCCAGACCTTGTTTAATGAAGAGCTTGTTGCCCTAACAGCTAGGAGTGCTGTCAGCACATAGACTTTCCCTGCCAGGCCCTTGGGGGATTGCCTCTGCTGCACAGAGCTGCCCCATGCACCCCCCTGCCCCAGAGGTCACACCTCTTCCCAGGCAGCCCCCATGCAATAACTGATAAAAGCAGAGTACAAAAGCCTGGCCCTTTCTGCCCTGCTTGGGATGACTCTCTGTAGGGTCAGCAGAGGCTGTCGTTGGGCCTGCATCCCAGCTCACTGCTTACCTCTATGTTTGCTGTTTCTTCCCCTCCTTCCCTCAGGTGTTGATCCCCAGGGGATCATGCTAAACTTTGTCTCAGAGTCTGTTTCCCAAGGAGCCCAACTTGCAGCAGCCGGGAAAGAAACAAGAGCCAGAATGTCCTGTTAAAGAAGTCATATTACTTCTCACCTTTCCCAGAGACCCTCAAGTATTTCAGAGAAGTGTCAGGCCCACATGAAGCTGAGTTTAGGCATTTGGATTTCAGGTCCATAGTGCTCAAGAGAAAGGGTTTTATCAAGGGCAGAGTTAAGCACAGTGGCCCTGGATTTGGAATAGGAATATCCAGCTGCCTAAGCTTTGCTGATGGTCTCCCTTATTCTCTGGTCATCCTTCTGAGCAGAGAGGCTGGGTTAGGAAGTCCTGATCTTGAATCCTAGCTTTAAGCAGCTGCAGATGAGGCCACTGACTGAAATCTTCAGGCTCACATCTGATACACCATTGCACCACAATTTTAGTGACTGAAAGTAAAAACATGACCTAGGCCAAAGCAATTGAATTTGAGTGCTTTTATTTCAGGTTCATATTTTCCCATATATGTTTTCAGTTAGAATGAACAGTCAAAACATGTCAAGGAGAAAAATCAAGCCATTCATCAGAAAATCAATATTTTCATTGGTTTGTCAATGTGATTATGTATTATAGGTATACTAACAAAAATGAAAAAAATCAGTATCTGTATATTCCAAATTTTACAAGTTTTTCAACTTCACATTTTAATTATTCTTTTAAATCCATACAATCACTATAGAAAGTAACTAAATATATGATTCAGGATATATTTCTTAATAATGGTTTGAAAATTTGTAGCACTTAGTTTTCAAGTAGTCATCTATAAAGATTTCATCTGTACTAACCATTTAATTAGAAAAAAATATGCAAAGTAATGCCGTGATGGAAATTTCAAAATATTTGATAGGGAGTACAATTAAAGTTTATATATTGAGAATAGAATATATTTCATTTTATTGGAGTATATGGTGTCTTCTAATCTAGTTAATATACTTTTCAGGCAGCAGCAAATTTAAGCCATATGTTATCAATGATTGCTCAGATCACTTTAAGTATATAATCTGTTACATTAAATAACCTTATTTAGGTAACTGCTTTGAATATTTTGTAGACTCAACTACTTCTTAAAGTTTTGAGTTACTGATTTTTAAATCTGCTTTGGAGGTATAAGCCTCTGAGGGGGCCAAGCATAATTATGTTCCCCAGCCTATTGGTCTTTTCCTTTGATAACCACCTGTGGTTACTATGCCAGCCTGTCAATAAGCATTTATTGAGATCCTGCTGTGGGGCTGAGACCTATACCAGGGCTGAGAAGCAAACACTCAAAACAAAAAATTAAGAAACAAAAGGTTAAGTTTGTCTGGAGAAGTTTACAATCACATTGGTGGTTTTCATGAGCATAAGCCAACATGAGTTTCCTTGATTTTCTTGTTTATCAACAGCAGTGACAAAAATGTTTTTCTAGGGATAACATTGGCTTTGACAACCCCTTAAGCTGAGAAGAGAAAAAAAAGCTCGCATTAACTGATAAAAATTATGCAATGTATGTAGAATCTGGTAGGATCCTCTCCAGAGGTTTGCATATCCATAGATCAGATTTACAACATAAAGTACTGGAACATGTTTCTTAATTATGCATTACATTAAGTTAAAATGTATTCCAATCTTTCATGTTTTAAGAGTAAAATGTCAAGACATTTTTGTGATTTCCTCTAACTAGTAAGACAGGTGGGAGGTTCTTTGTGAGGATTTCCAACCAAGCCATATACAACAAATCCGATATGGATCCCTTTCTTGCCACGGGAAGGCTCCTAATGACATGAAGGAAAAATTTAAAAATGAAAGTGAAAATTACTATAGGTAGTAACGGCACTAGTATTTCTGAGCTATTTAATAACTGGCAGCCTTAATTTTTTTTTTTTTTTTTTTTTTTTGAGACGGAGTCTCGCTCTGTCGCCCAGGCCGGACTGCGGACTGCAGTGGCACAATCTCGGCTCACTGCAAGCTCCGCTTCCCGGGTTCACGCCATTCTCCTGCCTCAGCCTCCCGAGTAGCTGGGACTACAGGCGCCCGCCACCGCGCCCGGCTAATTTTTTGTATTTTTAGTAGAGACGGGGTTTCACCTTGTTAGCCAGGATGGTCTCGATCTCCTGACCTCATGATCCACCCGCCTCGGCCTCCCAAAGTGCTGGGATTGCAGGCGTGAGCCACCGCGCCCGGCCGGCAGCCTTAATTTTTACGCCACCCCAAGATGAAAGCACCAAAATTATTTTTACTGTAGATAGCAAACTGATGTATTTTTCAGGTAATACTATCTATAAACCAGAAAAACAGGCTTAGGTATTGTAAAGACAAAACAAAAATGTACATTTTCACTTTCCTTTAAATAGGGAATTTGATCAGCTAATACCTACCCCCGTTTTTGGTGTAAATGATTTTTCAAATAATTTAAATATCTTATATTTGGGAAAAACCTCAGAAACCATCTATTGGAACCCTACCACCCAATCCAGCAGACCATTCTACAATGTCTTTGATGGATAGTTGTCCAGTCTACACTACGTGAAGATATATTTATCTTTATACATAGGAGTCAATTCATGAGGTATAAATGTGAAGTCATTAGAGATTTTCTTGTTTAAATACCAACCTTTAAGTAAACAAACATACATTTTCAGTAGACGCAACCCTAACATTTGTAAGGCTAGAGCATAAAGAGTGAAAATGGAAATGGCTCTGCCTTTTTCTCCTACCCTGGCCTCTTCCTACAGTACAGGGAGCCTCATGAACCTGCCATGGGCACAGTGGCTCAGGGACATCCACTCAGGGAAGGGGCCCGTGAGCTGTGGTCGCTGACTTGTGGCTGTTAGGCAGAGAAATCCAGGGTCTCAGATTCCTGGAGCATGGTCTTACTAGATGGGCACACGCCTCTTCATAAGGCATGGTGGACAGCAAGTCCAAGTGAGGCTCTCTGATGCTCATGGGCCTGAGGGGTCAAGGTCTCAGAGTGGCACTTACCTTCCTTCACTGTCTAAGAATCCCACGTGTTCCCCCCCCCAAAAAAAACACAAAAACAAAACAAAATTCCCACCTGAAGAGTCCCAAGCTTTTAAATGGATTAACCCATTAACCCTAAGATTTATTTCTAATGTTCTTCAATGCTTGCAATGATACTTACAGGACAATGAGATTAGCAGCTCTGGAGTGCTCCTGTAAGAGTTCATTCAGTCGAACTTGGCGGTAACTCTGTGGGCAACATTCAGATTTGTTGAGTACAGTTCTACCAGAATTATGAATGAGAATTTATTTTCTTAAATCATGAACAAGCAGAAAATCTCATCTTAAAAAATGTATAAAAATTACAATTACTTTTTCAGGCTTAGAAACTTATGGTGTTTTAAAACCTCATGAGAAATTTTAGAAATATAAAGAATAAGACACAGTACAAAGATTTTCATTGTGCTATAGTGGCTTATTAAATTCTAGGGAGAGGGGAAGCAAACAACATAGATAACACTAAAAAGAAGGTGTTTTCTCCTACCCTGGCCTCTTCCTACACTACAAGGAGCCTCATGAACCTGCCATGGGCACAGTGGCATATGCCCATGCCTATGCACAGTGGAATGGCCAGTTTGAGGCAATAGGTTTTCTGTTAAAAAAGAAACCGATTGAATCTTTATACCAATTTGATACTCTAAGAACATAAATTATATTCTAGTCTGCCTTTCTTTAAGCTCTCTGAATATTCTGTAAGCAGAGGGGGCTTTCAATTAAAAAGCCACCAAAAGACTCACTTGGAAAAATAACCACTTTGCAGTGATGAGAGTAATATTTTTTATTGTATTTCACTGGTTCAGAAACCAAGGCTCAGATGCATGATTTGCTCAATTATATGAAAAAACTTGGTCAGAACCGGGCAGTTTGTTACACACAGACTTTATAATTCTAGTTCAGTCTCTTTTTTTTCACTAAATCTAAAAGGCTTTTAGCGTTTCTTGCTCGAATTTTTTCAAGTTCAGCTCCTAATGTGGTTTATGTAGGGCATGGTGGGCAGTCAGTCCAAGCGAGGCTCTCTGAAGCTCGTGGGCCCCAGGGGTCAGGGTCTCAGGGTGGCCCTTATCTTCCTTCACTGTCCAAAATCCCACATGTTCCAGTAAAACAAAATCCTACCTGAAGAGCTTTTAAATTGATTAACCCATTTATCCTAAGATTTCTCTCTCTCTTTTTTTTTTTTTTAAACAGGGTTTCACTCCTATCATCCAGACTAGAGTACAGTGGCACGAGCTCAGCTCACCTCTGCCCCCTGGGCTCAAGTGATCCTCCTGCCTTCGCCTCCCAAGTAGCTGGGACCACACACACGCTACCTCACCAGGCTAATTTTTGTAATTTTTTGTAGAGGTGGGGTTTTGCTCTGTTAACCAAGCTGGCCCTGAACTCCTGGGCTCAAGCAGTCCTCCCGCCTTAGCCTCCCAAAGTTCTGGGATTACAGGTGTGAGCCAGTGCACCCGGCCCTAAGATTTCTTTCTAACATTTGTAAATGCCTGCAATTATACTTAAAGTACAATGAGATTAGCAGCGCTTGAGTGCTCCTGTGAAAACACTCAAGATTTTGTAGTTTAGAAGTTCTTGTGGTCCTTTTTCATTTCCGTCCAATCCAGGTGTCAATTCTTCTACTTAGTTGTTGACCCCCTGCCCTTTGCATTATTCTCATTATCACCAACTTCATTTGGCTCAGGACAGAAGGCACAGATGGGAGCATCTTACTGGGCTGTCTAGAAAGGCTCACCATTTTACATCCATCTTACAATGTGTGCTGGATCCAGCTTCCATATTCATTGTTCCAGTCACATCATATGTTTCTTCAGATGCCTTTATAAGTTTTTCATAGCCATCTCTTCATCAGGTTAAAAGTATTTCTTATTGTGTTAAATTGTGAGTCAATCTAACTTTATCAACTTTGCACACATATTGACTCAAATTATTTTAGGCTGATGAGTCTGTCTCCTGCTCTTTAAAATTAAATTTGAAAGGAGACTTCACAATATGTACCAATAACCTATTTTTTAACTTTTAAAATATAATTGACCTTATGGGAAAAAATGAAAAAGTTTTCTAAATAATCGTATCCAGTAAATGATTGAAAAGCACTTGAAAAATGCAGAAAGCTTGGATCTTGAATAATGACATTTGATAATAAATATATTGCTTCTTTGTCTTTAAATCAACTACTGTTTCCTTTCTCAGCTAGTTAGACAGCAAAAAAATTAAGAAAGACAAATCCTTACCTTTTCCTTGACTGCTTCCAGTTCTGCATCTGTAATTTTCCACGGAGTTTCTCTTTTTAATTTCTCAGCAGTTGTTAAATCTTTGCAGCTTTCATGGAGACGATATGGTTCAATCATCTCTTCAAAGACTTTCCAGCTAAAATTTGAATTATAAAGGAGGCCTCACAGTGGGAAACTAACTCATTATTTCACAGATACTCCAGGTGTGACTGGCTCTGCTGGCTGTGGAATCAGAGCTGAATATCATGCAAATCTTTTAAGAATTATCTTTGCAGGGAATTTACTGTGAGTAAAACCATGGCTACAGTACTCCCTCCCTACCCCAGAAAAGGCCTTAGAGTGTTCAAGGCCTTGTTAGCCTATTAGGTATTAGATCTTCAATATTAACACACATACGCATACATACTTACAATATTAACACATATACACATAGGTAGTAATTGTTCTGCAAAGACATTTTCTGCATAGTGTAGTCGAAGACATAGTTGTAATGTAGATACTTTACCACACAAATGAGTTTCCACTTGCTTATTGTACAGACTCTATGGGAGACATTTATCAATTAATGTAGGAAATGGATATGGCTACCCTCACCCTTAGTCCACATGGCAACTCCCACTCATGGCAGGAGGCCGCGGGCAGGTAGGAGGAGAACAGCAAGGGCTCCCACAAGTTTAATGATTGTAGAACAATTTGGACGTTTTCTGCAAATAATGCTCCCCTTGTCCTTTTGTTGTTTGATGTTGCTGTCTGAGATTTTCAAATGAGTATTATTCAGGTTCATGTTAGGAGAAAGAACAAAAATCAATAATGTTTTAATGCCTAAAAATCTGAGGCTATGTTAGAACATTTAAAAAGAAATCGCTGAGGAGAAAACTAGCAGCTAAGAGCTATAGAACATTTTAAAAATTACTTATAAGAACCTCATAAGATTTATTTTTAAAAACAATGACACAAAGTAAAACTTATAATTTATGGCAGTAGTTGTCTCTAGTATGCTACTTTAAGATGATCTCAAGTATGAAAAATTTCTTTGGTTTTATATAATGTAGCTTAGTTATAATTTAGTAATTTTAGAATGAATAATAATTAGAATTGATATGCTGTTAAGTCAAGAAGTGAAAATATGAAGTAATGAGTTCAATTATCTCACCAACTGGCCTGATTTAGGATTTGCAGATAAAAGTGCAGAGATTACAAAGGAGCAGGATTGTCCCTACTAGTGAGCCTTTGTTAAGAGACTGAAAAGATACTTAATGCATTAGGCTTCTATTGCATTAACTTATTTAGAAAGGTAGGCAAAGACAGGGAAAGAATAAGACTGATAGGCCCTATTATTCTTTCAACTTTTATTTCCTATTTCAACAGTGTCGTGCCTTTAGAGACCTCTAGGAGTGGTCATTACTATGGAAAGGTGCTGGCTTTGGAGAGTAGGGTCTGGGTTCTCGCTCCAGCTCTTGCATTGTCCTCCTTGACCTGGATATTCTAGGCTATAAAAGGGGAGTAACAATGGCTGCTAGAAACTGGCTTGAGAGTCACTGTGAGTATTTGGGTGACAGTGCTCTGAAAAGCATGCAGTGCCTTGGAAAGGCAAGATATTCACTTTACTCAGCAGCCACAGGGTTGAGATTAGCAATGGAGAGGCTTTCTGTTTAAGCTCTTCGTATACTTATTTTGATCAGGATGAGAGTTTCTTTGCAGCTCAGCCCAAATCCTTGTTAGAAAGCACAGTACAAAAATAGTTTCCTAAGAAATAGAAGGTGGAGTAGAGGTTGCTGGTTGTCTCCCCAGTATCCGTACTGTGTTTTCCTCATTGTACTTTCAGTGGGAATGGCTCCATGCCATTGTCAGCCAATCAGCACAACTCTATGTCTTCTTCCAGAGTAATTGGCCAGGTGGGCACATAACACAGGTAAACTTGAACCAATAAGCACCCACAACTATGCTGACCACAGTAATGTCTCAGTGGCTTAGGTTAGTGAAACCTGAAAGGAGCCCTGGACCCTGAGCTCAGTAATTTGGGAAGAGACAAACTTTCTCTCCTACGGAACATACATGAGCGAGTAGATAGTCCTGGTTGCAATTGACAGTCATCTTGTTTTTATAAGTGAAATCAACTTTGATAGATGATTTTATTAAAAAAAAGTAAAGTAGGGAGACTGAAAGAGAATCAGTCCTTGATTACAAAATTAACCTAGATCAAGCTTACCCTGAAATCCAAAATATGATTTTATTTTTAAGTTATATGTGAAAGTAATTCCTATTGTCTAAATCACTGTGAGTTAAGTTTTCTTTTACTTGCAATTGAAACATGCTAAGTGACACAGGGGGTGATAACGGGGCTGTATTTGCCCAGTTTTGTCTTTGCACTCTTACTGCTCCTTCTCTGTGTTCATCTTTGATTGGTCTATCCTTTGGATCATCTCTGAGCTGGCCATTTTTCATTCTCTTTGCTAGAGGATCCTGACGTAGCTCAAGATTTCTATTTTGAATCTCATTAAATCTGATTTTTTTCTTTATAAGTACTTTTAATTGACTATAGAATAAGCCAAGTGTTACATGCTATTAAATATAAATAAGAATTCAATTTTTAAAATTAACTGCTGCCTTCCTCATCCTTGTTCCTCATAATAAAGTTTAAAAATTTTTAAATTGCATAATATTTTCCCCCTAAGTCCACATAAAATTTCTTCTCTCAAAGTAATGTACCAACTGTTTCTGGGACTACTCTAGCATCTTTAAACTAAATTACCTACTTAATTGCTTCTAGTTTCTCTTTGATTTCCACATAAAGATTGTTGTCTTTTTGTCCTATGACTTTTAATTCAGTCTATACAATAAAAAATAGAATTTAAGCACAAGAGCTTTTCAGTTTCTCCTGGGTCAATTATTTTCTCATTAACTTTGCTTTTGTACTCCCTTTCACCCTTGCCCTACCATGTTTATAGATAATGTTTCTATGATAAAATTCCTCCATCAAGACTTACTGATGTTTTATGGGTAGTCAAAAGATTTATTAAAGGCAATTTGAGGGCATTTAAAATTAGCCTCCAACATGGAAATCATTGACAAACTATTTTTGACATTGTGTATCACCCGGCAACCAAGAAAGAATAGTGAGTGATCAGGAGATAGTTGTTAACAGTAGGTAAGGGCTGCCCGGCCGAGGTCCAAGTGGGAGCTGAAATAGAGCCAGTGTTCTATTCTCTAAGCCTTAGCCCCTGGGTCTGGGGCTGCATCAGCCCAGAGGAAGAGTTCTCTTTCTCTGATTAGACCATCCAGAGGAGTTGCCTTAATTAAGGTATTACAAATGTGCCAGACGCGCTACTAGTGGCCATCCGTGAGATTTATTGAATGACCATACTGTCTTCTACATTAGGGTTACTTTCAGGTATTGGAACAGCCATTGCCAACATCAGATATGGACTGTTTTATAAGGTAATATGGCATCACTATGGTAGGAGGCTGAAGAGAGGAGGATGGCTCTTCCAGCACACTCCTGGTGGCCTCCTGTTTCGTCAGCAGGGTATATTGGCCACAAGGATTCTTTTATTTCAGTAAGAATGGATTTTTTTTCCCTGCATTTTCCTTAATACCTTGAAACAACAGAGAGAAAATCTCCAAAATTTTGAAAACTAATTTATTTCCTGACAAAAAAATTAATTCTCTTTATTCCAGGATAATGAGGACATGTGACAAATACCAAATTAACATGGTGGACATCAGAAGAGGACATCTTGGGACAAAGGTCACAGTAGTAAGAAGAAAAGTGTCTAGACTATGAAAAGTATTCAAAGAATAAAGAGGCTTGGTTAATGGAAGAGGTACATCAGCCTCCTCAGCAACAGGACAGAAAGGATGGCTATGCAGGGTGGTGACCATGGCAGCTAGATAGAGACTATTATGAAAGAAGGGGAAGGAAACAAGGACTTGGGTTGAGAAAACCAGATTGACAAGTAAAGAGACAAAGAAATATAGGGACAAATTAATCAGCAAACATTGATAATGCTTAGCTAAGTATAAGACCAACAACAGCAAGGAGAATTTGGCTACAAGAAGTGGGTGAGGCCAGGTGTGGTGGCTCATGCCTGTAATTCCAGCACTTTGGGAAGCCAAGGTGGCAGGATCAATTAAGCCCAGGGGTTTGAGACCAGTCAGGGCAACATAGTGAGACTTTTCTTTACAAAAAAAAAAAAAAAAGCTGGGTATAGGGGCTCATGCCTGTAGACCCAGCTACTCAAGAGGCTGAGGCAGGAGGATCTCTTGAGCCCAGGAGTTAGAGGCTGCAATGAGCTATGATTGTACCACCTGCAACCTAGCCTAGACGACAGAGTGAGACCCTGTCTTAAAAATAAATAAATAAATAAATAAATAAAATAAAAAGAAGTGGGTGGATAATTCATGCCCAGCATTAAGCTAGGGCTTATAGGAAATCCTAAGTCAGTAGAAGACACAGTGACTACCCACTAGACAACAGAAAATGGCCCTATCTTGCAGAGCACTGGCCAGCTATGCCCTATTGCTAAGTGGCATGTACTAAGGAATTGTTGGACTTGCTGTTGTGAAAGATGATGTATTTCTACCAATTAGAGCCATATGATGAGCTTGTTTGATTATATCACTGCAAATGCCAAAATGCAATGACATAGAGAATGGAAGTTCTTGAATAAAAAGTGGAAGGCTACCAGAGATTATTGTATGACAACCCAGTTCATATCAGAATGTTAATTCCATTTATCAATGAAAATTATATGTTCTTAATTTTTCTTATGTATTTACAACTGTAGAAATATAAAAATGTAAGGCAGTAGAGTATGATGTAAAGAAATATCACAAAGTAATAATCAGTTTAACACTGTCGATTATAGCTTTCTGATCACAGTTAATGTATTTTTCTTTTCTTCTTCTTCTTTTTTTTTTTTTTTTTTGAGATGTAGTCTTGCTCTGTCGCCCAGGCTGAGGTGCAGTGGTGCGATCTCGGCTCACTGCAACCTCTGTCTCCCAGGTCCAAGCGATTCTCCTGCCTCAGCCTCCAGAGTAGTTGGGACTACAGGCACCCACCACCATACCCGGCTATTTTTGAATTTTTAGTAGAGACGGGGTTTCACCGTGTTGGTCAGGCTGATCTCAAACTCCTCACTTCAGCTGATCTGCTGCCTCAGCCTCCCAAAGTGCTGGGATTACAGGCGTGAGTCACAGTGCTTGGCTCCTTTTTCTTTTTTTCTTTTTTTTTTTTTGAGATAGGGTCTCACTCTGTCACCCAGGCTGCAGTGCAGTGGGGTGATCATGGCTCACTGCAGCCTTGACTTTCCAGGTTCACATGATCTCACCTGCCTCAGCCTCCTGAGTATCTAGGACTACAGGCATACACCACGAAGCCTGGCAAATTTTTGCTATTTTTGGGGGTCTTGCTATGTTGCCTAGGCTGCTCTGGAACTCCTGGGCTCAAGTGATCCTCCCGTCTTGGCCTCTCAAAGTGCTGAGGTTACAGGCGTGAGCCACAGCGCCTTGCAGTTAAGGTGTTTTGTAAAGCCATTTTAACTGACCCATCTCCTTGGAAGGATCATGAATAACCTCAAAGAATATGAAATTCAAGTTTGTTTGATCAGTAGGAATGCATCTTAAATTGGAATAATTTTCAGTTAGTTATTAAGCTCATATAGAATAGCAATAAATCAAAGGAAGGAAAGAGGCAAGAAGCCTGGAAAACTGTGGAATTATAATCCATCAAGAAGTACAAAAGGAAGAAGAAATGATGGTCAACAGAAAAGGGAAGAGATCTGACAGAACCGTGATAATCTAAGCCATTCCAGGACCTTCACATCCCTCTGTATGATTCCTCTTGGAGGCCCCACTCCACATGAAATCAAATGTATTAAATTACATCTGAATGCAACAGAAAATATGATTTTAGACTATAAATAATTGAAGACATTTTATAATTGTTAAATGATAACTCTAAATATTTAATTTAATTTATAATTGGCCATGGTTTTTAAACAATCTTCTTGCACCCTTGCAAACTACTGTGAAGATCTAACCTACAACTGTTTTCAAATATCAGTGTTGCCAGGTGTGATGGCTTATGCCTGTAATCCCAGCACTTTGGGAGGATAAGGCGGGCAGATGGCTTAAGCTCAGGGGCTTGAGACCAGCCTGGGCAACATGGCGAAAGCCTGTCTCTACCAAAAAATTAGCCAGGTGTGGTGGCATGTGCTTGTGGTCCCAGCTATCTAGGAGGCTGAGATGGGAGAATGACCTGAGCCCAGGAGGCAGAGGTTGTTGTGAGCTGAGATTGCACTGCTACACTCCAGCCTGGGTGACAGAGTGAGACCCTGTCTCAAAAAAAACCCCACAAAACCCCCAAAAATATCATTGTTATAAGCTGAATGCTTGTGTCCCCCCACCCAAATTCATGTGTCGAAGCCCTAACTTCCAGGTGATAGTATTTGGAGGTGAAGCCTCTGGGTGGTAATTAGGTTTAGATGATTTCATGAGGGTAGGTTCCCTATTTTAGGATTAGTGCCCTTATAGGAAGAGAAAGAGACAGCAGAATTCTTTCCACCATGTGAGGACATAGCAAGGAGGCGGCCATCTACATACCAGGAAGAGGGCCCTCAAAGGGAACTGAGTAATTTAGCACCTTGAACTGGGACTTCCCAGAACTTCGCCAGAACTGTGAGAAATAAATGTCTGTTGTTTAATCCACCCAGTCCATCGCATTTTGGTATAGCAGCCTGAGCTAACTAAGACACTAATGGAGTTGATAAATATAACAATTAATGAGGATTAAAATAATGTCACATTTTGAAGATATTTAAATGATTACTTTTATTTTGTCATTTTCTTTTTTTTTTATTTTGGAGCCAATACATTTCTTTTCCAGGCTTCAAATAGTTTTAGACGTCCCCCCAAAATTCATAGGCCTTCCCTGTTGGGCCTTTAGTGCCTAAAAGCTAAAGTGGCCCTTTAGAGTTGGTATTGTCAGTGTGCCAAGAAGATACAAGCTATTTCCATATATTCTCCATCAGAGCTCCCCATCCAGGCTGCCCCACGAGTAACTCTGAATAACAAAACTTGCCCTGATGGCTCCATTCAGAATAGTATGACCTTGCACTTCGTGCTGCTCTTGCCACCATAGAAAACAAGAACAGGAAGGGCAATTCTAAAATACTAACTAATCTGTTTCAACAATTCTCCCTCTCAGGCTTGTCTTCACTGTAAAAGCTTTCCTTCCCTTTAGAATGTACTTGTTAGTTCCATGTCATGCTTATTTGAAGGCTCTTCTTATTAGATCCTATCAAGAAGTCGCTGCAGTAAATACATAACATTTTTACTGTTTGATAATCAACACAAAAGAGAATGAGAGAGTACCATGGGTAATCAATGTCTCTTGTTAAATATTTCATACCTCTCTTTGTTTGGCCTAATGTTGATGTCACCGATGATATGGATGTCTGCAAATTTTATCCTAAATTTGCTCAGAAGGGAAGCCATTCTGAAAATATAAAAGGAAAATACTTCATCATTGCATATTTAACTATTTTCAATCAAAGAGTTTTTTGTTTGAGTTAAGATATCAAAAGCAATCACGTCTTATTTCAGCTTAGCTTTCAGACAGAGGCTTTTTGGTTGGTGTTTGATTTTCATTACAGTACTTGATGAACGCATTAAGTGTGGACCAAGCTATTTCACTGAAGGCATAAAGAAACCCCTGTAGGTGCAGACACTGGCAACAGCCAATCCAACTCTGCATTTATGTCACAGGGAACAGAATGCAAATCTGTCCACATTTCTTATTATTTGAAAGACAGCAAGTCTTAATACTTATGGACTATTATATTGGTGATAATTTTTATAGAGTTACTGACAAGCTACTGACAAACAGTTATCATACAATATATCATAAGATGATAAATTATATGATTATATATACAAACATATATCTAAATTATATAATATATAAACATATTATAACATTATAAACCATCATATATATTATAAAACCTCACATATATATATATATATGGTTTTTTCCTGGCAACTGATAATTCTGATATAATTTCAAAGTTACAGAAAAGTTTTTAAGATAATACAAAGAACTCCCAAATTCACCAGTTGTTTATATTTTGTCCCGTTTGATTTACCATTTTCTTTGTTTCTCTCTCTTTATATTTATCTATCTATTTACTTCTATCTCTATCTACCTATCTACTCTAATCTTTTAAAGTCAGTTGCAGATATTAGGCACCTTTACCCCTAAATTTTTCAGTGAGCAGTTCGTAAGAACAAGGACAATCTCTTATATAAAGAGAGCACAATTTTTGAAATTGGAAAATTTAACATTGGTGCCATACTACCATCTAAGCCACAAAACATTTTCAAATTATACTAATTGTCCCAATAAAATATTGGCAGCTTTAAGAAATATAAAATATTATAGACATTATGTTAGTTTCCATGTTAATATGATCCTCTTTAAGTATAATTAAATCTATATAATATTAGCATACAAATATCATATTGCTTTGATTGAAAAGACATATATGCATATATGCATATATGCATAATATATATGCAGTCATACACCACATAAAAACATTCTGATCAATGACAGACTGCATATACGATGGTGGTCCCATAAGATTATAATGGAACTGAAAAATTCCTATCACCTAGTGATGTCGTAGCTGTTGTAACGGCATAGCACAATACATTATTCACACATTTGTGATGATGCTGGTGTAAACAAACCAACTGCACTGCCAGTCATATAAAAATATAGCACATACAATTGCGTACAGTACATAATACTTGATAACATAATAAATGACTGTTACTGGTTATGTGTTTACATACTATACCTTTTATTATTATTTTAGAGTGTACTCCTTCTACTTATTAAAAAAAGTGAACTGTGAAACAGCTTCAGGCAGGTCCTTTAGGAGGTATTCCAGAGGAAGCTTTGTTTTCACAGGAGATGACAGCTCCATGCCTGTTATTGCCCTGGAAGACCTTCCAGTGGGATACAGGATGTGGAGGTGGCAGACAGTGATATTGATGATCCTGACCCTGGATAGACCTACACTAATGTGTGTGTTTATGTTTCAGTTTTTAACAAAAATATTTAAAAAGAAAAAAAGAAAACAGTTTAAAAAGTAGAAAAATGCTTATAGAATAAGGATATAAAGAAAACACTTTTGCATAGCTGTACAATACGTTTTAAGCTCAGTGTTATTACAAAAGGGTCAAAAGCTTAGAAATTATGAAGTAAAAATGTTTACGGTAAGCTAAGGTTAATTTATTATTGAAGAAAAAAATATTTTTTATTCCCAGGTCCAGCTTTGAAGAAAAGTATTTTTGTATAAATTTTGTGTAGCCCAAGTATACAGTGTTGATAAAATCTACAGTAGTGTAGTCGTGTCCTGGGGCCTCACATTCACTCACCACTCACTGACTCACCCAGAGCAACTGCCAGTCCTGCAAGTTCCACTCATGGTAAGTGCCCAATACAAGTGGACCATTTTTTACCTTTTATGCTGTATTTTTACTGTACCATTTCTGTGTTTTGATATACAAATATTTACCATTGTGTCACATTTGCCTATAGTATTCAGTTCAGATTTGTAGCCTAGGAGCAACAGCATATACCATATAACCTAGGTGTGTAGTAGGCTATACCATCTAGGTTTGTGTAAGTACACTCTATGATGTTTGCACAATAGGAAATTGCCTGATACATTTCTCAGAATGTAACAATGTAGCAGTGTATAACTGTGTGTGTGTATATACATTGTTATACATTGTTATACATTATACATTATACAGTTATACATAGTTATACATTATATATATATATATATATATATATATATATATATGTCACATTCACAGCATAATACATCCTAAGAGGGAAGAGAAAATGTTAAAAATTACTGAATAAAGCCTGTCATTATTTTGTGACTTCTGGAAGTGCTGGTTCCAGGAAGGGCTCAGAGCTTAGTCCCTCAGTGCCCTGAGGGACTAAGAGCTGCTGAAGGTGGTTTTCTGGATTTCCATCAGAGACCTCTAGATGTGTCATGTTCTCAGCATGCTTATTATTCTCACAACTGGCATCAACTCTCAATGGCTAAATTAATGAGAAAGATACAGACTTACACTGTGGGATTTTTTTTTTTTAATTAAGAGTTCTCTACAGTCATCCCTTTAAACTCTTTCAAACTACAAAGGAGAAACTGGGGACCCAGATGCGTTTGGAGACTGTTGCAAAGTCCTGCAGCTCCTTGATGGCAGAGCTGGGGCTAGAACCCAGGTGCAGTCTCTCCATTTAGTTCTCTTTTACATATGCTGTTCTAAGAGTGACTGCCATGAATTAGGAGTTTTGAATTCCCACAGAAAAAGCAACTGGACCCAGATTTCCTTCAGGCTCTTCTTTTCTTGGATGCCTTTACTGGTCAGAACAAAATAAGCATTATATGAGATAACGAAGCTCCCACTCAAGACTTGAGATGAGGCTTCTGTGGCACCTTCCTTTTGGAAAGCATTTGTGACAGAGGATAAGAGGACTTGCTTGAAGACAGCGATCAGGAAAAATATGCGAATAATTTACTGACCAGATAACCAAGTAAACACGAGGCCTATCCTGGTGGCTTTGTCTTTGAGTCTATTGTGTCTCAGAGACACTTAAAGTTATTAAAATTAAAGCATTAAAGCAACAAACCTCTGAAATGACCTAACATGTGAGTGGCAAACTACTTACACAATTTTTTCTTCTTCAATGCGGTTGATCTTCCCTCCCACATAGATTCTTAATTTACAGTCTTTCCATTTTTTTCTGAGAGTTAAGATATAGGGGATAAGAAGTGTTAACCCTGGAATAAAGAATAAATTATGACACAATGAGTATATCTAAATGGAAGGAAATGAATAGCTTTATATCTTTATTCATTACCACATTGATAGCTCTTAATTAAGTTATAGTCTTTGGAGAACACAGAAATGTTATTCTTTAACCAGTATTGTTCCCATATACCTTCTCATGCAGTTTAAGTTTATCAAAATTGAAATTCTTGTCCCTAGTGTATTTTCTGAAAGTTTTTACCTCCATCATCAAACAACCACCAAACATCAATTGTGCCTTTTTCTTGTTTCTTTTTAAATTGAGTGCTGGCTTCCACCAGTTTCTGGTTGAACTCTCCCACATGCATCGACTGGCTTGTGTTAATGCTGCCATCTGAAACGAAAGAGGAATTGATGCATCTGTTTGCTTTTGAGGGCAGAAACAAAATAACTTTCCAATCAATCTAGTGATGAAAATAGAGAAAAGGTCACAGATTCATGTTTATTATACCTAAAATAAATAGCGGTATTCTTCAAAAGGCAGAGATAAAAGTCCAATCCCAGAATAATTGAGAACACCTTCAATAGTTAAATAAAATATTGACAGTCAATAAGTAAAACAGCTTTATAATAATAGTTTTTATTAAAAGACAATGGATTTTTTCAGACCTTTAGTAATCTGTCTCAGAGTGGAGTTATTATTTAGGCATGCAACAATGCTACTAGCCAGAATATCCACATTTCCCAAAATCTCAGATATAAATCACCTTAATGATATTAATATTTTTGTATTTACTTAACATGTGGTAAGTGGTTTTCTAGAAATAAGCTATAGAATCAGAAATATCCGTTCATTAGGGAATTGATTCATGAAGCACTATTTTGGTTTAAGTTCCATTCAGGTCTGGTTTATAAAATTTGCCAGGGACTGTGTGCATCTTGAACTCTATGACTATTTAGTCTCTTAGTTGGCCTGGCTTACTCTTCTGCTTTCTTTTCAAGGAATCTTGCGAAGCTAAAGTAAAGCCATTTGAGCTATTTGAATCTTTGTGAATTAGATGAAAAAAAAAAAACCTTAGAAAATATGGAAATACAAAACATCTTTACTTGAGTTATAATTAAGGGTGTATATAAAATAGTTACAATTTTTTTAAATGTGATTTCTACCCTAACATGGATACAGTGAAAGTGTACCAGGGAACTCGGCCAGTGTTGGAACTGGACCTGTTCCTGTTTGCCAAGAGGGGTTTATTTGCCACAGCGTACGTAGCATTTCTCATATCTGTGTCTTTGAAAGTCATGACTTTATTGCTGTGTTTCAAAGTGGTGGTGTCAGCCTGGTGCTTAGAGGAGGGCTGACAGCCTCTTCAGAGCTTCCTCTCTGATCTAAGAGGTTCTGAAGATGCTTTGTTTTATCTTTTGTTGTTTCCATGTTTAGAGTCTGTCAGTTCTGAAGCAATGATCTGATATTGTTTTTACATCCCTGGGACCGCTGAGGGAGAAAAATTTATTTACAAAATGGACCAAGCTCTGCCCTCACTTACAGACAAGTCAAAGCAGCCAGAGGCCTCCTGTTCACACTCAGGTACCTGGAGGCAGGATTGGTTCTCGTCTAGAACTCAAAAGAGTTGACAAGCAATGGAAGCCCAGAGTAGTGAATGGGCCCACTTTAGAGCTGTGTTTAAACTTCTAGGTATTAAAACAGTATATAACATTATTACTTTTCTTTTCTGAACAATTTGACATGTTGACTTTTGGAAGAGTATATTTTTGCCAAAACAAGTATTGTGACGCAGAAATAAGCTTCCAGAATAAATAACAAGTCCCGCTGTCATAATAAGGACATTAATGCTTCCCTCTCTCTAGTTGGAGCACATTATTGGGCTATGACTTTGGAATTTCCCATTATTTTCCAGACTGTACCACTTAATAGAGCAGATTTAATGGATTGTTAACTTTTTTCACAGTTAAACCAAATAATTAGAAAGAAAAGAAGATAATAGTTAGCATCCAGAACAGTCTTATTTAAATATTTTCACCCTAAAAGTCCTGATGTAGCTTCAAGTTGAATTCAAACACATCATTTATGTCATTTTAAGGTGGACTGTAAGGAGTAGGCCACGGCCCATGGGGTATCCCAGGAGCTCGACAGTAGCCAGAGTATTTGAAGTGGGGCAATATCTGGATTTCCCATCATTCTCTGTGGATATATAAAACTATTATATTACAGGTGAAATTTCGTCCTTGGGCTATAGTAGGAAAGCAAACAGACAAACGATTTACAGGGTAGGAGATGGCCTTGTCGAAGGGCCTCTTTAAAGGGTTGGCGCCGGTCAACCTAGACCAGAAGCTTGCTAAGTCTCCACTTGGATCCTGCTGTTTGACTTGGAGACCCTCCCAGAGAAACCATCTTTTCCTGGCCTCACACCAGTGTATGACTTCAGTAACTACAGGACATTCGTGCATAAACAAATGCCTGGTAACATTCTGATTTTTGACCAGCAGAGGTCACTGTGGACCTCATTAAACTCAAACCCATAGCGTTTCGGGAAGTAATTTTCAAAAAACCAAACGTTTGAATCATCTGTTTATAAAATGTGTAACAAGCTCTCCCAACCTCTGATCCTTTGTCCCAGGACTGCATACCATAAGTCCACATATAAGTGTAGCATTTAGATGAAATCTACAGGTAGTGAGTACCAATAAAGTTCTAAGTCGTGCATTCTGGTTTGTGATAAAGATGCTTTTGTTGAAATCAGCGTTCCAGCTGGATACCGTATTTGCATGTACTAGTCGTATTTCAGTTCCCTGAAATGTCTGAAAGGTAAGGGTGTCTGTGGATAAGACAGTTTGGGTATTGGCTCTTAAATTTCTATCCCCTTTCCATCTTAACTGAGAAACTTCTGTTTTATGGCATGCAATCTGCTTAAGCACTATTTGACTTCCAAACCAAATATTACATTTAAAAAATAATTTTTGACAGTAAGATGGTACAAAGTACTTAATGAGGTTGATAAATGACAATAGCTGCTACCGTTTATCCATACTACCTTCTGGAGAGAAACCTTTCAGTTCCTACCCACACTCAATGCTCCCAACATCTTAGATGCTGACTTCGGACTCTTCATAGATGCTCAAATAGTGACTCATCTTGTAAACTTTTTTGCAAATTTTAAAAAGTTCTTACCTTTTTTAGGCGTTGTCTTAGTAATGTTCAACTTGCCAGCTTTTTTAAACAAGCCTCGGATGCCTCCACTTTCCTCTTCACACTCATTATCTTTGATAGTCGCTTCCAATGCTAGTCTCTCCTGTTCTAATCTCTCTAATTCCTCTGATGAAAGAAGACAAAATCACCTACTTAACTCAGAACTACAAAGTTTCTAGAAACAATCTTATAAACTTTTAATATTTAAAATGGTATGTATGTGATAAAATAATTGTTTATACATAGTAATTTTTTCTAAATGATTTTTATATATTATCTTCTAATACAAGTAATATATTTTGGTTGGGTGAGGTAGCTCATGCCTGTAATCTCAGCACTTTGGGAAGCCAAGATGGGTGTATCGTTTGAGCCCAGGAGTTTGAAACCAGACTTGGCAACATGGTGAAACTCCATCTCTATGAACGATACAAAAATCAGCTGGGTGTGGTGTGTAGTGCCAGCTACTTGGGAGGCCGAGGTGAGAGGATCACCTGAGCCTGGGAGGTAGAGGCTGCAGTGAGCCATGATCATGCCACTGCACTGCAGCCTGGGCAATAGAGTGAGATCGTGTCTCCAAAAGAAAAGAGAAAAAGTAATGTATCTTAGTAAATTGTATTCAGAAAGTTGTCACAACTAGCTTAGAAAAACAGCTCTATGTGTTAAGTTATGATACATGAAGTTACAGCATTTTTATTTGTGAGGGCAAGAGAGGCTATTTAATGCCACCCTTATTCACTACCATGCAAAAACAAACAAACAGAAAATCTTTCACACTGTAAGCCACTGATTTACTGACCTAAGCTAGTGGGTCAGATGTTTTACAACTGGAAGTGACAAAATTACAGAAGTACACTGAGTATATATCAGCCACACAACAATGCTTCATGAATTGAAACATAAAACTAGACAGCAAGAATTAAGAAAAGATAACAAAATCTTACAATAAACTCTATAGGCTCTGGATACAAATTACAATGGAAAATATCCACCACCAATTCCTTTCAATAAGCAAAATAACTTTGTGGAGTGGGTGACCAAAGTCAAAGAAATAAAAGCTGAGGTTTCTGGGTGCCTGTCAGAGTTCAAATTGCTAAAAGGGGTCTTGTGACATGTTTTAGTCTGGAACAGGAGTCAAGCAGTGCAAAATTTCCTGCCCAAGGTTGAGACACACTATCCAAGCTTTGATGTTGTATCTGGCTGCCTTTTATCTTTTTTGGATTCCGATTGTGACGAAAATTTCCTAGCTGCTATGTAATGTGCTGGATCTCTCTTTGACCTCACCCTGCACTGAATCAGGGTAAATAAGACTTTCAAAGCAGTCATATGACAGTGCTACACTTAGGAGGCTTCTTGCTTCTTGCTTATACTGGGTGAGGTGGCACTCTTGTCAGATGCCCTCATCTTATTGCCTGCTGAGAACAGAGCCTTAGAAAATGAGCAATGCTCAGAGGAAGAGGATAGAAAACCTAGATTCAGTGTTACAAAACACTGGGAGAGCTTCTGTAAATGTCAACCCTTGGAGCCCATTGCGTTATCTATCTGTGAAGCGAAGCTATACAAACTCTAGATTTATCAATTATGTACTAACTAAATCTGTCAGGACAGTCACATCCCTAGACGATGCTGCTATTCAGCTACACAGAATTGTCTGGCCCCTTTCCAGGTCTTAGCAATTAATCTTTTGCGAGTGGCATGAGATTTAAGGTCAAATCACCCATGTGATTTCCCCAAAGCTTCAAAGGTTCTCAAGATCAGCAGCTATAGAAAATCTGAGAAATTAGACTGATGGTATTAAAGCTGAGACAGAAGTTGCTTACCCCTGACTTTTGAAAGGAGAAGACAAGCTGCATTGCACTGGGGGGTCACAACCAATTACAGCTCTGCTGCTGGCTTTATGTGACATTAGGCAAGTAATTTACTTTTTCTATGCCTCGGATTTCCCGTCTGTGAAATGGAAAACTGTAACCCTTTCCTTTTCCCACCCCCCAAGCTTTGCAAAAAGAATAAACAAAGTTTCTGCATAGTGTTTTGGAGGTCCTTAAAAAACAGAGCAAGAATGGCATTCTATAGGCAGTATATTTATGCAACTTTTGGAAATGGGCCTAGTCATGCAAAACAAATTGAGTATTTTGAGATGCCTGGGAGTTATTTTAGCAATTGCTATTTATTGCACACTCTTTGGGTGCCAGGGACTGTGTTGCATTTTATTCCTTTCTAAACAACTCTGAGATAGTTACTACTATTATCATCTTCATTTTGTAGATGAAGAAACTAATAGGTTAAGTGAGTTGCCTGATATCACCCAGCAAGTTACAGGGTTCATATGCAAAGAGATCTGCATATGCTTCCCACCATGAAGACCTTCCTCCTGTGGCTTATTATTATTACTATTTCAGAGTTGTTTTATTACCTTCCTATGCTTTATCATCAGATAAACCTAAACACTCTCAGGCATATGGTGTAATGGGCTAAGTTAATCCCCCAAAATGATGGCCCATCCAACATGTCATTTTAAAAGGAGGACCCTAAAGATACGGTTCTATATGGAAGGCTGCACTAGAGCAGCAGCACTGGTACCCAGACTTTGTTGTCACTGTCCTGGATGACGGCATCCTAGCTGTTATTTTGTCTTCTGGGGTATTGCAGGGGCCACTTATGGGGTAACCTGCTCTTTGCAGTCCTCTGATGTGGCAACTGTAAGGGCTGCCCTGGGAGGGGATTCTTCTCTTTTCTTTTTTTTTGGGCAGGCTCCAGTGCGCCCTATGATTAGCCACTGGTTGCCATGCTCTTTGTCCTCTAGTTTGGACAAAGAGGGAAAGAAAGATAAATCCTCTTTTGTAATGGAGTCAGCGGGCTGAGTGAACTGGGAGCGATTCCAACAATTGCTTGAAGGTATGTGCACAGCCCATCCAGAACAGAGCAAGCTGCAAAATTGCAGGCCTGAGAGACAAAATCAAATTTTGCTCGAATGCTTTAGATGTAGCAGTTTCCTCAAAGATGATAGAGACAGAAGATTACAGAGAGTATTTATTCTAAAGGCTAAAATCAGCTTGCTTTGCCATCTTGGATTTTCAGATCCATACCATGGTGTGATTCCCATTTGCATAGTGATTTTCGCAAGTTCTTATTCAAGTTAATTCTTAATTATTCACTTGGTAGGTGATCTAAGGCCTCCTTCTGTGCACTCCTTCCTTTTCGCATTTCAACACTAAACAGAAGTGATGTTTTGATTATCTGTTCTTCTGAATGATCTATCTGGTGTACTGCTTGCCTCTGTTTGCATGCAGGGAAATTAAGAGTAGACTTTGTCTAAACATTTTTGTCAACAGAAATACTGGCCAGATGACTTGCAAAGGCATACCATTAGCCACAAGGGGAGCCAGCCAAGAGAGTATGAACGAATGGATATAAGTTGATTTCCACTAGCCTGACAATAAAAATTACTTTTTCTATCATCACCACCATCACGACTACATTTTTAATTTTCAGAAATTACAAAGCCCTTTCTACATAGTATCTCATTTGATACGAATACTGGGATGCATGCAGAGCTGGTATTATTCTCCCCATTTTACCAAAAAGGAAACTTGGGCTCAGAAAGTTCAAGTGATTTGTCCAAGGTAGCACAGCTAGTGACCCAAGTCTTCTGCTCCCAATTCTAGTGTTTATCCCTCTTCTCTCTTCTCCTTCAGTGATATGCCTTGATCGCAATAGCTGCCTGTTGAAGGAACACCCAGTCTGCATGTTTTCAAAAACCATCCCCAAATTTCTCAATCAGAATCAATCTCCTCTGTATTTCCGTAATACCTTGCTTAAACCTTTATTCCACTAACTACTATAACTGTGTGACTTGGATGTCTATCTTATTCACAATGGACTCCAGACTCCTGGAGGGCAGAACTTACGCCATTTTTCATCACCAACATTTATTGAGAGTTTACTGTATGCCAAGTACAATGCCAAACACTTTGCAGCCATCAAATTCTTTAATCCAAAACAACAAATCTGTGACGTAGGTACTATAATTATTCCCATTGGAAAATGCAAAAAGTGAAACACAGAGAGGATGGGTAACTTGACCAACATCACACAGACAAAAGATGTCAAATTTGGGATCCAAACCCAGGTCTGTCTATTCCAAACGCTATGCTTGGACCTCATGTTATCCCTCCCATGTTCTTCATGCTGCCACCCCTCCCGTTTATTACCTGGACCCATGTTTGCACCAACAGGCACTCAAGAATTGTATGTTGAAATAAATTAAAGAACAGATCAATGCTGTTCAATTCAGTTCAATAGTTTTGAAAGTACTGTCTTTATAAAAGAAGAAAAACAAGTGCAGAGTTGTGAAGAATGGGGGTGTGAGAAGTGTGTGTGTGTGTATGTGTGTGTGTGGTAAGTACAAAAGACAATGTTTGAAAGAAGTGCAGTTAATACCGTATACAAAGTTATATAAAAAAGGGGCAGATAGAGGACAGAAGGTGGGACCAGTGAGATAAGAGCCTGGGAAATGGAAGCATGAGAGGCAAGTGGGGAAGGAGAGGGGACTTTTCCCTGGAAAAGACCACCACCTGGAAATCCTTTAATGGTACCTACTGGGAACTTGAATACATTAGATAATTCTGTAGTATGTCATAGTTTATAAGGCCACATTGCTACTGAGAGATAGAGATAGAGATAGATAGATAGAGATCGAGATATGGAAATAGGGATATAGAGAGCATGCCTGCCCTTCTCTCTTTTCAAGATGTTTATAACCTCAACCTGAAGTTATGACGGTGGAAGAAAAAGCTTAGACCTGTAGGTTCTCTCAGTTGAGGGCAGGTTTCTAATCAATTTTGTCATCCACATCCCAAACAGTTTTCACAGTAATAACTAAGAGTGACTCTTGAGCCATACTGTCATGTAAATGCCAAAAGTACTTTGAATAGTAGTTACTGTATTTTCAAGTGCTTTATAAATCGATTATATGGTACCCAGTTGGAGTGATTATTTTTTGAAACTCAATTTACTTGTCAAGATTGCTTCAAATGTTATGTCCCCAGTCTTTTTTTTTTTTTTTTTAAGATATCTTTTAGAAATAGGCAGAGGCCCTACAAATTACAATCTGCTTTGAATCTTAAGGATAGAGAGTCGTTAATTATCTGACACCAGAAGGGAGAGCAGGGAAACCCACTGGGGAATGGAATCCCTTCCCATTTTACAGCATCCTTTTTCTTTATTAATTTTAAGTTGTAATTCTTTCCTTGGTCAATCAACTCAAAGCTGTAAATGCTCATATGAATCAATGTGCTGTACCCCAGGTGAAGTCTAGTTGAATTGAAGGCAGGAAGCAATCCTGCAGTGGTTGCCTTCTAATCAAGTAATTATTTACTACACTGCCATCTGTCTTTATTTTGCTAAGCCACTTGATCAGACACAGCAGTATCCCCGTGCTCTGAGATGTTCACAAATCATGCTGTACTTACATGGAATACTTGACCACAATATATGGCAAATCATGTTCCATCACTTTATTTCTTACCAGTACAATTTTGACTCCTTGTTGTAGTTGGAAAACTTGCTAAATTCCTCTGGGAAGTGAGCAGTATGAAATATCATGGCTTTTTTTGTGTGTGTTGTCAGGCAATAATTTATTAAGAGAAACTATCAGTCATCAGTATTGGATGAGTTGCTACAGTATACAAGTTACAATGTTATGAGCATCGATCTTATTTATATTAAAAGTTATTCTCACATAAGCCTGTGATACAATATAAAAATAATTGTCGTTAGCTGGTAAATTATCTATAAAGCTGATTTCTATTCACTGCTTTATTAACTACAGTATATGGGCACTCTGAATTGCTAATATTTCCTTTAAATTATAATCTGTGATGACACTGTGGTGCCTGTGTTGGAAAAGCTATGATGACAATCATTAACATAGTATAATGCAATACTTAAGATTTATTAGGCCCTTATTAGGCCCTGAATTACAGCATAATATAATGAAATGCAAGTTTATTTCTTCCAATTCAAAATCTAATAAGAGGTTTGTGTCGTAAATTACATAAACCTCAAAACAATGCATGGAAATGTGGCGGAAAGTTAATTTCTATCATGTTGTTTTTCTGCGTGTTCTTCATGTATTTGTGTAACATTGTTTTTCTTTGTTTACCCTAGATAGTTGGTACTTGTAATTATTTTATTAGCATCCAATTGCATTTTCCCTTTCTTGACTAAGAAGCAGAAATATTTCAAACATCAAAGTTTATTTAAATAGGATACAACCCTTGGGAAATTAAAAGGGGATGCAGTTCACTGCCAGGATTATTTGAGAAATATTGCAAAACTTGGTTGCTGTATTGCTTTATAGAAGTAAATTGATGGTGCATCTTGGCAGATGGAACAATGAGGGGTGGGAGCAATGCTTTTCAGCTACATCACATCTTTCAGCTTGAAGAGATCAACATAACACACAAAGCAAATGTGTAATCTAAATACAAGTTATATTTTGCATTCTCATTTTTAGATGGAAAACATTACAGCACAAAAGCCAGGAGAAAAAAATTAAAGTAAAACCTAGGAAGTTCGCAACAGAACAGTTCTCTTAATACTAAGTTCTTGTAATTGCCCTCAAAGTCAGGTCTATGTTACCATAGACAGGCAGCCCCCTTGTTGGGTGTCTTAAGGAACACATAGAAACAGCTTTGCCTCATTCCCAGAGCTCAGATTTCACCATTGCCTCTCTTTATATGTCACCATCCTCTCTAGCTCCTCTTTTTCAAAGATAAAATAGGGGCTTTCAAACAGATACAGGTTTGAATCCCAGCTGTACCAATGACTAGCCTTGTGAATCTTGGGTAAGCCCCCATTTTACCAGTTGTAAAATGGGGACAATGATAATACTCTCCTCATAGGGTAGCTGGGATGATAAATGCTATGTGTGAACAAGAAGCATAATAGATGGCACATAATAAGTGCTCAAATATTTTTTGTTGTTGTTGAGACGGAGTCTCGCTCTTTCGCCCAGGCTGGAGTGCAGTGGCGCGATCTCGGCTCACTGCAAGCTCCGCCTCCCGGGTTCACGTAAGTGCTCAAATATTTTAACTATGTTGCTACTAAAGTATTAAGTTCTACTAGGAGGGAATATACATTAATAGTGAATACTCACTGAGTGGGAGTTAGTATTTCTGATCTGGAGATTTAAAATGTCCATAAAGAAGAAAAGGGGCATAAAAAGGAAGGCTAAAGGCACCAAGAGATAACCTTTTGTGCTACAATTTTGCATAGGATGCACTCTCCTCGCTGTTTTATTTTTTAATGCTTCATTATCATAGAGTATACATAATCAGATAGTAGCTCTCTGTCTTATACAAACACTTGATCTCTAGTTTTTTTCTTCGTCCTCCTCTTCTCCTACAACATACCAGAATGGTTGCATCAGAAAATTCACCTAATCCACTCATATTCTTTCCTGTTTTGATGTAGACAATAATGAACCAGCAAATAGAGTATGAATCGATCAGGCAATAGCCCTTAAGAATTCTTTTTTCTGTCTGCTGAACCTACTCTCAGAAATACCCTGATGCCGCTCCTGTACCTTGGAGACTTCATGCTGCCAGAGAAAACTGGACAACCACAACTGGGTTTTCACTGTTGTACACTGATCAGTTCTTGCTGATCTTTTTCATTCTCCATCATGACTTTTTAAAATGCTTACTAGTTTCTTCTCATTCTCAGTTAAACCATTCCTCTCTTGCTTTTAGAAGTAAACCATTGCTCCAGCTTAATAGAAAGAATTGAGACTATTGTGCATCATCTTCTTCAATTTACCACTCTACTCTCACAAATCCACATATCCCATCATCAATCCTCACCTCCTTTGCTCCAATTTTAGATGAAGTGGTTTTTTTTTAATTTTTAAAAATTTTTTAATTTTTTTATGTTTCAGGCCAACTCTTCCATTCATGCCTTTCCCTCAATTTTCTGTTCCTCCTGGATCTTACTCCGTGGGTCGCCCCTTTCTTTGCCTACGTCTTCAATTTTTTCACTCTCTTGTGCCATTTCCTCAGTCTGGAAACATGATTTGATCTCCCAGAGATCTATAGTTTCCCCACAGTAAGCCTGCTCAATCTCATTCCTCTTGTTACCATCCAAGCTTCTCAGAAGGGTTGGCTACATCCATATTCTCTGCTTGTTCATCTGATAGTCTCTCCTCAACCCACTGCAATCTCGATTCTGATAACCCTGCTTTACAGAAATTGCTCTCACTAAGATTACCTATGTCATGCCAATTCCATTTGATTCATGATCTTACTGTACATTTCTGCTGCATTTGGCAATGTTGATTATTCTCCCCATTTTGAGCACTG